>NC_000023.11:100587542-101212542 GCF_000001405.40 Homo sapiens | reverse complement strand
CTCCATACCCATTATCAGTTGCCCCCAATATCCCCCCAGTCCCTTCTCAGGCCTAGGCAGCCACTAATCTACCTTCTGTCTCTATAGAGTTTCCTATTCTGGCCATTCTACACAAATGACATCAAACAACATGTGGTCTTTTGTGTCTGGATTCTTTCACGTAGCATATTATCATCAAGCTTCACTACATCATTCCTATGTATGGCTGAATAATATTCCATTGTATAAATATACCACATTTTATTTATCCATCCATCAATTGATGGACATTTAGGTGTTTCCACCCTTTGGCTATTATGAATATTATTGCTATGAACATTTGTGTGCAAGTTTATTGTATGAATATATGTTTTCAATTCTTTTAAGTACATACCTAGGAATGGAATTGCTGTGTTATATGATAACTCTGCATTTAACTTTTTGAGGAACTGCCAGACCGTTCATCAAAGTGGCATCTCCACGAGCAATGTACAAGGGTTCCCATCTCTGCATATTCTTGCCAATACTTGTCTTTTTTAGTATAGCCATCCTAGAAGTTATAAAGTAGTATCTCATTGTGTGGACTCAAATCTTTAAAAAAAATCTTTAATGCCTCTATTTAGCTGGTTTCCTAAGCATGTGCTTAATCTACCTATTATTAGGCCATCAAGGACGGGGATCAGTCAAATTAATTAGGTTCCTGGGGCTGGAAAGCACATAAGGGAGGGCCTGCTCAGTGTAAAACATTTCCAACACCAAAGCAAGATTCAAAAATGACTAACTCACAATCTCTGTCTAATAGGGGAGGCAGACACCTACTCAAACAACTATTAAACAAAGTGGAATGAGAAAAGTGCTATAATAAGGCAGTGGAAGTGCAGAGGGGTGTTAAGGCATGCAATTCTTCCAAAGTACAGTGCTAAGCAGCCCCAAACATCACCAAAGCAGCCTAGATCCTTACCCCTATGCAGCTACCACATTAAGCCAGAGTCTTCTTGGAAACAGCTATAAGAGCAGGGAATAGGGCTCTTGGAGATATACTGTGCTGGACCTGAGAGGTATATTTGTCATTTTCTCATTTCAGTGACTATTCATACTTACTACCCACTGAGTAACCTTTCAGGCCTGGCCTCATTATTTTTAGTCTTATATCAATTTGTAGGACTGTACTGAAGAATAGCTGTAAAGTGCTTTGTAATTCTATGGTGTGTTATAAATAATAATCTCTCATTGCAACCATCTTACCAATAATAAGCAAATCCTACTCCAGCAGTTCCACATTGTACCCTCTCCAATCTACTATTTTACCTGAATCATTCCCATTACACTTCTTTGTATCAGAACACCCCAGCTTCTGGAGATAATGGTTACAATCAGCTAAACCTTCGGAGAGCCTTTCTAGTCTTAGAAGCAGTTTGATTCAGTATTTTGCTTCAGAAATAGAAAGCAAGCCAGGGAGATTGCTCCCACTTCATAAATGGAGACAATGAGGTACATAGAGATTAAGTGACCCAATAGTTAAAAAGGAAATATTACCAGACTGAAGTTCTGTGTGTCCTCCCTATCTTACCCTCACTCTACCCACAAGAAAACTTTAGCTATTAAGGTTGTGGGTTTGGGATGCCTACTCCCCAGGTCCCAAGCCTTTCTCCTAAGAGTAGCTAAGAGTAAGCAGGCTGCCAGAGCACAGCTAACTCATATTCAACAGACCAGAGAAGGCAATTTCACTTTTGAACTGCTCTCTACTTTCCTGAAGTGGGACTCAATTGTGCTTGAAAATGCAAGCACAACCTAATTGCCCTCAACCATCTGTCTAAACTTTCCTCAGAGCAATGGGCCAAAAACACGTGACCCTGCCTAAGGGAGGCCTTGGGGAAGCCCTTTGGAAATTAGAGCCCTCTAATCATTTATTTATTCAAATATTTATTGAGTACATACTCATTTTAATACTTAAGAGTGGTACTAGCATAGTAGTTACCAGCATGGGATCTGAAGGCTGATTGCCTGGGCTCAAATCCTGATGCTACTATCTGCTTATTGATTTTAGTTTCCCTCTTTGTAAAATGAAAAGACTAAAATTGCCAGAGGGTAGGTATGAGGATTAAATGAGATGCATATGTGAAGTGCCTAGCACATTGCCTGGTACATGGTAAGTATTCAATAAATGTTAGCTAGTATTGTTATTCATGCTGAATCAGAGCAAACCTGTCAGGGATCAATGAACAATACATAATAGATAATGGAGTAAAATTTTAGGGACCTTCCACCAGTTTCATGGGCCCATTGCTGAAAGCGTTCTGGGGAAGAAGCATGTGCTAAGAAGAGCAGTAGAGAAAGTGTTGTGATTCAAGGAGGTAAAGTAGAAATTACACTTGGATGCCAGAGAATGACTTGTTGCATTACTGAAGTTTCAGAAGAATATAAATGCCAAAGAGGACACTATTGCATATCAATGCATTCCATTCTAGAGGAAAAGATTCCTGCTAACAAGCCCAGTCCTTAGCACCAATGTTTTCCATCACACTATAAAGCACAGAATTAAGGCAGTGATTCTTAGGTGCAAAGCCCAGAACCTAACAAATTACCCCCAATTTCTCCCAGCAACCCTATTTCTGGAATTAGCTCTGTGAGTTGGGGTACTTCAACTGACCCAAGAAAAGGAAATAGTGGCCAGGCACGGTGGCTCACGCCTGTAATCTCAGCACTTTGGGAGGCCGAGGCAGGTGGATCACCTGAGGTCAGAAGTTCAAGACCAGCCTGGCCAACATGGTGAGACCCCGTCTCTACTAAAAGTACAAAAAATTAGCCGGGCGTGGTGGCACGCGCCTGTGATCCCAGCTACTTGGGAGGCTGAGGCAGGAGAATCACTTGAACCTGGGAGGTGGGGGTGGAGGTTGCAGTGAGCCGAGATCATGCCACTGCACCCCAGCCTGGGTGACAGAACAAGACTTTGTCTCAAAAAAAAAAAAAAAAAAGGAAATGATGTCAGAGAGAAAAGCCTACTGATGAGCCTATTGAGAGGATTAATTTAGGACTACCTTGAGGGTCTTGGGGGTCTCCTGCTGGGGCAAGGCTCAAAAGCAATGTAGGGAGGGTGGGAAGTGACAGTGAGACTCTGTTTTGACTATACTAATGACTATCAAGCAGGGATCTTTAACCTCATTCCTGGCTTTCATGTTTATTTAGTGTCTATTCTGTGCACAGCAGTGCCAAACATTGTAAGGGATACAAAAGAAGCAACAAATAAGCTTCCAAACTGTGATTAAATTGAAGTGGGAAAAATATTCTGTAGTTTCTGCCCATAACTTAATTCCAGATTGGAGAATACAATGTAACAGCTGCACTAATTGCTTTTATTTTACATACAGCACTTAGATTTAGGGCCTCTTGAACTCAATTCACAAACTGACATAAAACCATGTGTGAGTACTTCTGTTTGTTATAGGATTGCAGCCAGAACTGTATAAAATTCTCTGTTTATATTCTTTGCTGCACTGGTCTCTCGTTGGACTGGTATTCCATTGTCTTTAAACAGTAACTAACCCACTGAAATATTTCTGGTCCTTCCAGGGATCCCAAGGACATATACACAGTGGGTTAACACCATCAGCCATTCCTGTATCAGCTCTGCTGTTTTCTCTCAAATCCCTTTGCCATTTGAAGGTTTTGTTTTTGTTTGCTGCTCTCAATGGGCTGAACCTCAGAAACAGTGGGCTGGTGAACAACCATTTGTGAACAATCTAATTGTGAGAGAAGCAGGACAATGGCAGACTGAGCAGAATGAACCCTAAGCATCAACAAGCTATGAACCCATGTATCGGTACACTCTCCAGATTCCTCAGAGTTCCACACACCTCCCACTTAGGGTAAGAAGGCTCACAGTGAGGGGGAGGTATGAGGCAGAGGCAAGTACTTTTCTATGATTATTTTTCTTTTCTGCAAGACATGCTCAAAGAGTTCTCCTTTGATAGTGTGGGATGGGTTAGGTGTAGTTCATCTTGAAAGCAAAAAGACAGCCTCTTTCACCCATGTGAATCTGATTATACTTCCTGACTCCCACAGAGATGAACCAAGCACCCACGTTGTCTAGTCTTTTCTTCTGTCCAAGCTAGCCAAAAGATATCCTCTTACTGAAAGCTTGCAGCTACTGCTATTACTATTACTACTGCTTTTTATCACTGTTTCCTGCTCTTGGAAAACCTCAGCCTGATAGCGCAGGAACTGAGAAATTAATTCTGACCTCAAAAGGGGATAGCGTCTGTGAGACTTGCAAGAGGGGCTGATATCTGCCAGTCACTAGGCAGAGAAGAGCATTCCAGGCTGAGCAAACAGCATGAGCAAGTGTGCAGAGGTATGCAAGTGCATTGTTCTCATATTCAAGTTCAGGAAAGTTAATAGTCTAGTGGGGCTACAGGGAAGGCCATCAGAGCAGTGAGAGTGATGCCAAAGAAACCGGAACAAGGTAGAGTGGGGCAGATTTGTGAAGCACATTGAATGCCATGTTAAGGGAATTAAACTTTCTTTTTTAGGCAATGAGGCGTTCTAAGCAGATGAAACACAATCCAATTCACGTTTACAGAGAACTCTGGCAGGAGTATGGACGTTTGATTGGCAGAGATAAGGAGACTATTTAGGAGGCTCTAGCACGGGTCTAGATAAGAAATCAGAACCACATCTAGGGTAGTGGTAGTGGGTACTAAAAGGTGGCAGGTTTGAAAAACACTAAGAAATAGTAGTATGTTGCTTAAAAAAAACCTAGCTCTCTGGAAAAGCCAGGAAAATAGACTTCACTAGGAACAAAATTGGCCAGCACCCTGATTTTGGACTTTCCAGCCTCCAGAACTGTGTGGAAATAAATTTTGTTGTTTAAGCCACCCAGTCTGTGGTATTTTGTTATGGCAGCCTGAGCACACTAATACACATAGTATAAGATCAATAAATAGTTGCTGAATGAATATTCAAGTGTTAGGACTGATCCTAACATTTGTATTGGAATTAGTATTTTTTTAGAGATAAGATCTATTAAGACATAATGAGAAAATAGAACTAAGAAGAGGTACCACGTGACAGATTGTTGGCGATGGATTTTTCTCTGATGTAAGCTTTGCTCTGTGAGGCTAGTGAGGGGTTTCTTGCCAGGGTTTACAACAGTATCACTAGCTAAAATATCTTTCCCTGAGGATATCATATTCTTCCTCCTCCATTCTTGATTTACTTATGACATTAGAAATGCAATGGGAGGGCTAGGCACGGTGGCTCACACCTGTAATCCCAGCACTTTAGGAGGCCGAGGCAGGCGGATCACTTGAGGTCAGGAGTTCGAGACCAGCCTGGCCAATATGGTGAGACCACATTTCTACTAAAAATACAAAAATCAGCTGGGCGTGTTGGTATGCGCCTGTAGGCCCAGCTACTCGGGAGGCTGAGGCAGGAGGATCGCTTGAACCTGGAAGATGGAGGGTGCAGTGTGCCGAGATTGAGCTACTGCACTCCAGCCTGGGTGACAAAGCAAGGCTCTGTCTCAAAAAAGAAAAGAAAAGAAATGTAATGGGAGGCTGGGCACAGGGGTTCACGACTGTAATTCTAGCACTTTGGGAAGCTGAGGTGGGGGAATTGCTTGAGACCAGGAGTTCAAGATCAGCCTGGCCAACACGGTGAAACCCCATCTCTACTAAAAATAAATAAATAAATAAATAAATAAATAAAATTAGCTGGGCATGGTGGTGGGCACCTGTAATCCCAGTCACTCAGGAGGCTGAGTCAAGAGAATCACTTGAACCTGGGAGGCAGAGGTTGCAGTAAGCCAAGATCATGCCACTGACTCATGTCTGACTTTTTAAAAAAATGATCTTTTCCCCTTCCTTACCCCTACCAACCAGCAGGGTGCATTCTCTACTCAATATATCTCTTGGCTTCTGCTTATTTCCATACGGGGGTACTGTGCTGATTGCTCTACATGCATTCTCTGAATTCATTCTCATGACAACCCTAGGCATCTAGCGCAGTTTCTGGCAAATAATAAGTATTCAATAAATACTTTTTAAAAGATTAGCCGTGTAACAATAACAGTAACTAACATTTATTTTGTCTTCTATGGGTCAGCATCCATTCTAAACACTTCACATACATTAACACATTTAATTTCAACAACACAAAGAGGTAGTGACCATTATTATCAATTTTAGAGATGCTTACCAATTATAACTTTTTAGTGCTTTTGGCTCTAATGGGTGTCAGTTGCTGGCAGGAGTTGTAGTGATAGCAATAGTATTTTCAGCCCTAATCAAGGTGGTAATACTTGGGTAGATCTAGACTGATTGTGATAATGTCTCTAACAGTGCAACAAAAGTTACAAGCTTGTGGGCTCTACCTCAGGACTATTAGTTTCTGATTTTTGGGTATCACTCTTCTTCCTTTTGTCCCACTCCCTTTTACTATGCCATGTATCCGAAATCTCTGTAACTAATTTTATTTCAATAGTTTTTGGTTACATGGATGAGTTATTTAATGGTGAATTCTGGGATTTCAGTGCACCCGTCACCCAAGCAGTATACATTGTACCCAATATGTAACCAATTATTTTAAGAGTTTGGGTCTCCCTCTGTCACCCAGGCTGGAGTGCAATGGCATGATCACAGCTCACTGCAGCCTCAAACCCCTGGGCTCAAGCTATCCTCCCACCTCAGCCTCCCGAGTAGCTGGGACTACAGGCATGCACCACCACTCCTGGCTAATTTTTAAAAATGTTTTTGCAGAGACGGGGTCTTGCTATGTTGCCTAGTCTGGTGTCAAACTCCTGGCCTTAGGCAATCCTTCTGCCTCTGTCCCAAAATGCTAGGATTACAGGTAAACCATCGTGCCCAGCCAGTAACTTTTTTTTTTTTTTTTTTTGAGACAGTGTCTCACTTTGTCACCCGGGCTGGAGTGCAGTGGCACAATCTCAGCTCACTGCAACCTCCGCCTCCCGGGTTCAAGCGATTCTCCTGCCTCAGCCTCCCGAGTAGCTGGAATTACAGGTGCATGCCACCACGCCCAGCTAGTTTTTGTATTTTTAGTAGAGATGGGGTTTCACGATGTTGGTCAGGCTGGTCTCGAATTCCCGATCTTAGGTGATCTGCCTGCCTCGGCCTCCCAGAATGCTGGGATTACAGTCGTGAGCCACTGCGCCTGGCCAACTAATTCTTTTTATTAAATTCCCTTTTTGGAACACCAAGAGTAATTTCTCTTTACCTAGCTGGACTTTGAATAAGACCTAAAAGAACTTAAAGATGAAACTACTGATTCTCTATTGACAATCTTTGAGAAACAGTGACGATTACCAGAATAGCAACAGAGGGTTGAAAACAACAAAGCATTGTACTTTTTCAAAGCTTTGGGTTTTTTTGCTTTTGTTTTTGTTTTTTTGGAGACAGAGTCTCACTCTGTCACCCATGCTGGAGTGCAGTGGCATGATCTTGGCCCACTGCAACCTCCACCTCCCAGGTTCAAGCGATTCTTGTGCCTCAGCTTCCTGAGTAGCTGGGATTACATGCATGTGCCACACACCCGGATAACTTTTTGTATTTTTAGTAGAGACGAGGTCTCACTATGTTGGCCAGGCTTGTCTCAAACGCCTGAGCTCAAGTGACCCCCCAACCTCAGGCTCCCAAAGTGCTGGGATTACAGATGTGAGCCACTGTGCCCGGCCTTTTAACCTTTTATATTGTAAAGAATAACACATACTGAAAAGTGAGCACACAAATATATAACTCAATGGTTTACCAGGAATCAAACAGCCATGTAACCAGCACCCAGGTCATGAAAAAGAACATCTCCAGCAGCCCAGAATCCCCCTGCCAACCACTAAGGCCTTTCTCTTCCACTTAAGTAATCATTAACATGCCTTTTAGGAGAATCATGCCCTTTTTTTTATATATATAGCTTTTCCACCTAAACATGCATCCCTGAACATTAGTGGCTTATTTTTTTTTTTTAATTTGAGACAGGGTCTTGCTTTGTTGCCCAGGCATGAACCCATATGCCCTGACTTAGTTTTGCTGTTTTTTGAACTTTCACATATACGCAATCAAGATATATTCTTCTGTGTCTGGTTTCTTTCACTCAACATTATATCGCTGAGATTCACCCATTCCTATGCAAGAAATTATTCATCCATTTTATTGCTGTATAATATTCCATTGTATGAACAAACATGGCTGCTCAACAAGGTCTGATCTGAGTCTATATTTTAAAAGTAGATAACATCAGGCACAATACCAATTAATTAGATGACTTGTTGAGGATGACCAAGATAGTAAAGATCTAGTTGCTTACACTAGAAAAAGAGAAGGCTTGGGGCAAAGAGGAAAAAAAGTCACAGCTATTTTAAAATTTTTAAAGAGCTATTATGTAGAAGAGGAATTGAAACTATTCTCTGCACTTTCAGAGGGCAGAATCAGAACCAATAGGGAGATAGCATAAATAAGTATATTTTGGCCATCTTGTTTACTATATTCTTGTCCTTACCATCCCATAAAGTTGGAGATAATCTGGTCAGATAGGCATGCTGTAGCAGCACTAAATATAGATAAACTAAAATGATCTGCATGACTAGCAGCCTGAGCCAAGGCTTCCAAACACAATAAAACGATTCTAGAAATAATCCTTAGCATTCTCTGCATGCTTTCCTTTGAGAGAAACTTTTCAGCTGGAGCAAGCAGAGGCAAATCGGTAGGCTAGGAACTATAGTAGATACTGACTAGTGTCAAGAGAACTAAAAATGTGGAGACCTCTGAATTGAAAAATCAGGATGCCATTTGAGTTTCACACTAATCTTAAAAATCATTCCCTATACCAGATCATGTTGGGAATCTTTCCAACAAAAAGGTGACCTTGAATATATAAAGTCTGAGAAAAAAGAGAGCAGAAATTTCTTAGAGCTTGTGTGTGTGTGTGTGTGCACACGCATGTTGCGCATATGCATGCTTTTTGCCTTAGGGAGTTATAAAGTTCAAACCAGATAAAGTAAATATAAACACTTCAGAAACTCTTAGGTGCATTAAACTAGAAGATGAACTTAAAGAAAAAAACAAAGTTTCAAAGAACTCAGAAGAATCAGCCTAAAGTTCGAAACCAGGGTTTAGGCTGAATGATTTTTCAGAAATGAAGTTCCTCAAAATTTCCTAATGAAATTCTTGAACAGAAAAAGACATAAGGAGAATCCACCTCTAGAGAGGGAGTTAATTTTGTGCATAATGAATAAACGCTAAAGGGTATACCATTAGACTGAGAGCCTCGGGTCAAAATTTTGCTAAGAAAATAGCCTCTTCTAGTCTACTACCTCTTTAAATACACTGGAAGAGGTTTTCCTTTTATAGGCCCATCAAAGCACTAAATGGGTTGCTTTAGTGGTAATTGCAGAAATGGCTGATAACCAAAGTGGGTTTTGCTAACATTTCTTCCCCTAATCTAAGTGTACTGAAGAAAAAGGTATGGAACCTAGTGTTAATAGTGAATGGTAGGATAAAAAAAGCTCTCCTAGAGCTTTCAAATTCATCTTAAGATTTGGTGGTGAATTTGTAATAATATGAGTACACTGATTTTAATTATCCCTCTTTCCATTTACTATCAGCCATAATATGATGCTTCATTGTGCTTATGAGCTGGGGGGAATGAAGACTTAAAAAAGGACACAATATTTAAGAAAAATTCATGTCTAACAGAAAAACAAAGTAGATGTGGTAGGATGGGGTTTTTTTTCAAGGTTGGAGAAAATGAAAAGACAGTAAAAATTTTTAAATATTATTAAATAGCTGCATAAGATAGAAAATTACAAAATATTGCTTTAATTTTAAAAAATCTAAATAAATAGATTAATATATTATGCTTATTGGTTAGAAAACTCATTATTTTAATGTTAATTTTACCCAAATTGATATATAGGTTAAACACAATCTCAAAAGTAATACCAGCACGCTCTTTTTTCTGGAAATCAACAAGATGATTGGCCTGATTTAATCATTCCACATTGCATACATATACCAAAACAACACATTATACCCCATAAATGTATATCTTATGATTTGTCAATTAAAAATAATATCAATAAAATTTAAATTTATAGGGAAACACAAAGGTCCTAGAAAAACCAATCTTAAAACAACAACAGCCGGGCGCAGTGGCTCACGCCTGTAATCCCAGCACTTTGGGAGGCCAAGGCATGTGGATCACGAGGTCAGGAGATCGAGACCATCCTGGCTAACATGGTGAAACCCCGTCTCTACTAAAAATACAAACAATTAGCCGGGCGTGGTGGCGGGCACCTGTAGTCCCAGCTACTCGGGAGGCTGAGGCAGGAGAATGGCGTGAACCTGCGAGGCGGAGCTTGCAGTGAGCTGAGACTGCGCCACTGCACTCCAGACTGGGCGACAGAGCGAGACTCTGTCTCAAAATAACAACAACAACAACAACAACAACAACGAAGCTGGAGGGCTTACACTATTAGGTATCAAGACTTGTTATAATGCTACAGTGATTAAGACCATATGGTATTTATGCAATGATAGTCAAATAGACCAATGGAGCACTATATAGAATATAGAAAGAGAACCACCCATATCCAGTCATCAGATGTATGGTGAAGGCACCATTACAATTCAGTGGGAAAGGGTTAGAGTTTTTTTTTTTTTAATAGTGATGGGTTAACTGGATATCTATATAGAAAAAAATGAACTATCTCAAACCACACACAAAAATTAATTTGAGATGGGTAATAGATCTAAATGATCTAGAACAACAGAGGTTGGCAAACATTTTCTGTAAAAGGCCAGATAGTAAATATTTTAGGCTTTGTGGCTCGTATGGTCTTTGTCACACTGACTTTGATGCTGAAGTGTGAAAGCAACCATAGACGATACATAAATGAATGGATGTAGCTATGATTCAGTAAAACATTATCTGGGCCACATTTGACCTTTGGGATGTAGTTTGTCAACTCCTGTTCTAGCAAAACACATAGAAGAGTATCTTCTTGATCTTAGGGATAGGCAAGGATTTTTAAAGTAGGGCATCAAAAGTACTAACTAATAAGAAATGATAAATTGGACTTAATTAAAATTAAGAACTTCTGGTCAAATGATATCATTAAGAATACGAAAATTCAAGCCATAGACTGGGAGATTTCTGAAATACATACGACTAAGGACTTGCAGTTAGAATATGTAAAGAACTGGGCCAGGTGTGGTGGCTCATACCTGTAGCCCCAGCACTTTGGGAAGCTGAGACGGAAGGATCGCTTGAGGCCGGGAGTTCAAGACCAACCTGGGAAACATAGCAAGACCCCATCTCTACAAAAAAATAGTAAAAAAAAAAATAAAAAAGCCAAGTGTGGTGGCACACGCCTGTAGCCCCAGCTATTCAAGAGGCTGAGGCAGGAAGATCACTTGAGCTCAGGAGTTTCAGGCTGCAGTGAACTAGGTTTGCACCATTACACTCCAACTTGGGCAATAGAGTGATACTTCGTCTCTAAAAAAATAAAAAATAAAAATATAGAAATCTTACAAAACAATAGAAAGACAAAAACTCAGTAATAAAATAGGTAAAATACCTGAACAGGCATTTTACGAAAGAAGATATCCATATGGTCAATAAACCTATGAAGAGATGCTCACCATCATTAATCATCAGGAAAATGCAAACTAAAATGACATTGTGATACTACCATACATCCAACATAATGGTTAAATTAGATGGACAAAATCAAGTGCCAATGAAGATATAGAGCTATTGAGACTGTCATACATTGCTGGTGGTGATGTAAATAAACACATAATCACTTTGGCAGTTATTACAAAAGCCAAACATACATTTCATTCTATGACGAAGAAATTCCGCTCCTGCATATGAACTCAACCAAAATGAGTGCTTATATTCTATGAAAGATATGTACAAGACTGTTCGTATCCATTTTGTTCATAATTCAAAAACTGGAAACTCAAATGCATTTATACTCTAGAATGAATAAACCAATTGTGGTAAATTGACACAATGGAATTAGTACATAGCAGCTAAAAAGAAGAAGAAACTACTAGAATGTGCAATGACATGGATAAATCTCAAGAAAACAATGTTGGCTGGGTGTGGTGACTCATGCCTGTAATTCCAGCACTTTGGGAGGCCAAGGCAGGCAGATCACCTAAGGTCAGGAGTTCGAGACCAGCCTGCCCAACATGGCAAAACCCCATCTCTACTAAAAATACAAAAAATTAGCCAGGCGTGGTGGCACGTGCCTGTAATCCCAGCTACTCGAGAGGCTGAGGCGGGAGAATCGCTTGAACCTGGGAGGCAGAGGTTGCAGTGAGCCAAGATCGCACCACTGCACTCCAGCCTGGGCAACAGAGTAAGACTCTCTCAAAAAAAAAAAAAAAAAAAAAAAAAGAAAGAAAGAAAAAGAAAATAATGTTTAGCAAAAGTCAAATACATAAGTACATAGTTTGATTCCATTTAAATGAAGTTTTAAAACAGGCAATACACCTATGGTGATACAAGTTAAAACGGTGGTTACCTTCGAGAGTATCAAGTGGGAAGGGGCATGAAGAAGTCTTCTGAGGTACTGGAAATGGTTCTACATCTTGATCTGGGTGGTAGGTAGTTAAATGATTGTGTGTGTGTATGTGTGTGAGAGAGAAAGAGATGTGTGTGTGAGGGAGACACAGAGAGAGAGAATTAAGTGAGCTACGCTTGAGATCTGTGAACTTTTACTGTAGAAAAGAAAAAAACAATTATTAGCTAAGCACAGTGGCACATGCCTGTAGTCCCAGTTACTTGGGAGGCTGAGGCAGAAAGATTGCTTAAGCCCAAGAGTGCAAGAGCAGCCTGGACAATATAACAAGACTTTATCTCAAAAAAAAAAAAAAAAAAAAAGAAAGGAAGAAAGAAAAGAAGAAAAATATTTAAAAAGACAATATCAATTTAAAAAAGAAAAAAAAATGGTTAATGGTCCCACTGAACACTTCAAGAAAAAAGTATGTTATCCCAGCATTCAAATTAGATAAGTAAAATAATTGCTTCTCTCTCAAATTGATTAAATCTTCCTCTAAACAGATTATTTTGCTTTTCTTTTGCTTAGATTTTTTGCTTTGGATGTGGTATCCAAGTATAATAAAGCAGAAGAGAGAATTTTCTTCCTACTCCCAGATATTAGTTTATGCCATACAGACATCATATATTCTTCAGAAGATTTGCTCTGACCCAATTCAGGATACTTTGTTTTTGGCAAATAATCTGAGTAAAAAATGCCATTCCTCACTCTGTGATTGTGTGTATATTTATACAGTTTTTAATTTCCCTGGGAGTACTCATACCCAGTTTGAAAAGCATGCCTTTAAATAGCCAATCTAGTCACAATGGCTAATTGACAGGAAAAGCTTTCAAGTGCTCAAAGGGATCATTGATCCTTTTATTTCGCGATGAGCAAAGAGATCCTTAGAGCTAATTAAATTATGATCCTAATATTCTTCCCTTTCATTATTAGCAGTATTTGGCCCTGATTTTTTTCCTGGAGCATGTGTACTCAATTAGGGGTGAGGGAAACACATGTTTTATAAAACAAAAGTGGTCATTATTCTCTGCTCCAATAAGAGTGTGTTTTATCTTTTATCATTAAAAGAGGAATCAGTATTTTTACCAGGAGTTTTCAAATACATTTTTCTTTGAAGAAAGTTCTGGTGTGTTTCAATTGTTTTAAACTAAGATTAAGCTCAGGGCAATAATTCAAAACGTTTAAATTATACATAGTGATTAGTTTTAATTTTTAGTGTGGGAAAGTGGTAATTGAAGACAACATTAATTTGGTAATGTTAAAGCATTAAGTGGAGAACAACCTTTCAATTTTCCTCACCCTAGTGTGATTTATTATATTATAGCCCATACTTGCAGTATCTATATTATCTGCTTCAAGGTATTAGATCTTATGATACTAATAATCTTAAAAAGGAGATATTTTTCTTAAGAGAGTACCAGGCACCAGGTGTGGTGGCTCACGTCTATAATCCCAGCACTTTGGGAGGCCAAGGGGGGCAGATCACCTGAGGTTGGGAGTTCGAGACCAGCCTGGCTAACATAGGGAAGCCCCGTCTCTAATAAAAATACAAAAATTAGCTGGGTGTGATGGCACGTGCCTGTAATCCCAGCTACTTGGGAGGCAGAGGCAGGAGAATCACTTGAACCCGGGAGGTGGAGGTTGCAGTGACCCGAGATTGTACCACTGCACTCCAGCCTGGGAGACAGAGTGAGACTCCATCTCAAAAAAAAAAAAAAAGAGACCGGATGCGGTGGCTCACGCCTGTAATCCCAGCACTTTGGGAGGCCAAGGCGGGCGGATCAGGAGGTCAGGAGTTCGAGACCAGCCTGGCCAACATGGTGAAACCCCATCTCTACTAAAAATACAAAAATTAGCCAGGCGTGGTGGCGGGCACCTGTAATCCCAGCTACTCAGGAGGCTGAGGCAGGAGAGTCACTTGAACCCGGGAGGTGGAGGTTGCAGTGAGCCGAGATCGTGCCACTGCACTCCAGCCTGGGTGACAGAGCGAGACTCCATCTCAAAAAAAAAAAAAAAAAAGAAAGAGTACAAGGAGCAGCTTGCAATACCATATGATTTTATTCTCAAAATGGTGTAATGAAAAAAACCCATAGACTCTGGTGTTAGTAGATCTGAAAGGCAGACCTGACTCCATTATGAATGACTTTGTGTGAATTATTCAATCTTTCAGAGCTTATAGTTTCTTCAACTGTAAAATGAGACTATTATAATAATGCCTGCCACACTGAAGAATCTGGATGAAAGGCATCCACACAATATCTTAGAATGTGAACTGGATATAATGCATGACAATATTTTTTTTTAGACAGGGTCTCACTCTGTCACCCAGGCTGGAGTGCAGTGGCATGGTCATGGCTCACTGTAGCCTCAACTTCCCAGGCTCAAGCAATCCTCCCTCGTCAGCCTTCTGAGTAGCTGGGACTATAGGTGTGTGCCACCATACCCTGGTAATTTTTTAATTTTTTGTACAGATGGGGTTTCGCTACGTTGCCTAGGCTAGTTTTGAACTCCTGGGCTCAAGTGATCCTCTCACCTCAGCCCCACAAAGTGTTGGGATTACAGGCAAGAGCCAGTGCACCCAGCTTGATACTATTTTTAAAATTCCAGTACAATTAGGCTGACAAAGGTTTAGGTTTGGGGTTTAAAAATCTAAAAATACTAAATAGTAAAAAATGCAGTATAAAGATTTTAATAATGGTCGTGGTAATCTAAGACTGACAGAACCAGTATTTTAATGGAAAAAAAGGTTACTTTTCAATTCCTAGAAATAAGTATTTCATTACTGAGAGAATAAGTGTATATCTGTTTGGGAAGAAGGGAGTGCACAGAAGGAAGAGATTATAGGTAAGCCTCTATATTCTATTTTTAATTTCTTTATTATTTATTTATTTATTTTTTGAGACGGAGTCTCGCTCTGTCACCCAGGCTGGAGTACAGTGGCGCGATCTCGGCTCACTGCAACCTCTACCTCCCAGGTTCAAGCGATTCTCCTGCCTCAGCCTCCCGAGTAGCTGGGATTACAGGCACACACCACCACGCCTGGCTAATTTTTGTATTTTTAGTAGAGACGGGGTTTCACCATGTTGGCCAGGCTGGTCTGGAACTCCTGACCTCAGGTGATCCGCCCACCTTGGCCTCCCAACATGCTGGAATTACAGGCGTGAGCCACTGTGCCTAGCCTAAGCCTCTATATTCTAATCCACTTGTTGTAGGGCCCTGATATGGGCACCCAAATGTAGCTTTAAAATATAAGGAGAATGACAGACAATAGTATATATGAAATATTCTTATCAAAAGATAAGATCTACTCTAATTAAACCTGTAGGGAAAAAAGGGACAAAGGAGCATGTTAAACAATATCATGAGAATAGAATGAGCAAACTCTAGAATGTGGGAAACTTAGGAAGACACCCAGTTTCTTCAACAAAAAAATTGCAAAAATAAAAAGGAACAAGGAGAACCTATAGATTAAATGAGGCATTAAAGACATATCAACCAAATGTAACCTGGGGACCATTTAAAATACCTGAATCAAACAAATGGTTATAAAAATACTTTGAGACAATCAGGGAAACATAAAATAGACATATATTAAGGCAGTATTGTTAATGTTTTTAGATATAATTATATTAACAAGCTTTTTAAAAGAATTATTGAGACAATATTAGCGAAAATGGAAGAGTAACGGCCCCCCAAATTCAGTCCTCCGTAAAATTTTTTTGAAGCCAAAACTAGTCAGAATCAACATTTTCAGAACTCTGGAAATTAACCAAAGGCTTGCAGCAACCTGGGGAATGTATTTTAAAGAAAAACACCTGAATCTCTGTAAGAAAAGTGAGCTTCACGTCATTTTAATTTGTCCTAGTTCCATCTCCCACTCTCTAGCTCTGCAGTAGCCTTAAAAAATTACAGTCCACATTTATGAAGAAAACCAGCAGCCTGACACGTGAGGGAGCAGAAAGAGGTGGGAGCTTATTCAAAGCCTCATTCCTAAACAACTGTCATTGTTATATATGTCTGGTGGTTCCCTGGAAAATACCACTTGCTCAGAGATAACACAGTGCAAAAAGCCTTCTCCAGGGGGAGTATTTGCCAAAAACAAATACAGGCAAGTGATTTAGCTTTGCAGCTGCCTAAGGCTGTGAATAACAGTTAAGGTACACAATAGACTAATAAAAAATCTTAAACAGAAAAATTGGGGAAGAATATATCTATAAGCACTTTGAAAACCTCCTACATTTTTCAGAAGATCTAGAAGGGCATAAGCATGCATAGGACTGTAAACATGCTCTGGAAAGACTCAAGAAGGCCCCACACTGTCATGTTTGGCTGACCTTGAGCCTTTGCACAATCAGGAAGTGAACACTAAGGCAGAGTTGTTAATGGCCTGGGTGATTGTTGAAAGTACACCCCAACATGCACACGGAGTTCTTTGACAAAGACTAGGAGATTTGCTGGTTCTGGGCATTTAAGAAGCTCTGTCCAATCATGAACTAATCTCTAAAATAGCTGAGTAGAGAATTCAGTGGTCACATATGACAAAGAATACAGACTAGTTCAGAGAAGTCACTAAAACAACCACCCACCCACATTAGTAAAAACAAGTCAAAACAACAATAAACCTTGGTAAAGAGAGAGCATCTGATTTCCAAAGTTGCCACATCAGATTATTCAAAAGTCTAGTTTTCAACAAAAAATGATGAGTGATACAAATAAATAAGAAAGTATGGCTGGGCACCGTGGCTCATGCCTGTAATCTCAGCACTTTGGGAGGCAAAGGCGGGCAGATCACTTGAGGCCAGGAGTTTGAGATCAGCCAGCTCAACATGGTGAAACCCCATCTCTACTAAAAATATAAAAGTTAGTCAGGTGTGGTGGTGCATGCCTGTGGTCCCAGCTACTTGGGAGGATGAGGTGGAAGGATCGTTTAAACCCAGGAGATTGATGCTGTTGTGAGCCGAGATTGCACCACTGCACTCCAGCCTGGATGACAGAGTAAGACTCTGTCTCAAAAATTAATAATAAAATAAAATACAGTACAAACGTATTTTTTGTTTATAACACTTTTTCTCTCCTTATTTAAAAGGCAACTGCATAAAACGAGATTTATAAATCTGTGTTAAAAGGCACCCAATGTATATACATATAATTTGTGGTAACAACAGCACAAAGGAGGGTTAGGATGGAGCTACTAAAGAACAAAATCTTCATATACTATTGAAATCAAGTTACTGTTCGTCCAAATTAGATTGTTATAAGTTAAAAATGCTAATTGTAATACTCAGGGCAATCACTAAAAATAATTTTTAAAAACACAGTAAGTGAAATAACAAGGGAATTAGGATGTACACTAGAAAATATCTATGTTCTATATGAGTTTTGTTTTTGTTTTGCTTTTGTTTGTTTGTTTGTTTGTTTTGAGACGGAGTCTCGCTCTGTCACCCAGGCTGGAGTGCAGTGGCACGATCTTGGCTCACTGCAACCTCAGCCTCCCAGGTCCTGGTTCAAGCAATTCTCGTGCCTCAGCCTCCAGAGCAGGTGGGATTACAGGCACCCACCACCGTGCCCAGCTAATTTTTGTATTTTTAGTAGAGACGGAGTCTCACCATGTTGGCCAGGCTGGTTTTGAACTCCTGACCTCAGGTGATCCACCCGCCTCGGCCTCCCAAAATGCTGGGATAACAGGCGTGAGCCACCGCAGCTGGCACTATATGAGATTTTTAAAGCATTATCCAACTATATGCTGTCTATAACAAAAAAACTTTAGATCCGAAGATACAAATAGGTAGAAAGAGAATAAAATATGTATGTATATATATATATATATATATTTTTTTGAGACTCTGTTGCCCAGGCTGGAGTGCGGTGGTACGATCTTGGCTTACTGCAACCTCTGCCTCCCAGGTTCAAGTGATTCTCTGGCCTCAGCCTCCCGAGTAGCTGGGATTACAGGCACACACCATCATGCCTGGCTAATTTTTGTAATTTTAGTAGAGACGGGGTTTCACCATGTTGGCCAGGCTGGTCTTGAACTCCTGACCTCAAGTGATCTGCCCACCTCAGCCTCCCAAAGTGCCTGGATTACAGGCGTGAGCCACAGCCCCTGGCCAAAACAAAGATTTTTTTATGCAAACTAACCAAAAGAGAGTTGGAGTGGCTATACTAATATCAGAGAAAACGAACTTTATGATAAAAGTTGTTACTAGAGACAAAAAAAGGAGTGTGTGTATGGGTGAATCTATCAAGAAGATGTAACATTTACAAATATATATGCATCTAACAATAGAGCTCCAAAATACAGGAAAAAATCCTGACAAAATGGAAGAGAGGATTATATGATTCAATCACAAGAGTTGGATACCTCAATACCCCACTTCAAATAATGTTGGACTTGAACAACAAAATAAACCAGACAGAAATAACAAATATTTATAGAATACTCTATCCAACAGCAAAATACAAATTCTTCTCAAGTGCACATAAAACGTTCTTCAGAATAGACAATATATTGTGACATAAAACAAGCTGCAATAAATTTTAAAGGATTGAAGTCATACAAAGTATGTTTTTGGACAAGAATGGAATGAAATTAGATATAAAAGAAGAAAATTTGGGAAAGTAACAAATACGTGGAAATTAAACAACACACTCCTAAATAATCAATGAATCAAATAAAAATTACAACAAATAAGAAAATGTTATGAGTTACATCAAAACCAAAACATAACATAATAAAACTTTTGCAATGCATAATTTGTATAGCTACAAAATCCTATATTAAAAAAGAAATATCTTAAATCAATAATATAAACTTATACCCTAAGATACTAGAACAAGAAAAGCAAATTAAACCCAAAGCAAGAAGAGAAAGCAAATATAGAGATTAAAACAGAAATAAATGGAATAGAGAATGAAAAATGATGGAGAAAAATCAATAAAACCAAAGGCTGTTTCTTTGAAAACATCAACAACATTGATAAACATTTAGCTAGACTAAACAAGAAGGACAAAAAACACAAATAACTAAATTCAGGAATAAAAGAGGGTACATTACTACCAACCTTACAGAAATAAAAATGATTACTTAGGAATATATGAACAATTATATGTCAATAAATTAGATAACATACCTAAAATGGAAAAATTCTGACTGATATCAGCAAGACAGCCAACTAGAGTCAACCTGGCACTCATTCCCCTCACAAAAGGAACCAAAACAACAAATGGACAACTATATTTCAACAGGAGTGACTGAGAAAGTACACTGGAAAGCAACAGGGGAGAGCAAAATCCCTGTGGAGCATGGAAGCACAGAACAGCACCACAGAGAGGGAAACAAGGCGCTCTGCCTCTGCTACACACTGTCTCCTCCACCAGAATTACATCAAATACAGGGAGACGACTTCTTACAGGGAAAAAGTAAACTAGAGGCTCCCACCTGTCCCCATTGCCACCACAGATGCCAGCAGTCCTTGCTATACATCTGACAAGGGATTAATATCTAGAATACTAAGAAACTTAACTCAAGAGCAAAAAAAAATCAAACAACCCAATTAAAAAATAGGCAAAAGACCTTAACAGGCATTTTTCAAAAGAAGACATGCAAATGGCCAACTTATGTATGAAAAAATGCTCAACATCACTAATCATCAAGGAAATGCAAATGAAAACCCCAACAAAATACCACTTCGCTCCAGTTAGAATAGCTATTATCAAAAGACAAAACAAAATGGTTGTTGGCAAGAATGTAGAGAAAGGAAAACACTTATATACTGTTGGTGGGATTGTAAATCAGTACAGCCATTATAGAAAATAGTATAGAGGTTCCTCAAAATATTAAAAATAGAACTTCCATATGATCCAGAAGTCCCACTACCAGGTGTTATTCAAAAGAGATAAAAACAATATGTTGCAGAGATCTCTGCACTCCCATGTTTATTTATATTAGCTAAGATATGGAGTTAATCTAATGTCCAACAATGGATAAAAAATGTGGTGTATATATACAATGTGTGAATATAAATATATACACACACACAAATGTGGTGTATGTATATATATAATACACACACACAATGGAATACTATCCAGCTATAAAAAAGAATGAAATCCTGTCATGTACAACATGGATGAGCCTTGAGAACATCATGTTAAGTGAAATAAGCCAGACACAGAAAGACAAATAACACCTGATCTCCCTCATATGTGGAATCCATTTTTTAAAAGACTGATGTCAAACGGTCGCTTCTATCCTGGGCCGGCCGGGCGGGGGTGGTGGTTGCGGCGGCAGCTCGGGCTCCCAGCGCGCTGGGCCTCTGCACCGCCCCCGCCTCCTCCCGCCCGGGCAGCGGCCTCCCCGGGCGCCCAGTGGTGGTGGAGTCGGGGGAGAGGGAAATTCAACCGGCCGCCTTGTGCCAGAGATAAAAGCGGGCTGCCGGCCCCATTGTCTGACGGAGCTCCCTCCCTGCTTTTTGTTATCGCCTCGCCGCCCCGCCCCTCCGCAGCTCTGGAGGCTCCCTCCCCGGCCAGGCCCGGGCCCCGCGCCCGCCATGGAGAAGACGGAGCTGATCCAGAAGGCCAAGTTGGCCGAGCGCTACGACGACATGGCCACCTGCATGAAGGCCGGGACCAAGCAGGGCGCCGAGCTGTCCAAGGAGGAGCGCAACCTGCTTTCCGTGGCCTACAAGAACGTGGTCGGGGCCGCAGGTCCGCCTGGGGCGTCATCTGGAGCATCGAGCAGAATACCTACACCTCCGACAAGAAGTTGCAGCTGATTAAGGACTATCATACAGTTGCTTTGAGACAACCTAACGCTTTGGACATCAGACAGTGCAGGAGAAGAATGTGATGTTGCAGAAGGGGCTGAAATCTAAATCCATACAGTGTGTCATCCTTTTTTACTTCAAGAAGCCTTTTTACACATCTCCATTCCTTATTCCACTTGGATTTCCTATAGCAAAGAAACCCATTCATGTCTATGGAATCAACTGTTCATAGGCTTTTCACACGCAACTTTGGGAAAACTTCATCCCTTGATCTGTTTGTCTTGGCCTTCCTGGTGTGCAGTTACTGCTGTAGAAAAGTATTAATAGCTTCATTTTATATAAACATAAGTAATTTCCAAACACTTACACAGGACTAAAAATGTATCTGGTATTTAAGTAATCTGAACCAGTCCTGCAAGTGACTGTATTACTGTGAAGATATGAAAATGTTAATTACAGTTTGAAGAGTGTTCTACATAACTTAATTTCTACATTCCCTCCCTTACTCTTTGGGGGTTTCCTTCCAATAAGCAACTTTTCCATGCTCTTAATGTATTCCTTTTTAGTAGGAATCCAGAAATATTAGATTGAATGGAAAAGCACTTGCCATCTCTGTCTGGGAGTCACAAATTGAAATGCCTCCTGTGTCACATAAGGAGGTCATGTATATCTGTGGCAACAAGGAGTTTCCTTATTCACTCTTTATTTGTTGCTGTTTAAGTTGACAACCTCCCTTCCCAATAAAAATTCACTTACACCTCCCAAAAAAACAACTGATACCATAGAAGCATAAAGTAGAATGATGGTTACCAGAGATTGAGAAGGGGAGGGAAGAGAAGGGAAGATAAGGAGAGATTGGTCAATGGATATAAAGTTACAATTAGTAGGAATACTTTCCGGTGTTCTATTGTATAGTAGGGTGACAATGGTTAACAATAAGGTATTGCATATTACAAAATAGCTAGAAGAGAGGCTTTTGAATGTTCTCGCCACAGAGAAATGATTGTATGAGGTGATGGATATGCTAAACACCCTGATTTGATCAGTATTAGTATATATATAGAAACATCAAATTGTACCCTGTAAATATGTACAGTTATAAACTGTCAATTAAAACTACAAAATCACCAAATTATAATAAAATAAAATAAAATGAAAAAATATCAGCCAGGTGCTGTAATCCCAGCACTTTGGGAGGCTAAGGCAGGCGGATCATGAGGTCAGGAGTTCGAGACTAGCCTGGCCAACATAGTGAAACACCGCCCCTCCTCCCCCCGTCTCTACTAACAATACAAAAATTAACTGGGCATGGTGGCGCGCATCTGTAGTCCCAGCTACTTGGGAGACTGTTGGGAGAAAAACTGCGTGTTGGAAGAGAAGCTGAGGCAGGGCTTGCATGTCTGCTAGACTTGCTGGCTCCTTGCTTCTAGCACTCCCATTATCTCAAGTAGCCATGTGCTTCTCCTTCACTTGATACACTGTTTCCTTTCAACCCCCACATCCTCACCACCTGTTTCTTTGTTTGAGCACCAATAAATCGTGTGGGCTCCCAGAGCTTGGGGCGTTTGCAGCCTCCACACTCGCGATGGCCCTCTGGTCCCACTTTCTCTCTCAAACTTTTTCTCATTTCTTTGACTCCACCAGACTTTGTCGCCCCCATGACCTGGTGTTGGGTCTGATCACCCCAACATTCCTGGCTGCCCAACGTGGGGCAACAAAGACCCCAGTGAAGGAATGCTAGAGCATGTGAAAGCAGAGGACGCATCGTCAGAGGACACCCGAGGATGTCTAAAAGATGTCCTAAAAGAAGCTCAGTGGAAAAGCTGAGCACTCGGAAGAACCAGGGTAACAATGAGACAAAGTGAAAGCAGACATTCTGTTTATTTAAATTTCTTAAGTGATTTATTACAAAGAGGGGGAGTGAAAGTTAGTACTCAGAATTTGTTATCACTCTTTAGTATAGTAAAGCAGTTTTGCCCATGGTTTCCTGAACAAGGGACTATGGAGTTGGATGAATGGGAGAGAATTGGAAGAGATTTTAAAAAGGCATATAAAGAGGGAGCAGAAATTCCAGTTTCCGTTTGGTCAGTGTGGGTGCTAATAAAGGCAGCTCTTGAGCCATTTCAAACAGATGATGAGGCAGATTCAGATGAGGAAGAGGAGGTCGAGTGTAAAAATCTAACTTCAGATTCTGAGTGTGAGGAACAGCTACTGGAGGAGATTAAAGAAAAGAAAGGAAAACTAAATAGTATGTTTTACTAGCCTGTCAGCTCCACCTGCTGAATTAAGTGAATGGCCACCTCCTCTCTCTCCCCTTAATGGGCAAGAAAATAAATTAGCTGAAAAACTTATTGCTCCTGTAGTTGCACCATTGAAACCTGGAGCAATTGGCAGTGCTATACAAAATTCTATTCAAAAAGCTAGAGCTAAGGGAGACCTTGAAGCATGGCAATTTCCCATTACTATAATCCAGCAGGGAGGAAAGAATATAGCTAATTGGGCCACTTTTCCTTTTAAGTTACTAAAGGAATTTAAACAAGCCATTAGTCAATATGGACCGAACTCTTCTTTTGTGCAAACTTTATTTAAAAATATGGCTCTTGATAATAGATTAATACCATATGATTCAGATACTTTGACAAAATCTGTTCTCATTCCATCTCAGTACTTGCAGTTGAAAACCTGGTGGGCTGATGAAGCTCAAACTCAGGCAAGGGAAAACACACAAGCACAGCCACCTGTGCCTGTTTCCTTTGAACAGTTAATGGGAGTTGGCCCTAATTGGGGTCGATTACAGAATCAAGCAGTAATAGATGATGTTGCCATTGTTCAGCTGTGCTTTGTGTGCTTATGGGCATGGGAAAGGATACATGTTACAGAGGAAAAATATCCTTCTTTCAGTTCTGTCTGACAAGAACCTAAAGAACCATATACTGGTTTTATTGCTTGGCTCCAAGAGGCTATGTATAAAGCCATAACTGATAAAACGGCTCAGGATGTTGTAATACAGCTTCTTGCATACGATAATGCTAATGCAGAGTGTCAAACTGCTATTAGACCCGAGAGGGAAGGCTCATTTAGCTGAATATATTAAGGCTTGCGATGGCATTGCAGATAACTTACATAAGGCTACTCTTTTAGCTCAGGCTATGGCTGGATTAAGAATAGGAAAGAATATGCCCTGTTTCTCAGGCTCTTGCTTTAATTGTCGGCAATTTTGACACACAAGAGAGGAATGTAGAAAAGGAAATCAAAGGGCAAAAATTAGTACCATCAATCAACAGAAAAGTCCCGGTGTATGTCCCCGGTGTAAGAAAGGCAATCACTGGGAAAGTCAGTGTCATTCTAAATTTAGTCAAGATGGACATCCTCTTTCAGGAAACAGTAAGAGAAGCCCACCTCGAGCCCCTCAACAAACCGAGGCATAACTGGCACAGCCAGTGCCATTACAAATGTACAAGAATTGTCCCCCGCCTCAGCAGGCAGTGCTGCTGTAGACCTCTACAGCACAATTCCCCTCTCCTTACTTCCTGGGGAGCCACCAAAGAAGGTCCCCCACGGGAGTTAGGGGACCCTTACCCTCAGGAACAGTTGGTCTATTACTTGGAAGGTCTAGTCTAAATTTAAAAGGTGTTACTGTACATACGGGAATAATTGACTCTGATTATACCGGAGAAATTCAATTAGTTATTAGTTCCTCGACTCCACAGTCTGCCTCCCCAGGAGAAAGAATTGCTGTTGTTGCTGTTACCTTACATAAAACTAGGAAGCAGCACAGTGAAAAGAACAGGAGGCTTTGGTAGTACTAATCCAGCAGGAAGGCTGTGTATTGGGTTAATCAAGTGTCTGGCAAAAGACCTATTTGCACAGTAACTATTCAGGGAAAAGATTTTGAAGGACTAGTAGATACTGGAGCTGATGTCTCTATTATTGCTATAAATCAATGACCCCGGCACTGGCCTAAGCAAAAGGCATCCATTGTTATTGTTGGAGTAGGAGCTGCGTCAGAAGTTTTTCAAAGTTCTTTGATTTTACCATGTCAAGGGCCGGATGGTTAGGAAGGGATAATCCAACCTATCATTACACCTATTCCTGTTAATTTATGGGGTAGAGACTTATTGCAACAATGGGATGCTGAAATATCTATTCCTACGGATCAATATAGTAATAATAGTAGACAAATGATGAAAAATATGGGATATTGCCTGGGAAAAGGACTAGAAAAAGATAAAATTGGCCAATCAGAAACTTTAGAATTAAAAGGAAAAACAGATTGGACCGGATTGGGTGTCATTTTTAGGAGCGGCCATTGTTGAGCCTCTGGCTCCCATTCCTCTTGTTTGGCTAACTGCCAAACCGGTTTGGGTGCAGCAATGGCCACTGAAACAGGAAAAACTGGAGGCTTTAAAAGAACTGGTGCAGGAACCATTGCAAAAGGGACATATAGAGCCTACTTTCTCCCCTTGGAATTCTCCTGTATTTGTCATTAAGAAAAAATCAGGGAAATGGAGAATGTTAACAGATTTAAGGGCTGTTAATGCTCTGAGTCAACCCATGGGTGCACTACAACCAGGGCTGCCCTCCCCAACAATGATCCCAAAATACTGGCCTCTCATAGTGATAGATCTAAAGGATTGCTTTTTTACCATTCCTTTAGCTGCCCAAGATTATGAAAAATTTGCTTTTATTGTTCCTGCCATAAATAATAAAGAACCAGCGGACAAATACCATTGGAAAGTACTGCCACAAGGCATGCTAAATAGCCCAACTGTTTGTTAAACTTATGTCAGGAAAGCTATTAAGCCAGTTAGAGAACAGTTTAAAAAATGTTATATCATCCATTACATGGATGATATTCTGTGTGCAGCTGAAACTAGGGAAGAATTGATGTTGTGCTACAAGCAGTTAGGAAAGTCTGTAAATGCGGCAGGGTTAGTTATAGCCCCTGATAAAATCCAAACTTCTACTCCCTTTCAATATCTAGGAATGAAGGTAGAGCAAAGTGCTATTAAGCCTCAAAAGGTTCAAATTCGAAGAGATAATTTAGAAACCTTAAATGATTTCCAAAAATTATTAGGAGACATTAATTGGATTCATCCAACTTTAGGCATTCCTACCTATGCTATGTCTCACCTCTTTTCTGCTTTATGAGGTGATTCTAACCTTAAAAGTAAACGCTCCCTGTCCAAAGAAGCATTGGAGGAACTTCAATTAATTGAGGAAAAAATTCAGCAAGCACAAGTAGAACGGATTAATCCAATACAGCCATTACAGTTTTTAGTTTTTCCTACTAAGCATTCGCCTACAGGAGTTATAGTTCAACAGGATGATCTGGTTGAGTGGCTTTTTCTACCTCACAATACAACCAAAACACTCACTCTGTACTTAGATCAAATTGCTGTGCTAGTAGGACAAGCGCAGCTGCGCTCAACAAAGTTAATGGCATATGATCCAAATAAGATTATAGTTCCATTAACAAAACAACAAATTCAACAAGCCTATATTAATTCCCAAGAATGGCAAGTTAATTTGGCCGGTTTTGTTGGCATTCTTGATAATCATTATCCTGAGTCTAAAACCTTCCAGTTTCTAAAATTAACATCCTGGATGTTGCCTTCTATTACTCAAAAAGCCCCTATTGAAGGGACCATTACTGTTTTTACTGATGGATCTAGTAATGGAAAAGCCTCATTTGCAGGACCTCAACAGCAAGTTTTTCAAACTGACTTTGCTTCTTCTCAAAGGGCTGAACTTATGGCTGTGATAACAGTGTTAAAAACTTTTAAACAGCCAGTAAACAGTGTTTCTGATTCAGCCTATGTAGTGCAAGCCATGCAAAATATTCAATGTGCCTTAGTTCAAAATATGACTGATGAACAACTTAATCTTTTATTTCATTCTTTACAGCAAGCAGTACAACAAAGGCATTCACCTTTCTATATCACTCATATGAGAGCACATACTAACCTCCCTGGCCCTTTAACTAAACTTAATCAAAGGGCGGTTGCATTGGTGTCTGCAGCCTTTGCTGATGCACAAACATTTCATTCTTTAACCCACCTTAATGCCACAGGCCTTAGAAAAACATACGGTCTATCATGGAAACAAGCTAAAGAAATTGTGCAACATTGTTCTGCCTGCCAAGTCCTGCATCTGCCACATCAAGGAAAAGGAGTTAACCCTAGAGGTTTATCTCCAAATTCCATCTGGCAGATGGATGTAACACATATTCCTGCTTTTGGAAAATTGTCCTTTGTTCATGTTTCATTAGATACCTATTCACATTTTATTTGGGCCACATGTCAAACAGGGGATGCCACAGCTCATGTTAAAAGACATCTTTTATCTTGCTTTTCAGTTATGGGAATCCCAGAAAAATCAAAACTGATAACGGCCCAGGAGACTGTAGTAAA
The DNA here is from genome assembly GCF_000001405.40 of Homo sapiens. Classification (NCBI taxonomy): domain Eukaryota; kingdom Metazoa; phylum Chordata; class Mammalia; order Primates; family Hominidae; genus Homo; species Homo sapiens. The sequence continues at coordinate 101,184,808 of NC_000023.11, read as the reverse complement.
GCCATGGCTACATTTTTTCAACAATGGAATATTACCCATACTACGGGTGTTCCATATAACTCACAAAGACAAGCAATAGTGGAAAGAGCTAATTGTACTTTAAAAACTCAAATACAAAAGCAAAAGGGAGGAGACTAGGAATATAAGACACAACATATGCAATTGCATTTAGCTTTATTAACATTAAATTTTTTAAATTTACAGAAAGATTAACCCATGACTGCAGCTGAACAACACCTGACAGGACAAAAGGAAAATTAAAAGGCTGGACAAGATATATGGTGGAGGGATGCACATACAAAGAGCTGGGAAAAAGGAAAGATAATTTTATGGGGAAGAGGATTTGCTTGTGTTTCTCCAGGTGACAATCAGGTGCCTGTGTGGGTGCCCACCAAACATCTGAAGATCTATCATGAGCCACAGCATCTAGTGGACCCACCTGTACAGTGCACATTGAAGGTTTAAGGATTGTTTTTAAGCCTCAATTTGCTTTCTCTGTGCCTTCTGTTAGAAGGGGCCTGCTTCTTGTTATCAACGGTAAGTTTTACCCCGTGGTAATTAACCAAAGAGGTGGAAGCTGAGTTACAAATGCTTCAGCAATGGCATGCCTCCCGGCTACAGCCTCAAAAGTTTTTGCTTCTGTTTCCATAGATTTACTAATGTGGGGGTGAGGGTATGCTTGTGTTTTTGCAGGAGATGAACAAACTGTGTAGGTGCCCTCAAGATGTGTATGACCATGGAACATGAGACTGGAAGGACCCATGGATCCCAACCATGGACTGGGTTCCCCCAGTACGAGCCATGCTGAGAAACTGCTGGAGCGCCAGGGTTTTACCTATAGATGCTTTACGGACCAATGCTTTCTGACTGAACTCCTCTCTACCCTGAATACAATAGACCCTAATAGGTAGGCAGGAGTATCATTGCCCCTATTCAGCATGAAGAAGTTACAGAAGATGGACCTTCATCCTTCTGCAGCCCCTAGGATTAAGGGTCCTCTTGTAAAAGGGAAAGGGGAGATATGTATGAAGCATTCAAACCAGAGCAACCCCATTTTGAATAAGGGCTAAAAAAAATTGAAGCTGGATCACCAACTGGCAATTAAGGGCTGCACAGCCTGCAATTATCTTGCTCAATTAATTTTTTTTAAAAAAGGTCACCTTATGCTAATAATAATGATAGCTCTGGCGGTTTTTACAAAAAAGAGAAGGGGAGCATGTTGGGAGAAAGCTGAGTGTTGGGAGAGAAGCTGAGGCAGGGCTTGCATGTCTGCTAGACTTGCTGGCTCCTTGCTTCTAGAATTCCCATTATCTCAAGCAGCCCTATGCTTCTCATTCACTTGATACACTGTTTCCTTTCAACCCCCACATCCTCACCACCTGTTTCTTTGTTTGAGCACCAGTAAATAGTGTGGGCTCCCAGAGCTCAGGGCCTTCGCAGCCTCCACACTTGCAATGGCCTCCTGGTCCCACTTTGTCTCTCAAACTGTCTTTTTCTCATTTCTTTGACTCCGCCGGACTTTGTTGCCCCCATGACCTGGTGTTGGATCTAATCACCCCAACAGGAGACTGAGGCAAGAGAATCGCTTGAACCTGCGAGGCAGAGGTTGCAGTGAGCCGAGATCGCACCACTGCACTCCAGCCTAGGTGACAGAGCGAGACACCGTCTCAAAAAAAAAAAAGAAAAAATCCTAGAAAGACACAAACTACCAAAACTGACTCAAGAAAAAGGAGAAAATGTGAATAAATATATAACAACTAAAGAGATTGAATTAGTTATTTTAAAAAACCTTCCCACAATTAAAAGTCTAGAACCAGATGGCTTCACTGATGAATTCTACAAAATATTTAAAGAAGAACTGATGCCAGCCTTCACATACTCTTCCAAAAACAGAAGAGAATGGAGCACTTCCTAACTAATTCTATGAGGCCAACATTACCTCAATACTAAAACCAGACAAAATAATCACAAGCAAAGAAAACTACAGATTAATATCACTTATGAATATAGACATAGTAAATTCTCAACAAAAAACTAGCAAACCAAATCCAGCCACATATAAACGGTACTACATGCCATGACCAAGTGGCATTTATCCCAGTAATGTAATGTTGAGTCAACATACAATAATCAATTAATGTAACACATCATATTAATAAAGGATAAAACCAAATCATCACATGTCAATAGACACAGAAAAACCATTTCACAAAATTCAATATCCTTTCACAACAAAAGCACTCAGCAAACAAAGAATAAAAGGAAACTGGGGCCGGGTGCCATGGCTCACACCCATAATCCCAGCACTTTGGGAGGCTGAGGTGGGCGGATCGTTTGAGGTCAGGAGTTCGAGACCAGCCTGGTAAACATGGTGAAACCTCATTTCTACTAAAAACACAAAAATAAGGTGGGCGTGGTGGCCCACGCTTATAATCTCAGCTACTTGGGAGGCTGAGGTGGGAGGATCACTTGAACCTGGGAGGCGGAGGTTGCAGTTAGCCGAGACTGCATCACTGCACAAAGTGAGACTCCATCTCAAAAAAAAAAAAAAAAAAAAAAAAAGGAACTGGGCCGGGAGCAGCACCCCTAGCACTTTGGGAGGCCAAGGCAGGAGGATTACTTGAGTTCAAGACCAGCCTGGGAAATATAATGAGACCCCCATCTCAACAAAAAATTTTAAAAATTAGCCAGGCCTAGTGGCACATGCCTGTAGTCCCAGCTACCTGGGAAGCTGAGGTGGGAGGATCACTTGAGCCCGTGAGGTCAAGGCTGCAGTGAGCCATGATCATGACACTGCAGTCCAGCCTGGGCAACAAAGTGATACCCTGTATCAAAAATAAACAAATAAATAGAAGAAAATTTCTTAAACCTATAAACAGCATCTACCAAAACCTAACAGCTGATATCATACTTACTATTAAAAGACTGAAAGCTTTCTCCCTGAGTTCAGGAACAATAAAGGGATGTTCACTCTCCTCATTTCCATTCACCATTGTACTGGAGGTTCCAGCCAGGATAATTAGTCAGGAAAATGAAATAAAAGACATTCAGATTAAAAAGGAAGAAGTAAAAATATTTCTATTCACAGATGACATGATCTTGTATACAGATAATTCTAATAAATCCACTCAAAAACTATTAAGGCCATTAAATGAGCTAGCAAGGTTGTAAGGATCAAGATCAAATTACTAAAATTAGTTGTATTTCTATATGCTTTAATGACAAATGCAAAAATAAAAATATTTCATCTGTAATAGCATCGAAAATAATAAAATACTGAGGAATAAATTCAATAAAATAAGTATAAGACTTGTACACTAGAAACTACAAAACGTTGTTGTTTTCTAAATAAATGGAAAAACATCTGGTGTTCATGTATTAGAAAACTTAAAATTGTTTTAAGTCAGTACTTTCCAAAGTGATCTACAGTTTCGATGTAATTCCTATCAAAATTCCAACTGCCTTTCTTTGCAGAAATTGACAAGCTAATCCTAAACTTCATATGGAAATGTAAGGGACCCAGAAAAGCCAAAGGCAATATTGAAGAAGAATAAAGTTTGAAAGTCTCATTCTTCCCTATTTCAAAATTTATCACAAAGGTACAATAACAAAGACACTGTGGTACTGATCTAAGAAGAGACATATAGATCACTGCAGTAGAATTCAAAGTCCAGAAAAAAAAAAAATAGCTCCGTACTTCTATAGTCAATTGATTTTTGACAAAGATCCTAAGAAAATTCAATAGAAGGTAAGAATAGCCTTTTCAACAAATGGTGTTGCAACAAATTGATATCACCATGAAAAACAAATAAATTTAGACCACCTCATACCATATTAAAAATTAGCTTGATCCCATCTCTACAAAAAAATAAAAATTAGCCATGTGTGGTGGCATGCCCCCATAGTCCAAGCTACTTGGGGGGATGCAGTGGGAGGATTGCTTAAGCCCAAGAGAGCAAGGCTGCAGTGAGCCATGATCACATCACTGCACTCCAGTTTGGGCAGCAGAGCAAGACCCTCTCTCTAAAACAAAAAACAAAACCATTAACTTAACATGGATAAAATACCTAAATATAAGAGATAAAACTAGAAAACTCTCAGAAGAAAACAATGATGTAAATCTTCATGACCCTGGACTAGGCAACAGTTTCTGAGACATTACACCTAAAGTACAAACAATCAACAAAAAAATTAATTGGACTTCATCAAAATCTAAATAGTTTGTGCATTAAAGGGCACTATGAATAAAGTATACAGATAACCTGCTATTTGCAAATCATATATCTGAGAAGTGTCTTATATTCAGAATATATAAAGATGTCTTCGAACTCGACAACCAAAAGACAAATAACCCAATTTAAAAATGGGCAAAGGCTGGCTGTGGTTGCTCATGCCTGTAATCCTAGCACTTTGGGAGGCAGAGGTGGGAGGATCACTTGAGCCCAGGAGTTCAAGAACAGCCTAGGCAACATAGTGAGACCTTATCTCTACAAAAAATAAAAAAATTAGCCAGGTGCTGTGGTGCACACCTGTGGTCCCAGCTACTCAGGAAGTTGAGACAGAAGGATCACTTTAGCCCAGAAGGTTGAGGTTACAGTGAGCCACGATCATGCCACTGCACTCCAGCCTGGGTGGTGGAGCAAGACCCTGTCTCAAAAAAAAGGTCAAAAAACATAATTAGACATTTTTCCAGAAAAGATACACAATGGCCAACAAGACATGAAAAGTATGTTCAACACCACCAGTCATTAGGTAAATGCAAATGAAGCTATAAGATATTACTTCCTACCCACTGGCATGAACATAATAAAAAATAATAGTTGGCAAGGATGTGGAGAAAATAGAAGCCTCATACATTACTGACAGGAATGTAAAATGGTACAGCCACACTGAAAAAGTTTGGTGGTTCCTCAATAATTTAAACATAGAATTACCATAAGGTCTAGTAAACCCACTCCAAACCCACAAGAATTGAAAAACAGGCATTCAGGCCGGGTGCAGTGGCTCACGCCTGTAATCCCCGCACTTTGGGAGGCCGAGGCGGGCAGATCACCAGGTCAGGAGATCGAGACCATCCTGGCTAACACAGTGAAATCCCGTCTCTACTAAAAAATACAAAAAATTATCTGGGCATGTGGCAGGCGCCTGTAGTCCCAGCTACTTGGGAGGCTGAGGCAGGAGAATGGCGTGAACCTGGGAGGTGGAGCTTGCAGTGAGCCGAGATGGTGCCACTGCACTCCAGCCTGGGCGACAGAGCGAGACTCCGTCTCAAAAAAAAAAAAAAGAAAGAAAGAAAAACAGGCGTTCAAATAAACATTTGTATAAATGAATGTTCACAGCAGCACTATTCACATCAGTCAAAAATGGAAACAATCCAAATGTCCATCATTGATGAAGGAATAACAAAATGTGCTATATTAATACAAAAGAATATTATTCAGCCATAAAAAGGAATGAAGTTCTGATACAAGTTTTAACATGGATGAATCTTGAAAACATCATGCTAAGTGAAATAAGCCAGACACAAAAGGCCACATATTGTATGATTCCATTTATATGAAACGTCCGGCACAGGTGAATTCATAGAGACCAGAACGCATATTGGTGGTTGCCTGAGGCTGGGAAAAGGGAAGGAATGAGGAGAAAATACTTAATGGGTACAGGGTTTCCTTTCTGGGTGATGAAAAAGTTCTGAAACTAATATTGGTGGTAGTTGCACAACATTATGAATATACTTAATGCCACTGAATTGGACTTTAACATGGTTCAAATGGTAAATATTATGCAATGAGTATTTTACTAGAATAAGAAAAAGTAGTAAAATGCAAATCAGTTATCTTATCAAAACTCGCCTTTAAAAAATGCTTAAAGAAATCTAATAATTCTAAAACATAAATTATGAAATGTTTAAGAAATCAAAGTTAAATCTATTGGTGATAGAATAAAACAAAATGCTAAGAAGAAAAAATGTAATGCTCACCGATGGCAAAGAAATTCTGAAATTTAGGGTAAGAAGAGCTACTGTAGTTATTAACCAATGTGAGTACTCTTATGTAAAGTGGCTTATAGGGTGAAAGTTCTTTAAGCAGCATAGATCCGGCCGGGTGTGGTGGCTCACGCCTGTAATCCCAGCACTTTGGGAGGCCGAGGCGGGTGGATCACCTGAGGTCAGGAGTTCGGGACCAGCCCGGCCAACATGGTGAAACCCCATTTCTAATAAAAATACAAAAATTAGCTGGGCATGGTGGCAGACACCTGTAATCCCAGCTACTCAGGAGGCTGAGGCAAGAGAATCACTTGAACCCAGGAGATGGAGGTTGCAGTGAGCCGAGATCATGCCATTGCACTCCAGCCTGGGCAACAAGAGCAAAACTCTCTGTCTCAAAAAAAAAAAAAAAAAAAAAAAAAAAGAAGAAGAAAAGAAGAAGAAGCATAGATCCTAAGGAAGGGGCTTCAAGATAGCTGACTAGAGGCATCTGGTACTCACCTTCACAAAGAACCAAAGTAGCAAGTAGATAATCGTATTTCAAACGGATCATTTAACAGAGAACACTGGAATTAGAGAAGTGACAGGAAACACCTAAAGCAAGGAAGGAGAGGGATGCGAAGCAGCCTGCTACCTGGGATCAGCTGGGAACCTGGAGAGGCTCCAGGGAAGCCCCTATCCAGGGGAAAGGATATGTGAGTGACCCCCAGTGATCCACATTTCCATTGCAGACTCCTTCTTCCTAGCCACAGGAAAGCCCCTAGACTCTTTCAGGCCCTGAGAATAAGCTGCCTGAAAAATGCATGAAGACACGGCTCCAGAGAGGGGGCTCACACTGGGTCCCATACATACTCCAAGCCCTAAGCAGCTACAGCAAGGCAGCGTATTGGTTGCTAAGACTCACCAGACTGCATCCTGCCTGGGGGCCCAATAGCCCCTGCATCTCCACATCTTTGGAGCCCCATTGACATTTCACACCCACAGCCACCATCGCAGCTCACTGTGCCACGAGGGCTAAAGTGCAAGGGAAGGCATCGGCAAGGATCCTGCTGCCCCCAGCAGTGAAGCTGCAGCACACCTTCACATGGCCTGAGGACAAACTCCCTTACCAACAGTAGCTACCACATCAGTCTGCCTCCACCAGGCCCAAAGTGTGAGCACCCACCTGCATATGACTGCTACCAACTGAAAGCAACCCTGTCCTCTATAGTAGCAGGGCTGTTGCACAGTTGCTGCTGTCCCCACTCAATCATTCTGCCTTGAGCTTGAGGAGCGCCCTGCCTCTACCTAACACAGTCAATGCCTAAATGCACCACCTGGGGAACTGAGGACAGGTCCACCCAGCCTGGCTCAATGCTCGCTGTGACCTACCATGCCTTCCAAGGGCCTAGAGGCTGCCCAGCAAAGCCCACCACTGGTGACAAATGGGCATTCATCTTGAAGGCCTGAGGTTGGGCCCACCCAACCTGCCACTGCAGGTACCCACCTGCAGCTGGTACTCACCTGCACATGCCACTTGCAGGCCTCAGGACTATCTTGCATAACCCATTACAGCCATCATAAATACCAGTGTGGATAGCTTGGGAGCAAAAGGCTTGTTCCACCACTGCAACTATCATTGACCACACCATACCTGCATCCAGGGGCCCAAAAACCTGCCCACCTTCCCAGCTTGCCACTGCCACTACTGGCACCCAAGCAAGCCACCTAGGAGCCCAAAAGACAGCCCCACTGGATCTAAAATAACACTGGTGTCAACATACACCACGCTGAGACTCAAGGACAGGTACATTCAGCCCGCCACTGGAATCAAGGGACCAAGGACAGGCCCATGTGGTGCTCCTGTCCCCAGGAAAACTTCACCACAGCCTCCACCAATAATAGCATCCTAAGCCACTGAGGAAATCACAAACATCACCATATACAAAATCAACTCAGCACGGTAAAGACTGAAACATAAGACCTGAAACTATAAAACATTGGTCTATGCAAAGAACTTATGGCTAAGACCTCGAAAGCACAGAAACAAAAACAGACAAATGGGACTATATACATAAAAAACTTTTGCGCAGCAAAGGAAACAACCAACAGAGTAGAGGCATCGTTGAACTGAAGAAAATATGTGCAAATGATTCATCCTACAAGGAACTAATATCCCAAATATACAAGGAACTCAAACAACTTAACAAGATAAAACAAACAAACCCATTAAAAAGTGAGCAAAGGACATGAATAGACAGTTCTCAAAAGAATACACACAATTTCCCAATAGGTATATGAATAAAAATGCTGAAGATCACTAATCATCAGGGAATGCAAATCAAAACTATAATAAGATATCATCTCACCCCAGTTAGAATGGCTATTAAAAAGAAAAAAATAGCATGCTGGCAAGGATGTGAAAGGGGAATGCTTATACACTCTTGGTGGGATTGTAAATTAGTATAGCCACCACGGAGAACAGTAGGGGAGGTTCAAAAAACTAAAAATAGAACTACCATATGTTCCAGGAATCCCACTACTCTGTATTTATCCAAAGGAAAACAGATCAGTATATCAAAGGGACACCTGTGAGCTTACTGCAGCACTATTCACAATAGAAAGATATGGAATAAACCTAAGTGCCTATCAATGGACTAATGAATTAAAAATGCACATACATACACACATACAATGAAATACTATCATCTATAAAAGAATAAAATCCTGTCATTTGAAGCAACGTGGATGGAACTGGAGGTCATTATGTTAAGTGAAATAAGCCAGGCACACAAAGACAAATATCACATATTCTCACTCATATGTGGGAGCTAATAAAGTTGACCTTATGGAGGTAGAGAATAGAATGATAGATACCAGAGGCTGGGAAGGGTGTGGGTTTGGTGGGGGTTGGCGGAGGATAAAGAGTGATTAGTTAATGAGTACATTCAGTTAGATAGAAGGAATAAGTTCTAATGCTTGACAGCACAGGAGGGTAACTATAGTTAACAATGTATTGTATATTTTGATAGCTAGAATAGAAATGTTTCCAACACAGAAATAATAAATACTCGAGGTGTTAGACATCCCAAGTACCCTGACTTGATCATTATACAGTCTATACATGTAATAATGTATCCCATGCACCCCATAAGTATGTACAAATATTATGCATCAATTAAAAATAGAAGTATAGATACTAGAAAGGCTCAATTACTGTCCAACCTCTAGGAGCTAAGTTATAGGCCAAGAATCCTTCAGCTCTTTCCTTCAGCTCAATTCATTTCCAAACACAAGGGGAATAGTATTTGAAGTTAGGACAAGAAACTACAATTTTATTCTAACTCCCCATTCAGCACAACATGCTCATTTTCTTTCTTATTTTCTTCCCATCCATGGAAGTGGTAGGATCATTTTCTTTACTTTAGCTTTCCCTGCAACTGTAGAGGCTAAGTTGCGAGGCAAAATTCTTACTTCCTTATAATGGGGTAAATATCCAACAGGGGTAGGTGGTAGATCTATATAAACTAAAAAGCTGTTGCACAGCAAAGGAAACAATCAACAGAGTAAAGCAATAACATGGGATTCTAAACATTGCTAAGATTTTTTCACACAGAGTATCGTAAAAATGGGGTTAAGTTATTGAAATAGCATAATTGTTATAATCCTCACCTTAAATTAAATAGATTAATACATTTAAAAAAATATTTCGACTTGGTTTTTTTTGTTGTTGTTGTTGAGATGGAGTTTTGCCCGTTGCCCAGGCTGGAGTGCAATGGCACGATCTTGGTTCACCGCAACCTCCACCTCCTGGGTTCAAGTGATTCTCCTGCCTCAGCCTCCCGAGTAGCTGGGATTACAGACATGTGCCACCATGCCCGGCTAACTTTGTATTTTTAGTAGAGACGGGGTTTCTCCTTGTTGGTCAGGCTGGTCTCAAACTCCTGACCTCAGGTGATCCACCCGCCTCGGCCTCCCAAAGTGCTGGGATTACAGGTGTGAGCCACCGGGCCTGGCCTAAAATTTCAACTTTTATTTTACATTCGGGTGGTACATGTGCATGTTTGTTACCTGGGTATATTGTGTGATGCTGAGGTTTGGGGTATGATTGACCCCATCACCCAGGTACTGAGCATAGTACCCAATAGTTTTTCAACTCTTGCTCCCCTCCCTCCCCCCTCTAGTAGTCCCCAGTGTCTATTGTCACCATCTTTATGTCCACGAGTACCCAATGTTTAGCTCCCACTTATAAGGGCGAACACGTGGTATTTGGTTTTCTGTTCCTGCATTAATTTGCTAAGAATAATGGTCTCCAGCTGTATCTATGTTGCTGCAAAGGAAATAAGATTGTCTTTTATGGCTATGTAGTATTCTATGGCATGTATGTGTCATATTTTCTTTATCCAATCCACCACTGATGGGCACCTAGGTTGATTCCATGTTTTGCCATTGTGAATAGTGCTGCAATGAACACACGAGTGCATGTGTTTTTTTGGTAGAATAATTTATTTTCTTTTGGATATTTACCCAGTCATGGGATTGCTAGGTCAAATGGTATCTCATGGGAGATACAGATATGGATATAGATATAGATAGATATAGATACACCCAGTCATGGGATTGCTAGGTCAAATGGTTTTAAGTTCCTTGAGAAATCTCTAAACTAATTTCCACACTGGGTGAACTAATTTATATTCCCACCAACAGTGTATAAGCATTCCCTTTTCTCCGCAGTCTCACTAACATCTATTGTTTTTCGACTTTTTTATAATAGTCATTCTGACTGGTGTGACATGGTATCTCATTGTGGTTTTGATCTGCACTTCTCTGATGACTAGTGATGTTGAGCATTTTTTCATACGTTTTCTGGCCACTTGCATGTCTTCTTTTGAGAAGCATCTGTTCATGTTTTTTGCCCATTTTTAATGGGGTTGTTTTTTGCTTGTTAAGTTCCTTTTAGATTCTGGATATTAGACGTTTGTCTGATAGAATTTGGCTGTGAATCTATCTGGTCCAGGTTTTTTTTTGATTGGTAGGTTTTTTATAAGATTCAATTTTTGAACTTGATATTGGTCTCTTCAGGGTTTTAATTTCTTTCTGGATTCAATCTTGGGAGGTTGTGTTTTCAGTAATTTATCCATTTCCTCTAGCTTTTCTTGTTCGTGTGCATAGAGGTGTTCATAATGGTCTCTGAGGATCTTTTGTATTTCTATGGATTCGTTGTAATGTAATCTTTGTCATTTCTGATTGTGCTTAAATAGATTAATACATTTTTCTACATAAATTACCATTTAAACACATAAGAAAGCTTCCTAATTCTATTTAAAACATCATCACTCTGGTTGCATCCTCATTCAGAACTGTGGAAATTCTGTATGCCTGTAGTCCCAGCTACTTGAGAGGCTGAGGTGGAAGGATCACTTGAGCCCAGGAGGTAGAAGCTGCAGTGAGTTGAGATCACACCACTGCACTCCAGCCTGGGTGACAGAGTGAGACCCCGCCTCCAGAAAAAAAAAAAAAAAAAAAAAAGAGGCCAGGCATGGTGGCTCACGCCATAATCCCAGCACTTTGGGAGGCCGAGGAGGGCAGATCACAAGGTCAGGGGATCAAGACCATCCTGGCCAACATGGTGAAACCCCGTCTCTACTAAAAATACAAAAATTAGCTGGGCATGGTGGAGCACGCCTGTAGTCTCAGCTACTCGGGAGGCTGAGGCAGGAGAATCGCTTGAACCCGGGATGTGGAGGTTGCAGTGAGCCGAGATCGCACCACTGCACTCCAGCCTGGCAACAGAGCAAGACTCCACCTCAAAAAAAAAAAAAAAAAAAAAAATTCCTACAACTACTTAATAGGTGCACATGATCATATACAATTGTCTTTGCATATTCCTAACTTCCTAGACTTGAAGAGGGCAGGGTAAGAGACAGAAGATAATCAAATAATGATTTTATGAGTATAATTTTTCTAAATGTATTATTATACAATTAAGATGATCACTATGCAAATATAAGAGCTTTAAGATTACTCATCTCATCCATTTCCAAAGGACTTAAAATAGTCCTTATAAGTTTTTAAACATTGATATGTTACATAACAATTTATCCATTTAAAATGTACAATTCAGTGGTTTTTATATTTACATAGTTTAAAACTTTCATTACCTCAAAAAGAAATCTCTTATCCGTTAAGAGTCACTCCCCATTACCTGCCAACTATCCCGATCAGCCCTAGGCAACTACTTCTTTCTGTCTTTATACATTAACATATTGTGGACATTTTCATGTAAATAGAACCACAAAATATGTGTTTTGTGATTGGATTATTTCATATAGCATAGTGTCTTTGAGGTTTGTCCATGTCATAATATATGTTTTTTTTTTTCCTGCCAAACAGTATTCTGTGAAATGGGTATAGCATACTTTACTCATTCATCAGTTGGACATTTGCATTGTTTCACCTTTTGGCTATTAAAAATAATGCTGCTATGAACAATCTGTGTTCAAACTTTTGTGAAGACATATTTTCATTTCTCTTGGGGATACACCCAGTGGAATTGCAGGCTCATATGACTACTCTATGTTTGAAATTTTGAGTAACTACCAAACTCTATTCCAAACTGGCTGCAATATTTATGTTCCAACCAGCAATACATGACTATTTCAATTCCTCCGCATCCCCCCAACACTAGTTATTGTCTGTCTTATTATGCCTGTCTATCTTACAGGGTATGAAGTTGTAGACCATTGTGGTTTTGATTTGAATTTACCTAATGACTCATAATGTTCAGCATTGTTCCATGTTCTTATTATCCATTCGCATATCTTCCTGGGGAGAAATATTCAGATATTTGGTCCGTTTTTAAATTGGGTCATCATTATTTATTTATATATTCGGAATAAAATAGTTTTATCAGGTATGATTTGCAAATATTTCCTCTCATTTTGTTTCCACCTCACTTAATGGTGTCATTTGAAGCACAAATGTTTTTAACTATGATAAAGTTCATTTTTTTCTGTTATGTATGCCTTTGCTGCCATAGCTAAGATATCACTGCCCAACCCCATGTCACCCCATGTCACAACGATATACTCCTATGTTTTATCTAAAAGTTTTATAAGGCCAGGCATAGTGGCACACGCCTGTAATGCCAGCACTTTGAGAAGCTGAGGTGGGAGGATTGTTTGATCCCAGGAGTTTGAGACCAGCCTGAGCCACAGACTCAGTTTCTACAAAAACTCATTTAGCCAGGCATGGTGGTGCATGACTGTGGTCCCAGCTGCTCAGGAGGCTGAAGCAGGAAGATTGAGTGAGCCTGGAAGATCAAGGCTGCAATGAGCCGTGTTTGCGCCACTGCCCTCTAGCCTGGGCGAAAGTGTCACCTTGTTTCCAAAATAAAAAAAAGTTTTCTGGTTTGGGGCTTTATATTTAGTTTTTTAAATCCATTTTAATTTTTATTTATGGTGTGACACAGAGACCCAACTGGATTCTATTGTCACAGTACCATAATGAAATACTATAGTCTTTTCATTTTAAAAAAAATTGTTTTATAATCTTTTCAACTATTATACCGTCCCAGTACAATGGGGGACTATTCTTCCCATTGAACTGTGTTGGCTCCCCTGTGGAAAATCACATTGGCCCTAAATGTATGGGTTTATTCCTCAACTCTCAATTCCATCCCATTGACCTGTGTCTACCCTTATGCCAGTATCACACTGTCTTGATTAATATAGCGCTGTAGACTTTGAAGTTGAGAAATGTGAATTTTCCAAGTTTTTTCAATATTGTTTTGATTATTGAAATAATATTGAAAAATATATTGTTCTGGGTCCCTCAGTTCCATTTGAATTTTTGGTTCACCTTGTCAATTTCTGTAAAATGCCAGTTGGGATTTCAATAGAGACTGCATTGGAGGCCAGGTGCAGTGGCTCACTCTGTAATCCCGGAACTCTGGGAGTCTGAGGCGCACAGATCGCTTGAGCCCAGGAGTTCAAGACCAGCCTGAGCAACACGGCAAAACCCTGTCTCTACAAAAAATACAAAAATAAGCTGGGCATGATGACACATGTCTGTAGTCCCAACTACTTGGGAGGCTGAGGTGGGAGGCTTGTTTGTGCCCAGGCTGAGGATACAGTGAGACATGACTGCACCACTGCACTCCACCCTGGGCAACGGAACAAGACCCTGTCTCAAAGAAAAAAGAAAAAAGACTGCTTTGGAAATGTATATCAGTTTGGGGTGTATTGCTATCTTAACAATATTGTCTTCTAATCTATGAATATAGGATATATTTGCATTTATTAGATTGTCTACTTTTTTAAAACAATGTTTTGATATGGTGTATGATATTAACTACCTTTTGGATGTTAAATCAACCTTGCATTCCTGGGATAAGTCCCAGTTTGTCATGAAGTATAATTCTTTTTATGTAGTCCCGCATCTCTGAACGACAGTGCCATGTCCTGAGAAATGTGTTAGGCGATTTTATTGTGTGAACATCATAGAGTATACTTACACAAGTCTATGGTATAGCCTATTACTCCTTGGCTACAAATCTGAACAGCATGTTACTGTACTGAATAGAATACTGTAGGCAACTGAAACACAATGTATTTGTGTATCTAAACACAGAAAAAGTACAGGTAAAACACAATAGGTACAAAGCAGTACACCTCTATAGAGCACTTAACATGAATGAAATTTACAGGACTAGAAGTTGCTCTGGGTGAATCAGTGAGTGACTGTGAAGGCCTAGGACATTACTGAACAATACTGTAGACCTTATAAACACTGTACACTTAGGCTAAATCTATAAAAAGCTTTTCTTCAATAAATTAGCCTTAGCTTACTGTAACTTTTTACTTCATATACTTAAAATTTTAAAATTTTTTACTCTTTTGTAATAACACTTAGAACACAAACATTGTACAGCTGTACAAAATATTTTCTTTATATCTTTATTTTGTTAGCTTATTTCTAATTTTTCACTTTTTTGTTAAAAATTAAGCCATAGAAACATACATTAGGCTAGGCCTACACCAGGGCAGGATCATCAATATCACTGTCTTCCACCTCCACATCTCTTTCTACTGGAAGGTCTTCGGGGGCACTAATAAGCATGGAGCTGTCATCTCTGATGATAACAATGCTTTCTTCTGGAATACCTCCTGAAGGACCTGCCTGAGGTTGTTTTACAGTAAACTTTTTAAAAGTAAGTATGAGTAGATGCTCCAAAATAATAATAAAAAGTACAGTAAATACATAAACCAGTGACACAGTCGTTTATTCTCATCAAGTATAATCTGCTGTACATAACTGTATGTGCTGTTTTTATGTGAGTGGCAACACAGGTTTGTTTACACCAGCATCATCACAAACATGTAACACGTTGCACTATGACAGCACTAGGTGATGGGAACTTTTCAGCTGCACTATAATCTTATGGGACTACCACCATACATGTTGTCAATCATTGATCAAAATGTTGTTATGTGGTGGCACATGACTGTATATTGCTGGATTTGATTTGCTTATATTTCCTTGAGCTTGTTGGATGTGTAGATTGTTTTTCATCAAGTTTGGGGCATTATTAGCCATTATTTGTTTAAATATTTTTTCTGTCCCCTTCTCTCCTCTTCTGGTATTCCCATTATGAGCATATTTGTGTCCCACATTTCTCTAAGGCTCCATTCATTTTTCTTCACTTTTTTCCAAGTCCAGAATTTCCATTTCTGTGTATAGAAATGGTGTATGTGTATATTCTATACTTTATTGATACAATCATTGTCATCATATCTCCCTTTAATTAAACATAGTTGCTTTAATTTCTTTGAAGATACTTATAATAGCTGCTTTGAAGTCATTGTTCACTAAGATCAACATCTGGTCCTTATCAAGGTAATTTCTAGTCTTTTTTCCTGTGTATGAATCACATGTTCCTATTTCTTTGCATGTCTCATTTTTACTGCACTGAACATTTTAGGTACTACACTGCTGCAGCTCTGGATAACGATACTCTCTACTCCAGGATTTGTCGCTGTTGTTTGTTCACTTATTTGGTGATGTGGCTAGACTAATCCTGTGAAGTCCATTCCCCCACTGTATAGCCTCTAATGACCCCATTTAGATTTTTTGTTAGTTTGTTTTTATCTTTAAATCTGGCTTCCTAAGGGTCATCCTTACGTCAGTACAGGTTAGCAGTCAGCTACTGATAGATCAGAAGTTGTGCTTAAGCCCCTTGAGCCAGTAAGATTTTTTGTTTTGTTTTGTTTTGTTTTGTTTTTCAGAGTCTTGCTCTGTTGCCCAGGCTGGAGTGCAGTGGGCGATCTCGGCTCACTGCAACCTCCACCTCCCGGGTTCAAGCAATTCTCCTGCCTCAGTCTCCCTAGTAGCTGGGATTACAGGCACACGCCACCATGCTCAGCTAATTTTTGCATTTTTAGTAGAGACAGGGTTTCGCCATGTTGGCCAGGGTGGTCTTGAACTCCTGGCCTCAAGTGATCCACCCGCCTCAGCCTCCCAAAATGCTGGGATTACAGGCGTGAGCCACCATGCCTGGCCCCAATAAGGTTTCCATTCATTACTGTTTGCTCTGTAGCTTGGAGACTGCTTTCACACTTCAGGGAGTTTATAAGTTTGTCTCACATTTAGTCAGGAACTAATAGCAAAGCAATTCCTTCTTCAGTTGCTTCTGAGAGAATGCAGATTTACGTATGTGTACACTTTTCCATATCACCAAGTATGACCGTGATTTTAGCAAGGCCTCCTTTGCTCTTTCTCTGATCTCCCTTTTAAACTTCTGGCTGGTCTTCCTCTATAGGTATTATACCATGCTGTTAGTCTCCACATAAAGTCAGGCCTCTCAGGAAGGGCCAGGGTCTTGCCAGTCTTTAAGGCTTGCCCTGACCCCCTCCCTTGGCAGAGCCTCTGTATTATGGAGCAGTATTTGGAAGAGATGGGAGTTCTACTTTGGACCACACCCATTGGAATACTTCTTCCATAACAATAGCTCTTCTGCAACATGAAGTTGGGTGGGAAAATAAGTGCAGCCTCTAGTTCAGATGTTATGACCTCCACTATTATTGAGTTCTGTAAATTTTGAATAAATTGAGTTTCAATTTTGTGAATCTTCTGATCACTCTCCAGAGACTTTGAATGATTGCTTTTGCTAATTTTAAGCAATGAAACAGGTATTTCTCTGGGAAGAAGTTCCACTGAACTCTTCACAGTGCCACCCAGAGGTCCCCCACATTCCAATTTTCAATTGATTACGCAGAAAGTGGTAATCAAGTTTGGGAATTTAACCTAGTCCATGAAGCTGATTATAAATGCAAAAATGATTCATTTCTAATTTTTAAAAGCTGGAATTAAAGGTTAATTTTTAAAAATTATATACTATGTTCTCCCTTATTACCCGAGGTAACAGTAAGTTGCATACAAATGGATGCAAGGGCAACGTACAACGCAAAAAAATCAGTCTTGTTCAGTTTCGTAGGTGTCATTGTATCCAAGGCTGGAGTACTCATAAATGCCCAGGATGTCAGTCTATTAAATACGTGCTCATTCATTCATACTTTTTGCATTTTGTCCAAAAAGGCTCAAGCAATCTGTTCACCCATGAAGATTCCCAAATGCAAATTATCTCAGTAAGAATTACAGAGAATCACTTTTCTAGTAAACAATTCTACTATGTTAATAAAAGTTATGTGTGACACCATAGCCTTACTTTTCTTTCCAGATCAACCCCAAGATCAAAAAGAAGGAGAAAGTATAATAAAAAGGAAAAAAATGGGCCGGGTGCTGTGGCTTACGCCTGTAATCCCAGCACTTTGGGAGGCCAAGGCAGATCACAAGGTCATGAGATTGAGACCATCCTGGCCAACATGGTGGAATCCCGTCTCTACTAAAAACACAAAAATTAGCTGGGTGTGGTGGCATGTGCCTGTAATCCCAGCTACTTGGGAGGCTGAGGCAGGAGAATCGCTTGAACCAGGGAGTCAGAGGTTGCAGTGAGCCAAGATCACGCCACTGCACTCCAGCCTGGCAACAGAGTAAGACTCCGTCTCAAAAAACAAAAGGAAAAATATGTTAGAACTCTAATAGCAACTTTAGTATTCTTTAGTATTGAACATTAAGTCAATATTAATAATGCCACCAATTCTACACAAACACTGGGTAAAGAAAATACTTTTTTACAACTGCAATAATAAACCAAATTTTCCATTTCTTTTATCTTCTAGACATGTTTTGCACCAAAGCAAAATAGCTATTCTTTATTTAACTATTATGGTTTTTGCCATGAAGAATCTTCAAAAAATATGTTTTCAGATAACTACATTTGGCTTATTTGCACTGCCATATAATCTTAAGTGAGTTAAAAAATTAAAAGAGGGCTGGGCACGGTGGCTCATGCCTGTAATCCCAACACTTCGGGAGGCCGAGACGGGTGGATCCCGAGGTCAAGAGATCAAGACCATCCTGGCCAACATGATGAAACCCCATCTCTACCAAAAATACAAAAATTAGCTGGGCATGGTGGCATGTGCCTGTAGTCCCAGCTACTCGGGAGGCTGAGGCAGGAGAATCGCTTGAATCCGGGAGGCAGAGGTTGCAGTGAGCTGAGATCAGGCCGCTGCACTCCACCCTGGTGACAGAGTGAGACTCCGTCTCAAGAAGAAAAAAAAAAAGTTAAAAGAGAAATAGGCACAAAAAAAGGTATCCAGGTATGTCTAAGTATTTTATTTGTGGGGCAAAAAAAGATACCCAGGGAATCATTATTGAACAAAAAGACAAACCTAAGGGAAAAATTATTTTTCATAAATTTAAGTTTAGAAAAGTTTCTTTAATGATAAAATAATCAACTCCCTTCTCACAATGGAAAGTTCTACATGATCTTAAGGACCAAAATATCATGATCTGAAAAGCAATATGGAAAGTTATTTGCAGTACAAACTATCACATTTACTTAAAAAGCAGCTGAAGTTGCTTTTTTCCAGGTATATAGGTAACATTTCACACCATTCAATACTACCTTCCTTTTGTGAAACATTTTCTTCTGATGGCTTCCAGAATACCAGCCTCCTGATTTTTCTTCTAGGTCACTGGTGGGTCCTTCTCAGTCTTTTGCTGGTTCCTCTTCTCCTCTACTTCTCAATGCTGGCATACCTTAGGTCTCTGTCTTTTGCTACCTTCTCTTCTCTAGCTGTACTAGGTGATCTCATCCAAAGTCATGGTTATTCCCTAATGACTCCCAAATTAATTTTCTAGTCCCAAATTGTACTCTGAAGTCCAGACTTGGATATCCAATTGCCTACACAGCATTTCCAACCTAACATAGCCAAAACAGAATTTAATCTCAGAGTTCACCCAATTGACAGGTCAAAAATCTGAGTCATCCTTTACTCCTCTCCTTTTCCTCCTCATATCCAAGCTATCAGCAGACATTATCTTCTCTACTTACAAAACAGAGTCTGAATCCAACCTCTAACCCCTCCCACCTCAACATTTATCACACTTGTCCAAAACTGTTACCTAGGACACTATAATAACCTAACCAGTCTCTGCTTTCCTCTTTAATCTTCTTCAGTCTAACCTTGACATTGTAGCTCCATATTTCATAAAGGTAAATCAAATTATGTCACTCCTCTTCTCAATCTAATTGCTTCCCATTTACATATCCATGCCAGGCTATAAGGACCTGGCTTTCTTCCTTATGTCACTTCTTACCATTCTTCTCTCTTAATCACTATGCTGTAACCTTACTGGCCTCTTTGTTATTCCTCAAACATGCCAAGTAAGTTAACATTTTAGGGCCTTTTCACTTGTTTTTTACCTTTGTCCAGAATGCTCTTTCCCCAAATATTTATATGACTCATATGCTTACTTCACTGGGGCCTCTGCATATGTCATCTCTTCAAACAGGCTTTCCCAAACCATCTTATCTAAAGTTTCAACCCTCTCCACATTCTGTCCCAGTGGGATTCATCCCGGGATGCAAAGATGATTCAGTATACACAAATCAGTAAATGTGATATATCATGTTAACAGAATGAAGGACAAAAGCCATATGATAATCTCAAAAGATACAAAAAAAGCATTTGACAAAATTCAACACATTGTATCCCTATTCCCTGCCCTTTCTTTATAGCATTTGATATATGTTATTGTCTGTCTTCTCCATTGGAATGTAAACTCCATAAAAACAGGTACTTTGGGCTGGGTGCAATGGCTCACACCTCTAATCCCAACACTTTGGGAGGCCAAGGCGGGTTGATCACTTGAGATCAAGAGTTCAAGTCCAGCCTGGTCAACATGACGGAACCCTGTCTCTACTAAAAATACAAAAATTGGCTGGGCGTGGTGGTAGGTGCCTGTAATCCCAGCTATTCGTGAGGCTGAGGCAGGAGAATTGCTTGAACCAGAAAGTAGAGGTTGCAGTGAGCCAAGATCATGCCTCTGCACTCCAGCCTGGGCAACAGAGTGAGACTCCATCTCAAAAAACAAAAACAAAAACAAAAACCCGGGTACTTTGTATTGGTCACAACTGTATAACCAGCACACAGAAGAGTACCTGGCACAGAGAAAGGAGCTCAATAAATATTTATTGAATCAATTAATGAGTCAATGGACGAGTGGGATTTCTAGTCTGAACGCCATCCAATAATATAGTTTAGGGTTTGTTTTTTAAATGGGGAAAAAAAAGAACCCCAAGTATGCATCCTTAAAGACAAAAATTAATTCAGCTTGATTCTTCTCAAATGATACGAATTTTACTAGAAGGGAGAATTATTCAATAGCATTGAGGTAATTTTTTTTTTTTTTTTTGAGACAGAGTCTCGCTGGAGTGCAGTGGCGCGATCTTGGCTCACTGCAACCTCCGCCTCCCGGGTTCAAGCGATTCTCCTGCCCCAGCCTCCTGAGTAGCTGGGACTACAGGCACGTGCCGGCATGCCCGGCCAATTTTTTGTATTTTTAGTAGAGACAGGGTTTTACCATATTGGCCAGCCTCATCTCGAACTCCTGACCTCATGATCCACCCACCTTGGCCTCCCAAAGTGCTGGGATTACAGGCGTGAGCCACCACGCCCAGCAGGCAAAATTTTATAGTACATTTTCAGCAAGATATTCTAGCTATTATTAACTTTTTTAAAACTTCAGAATTCCTTCTGAAAGTAAAATTTCAGTTAGTTTATTTAGTCCTTACACTTAAAAACTGAAGCTACAGACACACACATACACGCACACATACACATATACATATACAATACACACAAACAAAATAGAGCAGTTCCATGAAATCAGACATATACGGGAATGTCTTGATTACCCAACAAATCCTCTCCCCTTCCTTCCCTCATCAAATTGCTATGATTGAAGGCCCAGGAAGTTACCAACTACTTAGGGCTTTTAGAGTCATACACATGTTGCATCCTGTTAACTTGGTGTTGGTGCTGTTGCTCACAGTAAGAAAAATGGCAATATCCCCAGAGACAGCAAAGTATTTTGCATGTTTATGTCTGTGAGTTAACTGTCACCACATATTGCCTGCTGTCTTCCATCAATGCAGCTCATAGTACCCAAAAATGTGAAAAAATCCTACCACAAAACAGATGTGTCTTTTTACATACAATTTGGTAGAACGCAGAGCCTGATGATGAAGGGGTCATTTTTCACTGGTAGGCTAAAAAAATCTAAATTTTGAAAAATCAGTTAGGCACACCAAGGCTCTCCTAAGCCATGAACAGAAGGCCAGTCTGAGTACTCCTTGAGGATGGCAGTCTGTCAGTGAAATGAAAATGGGAACTCAAGATGAGCCACTTTGCTCTAGCAATGAGGAGTGAGTTTAGTCCAGTGTGTTCAGTTTATGTCAACATTCATTTAATATTGATTGTTGCAGTTTATGCCCTCTGCTCTGGGAATGGAAGAATGATGAACACTACTTCTTATAAAAAGTTTCAAGCCTTGTAACCCCTGTGAAAATAAATAGTCCAAATACCAGCTCCATTTCTTTCCCTGCAGGCACAGAAAAAGGAAAATTACTTATCGAATATTTTACTATGCTTTTTCTCTATTTCCTCCTCTTTCCCTAGGAAGAGTTTGCAGCATCCCGCATGCACATATCAAAATTAGTTCGGGGGGGAAATGAGCTCAGTCACTAAGTAACATTTAAACCAGAAAGTACCCAATTCCAAGGGCTAAACGTCCATTTTATTATGTTGGCAAAAAAATTTAAGTACTGTGCAATGGAAATGTGTCATCATTCTCACACTCTAGGAGATAACATAGGAGCAGATATTATTATATTACTGCCTATATTAAATGTGTAAATAGCAGTTTTTGATAATGAGATAATTATATATATATATATATATTTTTTTTTTTTTTTTTTTGAGATACGGTTTTGCTCTGTTTGTTGCCCAAGCTGGAATGCAGCAGTGATCACAGCTCATTGTAGCCTCGACTTCCCAGCCTCAAGCAATCCTCCTGCCTCAGCCTCCCAAGTAGCTGGGACCACAGGCACGTGCCACTATGCCTGGCTAATTTTTTAAAATTTTAGTACAGGCATGGTCTTGCTATGTTGCCCAGGCTGGTCTCAAATTCCAGGCCTCCGGGTGCGGGGGCTCACATCTGTAATCCCAGCACTTTGGGAGGCCAAGGCGGGCAGATCACTTGAGGTCAGGAGTTCGAGACCAGCTGGCCAACAGGGAAAAACATCTTCTCTACTAAAAAATCAAAAATTAGCCAGGCGTGGTGGTACACACATGCAATCCCAGCTTCTCAGGAGGCTGAGGCAGGAGAATCACTTGAACCCGGGAGGCAGAGGTTGCAGTGAGCCGAGATTACACCACCGCACTCCAGCCTGGGGGACAGAGCAAGACTCCTTCTCAAAAAAAATAAAATAAAATAAAATCCAGGCCTCAAGAGATCCTCCTGCCTCAACCACTCCAAGTGCTGGGATTGCAGGCATGAGCCACAATGCCCAGCCTATGTATGGCTTTGTTACGCCAGTAACAAATCATACTTTATTTCATTACAATCATACTTTATATACATGCAACTGTAACTATCAAAAGTTATATCCTAGATAAGACTAGAAAGAATAAGTGCCAATAAATTCACATTAAAGTCACTGGAATGAATTTGGAAGGCAAACACTTCATTTTGACTTTGTGGAGGCAGCAGGCTTAAGGTTTGGAAAAAAGGAAAAGTATAAATTCTCTTGATGAAATTAAGCTGTATGAAATCCCTCAACACGATGAAAGTAAATTTATTTACCCGAATAGAGCTCACATTTACTGTCCTTTCTTCTGGGCTTTCCTTAAAAACAAACAAACAAAAAACAAAACAAAGCAAAACAAAAAAGAAGTGGGGAGATATGGTGATAGAAATACTTGGTTAGTACAAATCATCAGAAAATTAAGATGGCAATTCACTTGCTCATTTGCAAAGTTCTATTCCTACCATCACTCTTGGATTCCTTTCAAATATCCATCAGCTTTAAGAAATAACATTTTAAAAATTATTGCTAAGTGAAAACTCTTAAACTATGTAAAACAGGCCGGGTGCAGTGGCTCATGCCTGTAATCTCAACACTTTGGGAGGACAAGGCGGGCAGATCTCTTGAGACCAGGAGTTCAAGATCAGCCTGGTCAACATGAGACCTTGTCTCTATTTAAATAAATAAACTATGTATAACACAATGCCTTTTTAACAGAATTGTTATAATGATTAAAATAGTTGTTTCAGATGTAGGCAGGTTTTTATCATATATCATTTTTATAAACATAAGATAGTAAATATAAACAAAATAAACTGGTGAAAGTACTTCTAAAACTTCATATTCAGAGTAAACCCCTCTATTCAGAGTACAACTCCTCTGAGTTGTGGGATGTCTGTATTTTTTCACACATCATCCTCTGTGCCATAGAATGTTGGTTATGTACCATTTCTTTTTTCTTTTCACTGACACATAATAATTGTACATATCTATGTGGTACAGTGCAATGTTTCAATATGTGTATACTTTGTTTAATGATCAAATCATGGTAATTAGCATATCTATCACTGTAAACATTATTTCTTTGCTGTGGGAACATTCTAAGTCCTCTCTTGGCTATTGGAAATACACAATGCATTTCTTAAAGGAACTAAAAGCTAGGCTGGGCATGGTGGCTCACATCTGTAATCCCAGCACTTTGGGAGGCTGAGGCAGGTGGATTATAAGGTCAAAAGTTCGAGACCAGCCTGGCCAATGTGGTGAAGCCCCGTCTCTACTAAAACAAAAAAAAATACAAAAATTAGCCAGGCATGGTGGCGTGCACCTGTAATCCCAGCTACTTGGGAGGCTGAGGCAGGAGAAATGCTTGAACCTGGGAGGCAGAGGTTGCAGTGAGCCGAGATAGTGCCACTGCACTCCAGCCTGGGCAACAGAGCAAGACTCCATCAAAGAAAAAAAAAAAAAAAAAAAAAGAACTAAAAGCTAAGGGTGCTGGGGTCTCAATTATGTAAAGCTAACTACTTTTGGCTCCTGCTTCAGGAAAGTCCATTAACAAGTATGAATCACTGCTTCTGCCCTCCCTCCCTCCAAATCATTGGGTTTTTGAGGATTACAACAATGCTCCAATATTGTCTCCAGATTTTTTCCCCAAGCTGCTGACATCCATCCTGCAAAGTCTGATTCTGGCAGTCTGCCTGTGCACACTCCAATAGCAAATGACAAATATGCCATGACTCCTACCTGACTGACAATGATCACAACGATGTATCTGATCTCTTAGAAGCAGGAAAGTGAACAAAAAGTTTTTGAAATTGATGAATATACTACTCACTGATGAATTCCATATTCTATTTATTTCTCTAGCTTGAACATCTCTTCTGAACACCAAGCCCCAACTGACTACTTACATTTTTTTCTTGGATATCTAACAAGCATCTCAAATTTACGCAGGTCAAACAGAACTTGATTCTCAAATTGTCCTCCTCACAAAACAAAATAACCTCTCCTATTCTCTCATCAGTATTCCTCTTAATAATAAATGGAACCACCATCAACCCAACTGCTCAAGTCAAAAAACCAAAGAGTCAGCCAGGTGCGGTGGCTCATGCCTGTAATCCCAACATTTTGGGAGGCCGAGGCGGGTGGATCACCTGAGGTCAGGAGTTCGAGACCAGCCTGGTCAACATGGTGAAACCCCGTCTCTACTAAAAATACAAAAAAAATTAGCTGGGCACGGTGGCAGATGCACATAATTCCAGCTACTTGGGAGGCTGAGGCAGGAGAATCACTTGAACTCGGGAGGCGGAGGTTTCAGAGAGCCAAGATCATGCCATGGCACTTCAGCCTGGGCAACAAGAGCAAAACTCCGTCTCACAAAGAAAAAAAAGGCCAGGCGCGGTGGCTCACACCTGTAATCCCAGCACTTTGGGAGGCTGAGGTGGGCTGATCACGAGGTCAGGAGATCAAGACCGTCCTGGCTAACACGGTGAAACCCCCTCTCTACTAAAAAATACAAAAAATTAGCCAGGCGTGGTGGCGGGTGCCTGTAGTCCCAGCTACTCGGGAGGCTGAGGCAGGAGAATGGCGTGAACCTGGGAGGCGGAGCTTGCAGTGAGCCAAGATCGCACCACTGCACTCCAGCCTGGGCGACAGAGCGAGACTCTGTCTCAAAAAAAAGGGTCATTTTCTCATTCCCACTTCCAATCAAACTATCATCAAGTTCCATCTGTTCTACCACTGCAATATATCTCAAAGCAGTCCATTTCTGTCAATTTCCATTACTACCCCTTTCATACAAATCACTGTCAATATCTCTTGTCTAGACTTCAGCAGTAGCCACCTAATTGGTGTTCCTGTTTCCACTCGAGCCTCTTCTTATAACCCCATACTCCATAAAGAAGCCAAAGTGATCTCTATTGGCCAGGCATGGTGGCTCATGCCTATAATCCCAGCACTTTGGGAGGCCGAGGCGGGTGGATCGCTTGAGGTCAGGAGTTCAAGACCCGCCTGACCAACATGGCGAAACCCCGTCCCTACTAAAAATACAAATATTAGATGGGCTTGGTGGCGCAAGCCTGTAATCCCAGCTATTTGAGAGGTGAAGGCATGAGAATCACTTGAACCTGGAAGGCGGAGGTTGCAGTGAGCTGACATCATGCCACTGCACTCCAGCATGGGTGCCAGAGCGAGACACTGTCTCAAAAAAAAAAAAAAAAGTGATCTCTATCACATCAACTCAGACCACTTTACAACCCTACTTAAAAATCATTCCAGCCAGGCGCAGTAGCTCATGCCTGTAATCCCAGCACTTTGGGAGGTTGAGGCAGGTGGGTCACCTGTGGTCAGGAGTTCAAACCAGCCTGGTCAACATGGTGAAACTCCGTCTCTACTAAAAATACAAAAATTAGCCAGGCGTGGTGGTACGTGCCTGTAATCCCAGATATTCGGGAGGCTGAAACAGGAGAATCGCTTGAACCCAGGAGGCGGAGGTTGTGGTGAGCGGAGATTGCGCCATTGCACTCCAGCCTGGGCAACAAGAGCAAAACTCTGTCTCAAAAAAAAAAAAAAAAAAAAAAGCCATACTGCCCAAAGCAATTTACAGATTCAATGCTATTCTTGTTAAACTAACAATAACGTATCCATCAACAGATGAATGGATAAAGAAAATGTGGTAGATATACACAATGGGATATTATTCAACCATACAAAATAATGAAATTCTGTCATTTGTGGCTAGATGGATGGAAGTGGAGTACATTATGGTAAATGAAATAAGCCAAGCACAGAAAGACAAACATTGCATGTTCTCATGCATATGTGCGAGCTAAAAAAGTGGTTCTCATGGAGGTAGAGAGTAGAATGATGGTCATTGGAGGCTGGGAGAAGCGGGTGGGGGACAGGTATGAAGAGAGGTTGGTTAATGGGTCCAAAATACAGTCAGATAGACGGAATAAGTTCTAGTGTTTAATATCACAGTAGTGTGACTATAAGTAATAATTTATTGTATATTTCAAAGTGGCTAGAAGAGATTGGGGATGTTCTTAACATGAAAAAATGGTAAGTGTTTGAGTTGATAGATATCCCATTTACTCTAACTTGATCATTATATATTGTATGCTGTATCAAAATATCATGCGAATACCCCATATTAAAAAAATGAAACAACCAAAAAAAAGTCCTTTTTTTTTTTTTTTTTTTTGAGACAAGGTCTCACTCTGTCACCCAGGCTAGAGTTCAATGGAGCAATCACAGCTCACAGCAACCTTGACTTCCTAGGCTCATGTAATCCTCCCACCTCAACTTCCCAAGTAACTGAGAGCACAGGTGCATGCCACCAAACCCAGCTAAGTTTTTAAAATTTTATGTAAAGACAGCATCACACTATATTGCCAAGGCTGGTCTCAAACTCCTGGGCTCACGCAATCCTCCCACCTTGGCCTCCCAAAGTGCTGGGATTACAGGCATGCATCACAGTGCCCAGCCCCAGTGTCCTCTCTTGCTTGTTACTGATCTAGGGTCAATTTACTCCACCTCTTTGAGTTAAGCTTCTTCTCCTGTAAAACAGGGATAGTGATAACTAGTTTAGAGGCCTAACACATATATGTACATTATAGTCCAAGTCTGGTGAGTCATAAGTCTTCAATAATTGTTAATTCCTGGCCATAATAAAAAAAGTTAAAAAATAGATGTTGGCGTGGATGCGGTGAAAAGGGAACCCTTCTACACTGCTGATGGGAATGTAAAATAGTACAACTACTATGGAAAACAGTGTGGAGATTCCTTAAAGAACTAAAAGTAGAACCACCATTTGATCCAGCAATCCCACTACTGGATATCTACCCAGAGGAAAAGAAGTCATTATACAAAAAAAGGCACTTGTGCATGCATGTTTATAGCAGCAGAATTCGCAACTGCAAAAATATGGAACTAACCCAAACACCCATCAATCAATGAGTGGGTAAATAAACTGTGGCATATATATATACGATGAAATACTACTCAGCCATAAAAATGAATGAATTAATGGCATTTGCAGCAATCTAGGTGGGACTGGAGACTATTATTCTAAGTGAAGTAACTCAGGAATGAAAAAAAAAACATCGTATATTCTCACTCATAAGTGGGAGCTAAGCTGTGAGGATGCAAGGGCATAAGAATGACACAATGGACTCTGGGGACTCGGGGAAAGGGTGGGAAGGGGGTGAGGGATAAAAGACTACAAATTGGGTACAGTGTATACTGCTCGGGTGATGGGTGCACCAAAATCTCACAAATCACCACCAAAGAACTTACTCATGTAACCAAATAGCACCTGTTCCCCAAAAACCTATGGAAATAAAACATTGAAAATAATAAATAAATAAACAAATAAATAAATAATTGTTAATTATTTTTCCCTTTTAGCAATAAATCAATCTTCCTGAGGCTATTCCTTTCACCTTCCAGATGGGAATAATGGTGCCTAACCTTACAACCTCACAGGACTGCTTTGATAATCAAAGAGTCAATGTATATTGTGGTACTTAAAGAAAGAGGATAAGGCGGGAGCAGTGGCTCACACCTGTAATCCCAGCACTTAGGGAGGCCAGAGGGAGGATCACCTGAGGTCAGGAGTTCAAGACCAGCCTAACCAACATGGTGAAACCCATCTCTACTAAAAACACAAAAATTAGCTGGGTGTGGTGGCGGGTGCCTGTAATCCCAGCTACTCAGGAGGCTGAAACAGGAGAATTACTTGAACCCAGGAGGCAGAGGTTGCAGTGAGCCAAGATCATGCCATTGCACTCCAGCCTGGGTGACGAGAGTGAAACTCTGTCTCAAAAAAAAAGAAAAAAAAAAGAGGATAAGTTATTAAACAAAGGCAAGGCAAAACATTAGCATCATCATAATAATTATTATCATTGCAAATATTTATGACTGCACTTGACTCACTTGTCTTCATGAAGTTCAACATTACATCATAAAAGTCTTACATGACAATCTAGCCTGAGCTATTTTCCAAACTAAACTGGTCACTTATATGCTTTAACATTTTTCTTCAATAGTCAAATCTGTTTGTTTCCAAGAATCTATAAGACTTGTAAAAAGAGTTTTTGGTTGCCTTTCCTGAATTTAGTAAGCCTGTGTGCTATAGAGGGTTACAAAACAAAAAAAGTACCCAGTAATGTGTAAAAGGGAATTTTTATCCATCACCAAACAGGATTTATTCTAAGAATGCAAGGTTGGTTAAACATATGAACCTCAATTAATGGAATATACCATATCAGCAGAATAGAGGACAAAAACCACAAAACCATGTTTATAGATGCAGAAAAATGGTTTCACAACATCTAACACCCATTCATAATAGAAAACATTCGGCCAGGTGTGGTGGCTCACATCTGTAATCCCAGCACTTTGGGAGGCCGAGGTGGGCGGATCACCTGAGGTCAGGAGTTTGAGACCAGCCTGGCCAACATGGTAAAACCCCATCTCTACTAAAAATACAAAAATTAGCCGGGCGTGGTGGCGGGTACCCATAATCCCAGCTACTTGGGAGGCTGAGGCAAGAGAATTGCTTGAAACCGGGAGGTGGAGGTTGCAGTGAGCCAAGACTGCACTACTGCACTCCAGCCTGGGCAAGAAGAGCAAGATTCCATCAAAAAACACCACTCAACAAACTGGAAATAGAAGGGCAGTTCCCCAACCTGACAAACGACAAAGTGAAATGTTTCTCCCTACGATTAAGTGGCCATTCTTGCCATTTTTTTTTGACATAGTACCTGAGGTTCTAGGCAGTACAATTAGCAAGACAAAGAAAAGGCATTCAAATTTAAAAGGAAAAAACAAAACTTCTCTATTTGCAGAAGACATAATCTTGTATATGGAAAATCCTAAGGAATATACCAAAAAGCTATAAAAACTAATAAATGAGTTCAACATTATGAGATATAAGATCAATATACGGGTGCAGATCAATTGCATTTCTATATAATAGCAATAAGCAATCCAAAACTGAAATTAAGAAAAATATTCCATTTACGATAACATCAAAAAACACAGTACTTAGGAATAAATTTAGCCAAAGAAGTATAAAATTTATGATCTGAAAACTGCAAAACATTGTTGAAAAAACTGAAGACCTACATAAATGGAATGACATATGATGTTCATGCATTGGAAGACTTAATATTATTAAGATGGCAATACTACCCAAATTTCTACAGATTACAAGCCATTATCTATCAGAATCGCAGCTGGATCCGTTTTTTGTTTTGTTTTGTTTTTTTAGACAGAGTTTTGCTCTTTCGCCCAGGCTGGAGTGAAGTGGCACGACCTCAGCTCACCGCAACCTCCGCCCCCCAGGTTCAAGCGATTCTCCTGCCTCAGCCTCTCGAGTAGCTGGTAGCTGGGATTACAGGTGCATGCCACCACGCCTGGCTAACTTTTGTATTTTTAGTAGAGAAATGCCCAACATTTCACCATGTTGGCCAGACTGGTCCTGAACTCTTGACCTCAGGTGATCCACCCATCTCAGCCTCTCAAAGTGCTAGGATTACAGGTGTGAGCCACCATGCCCGGCCTGGATTCTTTATAGAAATTAATAAGCTGGTCCTAAAATTCATATGGAATTTCAAAGAACCAACAATAGCCAAAACAATCTTGAAAAAGAAGAACAAGTTGGGGAACTCACATTTTCTGATTTCAAAGCTTACTACAAAGCTATACGGATCAAGACAGCATTTACTGGCATGAGGATAGACATATAGATCCATAAAATAGAATTAAGAGTCCATACATCTATGGTCCATTGATTTTAGACAAGGGTGCCAAGACATTTTAATGGGAAAGAGTAGCCTTTTCAACAAATGGTGTGGGTACATTTGTGTACTCACACACACAAAAATGAAGTTGTATACTTAAATCACAACATATACAAGAGATAAAATTGATTTAAAAAACCCAAATATAAGAGTTAAAACTATAAAATTCTCAGACAAAACAGAGGAGTAAATCTTTGTAACCTTGGGTTAGGCAGTGATTTCTTAAGCTCTGACAACAAAAGCATAAGCAATAGGAAAAAAAAGTGAAATTTCATTTCATCAAAATTAAAAACCTTTGTAAATCAAAAGACATTAACAAAAAAGTGAAGACAACCCACAAAATTGGAGAAAACTTTTGCAAATTACATATTTGATAAAGGATTTGTATCTAGAATATAAAAAGAACCATTATAACTTGATAATAAAATCACAAATAAACTCATTAAAAAATGAGCAAAGGGCCAGGCATGGTGGCTCACACCTGTAACCCCAGCACTCTGGGAGGCCAACCTGGATGGACCATTTGAGCCCAGGAGCTCCAGACCAGCCTGGGCAATTTGGTGAAACCCTGTCTACAAAAAACGGTCAGGAGTGGTGGCGTGCGCTTGTAGTCCCAGCTACTCAGGAGGCTGAAGTGGGAGAATCAATTGAGCTCTGGAGTTCAAGGCTTCAGTAAGTTGTGATTGTGCCACTGGCCACTGCCCTCCATCCTGAGCTACAGAACGACCGTCTCAAAAAAAAAAAAAGAACAAGAAATATAAAAACTTTTTAAAAAATTTAAAATGAGCAGAGTCTGATAGACATTTCTCCAAAGAAAATATATAAATGTTCAATAAGCACATGAAAAGATGCTAAACATCAATAGCTACCATGGAAATGCAAATCAATACCACAATGAAATACCATTTCACACTTCCAGGATGGCTAGAACCAAAAAAACAGATAAAAAGTGTTAGGAAAGAGGTGGAGAAAATGGAACCCTCACATACTGCTGATGGGAATGTGAAATGGTGCTGCTACTTTGGAAAACAGTCTGGAAGTTCTTCCAGTGGTTAAACATAGAGTTACCATATGATCTAGTATTCCCACTCTTAAGTATATATACCAAAGGTATATATACCCAAGAGAAATGAAAACATATGTCCACACAAAACCTTTTATAAGAATACTTATTCATAATCACCAAAAAGTGAAAATAACAAAAATGTCCATCAATTGATAAATGAATAAAATGTGTCATATATATATATAGGAATATTATTTATCAGTAAAAACAAATAAAGTACTGATACATGCCATAAGATAGCTGAATGTTGAAAACATTATGCTAAGTGAAAGAAGCCAGTCCGGGCACTGTGGCTCATGCCTGTAATCCCAGCACTATGGGAGGCCAAGCAGATTACCTGAGGTCAGGAGTTAGAGACCAACCAGCCTGGCCAACATGGTGAAACCCTGTCTCTACTAAAAATACAAAAAATTAGCGGGGCATGGTGACACATGCCTCAGGAGGCTGAGGCAGGAGAATCGCTTGAACCCAGGAGGCAGAGGTTGCAGTAAGCCGGGATGGCACCACTGCACTCCAGCCCAGGCGACAGAGCAAGACTGTCTCAAAAAAAGAAAAAGAAAGAAGCCAGTCACAGAAGACCACATATTGTGTGATTTCATTGATTTGAAACTTCTAGAGGCCAGGCCGGGTGGGTCACGCCTGTAATCCCAGCACTTTGGGAGGATGAGGCTGGTGGATCACGAGGTCAGGAGTTCGAGACCAGCCTGACCAACATGGTGAAACCCCGTCTCTACTAAAAATACAAAAAAATTAGCCAGGCATGGTGGCACGTGCCTGTAATCCCAGCTATCGGGGGCTGAGGCAGGAGAATAGCTTGAACCCGGGAGGCGGAGGTTGCAGTGAGCCAAGATCGCGCCATTGCACTCCAGCCTAGACAACAGAGCGAGACTCCATCTCAAAAAAAAAGAAACTTCTAGAATAGGCAAATACATAGATATGTAAAGTAGATTAGTGTTTGCTTAAGACTGGGAGGTGGGAGGCCCTGGGGAATGATGGCTAAGGGGTGTGATGTTTCTTTTGGGAATAATGAAAATGTTCTAAAATTGATGATGGTGATGGATGCACAGCTCTATGAATAAACTAAAAGCCTTTGAACTGTATATTTGTTTTTTGTTGTTCTTGTTTTTTTTTTTTTTTTCTTTTTTTGAGATGGAGTCTTGCTCTGTCACCTGGGCTGGAGTGCAGTGGTGCCATCTCGGCTCACTGCAACCTCTGCCTGCTGGGTTCAAGCGATTCTCATGCCTCAGCCTCCTGAGTAGCTGGGACTACAGGCACGTGCCACCACGCCCGGCTAATTTTTTTGTGCTTTTAGTAGAGACGGGCTTTCCCCATGTTGGCCAGGCTGGTCTCAAACTCCTGACCTCAAGTGATCTGCCCGCCTTGGCCTCCCAAAGTGCTGCGATTACAGGCGTGAGCCACCCCGTGCCTGGCTTCATCATACTATTCTACCTTTGTTATGTTTGACATTTTCCATAACAAAAGGTAGATTTTTTTTTAAAGTAACAAGGTGCTAATGCTACGGTAAGGAGTTACAAGGCCAAAATATAGAAGATGATAACCCAAAGAAGTAAGTCTAATACTCAAAATCACTTTTGGCCTGAGGGAATTTGCCAATCCAGAGGAATTTGCTACCAAAGTGAACTGTACTTCCACGGTCTCAAAGAACTAAGGTAATTAAATTCAGAGCACAGGGTTTTCCAAAATTGGGAACTCTTATAAATCATGCCCCACTTTAAACTTGGAAACCCAATGGGCTATACCTTCAAGATAAGACATAACCAGAAGTAAATTAGTCCTCTCACAAGCTTGCAGTCTAACCTCCTATAGTTCAGGGAATCTCAGACACAGAACTTGGATTAGGGTAGTACCAGACAAAGAACACCACTGGGTACCAGTGAGAAGCAAAGAAAAGTCCTCTGTGCAGAAATATATCATTTCAGTGTTCAAATTATTTCTATAAAATAATATTCCAAGTATCCAGCACATCGTCAAAGATAACCAGGCACACAAAGAAACTAAGCAGTATGAGGAAGAAGCACACACACACACACACACAAAAGCAGGCAACAGAAACAGACATTCAAAAACTTCAGACATTGGAATTATCAAATACAGATTATAAAACAATGCTTACTAAGTTTAAAGAAAGGAAAACACTGGATGGAAAAAACAAAAAGCAATAGAAATGGTTATCTCAAGGCAGAAGATGGTAAAAGATGGAAGAGGAAAGGACAGAAGTGAGATTTTCATAGTATAGAATTATGTAAATTTTTACATATTTCAAAATAAAATTAAATAAAAAAAAAAAGTAGCCAGGCACAGTGGCGCACACCTTTAATCCCAGCACTTTGGGAGACTGAGGCAGGCATCTCGCTTGAACTCAGGAGTTTGAGACCAGCCTGGACAACATGGCGAAACTCCATCCCTACAAATACAAAAAAACTAGCCAGGAGCGTTGGCGCACGCCTGTAGTCCCAGCTACTTGGGAGGCAGAGATGGGAGGATCACTTGAGCCCCCAAGGTCAAGGCTGTAGTGAGCCGAGATTGCGACACTGCACTCCATCCTGGGGGACAGAGAGTGAGAATGACAACTTGTCTTAAAAAAAAAAAATAATAAGGCAATCTGTAAAACATGAAAACAAACAGAAACAACAAATGTACCTAACTGCATGTAAAATACAGTATGTGCACCTTACGTTTGTAGAAGGATTTAGTGCAGGGGGAAAAAGACCTGCAAACATTTAAAATTTCATCTAGTAGCCTCATATTAGTAGTAACATTAATATTATTAATTTGACACAGGTTATTGTATATTGTATGATAAATCAAGTTATTATGAAGGTAAGAAAAGAGAAAAAGACAAGAAATATCAGAAAATCACTATAATGTCTCTGAAATTCTTCTACGTAGTTAAAAAATATAATTCTTATTCAAATATTCTAATCAATCAATATGGTTTCAGAGGCTTATGTATTATTTTCCTCAGCATCTAGTCCTTGACTACATTTCAAAACCTCATCTCCTATCATGTTATAGTCTAGCCCAGTGGCTCTCAACTCTTGTTGTATATCAGAACTATTTAAAAGGTGGGTCCTGAATGTCACCCTAGAGTTATTAAATCGGAGTCTCAGCATGGGAGCAGCCAAGGATGTACACTTTGAAAAAGCACCACTGGCCGGGCGCGGTGGCTCATGCCTATAATCTCAGCACTTTGGGAGGCCGAGGCAGGCAGATCACCTGAGGTCAGGAGTTCAAGACCACCCTGGCCAACATGGCAAAACCCTGTCTCTACTAAAAATATAAAAATTAGCCAGGCGTGGTGGTGGGCACTTGTAATCCCAGCTATTCGGGAGGCTGAGGCAGGAGAATTGCTTGATCTTGGGAGGCAGAGGTTGCAGTGAGCCAAGATCGCACCACTGCACTCTAGCCTGGGCGACAGAGCGAGACTCTATCTCAAAAAAAAAAAAAAAAAGAAGAAGCACCACTGACAATTCTGCTGCTCAGCCAGTGTAGAATCACTGCTCTAGCCCTACAATTCTGCCTCATGTTCCTCAAACATGACAGGCTCTAACACAGAGTTCAGCCAACCACGGCCCAAAGCCCAAACTCTAGCTCAACACCTGTTTTGTAAATAAATTTTTTACTGGAATACAACTATAGCCATCTGTTTATGCTTTGTCTACAGCTGCTTTCATGCTACAATGATAAAGTTGAGTACTCTTGACACAGACCACGTGGCCTGTAAAATCTAAAATATTTACAATCTGGCCCTCTACAAGAAAAGTCTGCTGACTTCTGTTCTATCTTTGCTCTGCATCTTTGTACTTTTCCTCAAACTCTGCTCCTATCTTGACAAGCTCATGTTCGTGCTTCAAAATTCCAATCAGCATCATTTCTGCAAATCCTGAACTTAGCGCCCCTTTATATTTTTTCATCATCCTCTATACTTTCCCCTATTACATCACTTATTATTGTTTTTTCTAAGATGTCTGTTTAATGACTGCCTCCCTGACTAGATGTTAAGCTCTCTGAGGACAACACTCAGAGTGTCTTATTCACTGTAGTGCCTGGTTCATTGTATACATATATTAAAATTTATTCAATGAATATCTCCCCCACCCTGCACACTTTTTTTTCATTTTGTTAGATTTCTCAATGTTCCCGTCTGTTAAGGGAATCCTGAGTCCAAATTCTTTCAGGGTATTTGTAATTCCACCCTGTTGTCTCATCCATGCATTTCAGATACCACCATTTGAGTTCTTCTCCATGTCACACACACATAATGTTGAAAGTGACAGGGCTGAGAATGAAGTCCTGAAAGGACACACACAAACATAAACCCTCCTCCACCTGCCTGCATATTGATATCAATCCATTAAATCAGCAGTCTTTGACTAAGACTCTAATTGTACTATTAACTAACCTACATATTCTATCTTGTCTAGAAGGATTTTATGAGAGCTTCCACATCTATGAAGCGTTTCCTTACATGGCACCACCTCTACCCAGGCAGGACTGGACTAATCACTCCCCCATCTTTCTTACAACTGAACCTTTTCTCATTTTGCCACACTGTATTATAGTAATTTGTTTACAAGTCTGTCTCTGTTACAAGCTCAAGCTCTCTTAGAGGACAGAAACTTACTTAAATTAACTGGAATCCCTGAGCCTAGCACAATGCCCAAAATTTAGTTGTTACTTAAAAAAAATTACTAAACACACGTCTTACAATTCAGACACATTAAATTTATGGCACTTCCTATTTCTGCCACCACAGTATTAAGATACAAAATCTAAAAATTCTTTAAATACCCTTACCTGTAGCAAAAAGGAAACAGCGTAACTCAAGAAAGAAGGATGATGGACTACATTTAAACTGTTTTTATATTCAGCCACTCCAGTTTTTTCTAGGATTTCAGGGTCAATATATATTCCTTTCCCAAAGGGTTTGGACGTCCACAGGCAACCAACCATTGATGTCAAATAGTGATTAAATTCTTGATAAGTCTTGCTGCTGAAATTGAACTCTGATTTTGTCTAATGGGAAAGAAATAAAAAATTGTCACTATCACCTATTCTCCCTTTCCTTCTTACTCCCATCAGGTCATATATATCTAGACTTAATTTTTAAACAACAGTGATTTAACACAGAGCTTTCTCATTCATACCTTTTGTACCAACTCATTTTTCTTTGCGGCAGTCAAATTTTTACGATATCTAACAGAAAAAACAAACAGAATGAAACATTTAACATGCCTTTGAATATAATGCCTTTGAAATGGTAAAATTTAAAAAAAACATACATTTTAAATGTAAATATATGCAAATGTGCATATACACAAATATCCAGTTGTCTAGTTAAGGATTTTATCCTTTTGTGATACATTCTCCTCAAGTGAAAATAGAGGCTCAATAAGTTGTACACTTAAGATGTGTAGTTGACTAAATAAAAAATAAGCAATGAAAAATGCTTTCAATGTTTCACTATTAAAAATGTAATAGAGTTCTCACTCATAAATGGGAGTTGAACAATGAGAACACATGGACACAGGGAGGAGAACATCACACACTGGGGCCTGTCGGGGGTCGGGGGTCAAGGGGAGGAAGAGCATTGAGACAAATACCTAATGCATGCAGGTCTTAAAACCTAGATGATGAGTTGATAGGTGCAGCAAACCACCATGGCACATGTATACCTATGTAACAAACCTGCACGTTCTGCACATGTATCCCAGAACTTAAAGTAAAATAATAAAAAAAAAATTAACAGAGGCTCAAAAGCAGTCAGTCACTGATATAGAACATGTTTTCCTAATGTAAAAAAAAGGTGCAGCAGAAAGGATAAACAGGAAATTCTTGTCTGAGAACTATTAACAACTAATTAGTTTTTAAACATTTTAACCTTGACATAGTCCTACAAGTTATGCCAAGAAGGTCTACACTAAGCTGAGCATGGTGGCTCACGCCTGTAATCCCAGCACTTTGGGAGGCCGAGGTGGGTGGATTACCTGAGGTCAGGAGTTCGAGACCAGCTTGGCCAACATGGTGAAACCCCATCTCTACTAAAAATACAAAAAATTAGCCAGGCGTGGTGGCGGGCGCCTGTAATCCCAGCTACTCGGGAGGCTGAGGGGGGAGAATCGCTTGAACCCGGGAGGCAGAGGTTGCAGTGAGCCGAGATCATGTCACTGCACTCCAGGGTGATAAGAGCAAAACTCCATCTCAAAAAAAAAGTCTACGCTTATGGACTGAAGAAAGTAATTTCAGTCCACAAGTGAAAGAATTAGAGGAGACCAGAAATAATACTTACAGTTTCATATAATTGGCAATAGCTCCCCTTATCGCCCAGAAAATGTTATTTTTACCAGAGAAGCTACAAACACTTCAAGCAATTATCACCAAATGACTAATTTTTCCTGAAGACACAGCAATTAGAATGAACAATGCTGAGTGCAACAGTACCATTGCACAACAAGTCCTTAACTATGAATTTTTTTTTATTCTGTAGCCACAGCAGTGGAGGATTTAAAAAACACAGCTACCATGGCCCCATATCGGAAGGTCATGTCCAAAAGCAAGCCACATTTCCTATTTCCAGAGGCCCTGGCAGAAGACGAGTAGGAATATTTATTGTATTATAGCTGAAAGAGGAAGAGAGAATTATAATACACTGTTTCATAAAATGGTAAAAAGGCTTTGTACCTGTGCATAATAAAACACAGCTGGTTCAGGATGCTGGTATCCAGGCTGAGGAGTGCAGAATAGAAGATCCCAGGAGGAAACAATACCACTAATGGAAGGTTATAATTTATATATATGTCACACACCTTGGAGGAAGAATGATAACATCAGTATACAGAGTATTCCCCAGAACTCCTCAACTAAGTTCACCCAAAGAATCATCAGTACAAGATAAGCAATAACATAACATTAGCTTTGGACATGCCTGACTCCTAAATAAACATCTACAAGCTGGCTTAAAATATACTTCACCAAACATCAGCCACACTATAGAGGATTATTTCCAGAAGGCCATTACTCAAATCTTTCATTTTTTGGGGGGAAAGGTCTTAAAGTTAGGGGGACAGGGTAGATTAAGGAAGTATTTCTTTATCCTTAAGTCCCATAATATTTACTTACCATGTGAGTTAGCTGTCAACCTAGAAAACAAAGGAGCATGCTTCTAAGCAAATGCATAACACAAGACAACTAGGTATTAGTAAAGAGAGGAAGCTGGGAAAAGTGAGACTATAATGGATACTTCATGGATAATATTAAATTGGTGCAAAAGTAACTGCAGTTTTTGCTATTGTTTTCAATGGCAAAAACTGCAATTACTTTTGCACCAACCTATAGTTCTGTCCAGGTCATATACTATAAAACAATAAAAGCGTACTAGGTAGCAAGAGAAGTAAGGCAGCTGAAAGGTAGAAATGGAGATCTGAAGAAACAACAAGATATTTTTGGTTTCTGCCAGGAGTTGGGAATGGGATGAACAAAAAATAATGCTAACAATAGACTTCTCTCTAGGGCCAGTATTAACACAGGTCAATGTAGTGGTACCTGGCCCTAAATAAAAGCAATTGTTTTTCCACTTTGTTTATGAAAGTCAGTTATTCTGGTGAGAAAATAATCATGAACTTCAAAATGTGAGGTTATTTTAATGATGCTAATAAGATCATAGCCCACCTTAATGGTTGTGCATGAAATTTAAATAATAAGCCAATAAAGTGGATAGCCTTCACATAAATCCAAATGGGGAAAATGTAATGTGTACTACCTTCTCATAGAAATCCAAAATAAAGTGCAGCAAGAAAGTATTGTTGCTCTCCAAGCGCATTGCAGTAGTGGATAGCCACCCTACATAGTGGATCAGTTTAGACACAGAGTTCATGGATCCACCCAAAGTTGTCTCTCTGCAATAAGAAACCATAACATTCAGATATAG
The DNA here is from genome assembly GCF_000001405.40 of Homo sapiens. Classification (NCBI taxonomy): domain Eukaryota; kingdom Metazoa; phylum Chordata; class Mammalia; order Primates; family Hominidae; genus Homo; species Homo sapiens. The sequence goes on along the minus strand of NC_000023.11, from coordinate 101,145,031 downwards.
AGTAGCAATAGTGTTCACAATTTCCAAGCTAAAGCTGAATAATATAAAGCAAAATGTTGGTGAGGATTTTAAAAACTATCAGTGCTCCAACGTATAATTCACTTTTTAAAAAATCACAGTGAGTAATCATAAAACTACACTTAGCCCTCCAGGGAACCATTAAGACGAATTCATAGAACATTCTAAGCAATCAGACTCTACTAGTAAATACCAGAGAAATAAAGTATTAAGCTCCAAGCAGATATGAAAATTCTCAAGTGAGATATATAAAAACCATTAAAAAATAGGTATTCCATTAAAAGTTAAGTGGAGAAAAAAAGTTCACATAAAAGTGACATGAAAAATTCAGGGCCGGGCAGAGTGGCTCACACCTGTAATTCCAGCACTTAGGGAGGCGAAGGTCGGGGGCTCTCTTGAATCCAGGAGTTTAAGACCATTCTGGGCAACATGGCAAAAGCCCGTCTTTACAAAAAATACAAAAATTAAGTGCGGTGGTGGCACATGCCTATAGTTCCAGCTACTCAAGACGCTGAGGTGGGAGGATCACTTGAGCCTGTGAGGCAAAGGTTGCAGTGAGCGAGAGTGCACCACCTCACTCTAGCCTGAGTGACAGAGCAAGACTGTTTCAAAAAAAAAAAAAAAAAATTCAGGCGAGGTGCAGTGGCTCACACCTGTAATCCCAGCACTTTGGGAGGCCAAGGCAGTCGGATCACTTGAGGTCAGGAGTTCGAGACCAGCCTGGCCAACATGGTGAAACCCTGTCTCTACTAAAAATACAAAAATTAGCCAGGTGTGATGGTGGGTGCCTATAATCCCAGCTGCTTGGGAAGCTGGGGCAGGAGAATTGCTTCAGGAGGTGGAGGTTGCAGTGAGCCAAGATCATGCCATTGCACTCCAGCCTGAGCAACAGAACAAGACCCTGTCTCAAAAAAAAAAAAAAAAAAGAAAAAGAAAATATTCAGGATAAAATGTGAAAACGGACAAAATGATACAGTAAACTAGAAAAAATGAGAACTAATTTATCCCAACCAAATCAAAAGTGATTTAAAGGAATAAACATTAAAATGACTTCAGGAATCGTTTCCTATACTGTTAGTAACATTGCAACACAGATTGAAGGAAACCTACAGTACACAAATCAAAACTCAGTTTTGCCTGAATTCCTGAGCTAAAATGCTGTTAAACATATTTTCACTTGAATTTGGCTGGGGGCAGTGGCTCACGCCTGTAATCCCAGCACTTTGGGAGGCTGAGGCAGGCGGATCACCTGAGGTCAAGAGTTTAAGACCAGCCTGGCCAAGATGGTGAAACCCCATCTCTACTAAAAATACAAAAATTAGCCAGGTGTGGTGGTGCACGCCTGTAATCCGTTACTTGGGAGGCTGAGGCAGGAGAATCCCTTGAACCCAGGAGGTGGAGGTTGCAATGAGCCAAGATCGTGCTATCGCACTTCAGCCTGGCCTGGGCGACAGAGTGAGACTCCATCTCAAAATATATATATGTATATTTTTTTTTCACTTGAATTCAATTCAACCCTAAAAGGGAATTAGCAAAATTTTTGGCATCTTTTATTCTTCTAGCAAAAAACAGATCTAGCTATTTTATATTCTCCCTGGATCAATGAATGGAGTCTCTTACAGTACCTATGGGTATTAGTTCAATCCATCCATCTACTCACCCCTGTCCTTCAATCCAATGTTAAATGGATTAGGAAAAGACTTACAAATTTGAATTCATAGCTTTGCCCTCCTATCTAGGTAGTCAACAATGGTTACGCATAAGGAAAAGAACATGTATAATCTTAGAGTTTCAGAGATGATGATGACTCTACTACTGCCCACCACCATGATACTTCAGTGCCAAGGCAATCAAGGAAGGATCAGGAGACCATTCAAATAGGCGAGCATCTACACATAGCCAGCTGGCTATTTGCAAAACTATATGCTTTTTTTTTTTTTTTTTGAGATGGAGTCTCACTCTGTCGCCCAGGCTGGAGTACAGTGGCGCAATCTCAGCTCACTGCAATCTCCTCCCAGGTTCAAGCAATTCTCGTGCCTCAGCCTCCTGAGTAGCTGGGATTACAGGCGTGCACCACCACACCCAGCTAACTTTTGTATTTTTACTAGAGACAAGGTTTCACCATGTTGGCCAGGCTGGTCTGGAATTCCTGACCTCAAGTGATCCGCTGGCCTCAGCCTCTCAAAGTGCTGGGATTACAGGCATAACTGTATCTTAACTATGATTTTTGGTAGCACTTGGCAACTGTGTCTGAAATAATTTGAAACAAAGACGATTGCTCAGAACAGCCTCTTTTGAAGTGTTTCTCCACAAGACACTATCGGCATTTTGGATGAAACAATTCACTGTTCAGGACTGCCTCCTACTTCCCACCCACTGAAGCACATTGAGCATCCCCATCTCCCACATACTAAATGATGGTTGCAACCTCTTCCCAGTCGCTGTGACAACCAGAAATGGCCCCCTTCGAGAACCACTGTTGAGAAGTTTTCTACCCTTCTCTTTTTATGATATATAACTACAATTTACTCCCTTTTTGACAGTGATATGGCATATGGTCACATGATAAAAATAGGGCATTATACCTACACTTAATAAAAAGAATTATTTAAAACTTGAGCTATACTATATAATGCCAAATATTGATATGGCAAGCAAAATTATCCACATGTATCACCATTTTTATAAGAATTTTAGAAAACAGAATTCCTTTTTAAATTGTCTGCCTTAACTTATGACACTAATAAAAGAGGAATCCGAAGATTTTTGAAAAGATAATACAGAAATTGTAAGGCAGCTATTTCAGGGGTATCAGAGACTTACACTGCAAGTTGGCCAAATATTATAGATGCAAACCTACTATTTTGTTAAATCTCCTGCTGATCCAGGGAATAGAGAACGAACAAATATGGGTCCAGGCTCAGCAGCCCACAGAAGGGAATGCAGGTTAGGGAGAACCACAAGTAAAAGAGAGGAATTTCAGACTGGATGTGGTGGCTCACACCTGTGATCCCAATATTTTGGAAGGTCAAGGCAGGAGGATAGCTTGAGCCTAGAAGTTGAAGACCAGCCTGGACAACACAGTGAGACCTTGTCTCTACAACAAATAAAAAAATTAGCCAAGCGTGGTGGTGCACGCTTGTGGTCAGAGCTACTCAGGGGCTGAGGTGGGAGGATTGCTTGAGCCTGGGAGGTCGAGGCTGCAGTGAGCAAAGACTGCGTCACTGTACTCCTGGGAGACAGAGCAAGACCCTGTCTCAATAAAAAAGGGGGGGGCAGGTGGAGGTAATTTCAAACGTACTATTCTTAATGTAATTTAGGTAGAAGAGATTAAATGTTTAAGTGGAATTTCTTTATAATAGTGGTTCTTGGCCAGGCGCAGTGGCTCACACCTGTAATCCCAGCACTTTGGAAAGCTGAGGCGGGCAGATCACAAGGTCAAGAGATCGAGACCATCCTGGCCAGCATGGTGGAACCCCATCTCTACTAAATAAACCCCATCTCTACTTAGCTGGATATGGTGGCACATGCCTGTAATCCCAGCTGCTTGGGAGGCTGAGGCAGAAGAATCATTTGAAGCTGGGAGGTGGAGGTTGAGGTGAGCCAATATTGTGCCACTGCACTCCAGCCTGGGTGACAGAGTAAGACTGTCTCAAAAAATATATATATATATGTAGGAGAAGGCAAAGATTTTAGGTAGAAAGAGTCAAAACAACCTGATTATGCAGTTCCTTGAAATTTAGTCTTTTACTTTTACTTTGAAGGTAAAGCACACATTTAACAATTTAGGGCTCTTATTTTAAACTCCAAAGTTAAGATAAATTAACACATATAACCAAAATACAGCACAGAAACATAAAAACAAAGTTGTACGCAAAATTACGTTAGAGATTTTTCTAGCCATCATGAAAATTGGCTTTAAATATAAGAATATAATTTATAAAATGAGTTAAACTGAATGGAAGTCAAAGTTGCAAATTCTAGTCTCATCTCTCTAGTGTTTTGTTATATTAACTCTTGAAAGAAGTCATTTAGCAGATAAGGGTTGCTTTCTGATTTACACAATAGGAACTTAGAGAATTAGCCTTCCTTTCAGGATTGTGGGGGAAGAAGAGTGAAAAGTCACAAAAAAGTCTTCCAAAAAAGTACTACTAAGCATTTACATGAAAAAAATTGTTTCACGCCACACTATTAAACATATGCAAACATTTGTATACAGATCGTCTCTTGTGGAAGACCGTTAGATAACTCACAGAGGACTGTTTGTAACAGGTTTCATGTGAATGTCCATAGAAAGCCACAACAGCCAATTCTGCAATAGCTCTTTCAGACTCTGAAGCACACTACACTGAGGGGGACAAAATGAAAAAAGATTTCATGAAATCATTCAGACATAACAGTGTTCAGAACTAACAGAGGCTTAGAGATGAAAAGGACCATGGAGATGACCACATCAAATTTTGAACCCAACAGCTGCTTCTACACCATGATTAGTCTCCAGAAGACAGACGAATGCCAAGTACAAGTTTATTTTGCCATTTTCTCTACAAGAAACATACCTCAACAGGACTGCCTAACTTATCAGCCTAGAACAGACCTTTCTCTAAATTACATCAATTTATAACAACTATTACATCATCAAATAAAAACAGCATCTTTATCATCCCCCCTCAGAGAACTTTTGAAGTTGCTACAGATATGAATTTCTCTCCCTTTTTACCTTGTGGTCTACAATTACAATTTGCCACCTTTTTGATGGTCATAAAAATTTATCTTATCTTCTGTGACTTTGAAAAAAAAAGCAATTCTAGTCTTTCTTTTCTCAGGCCTTGCCTTGATTTCCCAAGCCTCAATCACATACAAAAACATACAATGATGGGCTGGGTGCGGTGGCTCACGCCTGTAATCCCAGCACTTTGGGAGGCCGAGGCGGGCGGATCAGAAGGTCAGCAGATCGAGACCATCCTGGCTAACGCGGTGAAACCCCGTCTCTACTAAAAATACAAAAAAAATTAGCCAGGCGTGGTGGCGGGCGCCTGTAGTCCCAACTACTTGGGAGGCTGAGGCAGGAGAATGACGTGAACCCAGGAGAAGGAGCTTGCAGTGAGCCAAGATCGTGCCACTGCACTCCAGCCTGGGTGACAGAGTGAGACTCTTTCTCAAAAAAAAAAACAAAAAACAAAAAAAAAAAAACATACAATAATGACATAAATTCGTCCAGGGCATTTATGATGATAAACCGTAATATCTATAAATTTGAAAGCAATCCATACCATCCCAAAATCTAATACAGCAAACCTTTCTTAAAAATTCTTACTACATAATGGTCTACTAATCATTTGAGTGTTTCCAGTAATAGAGTGCTCACTGCTACTTCAGAGAAAAGTTCAATTAATATACTTTTTGACAACTCACATTCAGGTTAGAAGTATGTTCTAGTTGAAAGCAACTCTGGAATCATCTAAGACAATAGTCTACTTTGGTGTCAACCAAGGAATTTTATCATTTGAAGATATTCAACATTACAATGTTATATTATCTTTTTTTAATATTTTATTTTTAATTTTTGTGGGTACACGGTAGGTATATACAATGTTACATTTAGAAAACAAAAATCTTGGCCAGGCGTGGTGGTTCATGCCTGTAATCCCAGCACTTTGGGAGGCCGAGAAGGGCAGATTACCTGAGGTCAGGAGTTCGAGATCAGCCTGGCCAGCATGGTGAAACCCCATCTCTACTAAAAATACAAAAATTAGCCAGGCGTGGTGGCACGTGCCTGTAATCCCAGCTACTCGGGAGGCTGAGAGGCAGGAGAATTGCTTGAGCCCGGAAGGCGGAGTTTGCAGTGAGCCAAGATCATGCCACTGCACTACAGCCTGGCCGACAGAGTGAGACACTGTCTCAAAAAAAAAAAAAAAAAAAAAAGGTCGGGCGCGGTGGCTCACGTCTGTAATCCCAGCACTTTGGGAGGCCGAGGCGGGTGGATCACCTGAGGTCAGGAGTTCGAGACAAGCCTGGCCAACATGGTGAAACCCCGCCTCTACTAAAACTAAAAAAAAAAAAAAAAAAAGTAGAAAACAAAAATCTTGGCCATGCACAGTGGCTCACACCTGTAATCCTAGCACTTTGGGAGGCTGAGGTGGGCAGATCCCTTGAGTCCAGGAGTTCGAGACCAGCCTGGGCAACATGGCAAAACCCTGCCTCTACTAAAAATATAAAAATTAGCCAAGCATGGTGGCACGTGCCTGTAGTCCCAGCTACTCAGGAGGCTGAGCCGGGAGGATCACTTGAGCTCAGGAAGCAGAGGTTGCAGTGAGCCAAGATCGCACCACTGCACACCAGCCTGAGCAACAGAATGAGATCCCATCTCAGGAAAAAAAAAAATCTTGGCTGGGCGTGGTGGCTCACGCCTGTAATCCCAGCACTTTGTGAGGCTGAGGCAGGTGGATCACAAGGTCAGGAGATCAAGACTATCCTGGCCAACATGGAGAAACCCCATCTCTACTGAAAATACAAAAATTAGCTGGGCATGTCTGTAATCCCAGCTACTCAGGAGGCTGAGGCAGGAGAATTGCTTGAACCAGGGAGTCACAGGTTGCAGTGAGCCGAGATCACGCCACTGGACTCCATCCTGGCGACAGAGTGAGACTCCGTATCAAAAAAAAAAAAAATCTTTAATTCCCCACCTACCCTACCCCTGTCACCACATTAAAGAAAGGTATGAGGGGCCAGTTGCAGTGACCCACACTTGTAATCCCAGAACTTCGGGAGGCCGAGGCGGGCGGATCACTTGAGGCCAGGAGTTCGAGACCAGCCTGGCCAACATGGTGAAACGCCATCTCTACTAAAAATACAAAAAGTAGCCAGGCATGGTGGCGGGCACCTGTAATCTCAACTACTCGGGAGGCTGAGGCAGGAGAATCACTTGAACCTGGGAGGCAGAGGTTGCAGTGAGTGGAGATCCTGCCATTGCACTCCAGCCTGGGCAACAAGAGCAAAACTCTATCTTTAAAAAAAAAAAAAAAAAGAAAAAACACAAACAAACAAGGTTGAGAAACACAGCTCTACCCTACATGTGAACCTTTTCTACATAAATATCCTGAATAGACAGCCATTAAACCTCTGCCTGACCTACTCCACTGTCAAGAAATATATCACCTCTGAAAGTCCTTTATTCCGTCATGAGTCTGCTCTACCTGTTACGAGATACTGCCCTATATCTACCTCTGTTTCTTGAAGCCACACAGAGATCTCCTTTCATGTAACAATCCTTCAAATATTGGAAGGGAACCAGAAAATCTTAGCCTTTTTTCCTCCAGGCAAAATATCCCTAGTTCATTTACTATCTCAAGTTGGAAAGCTTCAAGTCATCTTGCATCCTTTACACTTTATCTTCAGTCACCATATTCTATCAATGTTTTTTCCTTCAAAATGTCTTACTTATTCATTTCCTTCCCAATCCCACTGTAACTGTGAAGACCAGGCCTTCATACCTTTGAGGTCATTTTATCCTCCTAGCTAGTCTCCCTTATTCTAGTATCATCTCCCAAACCCCAATTCTTTTCCCATGGCTGCTAGACTCTTGTTATTTAAGCACTCCATCCACTGCATCCTCCTTCTTTCCAAGAACTTGCAGTGAACATCCCATTAGCCAAGGAACAGCACCTTACTTTTCACCCAGTAATCTCACTCCTATAAATGTACGCCAAGGGAAGAGTTTAAGAAAAAAATCTATATCATGAAGATGCTCGAGACTGTTATCTATTCCGACAAAAGAAACAAATTAGAAATAAATAATAGAGGCCAGGTATAGTGGCTCGCGCCTGTAATCCCAACATTTTGGGAGGCTGAGGTGAAAGGATCATTTGAAGCCAGAAGTTCGAGACCAGCCTGGGCAACATAGTGAGACCTTGTCTCTACAAAAACTTTAAAAATTAGCCAGGTTTGGTGGCACATGCCTGTAGTCTCAGCTACTTGGGAGGCTGAGGTGGGAGAATCCCTTGAGACCAGGAGTTCAAGGTTACAGTGAGCTATGACCATGCCACTGCGCTCCAGCCTGGGCAACAGAACAAGATCCTGTCTCTAAAAAAAGAGAGAGAAATAATAATAAATTATTAAATAAATTATGGTACTAAGGACTACAGTGCCACTATTAACAACATTATGTCGACTATGTGGAAACATGAAAATTATTATGCAATGTTAATTACGTATTCTGATTTTTTATGTCCACTATGTTTGCAACTCTATGGAAAATGATAAATCAATAAGGACAGATATTGAAAAATTAACACTCTAAAACAAATATAACAACATTAGTGTGGATTTGTGGGGCCTTTCCCATGCAAAATTCTTCGGTGAAAATAAGTTGTTTGCTGATAGGCATAACTGACCAGGCCCAAACAAAACGCACTGAAAATGTGAAAATATTTTAATAGACTTTAAAAATACTATTCATTTATTAGACTAAGCTGGGTAATCAAGCTATACAATAACAAGGCAATAACTAGTTACTACAGGCCTCAGAAACTAACGTTTAGCTAATTCTACCATATTTCACATTCCTGTTATCCTTAGTCACCTCCCAATATGTAAGCCCCTTTAGTCACTTATTCTTCCTTGTCTCTATGCTTCTTGTCCTCTTTCATTGATCCTATCCTTTCCAAATCTCTCAACTGCAGTATCCAGAACCTCTGTTCTGTGGTAACCTAAACATACACCTTCATATTCTACAAAGTATGCTTTCTCTGTCTTCTTACCTTAATCATATCCTAGCTCTCCTTCACCACCAAACCAGGACACTGTTTCCTCTGAATACATTTCCATATCTATCCCGCCTTAACAACTAGAAGTAAGCAGTGTCCTATACTAAGCTTCCCACTGCTAATGTGGAACAGAATATAAGCCCCTTCTTTGAGAAGGTAAATATAAAATCAGAAATAAATCCTACTTTAAGAAGGGAATCAGATTTAATTTAAAAGATAATATACAGGTCGGGCACAGTGGCTCATGCCTATAATCCCAGCACTCTGGTAGGCCAAGGCAGGTGGATCACCTGAGGTCAGGAGTTCGTGACCAGCCTGGCCAACATGGTGAAACCCCGTCTCTACTAAAAAATACAAAACATTAGCCGAGTGTGGTGGTGGGCGCCTGTTATCCCAGCTACTGGGGAGGCTGAGTCAAGAGAATCGCTTGAACCCGCTAGGCGGAGGTTGCAGTAAGCCAAGATCACGCCACTGCACTCCAGCCTGGGCGACAGAGCGAGACTCCATCTAAGAAAAAAAAAACCATAATATACAAAAATCAAATGGATCTTCTATTTAATCAAGTGCCATGGAAAAAAATTGCCTTAAGATTGTTTACAAATAATTTGTGAGCTACAGAAAGAACCTCATTAGTCAAGCTACTGCTAAAAGCTGAATTTGTTAGGCTAAATATTTGATTGCATTTTGCTACAGTCAGTTTTTCTCATGAGTCTGACTATCCCTTGCTTTTCTGAACACAACACAAAAGGTATCTTCAACCCTATTTCCAAACCATTATTCCTCTTTCCTTGTGTAAAAAACCCTTTCTCCTTTGTTCATACTATCCAGCTATACTACCCTCTATTTTTTTATCTTCTCATATCTCTGCTATCACTTGGAATCTTATCCAGATTCATTGAGGACCTTAGAACTCTGCATCATGTCCTGCCATCAATACCTCAGTTACACCAGTGTCCATGCAAATTATCCCAACATTTCAGCTTCACAGTTCCTTGACTTTGAATCAAATAACCTTCACCTTCACTCCACCTTAGTTACCCACTCCCACAGCCACACACTAGATTCTGTCATAACCTGAACTGAACCACACCAAAATCTATTATTTTTTTCTTTGTTATAACTTCCTATTCCAGCTTTTTCACAGACTCAACTCCAACTATAGCTACTCGTTTTTCAACATCAGAGACATTCAATCCCTTAATTCCTTTTTTAAATTTTGTAAATTTTTTTTTTTTGAGATGGAATCTTGTTCTGTTGCCCAGACTGGAGTGCAGTGGTGCAACCTCGGCTCACTGCAACCTCCACCTCCCGGGTTCAAGCGATTCTCCTGCCTCAGCCTCCTGAGTAGTTGGAATTATGGGCACGCCCGGCTAATTTTTGTATTTTTAGTAGAGATGGGGTTTCACCACGTTGCCTAGGCTGGTCTCGAACTCCTGATCTCAAGTGATCCGCCCACCTCAGCCTCCCAAAGTGCTGGGATTACAGGCATGAGCCACCGCACCCAGCCAATTCCTTAATTTTTAACCTCCTTTTTCAGGTTTATCAGCCTTCTCCTGGCCTTATTTTCCTATCTAGACTAGACCACACAGCTGATCACAACTTTCTTGTACTCCATTCAACCAGCAAAACCCAAACTGATTCAATCTCATAATTTGCTTTCTCTTCTCCAACATCTAAGTGGAAGAAAACACAACTGCAAAGATTGGCATCATTCCAAATTGATGATTGCCAACTTCTGCTGGGCCCTTAATGACGCTCAATAATCCTTTTACTTGTCTTTAACCAGCTCTTTTTTTCTCCCTGGCTGTCCTAAGCAGCTAACACCCTCCTGGAGTGTCCTACTTAATTCTATTCTCTAAATCATGCTTCTTATTTTGAGAAATTTAACATTCTTAGGCACAAAGTATTTTAATGTCTTGCCCTTTCTTCTAACTTTACAAATAAATCTATATATCCACCTATCCATGCATCCTCTCCCCAGTCTTAGAGGATAAATGGTGCCTCCCAATTCCTAACCACCCATTCAAGTAAATCTCACTACCTAGTTTTAACCCAATACCTTCATATTTCTTCTGGAATCTTGTACCATCAATTATTCCCAATCTTTTCTCCATTTTCAACTTCTCCCTCTTCTCCACTGGCTCCTTCGACTCCATCTATAAACACACTCACGTTTCTCTCATTTTAGAGGCAAAACAAACAAACAAACAACTTCCCCTGGTTGCCAGTCCCCCTACAGCTCTCTCTACAACTTTTTATTGGTCAAACATTTTGAAACATATTCTATACTCATTGTCTTGACTTGACTTTTCACTCACTCCTCAACCCACACAATCTGACTTCTACCTCCCCTGAATATATTTCCATATTCCACCTTAACAACTAGAAGTTGTTCCACTGGAACTACTCACAAAGGAAGCCAAAACCTCTGTATTGTCAATTCTAAAAGAAACGTTTCTTGTCCGTATCCTTCTGAACCTTCCTGGGATACTTGGCAACATCATTCCTTCATTCTTTATTGATATCCTATATTCCCTTTGTTTCCTTGGAACTATTATTCTCCTGGTTGTTTTTATACTTCTGGCAATTTCTTAAGATTCCTTTAGACTGTCCTCCTTCTTGGCCTGAGAATTAAATACTGTGCATTCCCGAGTTCTGTTTTTAGCTTGCTGTCTGTTCCCTTCCTTCCTTCCTTCCTCTCCCCACCCCTCTCATTCTCAAATATACGTGTCTGAATGTGTATATGCATATTAGGTTGAACCACAGCCAACTGCCAATCATTAACCATCTCTGACGTACAAAAAATAGCAATTTCCTATGGTCCAGCCTAATGTTTAAACAGCTCTTTAGCGTGGAAGAATAAGAGAAGAAACAAAGAATAACCCAATTAGAAGATTGAGACAGAATTGCAAAAAAAAAAAAAAAAAAAAATTCAAACTGAAGTCTCTGAAAACTTATTAGCTGGGAGAATTGGTGTGGATGTCATGTGAATGATGATATTGGTCAGGATGTAAAAGTTACAATTAGCATAAATAGACCTCAAATCCAAGTTAATATGATAGGTAATTAATCAAGTGCCATTCAATTACGACAAACGCTAACCAGGACAACATGTTTCCTGTCAATGTGGCCAACAGTAAGTGATTTAAGGTTAAAAAAAAAAGTTATAAAAGAAAAATTACTTAATTGCCCCTCTTCTAGAATAGGAATAACCATTCTATAAGAAAGTGGCTCTCAAACTCATTCAGGTAGAACTTCTGGAAGCCATATTGGTCTTCTTGGAGACCACTCCAAAATAGTAACATATTATATATAAGGTTGGAACAATTTTACTAGCAGAAAACGACTATTACTATAAATATAAAATATGAATGTCACAGGGAGTTTTGTTTGCTTTGGTCACTACTATATTCCCAGTGTCAAGAAGGGTATTTAGTAGGTGCTCAAAAAATATTTGTGAAATGAATAAATGTATCTACAAAAATATAAACCACAACAATCAAACTAAGTATTTCTCAGTTTGTTTGTTTTTATTAATATGCATCTGCCACTTGTTCGTTCACTATGTCATTTGCTACAAGTGGAAACAGGTCAGGAAAACTGTATGCAACACAGCCTTAAAAAAGGAACATTCTATGCATTAACTTTGAGTTGAGTGATGCAGTACCTCAAAGCCCAGGTCCAAGAAAATCCTGTTATAAAACCATTGCTGTAATATCAGTTTGGAATTGTGTACCACTAGCAATAGAATAATACATCCTATTGAATCTAAGCAAGACAAGTTTTTGTTACCTTGAAATAAATGGTTGATGTAAAGAAGAGCTGCGCTAGATGGTCAAAAAGAAGTGGTTTCACCTCTAGGAATCAAAAAAAAGATTATTCAAAATCCTTTCAATCATAGTACGTTGAATCAAATGACTCCAAATTTTCATGATACATACCAGAGAAGCTACTAAAAGGAATCCAGCTCACAAGCTGAAGGAACTGTGACCGACAACAAAGGCCATCCCAGAGAGGAAGGCTCTTATACAGGAATGCTTCACAGGAATAAAACCCCTCCTGTAACACAAGTGAATAGTAAATCCTTATATGGAACTCTTCAGTCATAAAATTATGCTCTAAACAACCAGTTTATTTTGTGCTATAGTTGCTTCACTCTTAGACTAATTTTTTGTCATGAATATAATAAAAGCCTTAAGTTAGGTGCCAGACTTCCTCAGAAAAAGGATGAGATGATTAGTATTTGCATACATTACCATTTTTATCAATACAGTTCTCAAATACCATAAAACTTCATCAATTGGAAAGAAAGTTAAAAGTTATAGAATATTTTTAAAAAAATAAGATTTATTATCTTGGGGTACATGCAGTAATTTGAACAGTCAATAAAATGTATACAATATTATGTAATAGGGCTAGAATTTCATTAGAGGCCATAGACCAAATCCCAACTCTGAGCAGCTCCATCTTTAGAGGCTCAAATGTCTAGGTTGCTTATATTTCCACCAGAGTGAGGATCTGGGACTTCCCTTTTTTCCATTGTCACCTAAGCTTTTCACAGTGACATGCACCAGGACTCTATCCTAAGACCTTCTTTTCATGACATGAATTCTCTGGACAATCTCATCCATATCATAGCTAAAACCACTTTTAACATGAGGGGTCCTAAATCTGTATCTCTAGCTCAAATCTCATTCCTGAGCTCTAGACTCATTATTTTACTGCGTACTGGATATGACCGCTTTGATGTCCCATTAGGCATCTCTTAAGTGAAACATCTTTCCTTCCAAGACTGCTCCTCCTATATTTCTTTTCTCAGTGAATGCCATCCATCTTCCCAAGTAGGAAACATAAACGTCAACCTAAATTGCTATCCTCACTACCATCTCTGCACCCAGCTTCCAATTAAATGGTTTCACACCAAATCCCTAAAACTTGGGCTGGGTGTGATGGCTCACACCTATAATCTCAGCACTTTGGGAAGCCAAGGCAGAAGGAATGCTTAAGCCCAGGAGTTTGAGACCAGCCTGGGCAACGTGGTAAATCCCCGTTTTTACAAAAAAATACAAAAAACAAACACACAAACAAAAAAATAGCCAGGAGTGGTGGTGCACACCTGTAGTCCTAGCTACTAACTAGACTGAGCAGGGAGGATCAATTGAGCCCAGGAGGTCAAGGCTGCAGTAAGCCATGATTGTGCCAGTACACTCCAGCCTGGGCAACAGAGCAAGACCTTGTCTAAAAAAAAACAAAGAATTATTCCACAAACATTTATCAATCAAGCTGAACATCTATACATGAAGAAAAGTTAGACATGGTTTCTGCCTGCTGGGAGCTCGTAATGTGTGGATGCTAAAAATGTCACGATAGAGGTAAGCACAGGGAGCCATGGGAGCACATAGAACAAGGAGCTAACCCACACTGGGCAATAAGTGAAGGCTTCTTGATGGTGCTGATACCCAAGCTGCAGCTTAAAATACAACTCAGGGTTACCCAAACCAAATAGTCCATTGGCTGGAACATATCTGATGCTCAAAAAATGTTTGTTGATTGTAAGAATATAAGTAGTGACCCTATGAAATTTACATTACTGGCTAATTCAGTTAACTGAATACATTTAATTACATCTTCAGTTTGTTCTCTTAAATTACAGGCTTTTCCCTTTTATTTGCATAATATAACATATTCTTTCTTCAAATCTAACAGTGCAAAGATAAAACTCAGCTTTATCTATAATGAGCTTCAAACTGAACAAATATTATTTACAAAAGATGTCAGGTACTAAAAAAAAGGGTTTTTTGTTGTTGTTGTTTTTGAGACAGGATCTCACTCTGTAACCCAGGCTGCAGTGCAGTGGCACAATTACGGCTCACTGCAGCCTTGACCTCCTGAGCTCAAGTGATCCTCCTACCTCATCCTCCTGAGTAGCTGGGACTACAGATGCATGCCACCATGCCTGGCTAATTTTTGTATTCTTTGTAGAGATGGGGTTTTGCTGTGTTGCCCAAGCTGGTCTTGAACTCCTGGGCTCAAGTGATCCACCCGCCTTGGCCTCCAAAGTGCTGAGATTACAGGTGTGAGCCACCGCAGCCGGGCAAGAAAAGGTTTTCAATGGATATCTAAATAAATTTTAGTAAAGAGTGGTGGAGAGTGGAAGAAGCAAGTGAAATCTTACTTGTAAGAAGCACTCTGCCCTGATGATGGTATCCAGGAAGTTGGTAAATTCTTTTCCATGTTCATAATTATTCACCTTGTACCAAATACATTCTAGAGCAGAAACAGTAAATATAAGCATCTAGTTGTACCACAATAAAAAAGTGCACAAAACATAATTATCACTAAAGTGACAAGTGACAAAGTAAAAAAGCCATAAGTCTCATACATCCTAGCTAACTCATGATGTAGACTGGAACAGTCACATGGAGATGATAGTGAGATATTCCTCAACAACTTGGTAATATAGGGAAAAGCTTATAGTGTAAATATAGGGAAAAGCTTATAGAAATGGAGAGAATTCACATATAATGAATATGATAAGCTTTATATCACATAGCAATCCAAGAAAGTACAAACATCTGAATTGAAAGTTTTAGAATACCCTAAACTTCAATTAGAGTATGCTGGGTATAATGTAAGAGTGATACAAATTTAGTACATGGAAATCTAATAAACTATATCATATTCTGTTTAAAAGATTCAGAGAAGAAGAAGAAGAATTGGCCTGGAACCAACTAAAAGCAACTTTAACCACCAGAAGAATCAGGAGTTGCTTATCCAGTATCCAGTAAAGAAACACTCAAATTTGGTCAAAAGAAATATTATCTCTAGAGAAATATACCCGCCCCTCCCCACCGACCCCCACCATTGGAGGAATGAAATGCTCAGGCTTTACTATGGCTTGGATGAAAGACTTCTCACTGCCCTTTCCTTTAATTCTATAATTAAGAAATCTTCTAATGACAAATTTGGCTCCCATATATGCTGATAGCAGAGGGGATACTCTAGTTGGCAGATATGAGCATTTCGCTTACCAGAAATAATTAATTTTATAATAAGCTGACATTCTGGCTTGTACATTTGTCTCTTCTGAGTTTCGTTACCATTAACAGGATGATTCTGGGGCCCTAACAGCAAGTTTCTGAACATACAAAGATGAAGAATCCTTGGATTGTGATAGTCATCAAAGTGGAGCCACCCAGTGAGTTTTGGTGGCCATCTAGCAGTGTTTCCTTAACAAAATCCCTCTACCTTCTTACTGCCTTAAAATTACAACAGAAACATTCATGCTCTAAATATAAGATTACCACAGACATAATTACAGCATATGAAGGCTCCTGCTGTCTAGAATTTGGCACCCTTATAAAAGAAACCCATTTGTTAACTATCTTGGTCCATCCTCACTCAATTCTTACCTTCTTGTAATGTTTGACTCAACCAGTAATAAAACCTCAGCAAGACTGGCTCATCTCTGACACAGTTAATGTAGTGAAGCAGCAGAGAGTTGTTTAGCACTGAGCCCATCTGAGAAGGCAGCTGCAATGACAGAACAACCGATCAACAGTTAAGTATCTGAAAAGTGGATAAGGGAATCGTCATATAGAAAATATATAACAAAAATAGGCTGGGCATGGTGGCTCATGCCTATAATCCCAACACTTTGGGAGGCTGAGGCAGGAGGATCACTTGAGCCTAGGAGTTTGAGGCCAGACTGAGCAATATATTTTTAAAATAATTTTTTTTTGTTTTGTTTTGAGATGGAGTCTCGCTCTGTCACCCAGGCTGGAGAGCAGTTGCTCCATCTCAGCTCAGTGCAACCTCTGCCTCCCAGGTTCAAGCGATTCTCGTGCCTCAGCCTCTTGAGTAGCTGGAACCACAGGCATGCACCACCAAGCCCGGTTAATTTTTTTTTTATTTTGAGACAGAGTTTCGCTCTTGTTGCCCAGGCTGGAGTGCAATGGCGCGATCTCGGCTCACTGCAACCTCCGCCTCCCAGGTTCAAGCAATTCTCCTGCTTAGCCTCCCAAATGGCTGGGATTACAGGCATGTGCCACCACGCCCAGCTAAATTTAGATTTTTAGTAGAGGTGGGGTTTCTCCATGTTGGTCAGGCTGGTCCCGAACTCCCAACCTCAGGTGATCTGCCCGCCTCAGCATCCTAAAGTGCTGGGATTACAAGTGTGAGCCACCGCGCCCAGCCCAATTTTTGTATTTTTTAATAGAGATGGAGTTTCACCATTTTGGCCAGGCTGGTCTTGAACTCCTGACCTCAAGTGATCCGCCCACCTCGGCCTCCCAAAGTGCTGGGATTACCGGCATGAGCCACCGTGCCCAGCCTGATATAAATTGTTTTAAAAATTAGCCAGGCGTGGTGATGCACATCTGTAGTCCCAGCTACTTAGAAGGTTGAGGTGGGAGGATCACATAAGCCCAGGAGTTCAAGGCAGCAGTGAGCCATGATCACACCACTGCCTGGGTGACAGGTAAGACCCTATCTCAAAAAAACAAAACAAACAAACAAACAAAAAAACAAAGGCCATGAAATTCAAATAGAAAATGCAAAGAAGCACATGGTCCAGTCACATACCTCTAAGCAATGGATGTTCTGTAAAAGTTGGGGGAAGCTTTGAAGTTGTTCTAGTGGAAATGATCCACTTCTATTCAGACAATCAGAAAGACTCATCTCTTTTTTTCCACATTCTTTAGTGTAGCTACTGGAATTGAGCACTGGTATAACTGAGAGAGAATTCCACTTCTGAAGAAAGATAATAAAATAATCTATCAATGGACTAAACAGACTACAAACCACAAATATAAAAGCAACTGGTAAGGTGTTTCAATTAAAGGAATCTGAATATGGCTTACACAGAATCCTGGGTAACTGACATATACTTAAATATCTATAATCTCCTCTAAGATCTGAATGGTTATTATTTGGATTTAATAAAAGAAAGCCATGCAAGTTGTTTGAGCTTTAGATACTTACTCTTTTTAGAGGACGAACATTAGCTGGACCTAACATCAACTTCAGAGGTTCTGGAGAAGGTCCCCGGTTTCTTTGCTTCACGGCAAGCAGAGCCGTCTTCCATAGATTCTCTGAATTCTTAAAATATATCTATAAATTTGGATATAAAGTACAAGAGAGTAGGTACCCATAAACTGAAGCAACATAAAGTCTAAAATGCCTCATTAATTGAAAATATATTATGAAATCCTTTACACCCATACAAATGCACTTAAAGTATTTTTTTTTCTGATTAGTAATCTATTAAATATACCAAATGGGATCAACACGAAGTACCAATTCCTAAAAAAAAACTTTCCCAAAACAGTACCACAATACTAGACAGTAAAACAGTAGGCTGTAAACATTTTAGTTGAAATCTGTAAGTTAACTTTACCAAAAATAACATATTTCAATCTTAATATGATTTCTCTCTCCTTAATCCCTTACCTTCTTCCTTACAGGCAAAGATACTGAAATCAGAGCAGGAGCAAAGAACTTATACAGTGACAACAAAGCCTGGAGATGAGGCTGCATTCCCTGAAATAAAATAAGTTTTCCATTTTCAATTCTGTGGCTATTAAGAAACTGAGGAAACAAATACCAATAAGAAGGAAAAAAGTATATTCAGACCATAATTTCGCTGAGATATAGCTATAGGAAGATGCTATCAAAAATCAAGGAATGAGTAACCAGACATTTAAGTCAACCACCATAAAACAACCCTCTCCAAACTGTGATCTTCTCTCTTAGGACCTTTTCCAACTTTACTTCTTCCTTGTATTTTTCTCTTCTCTTCCTATACCTTAGGCTGACCAGTCATACTTACTAGCATAGCATAGCTTATTCTCACTGGTAGCATACTCAGGACTCAAAGTTTACTCATCCTTGATTTAGACCTCAAGGAGACAGGACCAGAAGAGAAGCTAATACCTGATTATTATAATTCTTGGAAAATTATCTAGGAAATTACAATTGGTATGCCATAATCAAGCAGCTTTGATATAACTGAAACAAGTCTTAACAAAAGCACTAATTTCACAACGAAAGATGTGATTACTGCTAGATACCTGTTTTATACATCTGGCTATCCAGAGAAAACACACCACTAAAATGAATTCTAAGGAAGTAACCAAATTGTTTTATTATACTAAAATTTTATTGAATCGAATACTGCACAAAGGCAGCAAATGAGGCTTAGAAATACAATATTTCCATTTTATAACAGCTTCTTGAAATTAAATTTATTAAAACAAAACCAAAATGACCCAGTTTATCTATGTTGAAAATATCTCCTAACCTCTGTACACCCATTATTAATGAGTATCAGAGTGTTTGTTTTGAGCTAGAATGCTTTTTAGAGAATACTTAGTTGTGCTGAGGCCTTTAGAACTTATAGTCTAGTTAATTAAAACTATCTTTTTTGTTAAAAAGTTAATACTAAAAAAGGTAAGGGGGAGATTTCCAGTTAAAAATGGCATATCGAACATATGATTAATTCTGGGTTCTCCCAAAGCCCCATTTAAAAGACAGTAAAAGAATGAAAAAGGTGGCTGGGCACGGTAGCTCATGCCTGTAATCCCAGCACTTTGGAAGGCCGAAGTGGGTGTATCACTTGAGGTCAGAAGTTTGAGACCAGCCTGGCCAACATGGTGAAACCCCATCTCTACTAAAAATACAAAAATTAGGCCGGCTGTGATGGTGCACACCTGTAGTCCCAGCTACTCGGGAAGCTGAGGCAGGAGAATGGCTTGAACCTGGGAGGCAGAGGTAGCAGTGAGCTGAGATCGCATCACTGTACTCCAGCCTAGGTGATGGAGTGAGACTCCATCTCCAATAAATAAATAAAAGAAGAATGAAAAAGGATAAAGCAAAGCACAAGTTCAAAGAGAACAAGAGAGGAGATAACAGCATATGAGAAATCTAAATAAGATTTTGGAACCTAGAATGAAGATGGTCAAATAGTAACCAAGTTAGCAGAATAGATAAAATGAAATCTAAGGTATCAACAGAAAAAGCCTCAAAAAAATCAGATTCATGCTTGACAACTCCCAGAAAGGATCAAGAGTTGAGGGACCACATATCTCTAAAAAGTGGGGATGCAAAAGGGACAAGAAAACAGGAGTATTGCATGAAAGGCTACATAAGAAGCAGTTAGAACCCCAAATTCCTTCACTATACTGGCAAAACATTAGGGCTTTACTCTGAAAATGAAGCTGGACTCGGATACCAGGCACAGCCAAGGGAGGATACCAAGACCATTTCTCACCCCTTTCTAGTGCTCAGGTCTCAGAGTGCCAGTAGCCAGGTTTACACCCTGTGATGATGTATTAGCCCACTCTAACACTGCTATAAAGAACTGCCCAAGACTGGGTCATTTATAAAGGAAAGAGGTTTAACTGACTCACAGTTCCACGTGGCTAGGGTGGCCTCAGGAAACTTACAAACATGGCGGAAGGGGAAGCAAACACATCCTTCTTCACACGATGGCAGGAAGGAAAAGAATTAGAGCTGGGCGAAGGGGAAGCCCCTTATAAAACCATCAGATCTCGTGAGAACTCACTCACTATCACAAGAATAGCATGGGGGAAACCGCCCCCATGATTCAACTACCTCCCATTGGGTCCCTCCCACGACATGTGGGGATTATGGGAATTATAATTCAAGATGAGATTTGGGTGGAGACACAGCCAAACCATATCAGATGGTTAATTTTAAGTGTTGATTTGGCTGGTCCACAGGCTGCCCAGATATTTGGAGAAACATTATTTTGGGTGTTTCTGTGAGGGTTTTTTAGATATGTTTAACATTTAAATCAGTAGACTTTGAATAAAGCAAATTGACTGCCCTCCGCAATGTGGATAGGTCTCATCCAATCAGTTGACAGCCTGAATAGAAGAGGTCCCAGAAGAAGAAGAAAATGTCCAACAGACTGCCTTCAGACTTTATTTGCAACAGCAGTTCTTCCTGGTTCTATAGTAGACTGCCACTTAACTCAAACTGGAACATTGGCCCTCCTGGGTCTCCAGCCTGCTGGCCCATCCGGTAGATTTTGGACTTACCAGCCACCATAAAAAAATCAAATGAGCCAATTCCCTATAATATTATAAATACACACACACACACACACACACACACACACACACACACACACACACTTGATTCTATATGTACAACCGTGCAACCACATAAGACAGGAAACAGGAGAATTCTGTTTTGAGAATATTAACATAGTCATCTGGGAGGATCCTCAACAAAACATCAAGATCCTACAATGAACAAGTCCTGCTCATACACACAAGTTTCCAATCATCATGTTAGTGTTTTACTTTTAAATATGAACAAATAAGCTTTACCAAGCATTGGTGAGCAGTGGCTCACACCTGTAATCCCAGCACTTTGGGAGGCCAAGGCGGGAGGATTGCTTGAGCCCAAGAGTTTGAGACCAGCATGGGTGACATAGAGAGACCCTGTCTCTACAAAAAATTTAAAAATCAGCCAGGCCTGGTGGTGCATGCCTGTAGTCCCAGCTACTCCAGAGGCTGAGGAGGGAGGATCGCTTGAGCCCAGGAATTCACGGTGGCAGTGAGCCATGATCATGCCACTGCACTCCAGCCTGGGTGACAAAGTGAGACCCCCGTCTCTAAAAAAAATTAAAATAAAATTTAAATTTAAAAAGTATCATAAAAGACCAAACAATCTAAAAACAGAAACTATGAGGAAACAGAGACAAAGCTTGAAACAGAAAAAAATCACAGCCCAAAGTGCATACACACAGGCTCATGCCCGGTAGAGGGAGAACCAACCCTTAGGATGAGACCTAATTCCCCCTTCTTGTTCTAAAGATTGCTCTGGACAGGGCCTAGTGTATGTAGGAAAATGCCCCACTTCCTACTATTCATGTCTGCTACCAGAAATACAATTTTTGTGGTTTTGTTTCCTTCATAGATTGGGAGCTATGGGGCATGGAGGGGGATAGACGGGATATATGCCTTTGCAGGTATCAGAAATTCGCACATCCAATGTATTTCCTCACATATGTTGACTATGCCTGTTACTATCATGCATGTTAGGTTACATATGAACATAGCTATGCCTTCTTGGTTTGATATTGTTGGACTTACCCAAATTCATCAAAATTCAGCTAATCAAAACAATGTTATGTATGCATCTTTATAAATGGGTACTTACTGACAATGGAATAATTTAGTGATGTACTGTATAGAGTGGTAGTAATGAAACCAGACATTTAGTGTCTCCGTTATAAATTTTTAGACAATCATCTCATAAATCATTTTTTACTTGAACATACACTGTGTTTCAGCTAATACAAAACAAATCAGCAAGATCTTTTGTTTGTTTGTTTGTTTGTTTGTTTTTTTGGAGACGGAGTCTTGCCCTGTCGCCCAGGCTGGCGTGATCTCAGCTCACTGCAACCTCCGCCTCCCGGTTTCAAACAATTCTCCTGCCTCAGCCTCCCAAGTAGCTGGGATTGCAGGTGCCCACCATCACGCCCAGCTATTTTTTGTATTTTTAGTAGAGACGGGGTTTCACCATGTTGGCCAAGATGGTCTCGAACTCCTGACCTCGTGATCTGCCCGCCTCGGCCTCCCAAAGTGCTGGGATTACAGGTGTGAGCCACTGCACCTGGGTACTAAGATCTTTTATTATGGTAAGAATTGTCTTATTCCATTGAAATGTTTTGCTGTAACATGGGAAAAGGTACATTTTTTTCATAATTTCTATTAATGTGAAATAAAATTCAAATTGGACAAAAATATTACCATTAATATCTTCAGAGAACTAAGAAAAAATAATCGTACCCATGGAACTAAAACAGAAGGCTACAAAAAAAGAATAATCATTGAACTGCACTAAGAGGAGACCTCACATTGGAGAAGCACAAATGTGTTCTGTGTTTGTGTCTTTCATTCAATAAATGCCTATAGGTAGGCCATGAAAGCTCCAGTTAGACATGACCACTATTACTTCCATTGTTTCATATCCAGAGCTTCACAGACTTCTGTTACCTGGCAGGTAAAGTGGAAATAACAATGCAGAGAGCTGTAAGGACCAGAGATAACAGTCAGAGAATATACTGAAGTTTAAGCATCCAGAAGATAATGTCTTAAAATGCTTTCCTAGGCCAGACTCAGCGGCTCACACCTGTAATCCCAGCACTTTGGGAGGCCAAGGCAGATGGATAACCTGAGGTCAGGAGTTCGAGACCAGCCTGGCCAACATGATGAGACCACCATCTCTACTAAAAATATAAAAAATTAGCCTGGCGTGGTGGTGCGCGCCTGTAGTTCCAGCTACTCGGGAGGCTGAGGCAGGAGAATCGCTTGAACCCGGGAGACAGAGGTTGCAGTGAGCTGAGATCGCACCACTGCACTCCAGCCTAGGCAACAGAGGTAAACTCCATCTCAAAAAAAAAAAAAAAAAAGCTTTCCTAGATCACATCCGTACAAAATATAAATTCATTTATGACCACTCCCTAACACTTACTGTTCCAGCCATACCAACCCAGCTCCCTAAACAATGTTTGCTGTTTGACATCTCCATGTCTTTGCTCATGCTGTTCCCTCTGGGAGGAATGCCCTTCTCTCCCTTCTTTGCCTACTTAAATCCTATTCATCCCTTAAAAATTCTCTCAAGCAGGCCGGGTGCAGTGGTTCATGCCTGTAATCCCTGCACTTTGGGAGGCCGAGGCAGGCAGATCACCTGAGGTCAAGAGTTCGAGACCAGCCTGGCCAACATGAAACCCCGTCTCTACTAAAAATACAAAAAATTAGCCAGGCATGGTGGTGGGCGCCTGTAATCCCAGTTACTCAGGAGGCTTAGGCAGGAGAATTGCTTGAACCCAGGAGGCGGAGGTTGCAGTGAGCTGAGATTACACCCCACTGCACTCCAGCCTGGGCGAAAAGAGTGAAACTCCATCTATAAAATAAAAATAAAATAAATAATTCTCTCAAGCATCACCACTTCTCCTTGACCCCAAGTCTGATTCTGATTTTTCATTTTGTTCACTGAGCTCCCCAGAAAATAAGTTCCTTAAAGATAATGAGTGATAGGCCAGGCGCGGTGGCTTACGCCTGTAATCCCAGAACCTTGGGAGGCCGAGGCGGGTGGATCACCGAGGCCAGGAGTTCCAGACCAGCCTGGCCAACATGGTGAAACCCTGTCTCTACCAAAAAACACAAAAGTTAGCCGGGTGTGGTGACGCGTGCCTATAATCCCAGCTACTCGGGAGGGTAAGGCAGGAGAATCGCTTGAACCTGGGAGGCGGAGGTTGCAGTGAGCCAAGATCATGCCACTGCACTCCAGTCTGGGCAACAGAGTGAGACCCTGTCTCAAAAAAAAAAAAAAAAAGATCAAGAGTTATTTGATTTTGTATTCCCAATGCCTGGCTCAGTACCTGGCACATAGTACATTGGCAGGTCTTAGGTCTTTTCAGTACTCACCATTTTGGCCTGAAGATCAAGCAGTTTTCTCACACGAAATGGTTTGACTAGAAAACATAAAGGAAAGACGTACTATGCATTTGGATTCAGAATAAAAAGAAATTGGTTATATTTAACCACCATGCAATTCATACAGTTTCTTCTTGTAACATATCAAGGAAATAAATACCTGTTCAGTTAAGCCATTAAGCAGATGCTCTTAAAGTACTAAAAAGCAATTTCCACAAAATGACTTCTGTCATATAACTAATGCTAATAGTTATTTTAACTTTATAAAGGCCAATACAAATGCTAATTCTACAAAGTATAATACAACTGTAATGAAAATACTCACCATTCTCTTTTTTGGTAAGTAAATATAACAAATGGCAAACATAAGGGCACTGTTAAAACATAAAAAAATATTAAGAGAAATGATAATATGTCTTGAACAGAGGGGCAACACATTTTCCTCAAATGTCAATCTTACGCTGATTAAGTAAAAAACCTTCAGGACTTCACTGAACAATAGTTTTACAAAGAGTCTCTTTTTCCTACTGTATAGTGATAAAAAAACAATAGTTTTAATCAGCATTTCATTAGGTCATTTTTTAGTTATTTTTGGAATGTAAAGGTATTGCAGACAATTTGAAAAACAGAATTACCTATCATCCTCCTACCTAACAAAAATTAATGTATTCCTTTCAATATTTGCATGTATGTATTTAGTTACTAAATTCATACAAATATTGAAAGGAATGCATGAATTTTTGTTATTCCTTTCAATATTTTTATGTATGTGTATTGTTAGTTGGTGGAGACAAGGTCTCACTATGTTGCCCAGGCTGGTCTCTAACTCCTGGCCTCAAGTGATCCTCCTGACTCAGCCTCCTAAAGTACTAGGATTACAGGCATGAGCCACTGCACCTGGCCCATACTTATTAAGACATAAACTTGAAACTTTTATCCTGATTTCCTATTTAAAACCATTTTCCCATGTTGTTTAGTCTTCAAAATTATCATTTTCAATGATGCTTCATATTCCAGTCAGTATATATACAAGAATTTAGTTAACAGCTTAGTCTTCAGTTTGGCAAACAGTATGCACTCAATTTGCTAATTAAATTATTGTATGACTGATTCCCTTCTACCATTTCATTTTCAGTGTCCATCTGTTGAGGTCTTACTCTAGATCAGGGGTCAGGAAACTATGGTCTACCTGTTTTTGTAAATAAAGTTTTATTGGGACACAGCCACATCATTCATTTATTTATTGTCTACAGCTGCTTGCACACCACACCAGCAGAGTTGAATAGTTGTGACAGAGACAATATGGCCTTCATGCTCAGAATATTTACTACCTATCCCTTTAAGAAAAAGTTTGCCAATACCTTCTCTAAATAATAGGAAAGTGAAAAAATATTTAATAGTACTAGAGAAAGCAACAAGAGCAAAGACTTTCTTTAAACAAATTTGTATTTTTGTAGTCATGACTCTAAACTTTAAAGTCTAAACTACAGCATATTCCATACTGCCTCTTCTGTACTTAGAAATGGTTTGAGAAAGAATCTAAACATACTTTTAAGAAGCATGAATTTAGATATGGAATTTTTATTTTATTTTTTGAGACGGAGTTTCACTCTTGTTGCCCAGGCTGGAGCACAATGGCATGATCTCGGCTCACTGCAACCTCCGCCTCCCGGGTTCAAGCGATTCTCCTACCTCAGCCTCCCAAGTAGCTGAGATTACAGGCATGCACCACCACACCCGGCTAATTTTGTACTTTTAGTAGAGACAGGGTTTCTCCATGTTGTTCAGGGTGGTCTCGAACTCCTGACCTCAGGTGATCTGACCACCTTGGCCTCCCAAAGTGCTGGGATTACAGGTGTGCGCCACCACACCTGGCCGGAATCTTTTTTTAAAAGAAAGAATACATGTTATGACCACATCTGCCATATACTACACAGAGAATAGCAATTTTCAGTATAAAAAATGTGTTATGTCATATGCTTAAGGATATGAACTACTAGCAATACTATCATGTTGAATATGAAATGAGTGTTACACAATCACTTGCCCTAGACTCCATTATTATAGGAAATCTGACATTCTCTTTTAATCACATCTAGAAAGGAAAAACTCATATATTTTAATCATTTTACAATTGCCTTTCTGGCAAATATTTAGGTTGGTGCAAAAGTAATTGCAGTTTTTGCCATTTCAATGGCAAGAACTTTAATAAGTACTTGGGTTATAAAAGGCTCAGTCCCTGACTGGAAGAACTCAGTCTATTGAGCTGTTAGAAGAAAGCAGAAAGCGTCTCTTCTTATTTCCTATTCTTTACAAAGTATGTTTAAACACAGAATTCATTTGTATTGCAATTTGGTCAGTTTATGAACAGAAACAATATGAGGTTAAGAGAGATGTCAAAGGTAAGAGAGAGACAATGACATACCACTTGTCATTCAACCACACCTGTGCACCACAGGACATGGAACAGGGATGAGCATCCTGCATCCTTACTTTCTATCGACACTTCCAAGGTTACCACTCTTTCACCGTTGTATAGAAAAAGACCTCCTCTGAGACTTAGTTCACCCAACTTTACTACCTCTACCTTACCTATACCCTGTCAGCTCACTACTAACCTAGTACCTTCCCCAAAATTCCGTGAGGATTTGGGCATCTCACTCAGTTTTCAGCTCTAACTCTAATCCCAATATCATGCCAGATGACTTTAATGTCCATATCAACAAATCACCGTGGTCTTACAGTTTACTGACCTCAATTCCAATGACCTGATAACCATCTATAGAAATATTGTGTATTAGATACTCTGAATGACCCTGACCGCTTTCCTGCCAGCTCAGCAATGTTTTTGACATCATATCCAGCTGTTGAAGCATGTTTCAGAGCTGGCATGAAAGCAAGAATCTGCAGTTCCCAAAAACAAAGTGAAAGTAGAAACACTAAATATTGAACAAGCTTTCTCACCAAGATTTTTTGCCAAACCTTAGAAACTTTGAACTTACGACTTTAATAGCTACAAAGGGAGGCAGGGATAGGTTAGGCAGGGGATAAAGCTTAGGACCCACCCAATGTGTAGATTATGCAGAGGATCTATTATAATAAAAAACTGGAATCCCCAAGAGCTACACACTAAGTGTATGGTTGTGAAATTAAAACTCCACTGTGTTGAACA
This sequence comes from Homo sapiens, assembly GCF_000001405.40. Lineage (NCBI taxonomy): Eukaryota > Metazoa > Chordata > Mammalia > Primates > Hominidae > Homo > Homo sapiens. The sequence goes on along the minus strand of NC_000023.11, from coordinate 101,117,603 downwards.
GGACAGCAAGAAAACTTGCTTGTCCTGACCTTGGAAATGGGTGAAAGGAAAATAAAACCTTTCCCAAGAATTTGTAACCAGAAGCCAGCTCAAAAAACGTCTGCAGTTTGGCCAGGCGCGGTGGCTCATGCCTGTAATCCCAACACTTTGGGAGAGCAGGCAGATTACCTGAGGTCAAGAGTTTGAGACCAGCCTGACCAACATGGAGAAACCCCGTCTCTACTAAAAATACAAAATTAGCCAGGCATGGTGGTGCATGCCTGTAATCCCAGCTACTTGGGAGGCTGAGGCAGGAGAATCGCTTAAACCCAGGAGGCAGAGGTTGCGATGAGCCAAGATCGCGCCATCGCACTCCAGCCTGGGCAACAAGAGCAAAAAACTCTGTCAAAAAAAAAATTATATATATATGTCTGCAGTTTGAATTTACACTAGTGGGATGGCCTGGAAAACCTAAAGAGAGTAACTTAAAGTGGCTCTAACTTTGTAACTCTCAGGTAAATCATATATCTTGTATCTAGGGACTTGTATCTAGAATACAGAAAGAACTCTTACAACCCTATAGGATAATGAACAACCCAATTTAAAAGAGGGCAAAGGATCCTAAGAGACATTTCTCCAGGGAGGGTATACAAATGGCCAATAAGCACATGAAAAGTTGCTCAATATCATTAGTTATCAGGGAAATGCAAATCAAAACCACAATGAAAGACCACTTCACACCTACTAGCATGGCTATAATCAAGTCAGATAAAATAGCCAGTATTGGTGAGGATGTGATGAAATTTGAACCCTGTTATAGACTGCTGGCAGGAATGAAAAATGGTACAGCCACTGTGGAAAAGAGTTTGGCGATTCCTCAAAAAGCTGAACATAGAATTGCCATATGATACAGTAATTTTTTTCCTAGGTATACACTCAAAGGAACTGAAAAAGCAGGAACCTGAACAGATATTTATATACCAATACTCAACACAGCACCATTCACAATAGCCAAAAAGTGAGAACAACTCAAATGTCCAACATCAGATGAATGGATAAACAAAATTAGATATAGTCATCCCTTGTTATCAGCAGGGGATTGGTTCCAGGACTTCCCTTCCCCGCCACCATATCAAACTCTGCGGATTCTCAGGTTCCTTATATAAAATTGTGTAGTACTTGCATATAATCTATGCACATCCTCCTGTATACTTTAATCAGGGGGTGCCCAGTCTTTTGTTATCCGGGCCACATTGGAAGAAGAATTGTCTTGAGCCACACATAAAATACACTAACGATAGCTGATGAGCTTAAAAAAAAAACCCCCCAAAAATCTCATAATGTTTTAAGAAAGCTTATGAATTTGCGTTGGGCCTCATTCAGAGCAATCCTGGGCTGTGGGTTGGACAAGCTTGCTTTAAATCGTCTCCGGATTAGTTATAATACTTAACATAATGCAAATGCTATGTAAATAGTTATTACACTATATTTTTTATTTGTATTATTTTTTATTGTTATATGTATCTTTTAATATTTTCAATCAATAATTGGATGAATCCATGGATGCAGAACCCTCAGACACAGAGGGCTGACTGCATATATATGAAGTAGAATATTATTCACCCATAAAAAGGAATGAAGTTCCGATACATGGTACAAATGGATGAACCTTGAAGACATTATGTTAAGTGAAAGAAGCCAGACACAAAAGGATAAATACTGTATGAATCCACTTATATGAGGTACCTAGAATAGGCAAATTCATAGAGACAGATAGTAGATTAGAGGCTACCAGGAGCAGGGGAAAGAGGGAATAGGGAGTTACTGCGTAATGGTTAGAAAATTTCAGTTTAGGGTAATGAAAAAGTTTTGTAAATAGATAGTGGTGATGCTTGCATGACACTGTGAATGTAATTCATGTCAATGAATTATACACCAAAAAAATGTTTTAAAATGGTGAGAGTCAGGCACAGTGCCTCACATCTATAATTCCAGCACTTTGGGAGGCCGAGGCAAGAGGATTGCTTAAGGCCAGAAAATCAAGGCCAGCCTGGGCAACATAGTGAGACTCTGCCTCTAGAAAAACTTTAAAAATTAGCCAGGCATGGTAGCACATGCCTGTAGTCCCAGCTACTCTGAAGGATGAAGTGGATGACTCATTGTATGATATGCGAAATAAATTTCAATAAAGCTGTGTTTGTCTTTGTTCTTTTTTTTTGAGACAGAGTCTCGCTCGTTACCCAGGCTGATCAATCGAGGCTGCAGTGAGCCATGATAGTGCCACTGCACTCCAGCCTGCACAAGAGTGAGACCCCATCTCAAATTTAAAAAAAAAAAATAGAAATAATGAAAAAAATAAATGGCCGGGCTCGGTGGCTCAAGCCTGTAATACTAACACTTTGGGAGGCCAAGGAGGGCGGATTACCTGAGGTCAGAGATTTGAGACCAGCCTGGCCAACATGGCGAAACCCCATCTCTACTAAAAATACAAAAATTAGCCAGGCGTGGTGGTGCAGGCCTGTAATCACAGCTACTCGGGAGGCTGAGGCAGGAGAATCACTTGAACCCGGGAGGTGGACGTTGCAGTGAGCTGAGATCGCGTCATTGCACTCCAGCCTGGGTGACAAGAGTGAAACTCTGTCTCAAAAAATAAATTAAAAAAAAAATTTTTTTATGTACTAATACACCAGGCGTAGTGGCTCATGCCTGTAACCCCAGCACTTTGGGAGGCCGAGGCAGGCGAATCACCTGAGGTCAGGAGTTCAAGACCAGCCTGACCAACATGGAGAAACCCTGTCTCTACTAACAATACCAAAAATTAGCCAGGCGTGGTGGCACATGACTGTAATCCCAGCTACTCAGGAGGCTGAGGCAGGAGAATCGCTTGGACCTGGGAGGCGGAGGTTGCATTGAGCCGAGATTGCACCACTGCACTCCAGCCTGGGCAACAAGAGTGAAACTCTGTCTCAGGGGGAAAAAAAAAGTACTAATACATGCTATAACACAGATGAAACTTGAAAACATTTTGCTAAGAGGCAAGTCATAAAAGACCACATTATTACATGAGTTCATTTATATAAAATGTCCAAAATAGGCAAACCTATAAAGACAGAAAATTAGATTAGGGGTTGCTTAGAGCTAGGGGGGTAATAGAGAGATGGGAGTGATAGCAAAGGGTGTGGGGTTTCTTTTTTTCTTTTTGAGGTGATGAAAATGTTCTAAAATTGACTATGCTGAAATGGTTGTACATATCTGTGACTATACTTAAAATCAGCAAATTGAATACTTTAAATGGGTGAATTGTATGGTATGTGAATTAAATCTCAATAAAGCTGTGTTTGTTTGTTGGTTGGTTTGTTTGTTTTTTGAGACAGAGTCTCGCTCGTCACCCAGGCTGGAAAGTGCAGTGGCGCAATCTTGGCTCACTGCAATCTCCGCCTCTCCAGTTCAAGTGATTCTCCTGCCTCAGCCTCCCAGGTAGCTAGGATTAGAGGTGCCTGTCACCATGCCTGGCTAATTTTTGTATTTTTAGTAGAGATGGGGTTTCGCCATGTTGGCCAGGCTGTTCTCAAACTCCTGACCTCAGGTGATCTGCCCCCCTCGGCCTCCCGAAGTGCTGGGATTACAGAGGTGAGCCACCACTCCTGGCCTAAAGCTGTTTTTTAAAAGCAGCCAGAGAGAAAAGAAAAAAAGGATTACAATTAGACTGATTCAATAACATGATGGAAGCAAGGAGCCAGTGGAATAATATTGTCAATATCCCGAAAAAATTTAACTGTCACTCTAGAATTCTACATACACTAATACCAGTTTTTGAGAACAAGGGCAAAGTAGAGACATTTTCAGACAAAGAGTTTGCCATCAAAAGATTTTCAATGAAAGAATAAAAAATACACTTTTAGCCAAAGGAAAATAATCTCATCTTGAAGGTGTGAGATGCAAAAACAAATGATGAGCAAAGATACTGGGAGATATGTGGGAAATCTAAACAATTATCAACTGTAAAAATAGTATCGGCCAGGCGTGGTGGCTCATGCCTCTAATCCCAGCACTTTGGGAGGCCGAGGCAGGCGGATCACCTGAGTTTGAGGCCAGCCTGACCAACCTGGAGAAACCCTGTCTCTACTAAAAATACAAAAAATTAGCTGGGCGTGGTAGCACATACCTGTAATCCCAGCTACTTGGGAGGCTGAGGCTTGAACCCAGGAGACAGAGGCTGCGGTAAGCCAAGATCACACCATTGTACTCCAGCCTGGGCAACAAGAGTGAAACTCCATCTCAAAAAAAAAAAAAATCTACTCTGTGTGTGTGTGTGTGTGTGTGTGTGTGTGTGTGTGTGTGTAAAGGGATGGAGAAAAACAAGGTAAAACTAAAACCAGACAACAACAGCATATAAGCCAGGAGCAGTATGATGAGAGTTAAAGCATTCTTCAGCACCATATGACAAGAAGAGAAAAAAAAGAAAAAGAAAAAAAGAGTTAAAGCATCCTAAGGTTTTTGTATCCTATAAGATAAAGGTACAGATGCCAGTCACTTTTAGACTTAAAGTATGCATGTTAAGTAGGTACGAAAACACTTAGGTGACTTCCAAACAAGAATAGGAAAGAAACTACGGTCAATCCAAAAAAAGGAGGATAGAGAACACTTAGAAAAAAAAAAAGCTTATTTAGAATATCTCAAAATAAGATATCTGAATTTATTTCTACTATATCAATAATCACTACACCAAGGTAAATAAACTAATTCTCAGCCGGGCACGGCAACAGAGTGAGACTCCGTCCCAAAAAAAAAAAAAATTAGAGGACCCCTTGGCCAGTGTGGTAGCTCACACCTGTAATCCCAGCACGTTGGGAACCCGAGGCGGGTGGATCACCTGAGGCTCACTGCTGCCTCCAACTCACAGCCCATTTCTACAAATCTTTTTAATGTCTCTGGCTTAAGAGAACACAGTTGGAATCTGTGCTTCTATATTAATTCTGTTATGTTTTGATTGAATTGCATGAAGAAAATCCAGCCTCACACAGATACATAGTTGGAAAAGGTAGGAATATTTTAAAAGCCTTTTCAGAAAATTGTGGATATTAGTTTTTGATACTACACCAAAACTTGACAAGTGGTACTTTCTTAAGGGTTAGCTGCAATGTGGAATCTGAAACACTCTCAATAAAAGCTCTGTACTCTGTTCCATTAAAATTCATTGATGTATCTTGTATTTTAAATGGATCTTTTATCCATGTATGAATTTAGAACATCGTACTTGTTCATCTGGAAAATATTGGCTCACTGAGTTATACTGAGCTTCCAAATGCTGACACATTTCATTATATGATAACTAAAAATCACAACATTAATACCATCACCAATTATTAGAAAAGTCTTTCAGGTATCTAAAAGCTGTCAGGTTCATAGTGGCAGATACAAATTTTCCAAACTTTGATTTTTCACTTGAATGCTCAAATTCTATCACTGGCAACAGATACGGCCAGTTGTTTTCTTTGAAATAACAGGACTGTTTTGTTCATTTTCAAGAAAACATCTTCCAAGTACCCAAGTCTGTATAACTACGGTTCGTACGTCAGTCATTCTTTTTTTTTGAGACAGAGTCTCACTCTGTCGCCAGGCCGGAGTGCAGTGGCACAATCTTGGCTCACTGCAACCTCTGCCTACTGGGTTCAAGTGATTCTCCTGCCTCAGCCTCCCGAGTAGCTGGGACTACAGGCATGTGCCACCATGCCCAGCTAATTTTTGTATTTTTAGCAGAGACGGGGTTTCACCATGTTGGCCAGGATGGTCTCAATCTCTTGACCTTGTGATCCACCTGCCTCGGCCTCCCAAAATGCTGGGATTACAGGTGTGAGCCACCGCGCTTGGCCATCAGTCATTCTTTCAAATAAAAATGGAGCTAGTTTGGCTCGCAACTCAATCACACAAATGCTTTTCCTCAGAATAACCACTGTACTTTAGCATGCAGGAGGACTTTGTTTGTACTTGCCATTTCATCATACAGAATATTAAAGATGTAGAGATTTAATAAAACTAATGAGTTAATTTTTACTGCTTCATTTGACATTAAGTGAAATTAGCATTTTTTTTTTTACCACAATGAAGAACATAATGAAGAATATGCTAGTATAGTTTGGTGCCACTGCCTTGATTCCTGTTAAATGGCCAGCAGTTTTACCCACCATTGCTTTAGCACCATCAACGCTAAGGTGAACAAAGTGAAAATGGCAAATAATACCTTGGTATTATTATGAAAATAATTTTGACCTCTTGGACTTCCTGAAAGGGTCTCAGGAAGCCCCAGGGGGTCCACAGACCATATTTGAGAATTTCTTGTCTAGGACATCATGTTATACCTAGATTATCATGTCAGCTTCCTAACTAGTATTCCTGCCTTCAGCCTCTCTCTTAATTCACATTGTTGGGAACTACTAGATATAGCTTCCTACAAAGCTGCTTTCAACATATTCTAGCCAAAAATTTTCAGTGATTTCCCCACTGAATAAAGTTCCAATTCCTTAGCATCACATTGGAAGACCTCTACAATCTGTCCTCACCCAACTTTTTCAGGCTTACCACCTAACACCACCTCTAATTAGGTCAGGCTGGTCTATTTAAGGTCTCCTAAAACACAATTTACACACCTCACAACTTTGCTTGAAATATTCCCATCATATCAAGTATCACTTTCTGTCATCAAATCCCAAATCCTATTCAACCTGTAAGGCCCAGCTCAACACCCACATACTTTATGGTGTTTTAACTAATCATTTTGATTTACAGTGCTTTCTTCCTTCCTGGAAATATTACAGCAATTATTATCCTCAAACTATCATATACTGTTTTTGATAATTTATGTGATTTCCTTAATTCCCCAATGAGATTTCAAGTTCGTGGAATATAGAAACCCTATGCTAAACTTTGAATCTTCTACAGTGGCTAGGACAATGCAATGAACACACTGGAAACATCATTTTTAAAAAATAAAATCAATAAATGAATTCCCTTCCCAAAGGCAAGAGCAATACAGTTAGATGAGTGATTCACATGGTCTGTGAACTACTGATGGTCCTTGAAAGTCTTCCAGGTGGACAGTAGATTGATTTCTTAAAGTTATTAATGTTTTTAAGAGAAATAATTATGCTATTTAATCAAAATCACTCCATTGGCACTCATGAAAAGTAATCCTCTCCTTCTCATTAATTCTGATGAGGCTTTTGCAGTGTTAATCAAGAAAATGTAGAGTAAATGACTCAAAGGACTCTGTTGAAGTGGTTTAAAAGGGAAAAGATGGCAATGAGTGCTCCAGATCAGCAAACAAGACTCCAACGTGGAATCAACTTTATCTGTAACATTTTTATTTCCTTAAAAGAAGACATAAAGTAAATACGATAAAAATTTTCTATTTGTTAATCTGAGAGACAGGTGCAAAATAGAATGTTATTATTTGCCCTTTTCTGTATATTTGATATGTCTACGTTATCTTGGTACATTTCTATATGTTTGATATATTTTTAAAATAAGGAAAAACATATTGTGTAGCACACTGAAGCATATATGGTGCATCAATATACACACATGTACTATTTGATTGATGCCTAATGCTGTCCAATTTTTACTTACCAGTGCATCATCTTGCAATGAAGCAAAAAAGAAGCCATAGAGCAAGTTAATTTGCTCCTTACGATCAATGAAGTCAAACATTGCAACCAGCCAACGATAAAAAAGTACCTATTGAAGAGACAAAATACTTATCTTTAAAGAAATATAACTGGTACAGAAGAGTTTAATTCCGCCCCCCGTCCCCCGCCACCAGGGCTATTTTAGAAGCTTCAGGCACAAAGTAGAATAATAGATTTTATTTCTCAGTAAAAATTTCTGTTTGAACATAGTCCTTGCATCAAGATATATTGTTCCAAAACTACAGGCTTTGCACAAAAGGCCAATGCCATTACTTCATAAGTGGCTCTTCCTTGCCAGCCCTTAAGTGGTTCTGAAGGACTTATCATCAAAGTGTTTAAAAAGATTACCTTGGTGCTACCAGAACACTTGCCAACACAAAGCCAGGAGACTGCCTTAACCACAGAATCTTCTGATATTACTGTTGCTGGGATCATGCACTTCAATATCCGTGTGTTTACAGCATTTCCTGGAAAGGAGACAAGCTAAATTAAACTACATTTTAGTGTCTCGATTGTTCTTTTACTATTATTCACTCTTGGATCTAAAAATCTCACATTAGGCTGGGCGCGGCAGCTCATGCCTGTAATCCCAGCACTTTGGGAGGCCATGGTGGGCAGATCACCTGAAGTTGGGAGTTCAAGACCAGCCCGACCAACATGGAGAAACCCTATCTCTACTAAAAATATAAAAATTAGCTGGGCGTGGTGGAGCATGCCTGTAATCCCAGCTACTCGGGAGGCTGAGGCAGGAGAATCGCTTGAACCCAGGAGGCAGAGGTTGCGGTGAGCCAAGATCACGCCATGCACTCCAGCCTGGACAACAAGACCAAAACTCCATCTCAAAAAAAAAAAAAAAAAAAAAAACACCACACCTCACGTTATATTGAAGGCAATAAAAACCAACAGTATGTAAAATTCAGTATCTCTTATCATTATTAATAAATTGTTCAAAACAAAAATGTACCTTTAACTACTAATATACAATAAGGCAATAGTTAGGCACAGTGGCTCATGCCTATAATCCTAACACTTTGGGAGGCCGAGGCAAGCGGATCACTTGAGCCCAGGAGGTCAAGACTAGCCTGGGCAACATGACAAAACCCCGTTATCTACTAAAAATACAAAAATTAGCCAAGGGTGGTGGGGCAAGCCTGTAGTCACAGCAACTCGGGAGGCTGATGTGGGGGAAACACCTGAGCCCAGGGAGGTTGAGGCTGCAGTGAGCTGTGATCGTGCCACTGCACTCCAGCCTGGGTGACAGAGTGAGACCCTCTCTCAAAAAAAAAAAAAACTATAAGGCAAATTATTTGGTCCAAATATTTCTATTTAAAAAATATAAATGAGTACAGGGTTTCTTCTTGGGGTGATGAAAATGTTCAAGAATTAGATAGTGGTGATGATTACACAACTCTGTGACTATGCTTTAAAAAAATGCTGAATTTGGGGCCGAGCGTGGTGACACATGCCTATAATCTAAGCACTTTGGGATGCTGAAGCAGATGGATCACTTGAGCCCAGGAGTTTGAGACCAGCCTGGGCAACATAGCAGGACCCCGTCTCTATGGGAAAAAAAAAAAGATTAGCTGGGCATGGTGGTGCCTCCTGGGAGGCTGAGGCCGGAGGACTGCTTGAGCCTAGGAGTTTGAGATTAGCCTAGGCAATATAGTGAGACCCCAATCTCTACAAAAAATATAAAAATTAGCCAGATGTGGTAGCACATGCCTATAGTCCCAGTTACTTGGGAGGCTGACGTGGGAGGATCGCTTGAGCCTGGAAGGTGGAGGTTGCAGTGAACTGAGATCACACCACTAGACTCCAGCCTGGGTGACAGAGTGAGACTTTGTCTCCAAAAACAAAAATGCTGAATTTTTAAAACAATGAATTTTGCCGGGCACAGTAGCTCACGCCTGTAATTCTAGCACTTTGGGAGGCTGAGGCAGGCAGATCACCTGAGGTCAGGAGTTCAAGACCAGCCTGGCCAAGGTGATGAAACCCCATCTCTAATAAAAAAAATACAAAATTAGGCCAGGTGTGGTGGCTCACGCCTGTAATCCAGCCCAGGTGACAAGAGCAAAACTCCGTCTCAAAAAAAAAAAAAAAAAAATTAGCCAAGTGTTGTGGTAGGCGCCTGTAATCCCAGCCACTCGGGAGGCTGAGGCAGGAGAATCACTGGAACCCGGGAGGCAGAGGTTGCAGTGAGCCAAGATCATGCCATTGCACTGCACCCTGGGCTACAAGAGTGAAACTCCATCTCAAAAATAAAAAAATAAAACAATGAATTTTATGAGGGCACGGTGGCTCACAACTGTAATCCCAGCATTTTGGAAGGCCGAAGCAGGCAGATCATCTGAGGTCAGGAGTTCAAGACCAGCATGGCCAACATGGTGAAACCCCATCTCTACTAAAAATACAAAAATTAGCTGGGTGTGGTGGTGGGAGCCTGTAATCCCAGCTACTCGGGAGGCTGAGGCAGGAGAATCGCTTGAACCCAGGAGGCAGAGGCTGCAGTGAGCCAAGATCACACCATTGCACTCCAGCCTGGGCAATAAGAGTGAAACTCCATCTCACAAAAAAAAGAAAAGAAAAAAAATGAATTTTATGGTATGTAAATTATACCTCCAAAAAAGCTTTCAATCACAGGGAAATTTCAAAGATTTTTTTTTAATGGCCTAATAGACTGATTTATTTAAAGCTACTGACGGACACTTTGCATGAGGTGTTACATTTAAGAATGTATTTGTTCATGAGAGAATGTGAACCAGAAATAAAAACATAAATATAAAATTAAAAATATATATATTTGTACCATCCACTCACCCCAAAAAAGTGGGGAGAGTAGCAGAAGAGAACAGATATTCTTTTTTTTTTTTTTTTTTTTTGAGACAGGGTCTGACTCTGTCACCCAGGCTGGAGTGCAGTGGTGCAATCATAGCTCATAACAACCTCAAATTCCTGGGCTCAAGCAATCCTCCCACCTCAGCCTCCAGAGTAGCTGGGACTACAGGCACGTGCCACCATACCTGGTTAAGTTTTTTATTTTTAGCAAAGACAAGGTCTCACTATGTTGCCCAGGCTGGTCTCACATCCTGGGCTCAAGGGATCTGCCCACCTTGGCCTCCCAAAGTGCTGGGATTACAGGCATGAGCCACTGTGACTGGCCTAGAACAAGATATTCTTGGAATTGGCTGGCAGTAATACCATTCTACACTAGTCCAATCTTTCCACTTGATCTCAGGCCTCTATGGTGTTCTCCCATCTGGTAATAGAAATGATGTCACAGAGATCACCTGAGGTCAGGAGTTCGAGACCAGCCTGGCCAACGTGGTGAAACCCCATCTCTACTAAAAATACAAAACTTAGCTGGGCATGGTGGCGGGCACCTGTAATCCCAGCTACTCAGGAGGCTGAGGCAGGAGAATCGCTTGAACCCGGGAGGCGGAGGTTGCAGTTAGCTGAGATCACACCATTGCACTCCAGCCTGGGTGACAAGAGCAAAACTCCATCTCAAAAAAAAAAAAAAAAGATGTCATAGAGACTGGCTTTGAATATATCCTATCTCAATTTCTGTTAATTAAGGCTTCAAGAATTAGAATATATCTCATCACTTTCTACACTATCATTCTGTGGAGAAGAAAGGAAGCAGTGATGATAGGTAATGAATCACAAAAATAAAAATCTCTGCTTTCCACTCTTGTGGTTTCTTGTTTTTCTTGTTTTCTTTCTCACTCCCATCCACTAACTCTTCGAAATTTAAAATAGTCTCACCACCAACACATTACATGTGCACCAAATTCAAAGGGAGAATTCAATATTAATTCTATTTTTACTTCCAAGTGACTTAATTTTTAAAGAGTCTAAAGTCCCTTTGTACCTAATTATGATGACATTTCTACCATACCTGCCTCTAAATATGCATCTCAACTTACCAAAAGAGCTGCATGTAAAGATCTAGTAGGGATGGGGACATCACAGAAATAACTATAATAAAAGGGAGAAAAGGAATTAAGGAGGCCACATTTGACCTCAGCAAATTCCAGCTTAACAGAAAAAAAAAATGAAAAGTAACAATAGAAAGCCAGAGATTATTTTTTAACTTGCTATATAAAAGTTTCCCGAGTCTGAGGCATGCATTTTGAGACACCTCAAGTCCTAGCAGACATCAAGATAACCTAATCATTAATTTCTGAGATATCAAAAGGAGGCTGGGTGCAGTGGCACGCACCTGTAGTCCCATCTACTTGGGAGTCTGAGATGGGAGGATTGCTTGAGTCCAGAAGGTCAAGGCTGCAGTGAACCATGATCATACCACTGCACTGCAGTCTGGACAACACAGCGAGACTCTGTCACGAAAAAAAAATTTCTAAAATAGAAAACATCTGTATACTCCATACATGTTGTTTTTTTGTTTTGTTTTTTTGAGATGGAGTCTCGCTCTTCACCCAGGCTTGAGTGCAGTGGCATGACCTCGGCTCACTGCAAGCTCCGCCTCCTGGGTTCACGCCATTCTCCTGCCTCAGCCTCCCAAGTAGCTGCGACTACAGGCGCCCGACACCACGCCCGGCTAATTTTTTGTATTTTTAGGAGAGACGGGGTTTCACCATGTTAGCCAGGATGGTCTCGATCTCCTGATCTCGTGATCCGCCCACCTCGGCCTCCCAAAGTGTTGGGGTTACAGGCGTGAGCCACTGCACCCGGCCCCTACTCCATATATGTTTTAAGGTGAGATGGGAGTGGGAGAATTGATCTTGACAGACATTGTTCAGTTAAACATGGATTCCTGGAAAGATATTAGAACCAAATAATCTAAAACCATCTACAAGAAAAAAGCCAATTTTATTAGGTCTAATTTAACTTTCTAGGGAAACAGAGAACTAATCAGATAAAAATAGAGAAATAAAATACTTGACAGTCATATGTTGAATTCGGTTAGTAATGTGTTGTTACTTTAAAATAAATACACACACACCCCTGCAAGTATGCTGCTAGGGTATAAACAAAGGAATCTAACATGCAACAGCCAGGAAATACTTAGTATATAAAGCATTTGGTTTTGAGAGCTGTCTTAATTTTTCTTTTTTTTTTTTTTTCCCAGAGACAGGGTCTTGCTCTGTGGCCCACACTGGAGTACAGTGGCACCATCATAGCTCAAACTCCTGGGCTCAAGTGATTCTCTTGCCTCAGACTCCCAAGTAGCTGGGACTACAGGCACATGCCACTGCACCTAGCTAATTTTTTTTTAACATTTTGTAGACAAGGTTTCGCTTTGTTGCCCAGGCTGGTCTCAAATCTGGCTTCAAGCAATCATCCTGCCTTGGCCCCTCAAAGTGCTGGGATTATAGGCATGAGCCACTATACCCAGCCTTAACTTTTTTTTAAGTAGGAAAAAAAGCAGCAATGTGGTACAGTATAAGCACTAGAATGGGAGTTTGGACATCTTTAAGCAAGTCTCTTTAACTACTCTGAGCCTCTTTTTCCTCACCTTTAAATGAGAGTGTTTAGAGTCTAAAATATCTTCCAAGTCTGAATTTAAATGAGAAAAACTTAAAAGGTTCAAGTAAATAAAATATTGACCAGGTGTTATTTCTAAGAACCTCTTCCAACCATCCCAACCACCACCAATGAATTTAGAACAGGAAAAGATATTTGCACAAAAGAAAAAGCATCTTAGCTGGGCACACTGGCTCACGCCTGTAATCCTAGCACTTAGGGAGGCCAAGGCGGGTGGATCACCTGAGGTCAGAAGTTTGAGACCAGCCTGGCCAACATGGCGAAACCCCGTCTCTACTAAAAATACAAAAATTAGCTGGGTGTGGTGGCACATGCCGATAAGCCCAACTACTCAGAAAGCTGAGGCAGGAGAATCGCTTGAACCCAGGAGGCAGAGGTTGCAGTGAGCCGAGATCATGCCATTGCATTCCAGCCTGGGTGAAAGAGTGAAACTCATCTCAAAAAAAAAAAAAGAAAGAAAGAAAGAAAATGAAGGTAATGAAGTAGACTAAGTGATCTTTTAAGATGCCTTCCAGCAACATTGTTTAAATTACTACGTATGCTTCTTAAGATAAATACTAAAAAATGGTTCTCATGTATTTGGTGACAAAAGTATGTATTTTGCATTTTATCTGTGATGATATATGGTAACTGGTTATTTTTGGCATATGCACACAGAAACTTTTGGCCCAAACACACACACAAAAAAACCCATTTTATAATCTTAACAGATTGGTCTTATGAAGAGAACAGTAAACATAAAAAACTGCAACTAATTCCAATGAACAATGTAATTCAAAGTCTAAAAGGAAGGTCGGACACAGTGGGTCACGCCTGTAATCCCAGCACTTTGGAAGGCCGAGGTGGGCGGATCACCTGAGGTCGGGAGTTCGAGACCAACCCGACCAACATGGAGAAACCCCATCTCCACTAAAAATACAAAACTAGTCAGGCGTGGTGGCGCATGCCTGTAATCCCAGCTACTCAGGAGGCTGAGGCAGGAGAATCGCTTGAACCTGGGAGGCAGAGGTTGCAGTGAGCCAAGATTGCACCACTGCACTCCAGCCTGGGCAACAAGTGCAAAACTCAGTCTCAAAAAAATAAATAAACAAAGTCTAAAAGGAAAAACTAACAGCAAAGTGATGACAAAAGCATCCCAGGCTGGGCGCAGTGGCTCACACCTGTAATCCCAGCACTTTGGGAGGCCGAGGCGGGTGGATCACGAGGTCAGGAGTTCAAGACCAGTCTGCCCAAGATGGTGAAACCCTGTCTCTACTAAAAATACAAAAACATTAGCCGGGCGTGGTGGCAGGCACCTGTAATCCCAGCTACTCGGGAGGCTGAGGCAGAGAACTGCTTGAACCCGGAAAGTGGAGGTTGCAGTGAGCTGAGATTGCGCCACTGCACTCCAGCCTGGGCGATGGAGTGAGACCCAGTCTCCCAAAAGAAAAAAAAATCCCCTCGGCCAGGCACGGTGGCTCACACCTGTAATCCCAGCACTTTGGGAGGCCGAGGCAGGCGGATCACGAGGTCAGGAGATGGAGACCATCTTGGCTAACACAGCAAAAACCCGTCCCTACTAAAAAAAAAAAAAAAATACAAAAAATTAGCCAGGTGTGGTGGCACGCACCTGTAGTCCCAGCTACTCAGGAGGCTGAGGCAGGAGAATTGCTTGAACCCGAGAGGCAGAGGTAGCAGTGAGCTGAGATGGTGCCACTGCACTACAGCCTGGGTGACAGAGCAAGACTCCATCTCAAAACAAAAAACAAAAAACAAAACAACATCCCCCTCGAGCCAGGTGCGGTGGCTCAAGCCTATAATCCCAGCACTTTGAGAGGCCAAGGCGGGAGGATCACTTGAGTCTAGGAGTTCGAGACCAACCTGGGCAATATAGTGAGATGCTGTCTCTATTATAAAAAAAAGTATATATATATATGTGTGTGTGTGTGTGTGTGTATATATATATAAGATTTATTTTTAAAAGAAAAAAATATAGGTGCTAGGTGAGTTAAAAGAAAAAAAAAGCATTTCCTCAACATACCAAATTTGCCACTGAGTGCAATATTTAATAGAATATCAATTTCTTCTGAAGCTAACCCATTCTTCCAAGCCACATTTTCCACAGTTTTCAAGTGTTTTTCCAAGGTTTTATCTTTATTCTGTGAAGCTTTAATGGGACCTGAAAAAAGAAACAATATTAAATAGTGAGACCTTTAAAATTATTTCAGTCTTCGGCCTCAATAATAAGAATTTGGAACTCTTTAAAGGAATAGCTTAATAACCAGGCGTGGTGACCCACATCTGTAATTCCAGCATTTTGGGAGGCCAAAGTAAGAGGATCACTTGAGGCCAGGAGTTTGAGACCAGCCTGGGCAACATGACAAGACTCCATCTCTACAAAAAAATTAAAAACTAGCTGGGCATGCTGGCACGCACCTGTGGTCCCAGCTCCTCAGGAGGCTGAGATGGGAGGATCACTTGTGCCCAAAAGGTTAAACGTACAATGATCATGCCACTGCACTCCAGCCTGGGCAACAGAGCAAGACCCCGTCTCCAAAAATAAATAAAGGAGTTTATGTAAGAAGTGTCTTCCCAAAAACTGTTCAAAGATGTTTTTAACTAAAGAATATTTAACAGCGATAGCAACTTCAGTGAGGAAAGCTGGATTATGCCCTGACATTCCTATTCTAAACTAAAAGCACTGAACTTAGACTACAACCTGTTTCAATATTAGGACAGTGGTTCCCAAACTTTACCATACATTGGAACCACCTAGGAAGCCTTTAAAAAAAATCCCTATGCCAGGTTGCATCCCATACCAATAAAATCAGAAAGTCTAAGAGTAGATGCCTGACATCAGTTTGTTTGTTAAAGATTCTCAGAGCCAAAGGGGTAGAGAGGGAGGAAAAAAAAAAAGAAAAAAAGGTTCTCAAGTGATCCCAATATGCAGCCGTTTGGGAACCACTCTGCTAGTAAGTTTTGTTGTTGTGTCCCTAGTGCCTAGCATACTGATATATAGTAATTGCTCAATGTCTATTAAATAAACAAAAGCATGAATGAGCAAAATTATGCTTTCCTTTAAAAATTCTTAAGAAAAAAAGACTAGAATATTTTTACAGAAATAGGAGTTTCATAAGGAAAACAATCCACCTTTACCTTTCTCAAAATATCCCACTGCCATTTGCAAAGCATCTTCTTCAGCTTGATCATCAGCATGTTCATAATCTCCCACTGGATTGTTTTGTCCATGTTTTGAGATGTTCTTCGAGTTGCTTGGATCCTGTTTTACTTTCCAGGCTGAAAGCGTGGTCTGAAAACTACTACTACCTTGTGAAGTCCTGTTTTGTGCCTGGACGTTCTTAACTCTCTTTTGAGGTGACATTACTGCATATGTTCTACACAGAAACAAGTGTTAAGTTATCATTAATCAGCCAAACAGTCCTTTTTTCTCCACAGAGACAGGGTGTGTTTCCAGTATTTAGTATACAATAGCTAGCATACAACAGGCATACAATAAATAAGTTGACAACAATCCAGGAAACAAAGTCTAGAGGTTGACTTTCTCAGAAAGTCCTTGCCCTAAATAGAAATAGAAACAACCTGACAAGGTAACATTCATCAGCTGAACTAGCTTTCTAGTGGAAAAAACCAGTAAGAGTACAGGCAACATATGCAAGTTCTCTCTTAGAATGGCTATGTCATATAAGTGGGTCCAAAACTAATCCATCTCGGCCGGGCGTGGTGGCTCACACCTGTAATCCCAGCACTCTGGGAGGCCGAGGTGGGCCTGACTTGAGGTCAGGCGTACAGGAGTTTGAGACCAGCCTGGCCAATATGAGGAAACCCCGTCTCTGCTAAAAAATACAAAAACTAGTTGGGCATGGTGGCACACACCTGTAATCCCAGCTACTCGGGAGGCTGAGGCAGGAGAATCACTTGAACCCAGGAGGTGAAGGCTGCAGTGAGCAGAGATTGCACTACTGCACTCCAGCCTGGGTGACACAGTGAGACCCTGTCTCAAACAACAAACAAAAAAACTAATCCATCTCAATAACTCAATCTTACTTTCTCCACTCCTATTTTCCCCACTTCTCCTTGATTTTGCTTTTAATCTTTATGCTCCTAAATTTGTCAGTGCTAAGTTAAAGCTGCACAGTTCAAAAGCCAAACTGGTGGCCAGACTAAGCATTTTCAGGAGACAAATATTCCCATTTATTCACTTAATAAATAATTACTAAATGTCATCTATTTGCCAAGCACAAGTCTAGTTACCAGGGATAAAATAATAAAACAATCAAGATCTCTGCTCTCATGACACTTACACTGAAGGGGGAGGTGAGAGTCAATAAATAAGTATACAACTAAGACTGGACATGGTAGTTCACACCTGTAATACAGCACTTCGGGAGGCAGAGGCTGGAAGATCCCTTCAACCTAGGAGTTCAAGACCAGTCTGGGCAACACAGTGAGACAATGTCTCTACTTAAGATTTAAAAAATTAGCTAGGCATAGCCGCACGTGCCTGTAGTCCTATCTACTCAGGAGGGTGAGGCAGGAGAATAGCTTGAGCCCCGGGGGTCGAGGCTGCAGAGAGCCGTGATTGCGCCACTGCACTCCAGCCTGGGTGACAGAGCAAGACTTTGTCTAAAAAAAAAAAAAAAAAAAAGGAAGAAAAGTAAACAATAATGAATATAATACACAGTGATGTGATAGAAATGAAGTGGAGATGGGAAGCTACATTGTAACTTTGTAATAAGTGTTCAGAGAAAACCTCTCTGAGGTGACCTTTAAACTGAGATTTGAATGCCAAGAAGGAACCAGCCCTGTGAAGATCTGGTGGAAGAGTATTTCATGGAGAGAGAAGAGGAAGACATGCTAAGACTAAGACCTTAAAGCAAAAAGAGCTTTATGTGTTAAAGAAACAGCAGCTTGGCTGGGCAAGGTGGGTCACACCTATAATCCCAGCACTTTGGGAAGCTGAGGGCAACATAGTGAGACATTGTTTCTTTTTTTTTTTTTTTGAGACAGTCTCACTCTGTCACCCAGGCTGGACTGCAGTGGCGCAATCTCTATCTCGGCTCACCACAACCTCCGCCTCCCGGGTTCAAGCAATTCTCCTGTCTCAGCCTCCCAAGTAGGTGGAATTACAGGCGCACACCACCATACCCGGCTATTTGTTGTATTTTAGTAGAGACTGGGTTTCACCATGTTAGCCAGGCTGGTCTCGAACTCCTGACCTCAAGTGATCCACACCTGCCTCAGCCTCCCAAAGTGCTGGGATTACAGGCGTGAGCCACCACGCCTGGCCCAACTCTGTCAAAAGAAAGAAGAAAGAAAGGAAAGAAAGAAAGAAAGGGAGGGAGGGAGAGAGAGAGAGACAGACAGAGACAGAAAGAAAGAAAGAAAAGAGAAAAGAAAAGAAACAGTAGTAACATCAGTCTGGAGGGAGTGGAATGAAAGAGGTAAAAGGTAATGAGCGATGAAGTCAGAACGTAGCCAGGGACTAAGTTCATATTGGGATTTGCAGGCCAGAGTAAGGAGTTTGGATTTTAAATGTCATGGGAAAACATAGGGGAAGGGGGAAAGGTTAGAGAGGGGAGCAATACCACCTGATTTGTGTTTGACGATCATGTTAGCTGCAGTGCAGAGACGAGAATGTTAGAGGTCAAGGAGCGGCAAGAAACCAAATAAAAGGCTGTCGCAGAAGTCCAGAAGAGGTTTGACTGTAGCCTGCACTAGGCCTAGGGTGTAGAGGTGGAAAATGATTGGATTCGTGCAATGTTTTGGAGTTAGACAAAGTAGGCCGTGATAAAAGAATTGGATGTAGGGAAAAGGGAAGAGGAACCAAAAATGACTTCTAAGTTTTTGGCTGCAAATAGGAAAAACTAAAGGAATAGTCGGAATGACACTTACTCAATCCCACCTCCCTGGAACAGATGAGGCCAGATCAGGAGAGGAATATGTCCAAACCAGTGGGACGTTACAGGTTCCGAGTTATTTCCTAGGTTCCTAGGAAAGAAGGGCAGGGGAGCAGCTTCTGACCCCACCCAGTTGAACCATCCCAGCGCTTCCCAAGGATCCCTGGTGCGAAACTGGCTACGGAAAACCCGACCGCAGTCACACCTTGCAGGATAGTCCCACCCTCAAAAGTAAAAAAATTCTCTTCGCCCCCATTTCGCGCGGTGCTTAAAAGTACCTCCTCACCTAAGACACTCTACCTGCAGCCGCACAGGCCTCTGACCACCGAATGCCGCCTCCGGAATTCAAAGAAGCTGACTCCACCCCACGCATGCGCTTCCGCGCAGACCCAGAGGGGCGGCTGGGCGGAGCAACGCACTCAGCTGAAGCCTGATTGGCTAGAGGTGGCGGGAGGCTCGGTGGCGGGAGGTGGCGCGCGCGACGACGCTGGCGTAGAACCAATTACGGAGAGCGGCTTGCCCCACCCACCTGGGCCTGTGAGGAGAGCAGCGAGTGGGCCGTTGCTGCTGGAGTCAGCTGATTGGCTGGCGTTCCCACTGTGCTAAGAATATAAGAATGTTCACATTCGTCATTTTGCGTATAACGGGACAATTCGTGTCTCGGTTCTTGAATTTAACATGATCAATTATAGTGATTATTTTGCCTAGGCTGACCCCAGATGTCGGGACTTTGTAGGAAAATGTGAAACCGCAAATTTCACAATAAAGGTGGCTTCTCCCTGGCCGAGACTTAAGTTAAAGGGCCTGTCGCTTTCCCCGTGTGAACCTAGGGCGTGGGAGGAAAGAAAGGCTGGGTCTGCCCTCCTTTTACCGACAATGGGTATGGATATCCTCCAAGGTTTTCTATAAACCGGCTGTCAACATGTAACTATTCCTAACCATGAGGAGTTAATTGACCTTGAAAACAGCCACAAGGGTTTAGTCTGAGCTCTCAGCTTAGTCCCTAATTTAATCTCTTATTAGAGTAGGAATAAGAGAGAAAAGATAAATTTAATGACTCTCACTGAGTTGTTGAGACCAAAACATACCTATAAACTTTAGGTAAACTTGGCGGGGGGCGGGGAGGACTGCAGTCTTAGAGATGAATAATCAAAGTTTAAGTTTATGTAGTTGGGAAAGGATACAGCAAAAATAACTTTACCACATCATATATGGTTTTCAGAATAGTTTCACCAACTCTTATTTAATCATGCATGACAACTGAGGCTCTTCAATTTTTTCTGATAGATGTTGTCCTTTAATAAAGTTGAAAATTTCTTGAATCATTTTTCATGTTTTTAATCATGTTTCATAGGCTCAAAGAAATGTAAATTGGAAGGAAATTTAAGGTTTCAACATTCTTCTTTTTGTAGATGATTAAACTGGAGCCCTGAGTGGTGAAATATCTTGCCTAATGTGACAGGTCTGTGGCAGTGCAACTTGTACCACTTTGTGGAGAGATATATATATGTAGTGAAAGATAGTGATTCACCTTTGATACACCTTCAATTTTCTCCGAAATCATTTTTCTAACTTCCCTTGGCATCACCTAATTAAGCAAAACTCCTAAAACCTGGACATTGTATTGAGATCCTAATTATGTGGCTTTCTGTCTTGCATGCTAACATCACAAAAGTGTGGGGGAGCGTAAATAAAATTGGAAAGTTGGGCCAGGCGAGGTGGCTCATACCTGTAATCTCAGCACTTTGGAAGGCCGGGCCAAGCAGACTGCTTGAGCCCAGGGGTCCGAGGCCAGACTGGGCACCATGGCAAAATCCCGTCTCTACAAAAAATAAAAAATTAGCCGGGCATGGTGGCGTATGCCTGTAGTCCCAGCTATTCGGGAGGCTGAGGTGGGAGGATCACTTGAACCTGGTAGATTGAGGCTGCAGTGAGCTGTGATCCCACCACTGCACTACAGCCTGGGCAACAGAGCAAGACCATGTCTCAAAAAAAAAATAAGAAAAAGAAAAAAAGGAAATTGGAAAGTTGGCAACCTTATTAGCATATTAAGTGATTAAACTCCCTCTTCTCTTTCCTCTCCTCCTTCAGCCAGACTCAGAAAAAGAGAGGCTAAATCCTTTGATATGATCCTTACTTTCCAGATTTTCAGTATTTGTCCAGACAGTTTCCTCCAAATTTCAAAAAGTTTTATTTTGAAAGAATGAGAGAAATAAAACAGAGAGGTATCAATTACCAAGAACAATTACACTGAAGAAAACACAATAATAAGTACTCTTCCCACACAACCCCCCCCATTTCCCCATCCCTGGCACAATAATATTAAAACCACCAAAGCACACCTAACAAGGAAAAACAACAGTACGTAATGAAAAAAGCAAATGTCCATACTGCTCAGTCCAACTAACCCTTATGAAATGTCCTTCCCCCAGCTAAACCCTACCCACTGGAATGATAAAGAAATGTAGAGACAACCCTAGGGGAGACTTGGAACTCTGCTTATACTAGCAAAGCTCAGTGAAGAATCAGTAAGAGTAGTGAATCTGTTTGGCAGTGAAACACTGGATATAGCTTCTTTTTCAAATTTTGGATGATTGCAGAGAACAGGTAGAGTTTGAGGCTCACAGACTTCTAACAGGACTGATCCCTGTTCCCTCAACCGTAACAGTGGAGCAGCTGCCAAATCCTGGTTGGCTGCTGAGAATAGTGGAAGTGAGGCAACTTTGGGCTTAAGACAATCTGAAAAAGATGTCTGGAAACAAGTTTACTGCTTCAGTTTCAAACTGTGAGTAAAGGGTTTTAATAGGTGGGGCTTGGACAAAGGCAAGGTGAAACTTCCTATATTATCACTTGAAGAATTAAACTATCAATTTGACTGCATGCATCCCTTGTTTTAATTAAATTCAATATGGACTATTTAAAATGTAAACAACTGTTGGACTAGAGCCTAATTAATTTCATATATAACTCAGTGTCCGAAATTGAATGTTTTTTTTTTTCTCCTAAAGTAGTAAGTTTAAGTTGTTAGTATCTGTGGAGAGATTCCCGGCCATGAGACTACATGACTTGTTTCATATCAGGATTCTCTTCATAGGAAATTTGTTTTATTCCGCCTTTGCTGGAATCAATCTATAAAGGGAAGGATGCCTGTGCAGGATTAGTTCAAGATCAGCGCCTTCTCTGCTTGTGTGTGCGTGAGTGTGTGCGCGTGCGCGCGCGCGCGCACACACACACACACACACACACAGAGTAGTTAAATACATTTTCCCACACACAATCTCACAGTCACATGCTTGTTGGAGTCCATCTCACAATTACACTTCAATAGTAGCCGTATACATGTACATGCAGCAAGATGTGAGAGTTGCCCCAGAGTGATTAAAGGTGGCGCACAAATGTCAATGTGGGGAAGTCATTTTAGCATATAGATGTACACAAGCCAATAGGGTCATTAACTTGCAGATTACATTTTTCACTTTCCCCAAGATAAATAAATCAAATGAAAAACACACACTGACATCTTCCTGGTGTCATGGACGCAACTGCCTGGAAGGTCCACTCTTTGCACTTCCACTTTTCTATGACACCTTCACTTTGCCCTGAGGGGCCTTCTCATATAAGGAGGGTTGCTCCTCAGCATTCCCTGGCAAAGGCTTCTTCTCAGAAGACCGGTCTTCGGGCTTGCGAGCAATCAGCAGGCGGCAAGTGAGCAGGATTCCAAACACCAGAGCATGGGCGTAGCGTTTGAGAGGATCACCGACCAGCTGGTGGAAGAAGAGCACAGCCAACACCAGCAACAGTAGGAAGAAGTTGGCCACATCTTTGGGACGCCCAGGCACAAGGGTCATGACGATGCCACAGGCCACTTCAAGGGCACCAATGCTTTTTCGGAGGAGAATGGAATTGATCCCCATTTTCTTCAGCAGAGGGAGGGCTCGAACATAGCTCTTGTAAGCACGTTTCTAGAGTGAGAATATTGTAAGGAAATTACTGCATTAACCATGATTTTAACATTAGAATGAAGAAAACACAAGCAGAGTCCTCTCCCCTTTCACACCAGCCACTGGTGTCCCATTATATATAATTTTTCTTATCTTAATTATATGTAATTAAACTAAGAGGCCAGGCACAGTGGCTCACACCTGTAATCTCAGCACTTTGGGAGGCCGAGGTGGGCAGATCACCTGAGGCCGGGAATTGGAGACAGCTTGGCCAACATGGTGAAACCCCATCTCTACTAAAAATACAAAAATTAGCCAGGAGTGGTGGCGGGCACCTGTAATCCCAGCTACTTGGGAGTCTGAGGCACAAGAATGGTTTGAACTCGGGAGATGGAGATTGCAGCGAGCTGAGATTGCACCACTGCACTCCAGCCTGGGCGACAGAGTGAGACTCCATCAAAAAAAAAAAATCCAAACACAAGCAATCTGCTGGAATCCCTGTGATTTAAACCTTAGTAGCATCTTTGCTATGGTCTGAATGTTTGTGTCCCCAACAAAAACCATATGTTGAAATCATAACCCCCAAGATGATGGTATTAGTAGGTGGGGCTTTGGGAAATGATTATGTCCATGAGGGTGGAGTGTTCCTAAATGAGATTAATTCCTTTATAACAGAGGCCTCAGAGAGCTGACTTGCCCCTTCTGCCATGTGAGGACACAGTTAGAAGGCACCATCTGTGAAGAGAAAGTGGGCCCTCAATAGACACCAAACTGCTCCCACCTTGATCTTGGACTTCTCAGCCTACAGAACTATGAGAAATAAATTTCTGTTGTTTATAAGCTACCCAGTTTATGCTATTTTATTATACCAGTCTGAATGGACTAAGACAAGCACCAAAGGTAATAAGGCGAATAATTTGATTTTATAGTTTAAAAGCATTTATGATTATAAATCATAAATAGCATTAATACTTTTTTTTAGCCGGGTGCAGTGGCTCACGCCTGTAATCCCAGCATTTTGGGAGGCCGAGGTGGGCAGATCACCTGAGGTCAGGAGGTCTAGAACAGCCTGGCCAACATGGTGAAACCCCATCTCTGCTAAAAATACAAAAATTAGCCGGGTGTGGTGGGGCATGCCTGTAATCCCAGCTACTCGGGAGGCTGAGACAGGAGAATCACTTGAACCCAGGAGGCAGAAGTTGCAGTGAGCCAAGATCGTGCCACTGCGCTCCAGCCTGGGCGACAGAGCAAGACTCCATCTCAAAAATAAATAAATAAATAAATAAGCAAATAAATAAATAAATAAAAAGAATTTTTTAAAAATTCACTAGGCCCATAAAAACTGGTACATGTTAGCCACATCCATATTTTCTAGTGCCTGCTTTGTCAAAACCCAGATGCATATGAATACTAAGCAAAATGAAACAAGGTAAGGCACAGTATGGTAAAGATTCACTAATTTGAACTTCCCTAAATTGGAATTTGTTATATTTCAGAAAAGAGCGAAGCTGGAGTTTATATTTGTAGAATCTATAAAAATGAAAGTGTTTGCTGAGAAAATAGAAAAATAAAAATGTATGCAAATGTCAGCCCTTTATATATCTTTAAAATATAGTAAGACAAAATCATTCTCATTTCATTGAGATAAATCCCCAAACCTTTATAAGAAGCTACTTTGGCTAGCTTCATTCCTTAAATTTTATTTTATTTTATTTATTTATTTTTATTCTTTTGAGACGGAGTCTCACTCTGTCGCCCAGGCTGGAGTGCAGTGGTGGAATTTTGGCTCACTGCAACCTCCGCCTCCCAGGTTCAAGCGATTCTCCTGCCTCAGCCTCCCACATAGCTACCATGCACTACCACACCTGGCTGATTTTTTTTTTTTTTTGTATTTTTAGTAGAGATGGGGTTTCGCCATGTTGGCCAGGCTGGTCTCGAACTCCTGACCTCAGGTGATCTGCCCACCTTGGCCTCCCAAAGTGCTGGAATTACAGGTGTGAGCCATTGCGCCCAGCCTCATTCCTTAATTTTGATTCAAGAAATATTTATTGTACACCTATTATGGGTTTTGCATCAATGATACAGAGATAAATTAGACAGGGTCATGAAGCTTTCAGACTAGTAGGGGGAAACAGATATGTAAACAACATAAAGCAGCACAGTTAGTGGTACATAAATAGAGATCTGTATAAGATCACAAAGTAACAGAATTATATTGATCTTAGAGTTACAGATCATTCATATTTTTCACTATCCATTTTGGCCTGTTCCTCATTTTGGAGTAAATTGATGAGATTTTATCAAGTGTCTTATTGGGTTGGTCCACTGCTTTGTTTTCTTTTAGTATCCATTCATTCATTCAATGTTTATTTTCTCTTTTTTCTTTTCTTTTTTTTTTGCTTTCCAGGAGGTGCTCTCATCTGAGTTCAATATTTATTAAGTGCCTCCTTGTGCTAGGCACTGTTCTGGATACTCTGGATATAAGTGTCAGTTATTCAAAGGTCCTGTCTTCCTGAAGCTTGAAGTTTATAAGGGGAAGAGCGGATATGTAAATACACAAGTGCAATAAAGTGTTATAAGTGCTGGATACAATTATGTAGCAGGAACAGTATAGGCACACCAGAGGGAGTGGTCAAATCTCCCTAGATGGTGACAGAAAATTTGGAGTGGAATCTTAAAAGTGGGTGGTGAGGCACTCCAGCCTGAAACTCCATCTCAAAAAAAAAGTAGAGCAGGTGTTTGCAAGATAAAAAAGGAAATGGCACTGCAGGCAGAGGAAGCTGGATGAGCAAAGACCCTGACACACCAAATATGGCCAAATACCACTTCAGTTCAGCATAGGGTGATAGAGGGAAGGGAAGGAGGGGAGACATGAAATAGGAGAGATAAATATGAATTAGATCATGGAGAACAATATCTGTTCTGCTGTGGAGCTGGACTTTGTCTTATAAGCCAGGAGGAACTTTTAAAGAAATTCCCTCTGGAAATAGGCCGGGCATGGTGGCTCACGCCTGTAATCCCAACACTTTGGGAGGCCAAGGCAGGAGGATCGATTGAGCCCAGGAGTGCAAACCAGCCTGGACAAGATAGTGAGACCCTGTCTCTACAAAAAGTTTTTAAAAAATTAGCTGGGCGTGGCAGTGTGTGCCTGTAGTCCCAGCTATTTGGGAGGCTGAGATAGTAGGATTGCCTGAGCCCAGGAGTTCAAGGCTTCAGTGAGCTGTGATCGTGCCAACGTACTGCAGCCTGGGAGGCAGACCAAGACCCTGTCTGGAAAAAAAAAAAAAAAAAGAGAGAGAGAGAAAAGATGGTCCCTCTAGAAATAGTGTGGAGGATGAATTGGGGGAAGTATGCCTGGAAACAAAGAGATCAGGTAAGAGATGTGGACTAGCATAATGGCAGTGAGGACACGGGAAGGGGACAGAGTAGAGGAATGCTTTGAAAGCAAAATCTGGCCGGGTGCAGTGTCTCACGCCTGTAATCCCAGCACTTTGGGAGGCCGAGGCGGGTGGATCGCCTGAGGTCAGGAGTTCGAGACCAGTCTGGCCAACATGATGAAACTCCGTCTCTACTAAAAATACAAAAAAAATTACCCAGGCGTGGTGGCACATGCCTATAAGTCCCAGCTACTCTGGAGGCTGAGGCAGGAGAATTGCTTGAACCCAGGAGGCAGAGGTTGCGGTGACCCGAGATCACGCCATTGCACTCCAGCCTGGGCAACAGAACAAGACTCCGTCTCAAAAAAAAAAAAAAAAAATTCTACAGAACTTGGTGTCTCATTGGATGTGGGCACTGAGGGAAAGGGAAGAGTCAAGAATGATTCTCAGGTCTCTGGCTTGGGTGCTGGAGAGATAGATAGGTGTTACCATTCTCTAAGTATGGGTATATATCAGATAATCAGGAGGAACAGAATGCGGGGGTCAGGGATCAGGAAAGAATGAGGAACTCAATTTGGGGGTTTTGAGTTGAAGTACCTCTAAGGCATCCAAGTGTAGATGACTGGTAAGGCAGCTCAGTAAGAGAAGTCTGGACTAAAGATAGAGAATGGATGGTCATTAGTATGCCCAGGGAGGGTATATACAGTGGGAAAAAAATGCATGACAGACATTTAAAAAATGGAAAGAGAGGCCGGACGTGATGGCACAAACCTGTAATCCCAGCAGTTTGGGAGGCCGAGGCGGGCAGATCACTTGAGGCCAGGAGTTTGAGACCAGCCTGGCCAATATGGCGAAACCCTGTCTCTACTACAAAAAAAAAAAAAAAAAATACAAAAATTAGCCGGGCGTGGTGGCATGCACCTGTAATCCCAGCTATCCGGGAGGCTGAGGCACGAGAATCACTTGAGCCCAGGAGGCAGAGGTTTCAGTGAGTCAAGATGGCACCAGCCTGGGCAACAGAGCAAGACTCTGTCTCAAAAAAAAAAAGAAAGAAAGAAATGGAAAGACAGAGTCCACAAAGCAGATAGAAGAAAGTATGGTTAGAAAAGCAGGAGGAAAACCAGGAGAGACCAGGTCATGGACACCAAGATAAGTTTTAAGAAGAGAATAGTCAAAAGTGCCAAATGCTAGACAAGTGTAAGAATGAGGCAGAAAGCCAACTTGACCTCTCAGAAGCATCTGGCACTTAAAATAGTGTTCACACACTCTAGATTTGGAACAAATATTAACAAGTGAATGCACCTTTACTTAATGGATTAATTATCATGAGTGGCCCAAGATAATCGCCTATGAGGACTCTTAAAAGACTAATGGTTTAGAAAAAAGCATGGTTTGGATGCAAACAGACTTAGCGTCAAATCCCAGCTCTGCCACTTTCTAGCCTTTTTTTTTTTTTTTCTTTGATATGGACTGTCATTCTGTCACTGAGGCTGGAGTGCAGTGGTGGGATCAGAGCTCACTACGGCCTCTACCTCTGGGGCTCAAAAGCAATTCTCCCACCTTGCCTCAGCCTCCTAAGTTGCTGGGACTACAGGGTATGCACCATCATGCCCGGCTAATTTTTTTTTTTTTTTTTTTAGAGACAGCCCCTGGCTATGTGGCCTGCCTTAACTTTCCAAAGTGATCCTGCCGCTTTCTAGTTGGGTGTCTCTGAGCAAATTATTTGAAAGGTCCTGAACAAGCCTGGAGTAAGGTAAAGTCAGCAAGGCTACTTACCTTGGGTGGAAAATTTAAGAGGGCACCAAAAACACTCACTGATTAGGTAAATAATATCCATGATGAACAAGATATGAAACTTTTAAATAAAGGTAGGCTCCGACGCTACACTTGCACGACCCTGCTTCACTCACTTCTCCCTAAACCTGCCTTGTCAGAGACTGTCCTTATTTAAAATTCCACCTCACCCTAGTTCCTACCCTATTCCTGAGCCTATATGGAAATACAAAGTGTTAGTCATTCTTCCTCTCTCTTCCCATCTTAGATTAAATCAAGGATTTTTCATAGAGAAATTAGGAGAGAGGTTGACCAGTAGGCAGAGTAAAACCTTGGGCTGAAAGGGGCCAGACCCATGTGGGGCAGAGCTGAGCTGAGGTTTAGGGTACCTGGTGGTGGTGAGAAGCCCACCCCTTTCCTCTCATTAACCTAAATACATGCCACTTGCCTTATCCTTCTCCCTTTGCATCCTGGTGATGGTAGCAGGGGGACATTACGGGGAAAAAATGTAGACCCCAGAGGCTTCCATAACACTTTTTTTTTTTGAGGCAGAATCCCACTCTGTCACCCACACTGGAGTGCAGTGGCTCGGCTCACTGCAAATTATGCTTCCCTAGCTCAAGCGATTCTCCTGCCTCAGCCTCCCGAGTAGCTGTGTTTACAGGCATGTACCCCACATCCAGCTAATTTTTGTATTTTTAGTAGAGACTGGTTTTCACCATGTTGGCCAGGCTCTTCTCGAACTCCTGACTTCAGGTGATCCACCTGCCTCGGTCTCCCAAAGTGTTAGGATTACAGGCGTCAGCCACCACGCCTGGCCTCTTAACACTTCTGAGGGTCTCGCTGTCACCCAGGCGGGAGTACAGCAGCACCATCAGGGCTCACTGCAGCCTCGACCTCCCAGGCTCAAGTGATCCTCCCGCCTCAGCCTCCCGAGTTAGCTGGGCCTACAGGCTTGTGCCACCATGCCTGGCTAATCTCTTTTAAGTTTTTTTGTAGAGACTGGGTCTCACTATGTTGCCTAGGCCTGTCTCAAACTCCTGGGCTCAAGTGATCCTCCTGCCTCAGCCTCCCAAAGTGTTGGGATTACAGGCGTGAGCCACCACGGTTGCCCAGTAAGGGCCATTTCTAATTAGCAACACAAAAGTTCTCAAGAGGCAATTCCTAAATCCTAAGTGTAAACTTCTGATGTGATAAACACAAAAGACAGGATGAGTTGTTTTGTTTTTTGTTTTTTGTTTTTTTTGAGATGGAATCTGGCTCTGTCACCCAGGCTGGAGTGCAGTGGCATGATCTCAGTTCACTGCAACCTCTGTCTCCTGGATTCAAGTGATTCTTCTACCTCAGCCTCCCAAGTAGCTGTGACTACAGGCGCGCACCACCATGCCCGGCTAATTTTTGTATTTTTATTTTTATTTTATTTATTTATTTTGAGATGGAGTCTCACTCTGTCGCCCAGGCTGGAGTGCAGTGGCACGATCTCGGCTCACCACAACCTCCGCCTCCCAGGTTCAAGTGATTCTCCCGCCTCAGCCTCCTGAGTAGCTGGGACTACAGGCGCTTGCCACCATGCCCAGCTAATTTTTTGTATTTTTAGTAGAGACACTTCACCACATTTCACTATGTTGGCCAGGCTCGTCTCAAACTCCTGACCTTGTTATGTGCCCAGCCCAGGATGAGTTTCTTATAGTCAGTTAGGAGCCAAGACTTCCAGATGCTGGCTGAATGGCTTCTGGAAACACTTCTTTTTTGACTAGGGCTTAACCACCCATTATTCAGGTACAAACTCTTATCTATACTATAGTGCAATCTGTAGCCCGGGGCCAAACTCCATGTTTTAAATCAAGTTCCTATAACTTCAGTAATCTTTTTTCTCTCCATTTAGTAGAACGGCGTATTACTTTTTTAGTTTAGCTAACCTCTTAAACTGCAGCTGTGTATATTTTTATGCCGCTGTTGCTTCTTTCTTTCCTCTGTTTCTCAAGAGAAAACTGCATGTGGATACACCATTTAATCAAATCTTTCATTGAAAACTGAGTAGGTACAGACAGGATTTATTTTCTAGGACTCCAAAGAGGGAATGTTTAGTTTATTGGAGATGGGACTAAGCTTGGATGGGTCTTGACATTATAGGAAGCCATCAATCTTCTCCTGTGGAGTAGAATAGCGACATCAAAAGAATCCTATTGGCCGGGCGCAGTGGCTCACGCCTGTCATCCCAGCACTTTGGGAGGCTGAGGCGGGCGGATCACCTGAGGTTGGGAGTTCGAGACCAGCCTGACAAACATGAAGAAACCCCATCTCTACTAAAAATACAACATTAGCTGGGTGTAGTGGCGCATGCCTGTAATCCCAGCTACTCGGGAGGCTGAGGCAGGAGAATTGCTTGAACCCGGGAGGCAGAGGCCGCAGTGAGCCGAGGCCACACCATGGCACTCTAGCTTGTGCAACAAGAGCGAAACCCCTTCTCAAAAAAAAAAAAAAAAAAAAAGAATCCTATTATTGCTAACCCCCTCATTATGCTTGGTCCAGGCCACCTCAAGTTAAACAATAGAAGGGTCACATGTCTTCAGTCTATAGTAACTAGGTCTCTAAAGACTTTAATTGTATGGATAGTAAGAATAAAGACAGTTGACAGATTCACTTTCTTAAAAGGCTCTTGCAATTCACTTTGTTAGGTCTGTGTTCTTTCCACTGCAATAACCCAGGCTCTGAAACCATAGTTTCCGTATAGGGGGAAGAAAAACAGGAAAAAGATGGGCTTAGTTAAATGTCTCAAACCCCTGCAATCAAAGGC
Source organism: Homo sapiens (assembly GCF_000001405.40). Classification (NCBI taxonomy): domain Eukaryota; kingdom Metazoa; phylum Chordata; class Mammalia; order Primates; family Hominidae; genus Homo; species Homo sapiens. Next base: position 101,086,646 of record NC_000023.11, on the reverse strand, counting down.
AATCATCTAGCAATATCCTTGGACTGGGATTCTTAAGCTGAATTCCAATTTTAGTTTTGCCACTAAATTGCTTGGAGAAAATTACTAAGTATTTTATTACCTCAGTTTCCCCTCAGATTCAATAAATCAAATGAGCATTTTGGAGATTTAGGTAAATAATCAAAGTGTCATAGCATCAGCTGAGGGCAACACACACACATTTGATCATTAATGAACCACACAATTAGGCCGGGTGCAGTGGCTCACGCCTATAACCCCAGCACTGTGGGAGGCCAAGATGGGTGGATCACTTGAGGTCAGGAGTTCGAGACCAGCCCGGCCAACATGGCAAAACCCCATCTCTACTAAAAATACAAAAATTAGCCAAGCGTGGTGGCACACGTCTGTAGTTCCAACTACTTGGGAGGCTGAGGCAGGAGAATCACTTGAACCTGGGAAGCAGAGGTTGCGGTGAGCCGAGACCATGCCATTTCACTCCAGCCTGAGTGATAGAGCCAGATGCTGTCTCAAAAACAAAAACAAAAACCCACACAATTAGAAATCCATATTTTTGCAAGCCACGGTAATTATTTTAATAACAAAATCATTGATGAATCAAGCAGATCCATTCTTGTGGTATGAGGACATTATGATTCAGACATGAGTCAAAAGCATATGGAGCCTTTTATTTTTTGTTATTTTTAAATTTTATTTATTTTTATTTTTATTTTTGAGACAGAGTCTCGCTCTGTCGCCAGGCTGGAGTGCAGTGGCGCGATCTTGGCTCACTGCAACCTCTACCTCCTGGGTTCAAGCAATTCTCCAGCCTCAGCCTCCTGAGTAGCTGGGATTACAGGTGTGTGCCACCATGCCCAGCTAATTTTTTTGTGTGTGTGTATTTTTAGTAGAGACAGGGTTTCACCATGTTGTCCAGGATGGTCTCAATCTCTTGACCTCGTGATCCGCCCGCCTCAGCCTCCCAAAGTGCTGGGATTACAGGTGTGAGCCAATGCGCCTGGCCTATGGAGCCTTTTAATTTTTTTAATTTATTATTATTTTCTTTTTTTGAGATGGATTCTTACTCTGTCGCCCAGGCTAGAGTGCAGCTGCACGATCTCGGCTCACTGCAGCCTCCACCTCCCGGGTTCAAGCAATTCTCCTGCCTCAGCCTCCCAAACAGCTGGGACTACAGACGCCCGCTGACGCACCCAACTAATTTTTGTATTTTTGGTAGAGATGGGGTTTCACCATGTTGGCCAGGCTGGTCTAGAACTCCTGGCCTCAGGTGATCGGCCCAGCTTGGCTTCCCAAAGTGCTGGGATTACAGGCGTGAGCGACCGCGCCCAGCCAGAGCCTTTCTTTAGTCATACCTTTTTTTCCTTTTTGTCATTTATTCTTCACCACACAGCAGGATCCATGATCTCATATTAATGATATTATATTTGAACAGCTCAAAACTGTCAAATAATATTAATCTTTGATTACAATTAATAACCAGCCCAAGCCAGCTAACAGGACAAAATACAAAATGAGAACACAGGGCAAATAGTGTCCACTTCAGTTCACTCATGCCAATTAGGTAAAAGGAAAAGATAAATTGGCTAATATACTGTAGAATTCCATTTATATAAAATTCAAAATCAGGTACAATTGACTTATGTTGTTAGAAGTCAGGATAGTAATTACCCTTGATGGGGGTAGTAACTGGAAGGGGCCATGAGGAAGGTTTCTGGGGTGCTGGTCATGTGGGGTTTTTTTTGTTTTTTTTCTTTTTGTTTTGTGTTGTTTGTTTGTTTGTTTTTTGAGATGGAGTCTAACTCTGTCGTCCAGGCTGTAGTGCAGTAGTGCAATCTTGGCTCACTGCAACCTCTGCCTCCTGGGTTCAAGCAATTCTCCTGCTTCAGCCTCCCAGGTAGCTGGGATTACAGGTACCCACCACTAAGCCCAGCTAATTTTTGTATTTTTAGTAGAAACGGGGTTTTGCCATGTCGCCCAGGCTGGTCTCGAACTCCTGACCTCAGGTGATCCACCCACCTTGGCCTCCCAAAGTGCTGGGATTACAGGCGTGAGCCACAGCACCTGGCAATGTGCTTTTTCTTAATATGAGTGCTGGGTTACATGGGAATGTTCTGAAAATTCCTTGAGCTGCATACTTATGCTATGTGCATGTTTCAGTATATATGTTATACTTCAATAAGATTTACAAGGAAAAAAAACTATATGAAAGCAGAAGAAAGCACTGATAAAAATATATTTTGGCAAAAAATCTCAGCCTGGTTGCTATCTTAAACCATAAAGCCTACATAAGTGCTGCAAAATGTACTGACTCATGTGTGATTTTTCTGAATCTCTGTAAGAAATAAAGCCTGTGTGAATCATAGATCATTGTTTAAATGTAATAAAAAGCCATTACATATTTAATTGCCAAATTGCCACATGAATGCTAAACACCTTCTTTTTTTTTTTTTTTTTTTTTTTTGAGATGGAGTTTCCCTCTTGTTGCCCAGGCTGGAGTGCAATGGTGTGATCTCGGTTCAGCACAACCTCCGCCTCCCAGGTTCAAGTGATTCTCTTGCCTCAGCCACCAGAGTAGCTGGGATTACAGGCATGCGCCACCATGCCTGGCTAATTTTGTATTTTTAGTAGAGATGGGGCTTCTCCATGTTGGTCAGCCTGGTCTTGAACTCCCGACCTATTCTACTTTCCACTGTCATGTAATGCCCACCTAAAGAGGAAGCTGGCATGCTTGATCGTACCAGTCAAAGTGGACCCTTCCCAGATTGCATCTTAGGGCAGAAGACTGACTCCTACTGTCAGTCAAAGATCTGTCTGAAACAAACTCAGCTTTTGTCCATACTGAGAGGCTACAAGCTCCCCAACATAAACTCTAATATGTAGTTTAGCTTGTGATGGCAGGCTGTGTGAATTAAGCAAAGCTGCTTCACCTCTCAGGGTCTCGGTTTCCTCTCTGAAAATAAATGTACTGTACCACCTCAGAGAGCAGTCTAAACATCAGTAAATTACTATCTTATTACCTAGTTGGAAAGCAATTAATAGCAGTGATTGGAAGCTTAAAAGATTACCTATGGACATTAAATAAACTGCCCAAACATATTGGGAGTGTTTCCTCAGGATTACATAAACAGAAGGGCACTTAACTACACATAAACAAATAAATCAAATCAACAAACCTTTACTATGAGGGGATGCAAAGAATCAGGGACTTGCCCAGTCATCCTCAGGACCAAAATCTCTTGGCTTTATTGTCACCAGGATTTTGGTGTTTTCTTATCTTTTCATATGTGGTCCCCTGTGCTTACAGGATGAAGCCACTACTACAAAAAGCTGAACACCAGATTTAAAGCAAGCCAACTATTTATATGTTCCCAGTCACTGCACAGGAAACTGCGTCCCAGCACTTTTAAGGGCTGTCTCCCATTTTCAAGTGAACTAATAAAGGCATTTAGTCAAGGGAGTGGCCAGTCATGTTGAATTCACGTGGGATTTAGAGTACTCTATAATGATACTTGCTAAATCTGGAGGAGGTATGGGACAACACATGCCAAATGGGCTATTCAGAGATGCATCTGGAAGTTCTGCATGAGATCCACTGTACACTACACAGCAGCAAGTGTGGATTTTTCAATATTAATTGATTGCATAAAGGTCTGTCCACAAGGGCACATGAAAATAGCATCTTGTTCTTCTAAATGCTTGATTTCAGGCTGGGGGTGGTGGCTCACACCTGTAATCCCAGCACTTTGGGAGGCTGAGATGGGTGGATCACCTGAGGTCAGGAGTTCGCAACCAGACTGACCAACACAGTGAAACCCCATCTCTACTAAAAATACAAAAATTAGGCAGGCATGGTGGCACGCACCTGTAATCCCAGCTACTCCGGAGGCTGAGGCAGGAGAATCGCTTGAACCCGGGAGGCAGAGGTTGCAGTGACCCAAGATCATACCATTGCACTCCAGCCTGGGCAACAAGAGCAAAACTCCGTCTCATAAATAAATAAATATATATATATGCTTGATTTCAATCCCTTAAACTAGCTATTTAAATCAGTTAGGAAACCACTCCATAAAACAGAATTACTTATCATAATCACCTCACCCAAAGCATTTCTTGAACACATACTATAGCAAACACTGTACCAGACACTTTTATACATAATCTCAGTTAATGTTTACAGCCTTCTAAGGTAGGCACTCCTTCCCCCCACCCCCCGCCCTTAGGATGGTCTGTTTCTTAAGTGGTAGGCATTCTTATCCCCATTTTAAGAATAAAGAAACTGAGACACCAAGAGTAGCAGGACCTGAACCCAAGCCTGTGTGACCATAAAGCCTGCACTCTTTCCACTAACCCTTGCTGGCTTCTCCAGTAGAAACAGGAGAAAAGTTCATAGTCATTTGTTTGGTTTTTTAGCAATGATTCTCCCTGGAGAAGATAACACCTAAGAATTACACAAATGATTTTAAAACAAGAAAAAAAATAGTTGGCAGAAAAGCAAAAAAAAAAAAAAAAAAAAAAAGAAAGAAAGAAAAAGAAAAAAGAAATCAAATCAAAAATCTAAATTTTAAAAATTGATTTTGTAGTAAAACAAAATTGAAAATATGCATTGGGCAGTTAAACTGGTACAATAAAAGGAGGAAGACTGTGCCAGGTGTTCTCAAGAATCGGTTGTCAGTTCTGGCATCCATAAAAACCAACAGTTTTAACCATTAATGATCTTTCTATTGGGAGTATTGAGTCATGGACTTGGTTTCTCATCTCTGCTCCAACAACAGCTTACCTTTCTGGCCTTGGATATGTCATTAAACTTGTTCTGCTTTAGTTTATCCATCAGTAAAATAAAAATAACGAATACACTAAATCTACCTCACAGACATGTTCTAAAGAACAAATAATCTTAAAACAACAACAGCAGCAACAACGCTTTGAGATCTTATAAGAAATGCCACTGCAGTCAATACATGACTAACCTCCTCGATGCAGAGGAATCCACTCCTTAATGGAAAACAAAAAATCCCAGATAATCATCCCAGCTGATCTAGGGTTGGGGTTCTGAGAGACTCTGCCTCTGAGAGACAGGGGCTTCTTAGAGAGTCCCTCTAAGAGGCAAGAAATGGCTCCTGAACTGCATAATCAAGAGCCAAACAGAGAAATCTGAAGGGTGGTAACAAGCCAAGGCAATGCTACAATGACTCATTCATTCACCCAACCACTCCACAAATACATATTGAGCACCTTCTCTGTACTAGAACTGAATTTCCCTCCCTTTCCTATGGGAACGAGAATAAAGCTGGGCCAAGCCCAGGCACTATGCAGTAGGCTTTATGCCAGAGAGCAATCTCCAGTCTATGGCCCGATGCTCAATGCAGGAGAGGACCCTGGAAAAGGGCAGTCTGAAAATCCTCTTCAAACTATTGTGACGTCTACTTCTCAGTTAGATACAATCTTTCCATTCCCTCTAGATGCCCCTAGCACAGAAGTGCAGAAGTGTGCATACACACCCACACACAATGGTTCTATATTGCTGTGTTACACTATATCTATTTAAATATGTTCCTATGTATGATATGAAATCTTCATATTTGTTTCTTCTGCCTTTCATTAGGCTGCACTAGACAGCTCCATTTCTAGGAAGAAACATACTGTAAACCCATTTGTGGCTGGTCCTCCTTGTGAGCTCCTGCTAAGCTGGTAGGAAGCTTCCCGGTGACTCCATCTTAGTTGGATTGCCTGCAGAGCCTAACACTGTACTTAGGGTGCAGCTTGGGGGGGCCTCTGAAGCAGCTGACTAGGGTCTGGAGGGCAGGGAGTATACTGAAGAAAGGTAGTGTGTCCCTAAGGCTAGGGAAAGCTTACACATACCTATGATGCACACACACAAATATATAAATATATGTACATATGAAAAGTAAAGCAAGAGCATGTTCATTTATTCATAATCTAACACCAAACTGCTACCACCAAGACAGAAATATAATGGCATTTCCCCTCCACCCTGTCCCTCTGTCCCAACCTCTTCAAGCCATTTGGTGGCTTCTGCTACCCCACCCTGTCCCTCTTCTCCCAGTGCAGGCTGCCTCGGGTACTCATTTTGACCTGATTTCAATTCCATCTGGTCAAACATGCTGGGAGGAGGGGAAGGGAGAAGGAGAAGCATGTAAGGATTTGCCACTGGGGCTAGACCTAAGCCCTTGTCACCCTCCCCAACCCTAGGGTGATCCTGCGGTGAGGAAGAAATGGAAAGCTCCAGCTTAAACCCTGAGACAGAAGCCAGAGCTGCCTGCAAACATTTTCTGAGCATCTATTAATATAATTTGCCAGTCTCCATCCATTTGCAGCTCACGTTAAGGGGCCCTGGAAAGCTCTGCAGTGGGTTCAGGAGAGCTATGAATTCCTCGCAATGTGTGAGGCTGTTCCTCCCTGCCTCAGCCCTAAAAGGGCTTGCCTCTTTTCTCTTTCCCCTTCTGTTCCTCCCCTAAGCTCCTTTCTCTCTTGACCTTGAGAGCCCAATGATGTGCTCCTTCCCATTATTGGAAGTCTGGCAAAGGCGACGAGAAGCAGCTGGGGTGGGGAAAAGAAGAGGCAAAGTGACAGGGGAAGAAGGGACAGACCCGAAAGTGCTGGAAACATTCCCTGCCATCTCCTAGTACTCCACAGCATAAGAGCAAGTCCTCATCACGCCCAACTGGGGAAAGCAGCCCAGCCCCCAGGTTGCAGAGGAGATGTTTTGGCCAGTCACCTTCCGTGATTGATTCCAACTCTGCAGAGGGGAAAACCTGCAGAGGGCCTGGCTCTGGTCATCCACAGAAGGCAAGGTGGGGATTACGGACTGTTTGCGGGAGAGAAAAAGCAGACTTTGCAGATTTTGTAGATTACCCCACACACAAAACAAAATAAAACAAAACATCTAGCTCTCCCTTGAGAGAAGGGGAAGAAACAAGAGCTTAGTGACCTTTATTTGGGCCAAGAATGCTTTGTCTCAAGGATCCAGATACATACCCAGGTGGCTGGAGGAATACTATCAGCTGTCTGCCTGGGATGAGGAATACCAGTCAGCCCCTAAAAATTGCTTGTTTTAGTAGCCCATTTTTCCCAGCTCTTTTCCTCTTTCCCTTTTGTTCTGCTCTAAAATAAATAAACTCTCCGCTTGCTAAACTCTTAGCTCACAGGGAGGGAATCAGACTTGTATACTGGTTGCCCGGACTTTGGGTGTGTGCTGGAAGGAGGGAAGGGCTCCTGCCAATGACAGGTGCTACGCAGGTCTCAGCCTTCTGGTTTACTTGGGATGGGGGGTATTCGCTGCGCAACCCCTCCCCCAACTGGCATTCAGTGGCTCCAGAACAGCATAGCCCACAAAAGAAATCGCTCTTGCCCAGCTGCTCCTTCCGAGCTGCAAAGTTGTTGAGAACGGAGGGTCCAGGTGGGGATAGGGGCTAAGGGGGTGGGACCAGAAACTGAGAAGGAAAAAAGGGGAGAGGTCCTCGCAATCCCATGGGAGTGCGCTCCTCATCACCCGTTTGCTTCACTTACCATCTCACTGTAGGCATCCTTGCTGAGCCTGGGGGTCAGCTTGATAGTCCCCATGAAAACAAAGAAGAGTCCCAGGGCCACTGAGAGGGCCACAATAGTTACGGTTCTGGGGGATGCCATGGGGTCGCCAAGGCAGGTCCCAACTAATCCTTCTGATTTGCGCACCCGCTCTGTCCAAGGTGCAGGCAGTTAGCACAGGGAGAGCTGGGGGGACGCTGCGGAGGCAGCAGGCAGCTAGAATGACAAAGGGAGAGGAGGGAGCTCGAGAGAAAAATTGAGAGATCGAGATTCAACCACTCTCACTACAACAAACGCTGGGTCCTAATGCCCTACGTGTGCTCACAGGCCAAAAGGACAGTCTCGAAGTTAAATGAAGCCCTAAAGGAAAGACGGAAACTTCAAATCTTAAATGGGGAGAAGGGAGGTTATGTATGAGTTCAGTCACCAAGTGACCCCAGGAATGAGGAATTAGGGAAGACAGGCTTTGCTGCCACCTTCCCACCGGGCTCACTTTTCATCTCCCCCTCCCACTTATCATCCTTCAGTTATTCACTCCCTTTTTCCATCTCTTCCTTTGTGTCCCCCTTTCCTTTTCCTAAATCAAAATATTAGCCCTCAGAGAGTTGTTTCTGAAGTTCGTAACACTCAAGGATAAAACTGCAAATTTGTCAGCCTTCAATGCTGCCAAAGAAGGCTTCCTCTTTCTCTTGCTCAGAAATCTTTAATGACTCTCATAGCCAGTGGTTAACTCCAGTTTTAAATTTGGAATTCAAGGCCCTCCACATTTTGACCCCTGTCTCTCTTTGGAGATTTAGTTTTCAATGGCTCCCACTGCCACACGCCACCACTCATCTATCTACTCACGGCCTCACACAACCTACGCCTTACCACCTCCTCTACCTTTAACTCCCTATCTTTTGACCCCGCCCCCCACCATCACTCTTCATTAGCATTAAACCTTTTCTTTAATGTCACCTCCTCTATAAAGCCTTTCCTGATCCATTGTCAGTTAGATATGATTTCTCCCTCCTCCAATTTTCTATAACAATAACCAATAATTGTCAACTGTTTACTAGATGCTAGACGCTGCCCTCTACTTGTATTAACTAATTTAATCTTTACAGCAACACTATGGACTAGGTATGAGTCCCCATGCTATGAATGGGCACATTGAGGGGCTGGGAAGGTAGGTAACTTGCCCAGGAGTATACAGCTAGTAAGTGGAGAGCCAGGCCTCAAACCTAGGCAGTCATTTCTAGGGCCCAGGCTCTTAACAATTGCTCTGCTGCCTCTCCTGTAATATTTTTCACTATTAGTGTGGTACTTAAAGTTGTTTAGCACTGTAAATGCTCACGCACACACACACAGAGTTTTGTTTTGTTTAGAGACAAAGTCTCACTCAAGTGATCCTCCATCTCAGCCTCCGGAGTAGCTGGGATCACAGGCACATGCCGCCATGCCTGGCTAATTTTTTTATTTTTTGTGGAGTCAGAGCCTTGTGATGTTGTCCAGGCTGATTTCTAACTCCTGGATTCAAGGGATCCTTCCGCCTCGGCCTCCCAGAGTGTTGCGATTACAGGCATGAGCCACGGAGCCCAGCCCTACACGATTTTTTTTTTTTTTGAGACCCTGCAGAGGGTCTCCCTCTGCAACCTCAACCTCGTGGGCTCAAGTGAGAGGCTCTCTCTTGTAGCTGGGACTACAAGTCTCTCAAGTAGCTGGGACTACAGGCACGTGTCACCACACCCGGGTAATTTATTTTTTATTTTCTGTAGACATGGGGCTACCTTATGTCAACCAGGCTGGTCTTGAACTCCTGGGCTCCAGCGATCCTCCTGCCTTGGCCTGCCAAAGCATTGGGATTACAGGCATGAGCCACCATGCTCAGCCCTAAACAATCATTTTTAATGATTGTATAAAACTTTAGCATCACTTGAATGTACTATAGTTCTCATTCATTTTGCATCCTATTGCTAGATATTGATGTTGTTTCCATGGTTTTTACTTTTACAAATAAAAATGTGATGCATGGCCAGGCGTGGTGGCTCACGCCTATAATCTCAGCAATTTGGGAGGCCGAGGCAGGCAGATCACCTGAAGTCAGGAGTTCAAGACCAGCCTGACCAGCATGGTGAAACTGTAACCTCCCAAGGGGTTCACCTTGCCCGCTGCCTAGACAGAGCCCATTCATCAAGACAGGGGAATTGCAACAGAGAAAGAGTAATTCACGCAGAGCCCACATGCGGGAGACCAGAGTTTTATTACTCAAATCAGTCTCCCTGACCATTTGGGGAGCAAAGTTTTTTGTTTGCTTGTTTTGTTGTGCTTTTTTGAGACAAAGTCTTGCTCTGTCGCTCAGGCTGGAGTGCAGTGGTGCAATCTAGGCTTGCTGCAACCTCCACCTCCTGGGTTCAAGTGATTTTCCTGCCTCAGCCTCCCCAGTAGCTGGGATTACAGGCATATGCCACCACACCTGGATAATTTTTGTATTTTTAGTAGAGACAGGGTTTCACCATATTGGCCAGGCTGGTCTCGAACTCCTAACCTCAGGTGATTTGCCCGCCTCGGCCTCCCAAAGTGCTGGGATTACAGGTGTGAGCCACCATGCCTGGCCGGGGAGCAGAGTTTTTAAGGATAACTTGGTAGGTCGGGGAAAGCCAGTGAGCCAGGAGTGCTGATTGGTCAAGGATGAAATCATAGGGAGTCAAAGCTGTTTTCTTGTGCTGAGTCAGTTCCTGGGTGGGGGCCATAAGATCACATGAGCCAGTTTATTGATCTGGGTGGTGCCAGCTGATTTATCAAGTGCAGGGTCTACAAAATATCTCAAACACTGATCTTTGGAGCAGTTTAGGGAGGCTCAGAATCTTATAGCCTCCAGCTGCATGACCCCTAAACCATAATTTCTGATCTTGTGGCTAATGTTAGTCCTACAAAGGCAATCTAGTCGCCAGGCAGGAAGGAGGTCTGCTTTGGGAAAGGGCTGTTACCATATTTGTTTAAACTATAAACTATAAACTACATTTCTCCCGAAGTTAGTTCAGCCTACCCCCAGGAATGAACAAGAACAGCTTGGAGGTTAGAAGCAAGATGGAGTCAGCTAAGTTAGATCTCTTTCACTCTCTCAGTCATAATTTTACAAAGGCGGTTTCAATCCCTCCCTTTGGGTTTTATAATACCTTAATCTTAAGGTATAGGCTATGAAGATGGGAAAAGGCCATCAATCACTCTGGCCTCTTCCTGCTGACAGGGGATGTAGTGGGATTGGGAGTGAACCCCAAGGTGAGAAGAGTGGAACTGCTTTACAATTAATTGTCTGAGCATACTCATGCCGGCCTGGTTGAGCTTCCAAGGCTTGTATGGCAAAAACATTAGTACTCTCATCTATAGTTTTACTACAGTGTTTAAGTGAACAGCCTATTTTACCTTATAAGGTAAATAATGAGTCCTAGGATGAGGAGTACAATTCCCAATTTTAAAAGCAGAGATTTGAAAGCATTAGTTTGGGGACTTCTAACCCACAAACAATTTAGAATTTAGTCTAAACTGCAGAAAAAAACTCAAGAACAGCTAACAACAGTGTACTATAGTTTTTTGAAGCATAATTTTTCTCTCTCCAGTCCCCATTTTTATTAAAAACAACATGATAGAACTGATTTGTTTACAAAATAAGCTTTAGTCTTACTGTATGTGGCCTGATTATTTGCATAAAGTGCAGCAAGAATATTTTTCACTTAGGGTTTTTTAATTGGCTTTGCTAGAACTCTGTTCCATGAAGAATCTCAGATAAGATGTTTTAAAAGCCGAGCCCAGCCGTGGGTTTGCACCCTCAAATACCTATGAGTTGGGCAAATTCCTCTCCTCTTGAGGTCCCAAGATAACTTGGGGTTCCTGGGCCTGTTAGAAAGTGACATTCTTTACTTACCACAGGACAGGAACCTTGCACAGGGACTCTGTGTGGATAAGGTATGAGGCCAGATGCCTCAATGGGCTTTAATTTGCTCTATAAGTCAACTTTGATTATTTAAAGGAAGCATGCCATTCCAGTCAAAGCCTTGGTAAAGTAACCAATTTCTCCAATTGTGTCCTGTTACAAAAGAAAACAAATTCTTATTGAATTTATGCAATTAACTATACTGCCATAAATTGAGAATACTCACAGATAGTTTCCAAATTCTGGAGAAATCAGGTAGAGAGGAACAAATATGCTCCAAATTTTGTCCACAGCAGTATATTTTACTCACTTGTTAACAGTTGCAAATAGCTCTAAAGAAATAAGTTCTCTTGACTCTGAAAACAAAGGGTCTAGCAATGTTTAATACATTAGCTCTCCATGAGAGTCCTAGAAGATTGGTTTTTCCTCTATTCCAATAGCTCAATTTTTAAAGTTATCTGAGACCTGCATTCAGAGTCCTATATCTGATTATAAACTGCCTTTTGAAAAGGACCAAAGGAAGACAAAATGTCTGTGGATGACAAAAGTCTATAGCCACTATTAAAGCTACAATTGGCTAGGAATTTTGGTTACTTCTGTGGCATACAACAATTTTACATATCAATTATGATTATTGATAATGTACACTAAATTATATCAACATTATAGAAGTTTCCCGTAATTTTGGAACACATACCAATAACATATTTATACAAATACAGTCCAAAGAAAACCAAACACCATTCACTCTTCTATTTGAAAGTATTTTTCAATTCTAATTTTACAATCTCCCAGAGTAATTAATCAGAAACTCACATTTAGGAGCACCTGTTAAATTTTATAGCTGATTATAAAATCATCTTTTAAAGAGGACCAAAGTGAGACAACAATTGTCTGTGGATGACAAAAACATTTTAGGGCAGCCACAGTTAAAGGCACAATTGACAAGGAAATTTACCTCTGTGGCACACAGTCATTTAACGTAATAATTATAATTATTACTGATAACATATACTAAGTCATATTAGAATTATAGCAGTTTTTGGCCAGGTGTGGTGGCTCATGCCTGTAATTCCAACACTTTGGGAGGCCGAGGTGGGCAGATCACGAGGTCAGGAGATTGAGACCATCTTGGCCAACATGGTGAAACCCTGTTTCTACTAAAAATACAAAAATTAGCTGGGCATGGCGGCACGCGCCTGTAGTCCCAGCTACTTGGGAGGCTGAGGCAGGAGAATCGCTTGAACCTGGGAGGCAGAGGTTGCAGTGAGCCGAGATCGTGCCACTGCACTCCAGCCTGGTGACAGAGCCAGACTCTGTCTCAAAAAAAAAAAAAAGAAAGAAAGAAAGAAAGAAAAAGAATTATAGCAGTTTTACATAATTTTGGAACATATACCAATGACACATTTACACAAATACAGACCAAAGAAAGCCAAACACCATTTCATATTTGACAATGCTTCCTGTATGGTTTTTGTACCAAATAAGCCAAATGTCATTTTTGGACTTTAGAGGACCTAATATCTAAAATATTAGGTTAGAAAGAGACATAATTTATAATTTGATTTTGGAAAGTTTGTCAAATATCAAAGATTTTTTTTTTTTTTTTTTTTTTGAGACGGAGTTTCGCTCTTGTTACCCAGGCTGGAGTGCAATGGCATGATCTCAGCTCACCGCAACCTCCGCCTCCCAGGTTCAAGCAATTCTCCTACCTCAGCCTCCCGAGTAGCTGGGATTACAGGCATGCACCACCACGCCTGGCTAATTTTGTATTTTTAGTAGAGATGGGGTTTCTCCATGTTGAGGCTGGTCTCGAACTCCTGACCTCAGGCGATCTGCCTACCTCGGCCTCCCAAAGTGCTGGGATTATAGGCATGAGCCACCGTGCCTGGCCTTTAAATATCAAAGATTTAAAGCACCGGATATCACAAAATAGAATCCCAGGTTACTATAAGTCATTCATTTGACCAAAATGATAACTCCAAAAAATTGTTTAAAAAAAAAAAAACTGTGGCCTGGTGCGGTGGCTCACACCTGTAATCCCAGCACTTTGGGTGGCCGAGACAGGTGGATCACCTGAGGTCGGGAGTTCGAGACCACGCTGGCCAACATGGCGAAACCCTGTCTCTACTAAAAATACAAAAAATTAGCCGGGCGTGGTGGTGCACACCTGTAATCCCAGCTACTCAGGAGGATGAAGCAGGAGAATTGCTTGAACTCGGGAGGTAGAGGTTGCAGTGAGCCGAGATCGTGCCACCACACTCCAGCCTGGGCGACAGAGGGAGACTCCGTCTCAAAAAAAAAAAAAAAAGAAAACCTTTGCTCTGATGGAGGAGACTTAGCTTTCCAAACAAGACCCAATAAAGATGGCATTAGGCTAACTAAATTTGTCTCTTCTCTGTCTTCCCTTTTTTCCCTGCAATTTACTCAAAGGAAGAAATAAAACCCTTTCATTATCTTTTAACATTACATAAAAATCATCTTCAAAGGAGAAAACCAAATTTCATGTTTGCATTAGTGCATCTTTAATGTTAAGGCTAGTTTTTTAAATAACATTTTATATCTCTATCCAGTTTTAATTAGTTGACCATAAGGTAAGGTTTTCATGAACTTTTTAGAACGCTCTACAATTTTCCATCAAACAGATCCATTTTTTAAGAAAATCCTCTTCTAAGAAAACCCTGTTTTCTTAGAAAATTGATGGGCCTGGATTCTGGCCCCAGAACAGTATCATTTCAACGTTTTAACCTACGGAAAAAAGCTAAATAATTTCTTTTAAATCCTAGCCAACTTGTTTATATCCACAGAATTTTTTTTATAAGACTGACCCTTTACAAACCCTTTTCATTTTGCTTAAACCTTCGGTTTTGCTCTGTTACTCTTTTAGGTTAAAACAATCCTTAAGGCCAGGAGTGGTGGCTCACGCCTGTAATCCCAGCACTTTGGGAGGCCGAGGTGGGTGGATCACAAGGTCAAGAGATCTAGACCATCCTGGCCAACATGGTGAAACCCCGTCTCCACTAAAAATATAAAAATTAGCTGGGCATGGCGGCACATGCCTGTCGTCCCAGCTACTCAGGAGGCTGCAGCAGGAGAATCGCTTGAACCCGGGAGGCAGAAGTTGCAGTGAGCCGAGATCACGCCACTGCACTCCAACCTGGCGACACAGAGGGAGACTCTGTCTCAAAAAAAAAAAAAAAAAAAAAAAGACAATCTTTAAAATCCTCTGAACTAGACAAAATTACATTCCCTTTAACAAAAGCCATATTCCCAATGCTTTTACATGTATGTAAAACTGTTTCTCCAGTGTTCTTAATTACATGTTACAAAGTTAACTCTTAGCAACTTTTATTTTTAGTGAAAAACCTGATAAGTAAGTAATTTTAATTAGGTACTGGGGTGGAGCCTAGGACAGACGGAAATGAAGATAAGGTCTGACTCTTTTTAGCATAGCTAGCTGGCATAGCTCTCCGTATGTCCCCAGGCCTTATCTATAATCCAATGCTCCAAAGTAGGTAAATCGAACAATTTTCAAAAGTCAAAGAAAGTTTGACCTTAAAGCATTTAGCAAATCTGATATCTGACCTTAATTTAGAACAAATGTCTGCATTTTCAAGACATTTTATTTTACCAATAATCTTTAAAACTGTTTTTATTTCCAAAAGATTACTAAAGTCTTGAGAACAAAAAAGCATTAGTTTCTATTTTTCTGACAAAATATTTAAGTGCTTATTTTTCTAAGCCAATTAATCAAAGGGGTTTTTGTTTGTTTGTTTGTTTGTTTTTGTTGTTGTTTTTTGTTGGTTTGTTTGTTTTTTGAGACAGAGTTTCACTCTTGTCGCCCAGGCTAGAGTGCAGTGGCACGATCTTGGCTCACGGCAACCTCCACCTCCCTGGTTCAAGCGATTCTCCTGCCTCAGCGTCCTGAGTAGCTGGGATTACAAGCATGCGCCACCATGCCCGGCTAATTTTTGTATTTTTAGTAGAGATGGTTTCACCACGTTGGCCAGGCTGGTCTCAAACTCCTGACCTCAGGTGATTCCCCCCAACCTCGGCCTCCCAAAGTGCAGGGATTACAGGCATGAGCCACCATGCCTGGCAATCAGAGCTCTTTTATATATAAACATCACACACACACACACACACACACACACACACACACACACACACACACACGCAATATATATATATAAATACAGACAGACAGAAGATTCGGCACTTGTAGGAGCCACCGCACCCAGTCTCTATGCATTTTTTAAAGAGTTATTCCTGGCTGGGTGTGGTGGCTCACGACTGTAATTCCAACACTTTAGGAGGCCAAGGCAGGAGGACCACTTGAGCCCAGGAGTTCCAGATCAGCCTGGCAACATAGTGAGACCCCATCTCTACAATGAAATTAAAAAAAAAGTTAGCTGTGTGTGTGGGCATGAGCTCGTAGTCCCAGCTACTTGGGAGGCGGAGGAGGGAGGATATCTTGAGCCCGAGTTCAAAAGAGTTATTCTTAGGAGTTTTATGCTATTTTTGTCATCATTAATGCATTTTTATTCCATTATATCTTCTAGCTGGTTGTTGCTGGCTTACAGGAAAACTATTGATTGTTATTTGGCCGCTTTTCTGAACTCTCTTCTTAAATATCTGAGTGTTTCAATTGATGCCCTTGGGTGTTCTCTTGATAGACAAACAAATTAACTGGAAATAATGGTAATTTATGTATCTCTTTCAATAGTTATTCCTAATTTCTTTTTCAAATCTTACAGTATTAGCTACAAGTCAGCTTTTAACATTTACTTAGCCTGGGCCAAGAGTACGATTGGAGGCCTACTTACAACACATCAAGGAACCATGAATTGGAACACAAAGAGAAGCAAGAAAACCTATGCTTGTTACTACTGGGAAACAATCATTGTTATGGAAGAATCTATCGCTCTTGAGACAGAAAGGATTTGACAAGTTAATTTGTCTTTTCTCTCACTAAGCACATCTGCTACTCAGATTTTCCTTGTACTTCTAAGCAGTGTCTGATATAGTGAGCAGCAGCATAACTCACAAAACTTCATGGCTTGTAGATGGATTTGCCTTTTGTTCCAAGTATATAGATTGAGAGATAGGAAGTATTCCCCTTAAGTTTGAATGATGTTAATCATGAGAGTGGAGGTTTAGGATTATGTGGTGTGCTGTACCAACACTAAGTACTAGATCCCAAGTGACACAAGTGCCTGTGTCTTTTTAAATAAATTTGAGTATTTACAATATGAGATATCCTTTAAAGCATGAGCCCCAGGGCAGAAGCCCCTCTAAGGATGATACTGGTTATTCAGAACACTATTAAGCACTTGTAAATGGCAGCAGCCTAGCTTTGTCCTTGACTCCAGTGAGAATGCTTTTAGTTAGAAGAAAGCTATAATTTACAGAGGGTTTGGCCAGGCACAGTGGTTCACGCCTGTAATCCCAGCAGTTTGGGAGGCCGAGGCAGGCGGATCACCTGAGGTCAGGAGTTTGAGACCACCCTGTCCAACATGGTAAAACTCCATCTCTACTAAAAATACACACACACAAACACAAATTAACTGGGCGTGGTGGTGGGCGTCTGTAATCCCAACTACTTGGGAGGCTGAGGCAGAAGAATCGCTCGAACCCGGGAGGCAGAGGTTGCAGTGAGCCGAGATCATGCCACCATACTCCAGCCTGGGCGACAGAGTGAGGCTCTGTCTCAAAAAAAAAAAAAAAAAATTATGGAGGGTTTATCATGTATCAAGTGCCATTCTAAGTGTTTTGCCTACATAATCTCATTCATTCAATACAGCAACCCCCCAAAGTAGGAACCATTATTATTAGGTTTTGATTTATTATGTAATTTGCTCAAAGTCACATGCCTATATATTCCTGAGCTGGGATTTTTATATTTTTTTAATAAAAATAGAGACAGGGTCTCACCATGTTGCCCAGGCTGGTCTTGAACTCCTGGGCTCAGAGGATCCTCCCACCTGGGCCTCCCAAAGTGCTGGGATTACAGGTGTGAGCCACCTCACCCACACATAAACTGAAATTTTAAACCCAGGTTCGTCCGAAACCAAAAGCCCATTTTATTAACTACCACATTTTTACTAACTTCCTTTTTCTCATTTATCATAATGCTGGCTATTGGTTTGAGATGGATATGCTTTATCTTTACTTGGCTCTAGAGGCAAAATAGAATACTGGATTTTTTTTTTTTTTTATCGCTTCTTGGCCTTTTGGTTAAGATCAAGTGTAGAATACTGGATTTTTTATTTTTATTTTTTTCCAGATGGAGTCTTGCTCTGTTGCCCAGGCTGGAATGCAGTGGCACGAGCTCGTCCCACTGCAACCTCCACCTCCGGGGTTCAACCAATTCTCTTGCCTCAGCCTCCCAAGTAGCTGGGATTACAGGCACCCACCACCATGCCTGGCTAATTTTTGTATTTTTAGTAGAGATGGGGTTTCACAATGTTGGCTAGGCTGGTCTTGAACTCCTGACCTCAGGTGATCCACCCACCTCGGCCTCCCAAAGTGCTGGGATTACAGGCATGAGCCACTGTGCCCCGCCAGAATACTGGATTTTTTTACTTTATCTTGGAACTGAGCTGAGATCCAATACTTGATTCCCACAAAGGGGCGGCCTTCTTTATTGTCTGTTAAGGCCTAAGAAATTCTGCTGTTTTCTCTCTCATTCCTTACATCCTAATGCGTAGATTCTTGTAGTTTTTTGCTTAAACTATAAAGGTCTCTGGGTGGTGAGTGCACCAGGGTTCACCAATTCACATGCCTACTAGGGGTGAGGAATAAATGCATAAACCTGGTGAGACATTGGGCAATAGATATTGAGTTTTTTGGCTTGTGACTCCTGAATACTCTGGAAATTCTGGGTTGACCACTAATTAGGCCACCAGTTATAGTGCAGACCATCATGTACTCTTCAGTGGTTCTCAGAATGGGTCTGAGAACCCCAAGCGGTCTATTATTTCCTCAAGGTAATTAATGGGCTGGTCTCTAAGAATATTAGTGTTACTTTGTTTCTGCTTTGCTTTTACTTGGTGTCTTATCCAAAGAAGCATCATTTTCCCTTTTTTTTTTTTTTTTTTTTGAGACGGAGTTTCGCTCTTGTTGCCCAGGCTTGAGTGCAATGGCGCAATCTCGGCTCACCACAACCTCCGCCTCCGAGGTTCAAGCGATTCTCCTTCCTCAGCCTTCCCGAGTAGCTGGGATTACAGGCATGCACCACCATGCCCGGCTCATTTTGTATTTTCAGTAGAGATGGGGTTTCTCCATGTTGGTCAGGCTGGTCTCAAACTCCTGACCTCAGGTGATCCGCCCGTCTCTGCCTCCCAAAGTGCTGGGATTACAGGCATGAGCCACCGTGACCGGCTTTCCCCATTTGTTATGAAATAGGTTTCCTATGACATGTACCAGGTAGGTGGTCTGCATAGCCTTTTACCTTCTCACAGGTGGTCCCCATTGAAAGACCATGAAATCCATAGCAGAATAACATAACCACACCTCCCATAGGGTCACAACTTCATGACTTGCTCTGCAGGATGAAAGGGAGATGCCTTAATTTTTTTTTTTTCCTTTTTGAGGTGGAGTCTCTCTCTGTTGCCCAGGCTGGAGTGCAGTGGCATGATCTCGGCTCACTGCAACCTCTGCCTCCTGGGTTCAAGCGATTCTCCTGCTTCAGCTTCCCAAGTAGCTGGGATTACAGGCAAACGCCATCATGCCTGGTTAGTTTTTGTATTTTTAGTAGAGATAGGGTTTCACCATGTTGGCCAGGCTGGTTTTGAACTCCTGATCTCAGGTGATCAACCTGCCTTGGCCTCCTAAAGTGTTGGGATTACAGGCATGAGCCACCACACCTGGCCGGGATGCCTTAATTTTATCACTAGCTATCATCTAGGGAGTAATCACTCTGTGCTAGGCATTGTACAATTACAGTCCATTACATACACCAGTACATTCAATCCTTCATGACAGCCCATGAAACAAAGCCCAGTGGGTTCTATTAGTATGCCAATTTTTATAGATGGGAAAATTGGGGCTCAGAGCAGTTCGGCCATTTGCCCAAGGTCATCTTCTCATAAGTAGCAGAGCTAGAAATGAAATCTGCACAACAGCAGAGCCTAATTTTTTTTATTATACTTTAAGTTCTAGGGTACATGTGCACAATGTGCAGGTTTGTTACATAGGTATACATGTGCCATGTTGGTTTGCTGCACCCATTAACTCGTCATTTACATTAGGTATTTCTCCTAATGCTATCCCTCCCCCTGCCCTCCACCCCATGACAGACCCCAGGGTGTGATGTTCCCCACCCTGTGTCCATGTGATCTCATTGTTCAATTCCCACCTATGAGTCAGAACATGTGGTGTTTGGTTTTCTGTCCTTGTGATCGTTTGCTGAGAATGATGGTTTCCAGCTGCATCCATGTCCCTGCAAAGGACATGAACTCATCCTTTTTTATGGAACAGAGCCTATTTTCTTGAATAGGCTCTTAACCTTCTCTGGCATTAGTATCACCTGGAAATTTGTTTTTTAATGCATATATCTGAGGCCTGCCCACAAAGATTTGTGTTTAATTGGTCTAAAGTAGGGTCCCTGGGACAGGTATTTTGAAAAAGCTTCCCTGCCGGGTGCGGTGGCTCACACCTGTAATCCCTGTACTTTGGGAGGCTGAGGCGGGCAGATCACCTGAGGTCAGGAGTTCGAGACCAACCTGGCCAACATGATGAAACCCCATGTCTACTAAAAATACAAAAACTAGCCAGGCGTGGTGGCAGGTGCCTGTACTCCCAGCTACTCGGGAGGCCTGAGGCAGGAGAATCACTTGAACCCGGAAGGCAGAGGTTGCAGTGAGCTGAGATTGTGCCACTGCACTCCACCCTGGGCAACAAGAATGAAACTCCTCCGTCTCAAAAAAAAAAAAAAAAAAAAAAAAAGCTTCCCAATGACCTGATGTGCAGTCACCCTAATGAACACTGATCTTTGCTTCATTGCCTAAAAACTCAGTGACCTCAGCTGTACCTCAGGGAAATACAAGGCATAAGGTGGAAAAATTGAAATAAAAAGAGAAACAAGGTTATGGTAGTGTATTATATTCAATGTGTGCCTCTCTCTCTGTCTACTGTAGGCAATATATGTTCTTTATAAGGTAGGTGTGAATAGCAGCTCTGACTTGAGCTTGCACAGTAATGGCTCTTTCCTCAGCTTCACAAGATAGTGCTAATCGAGACCCTCCACAGGATCAGGCTGAATGTGTCAGATATATCAAAAACCTCAGCTGACAGGTAGCTATACTTGGCAAATACTGCTCTTCGATTTTAACTCTTTGAGTTTCTTCCAAAAGAGAACTAAGATAACATTGTACTTGCATCAGCTTTTGGTAGCAGTCAAGACTAAGAAACTGAGCCGAACTCGGGATATGCCCAGCTCTTTGCAGAAATACTGTGTTCTGTGAGCACAGCCTCTGTACTGTGTACTCCTCCAGAGTAGAATCTCTTGCCTATTGTCTGGTCTTCCTGGAGAGATAGGGACAGACCTGAGCATCCCCAAGGATCTCTGAACATTGAGCCCTAAGAAAAGCACAAGCTCCCTATTGCACACAAGTTCCTTCTCAGCTTCATTACAGTGATAGGCTCTTCTGCCCGTTAAGGGAGGCACTGGAGTACAAAGCAGAGTTCCTCTGAGTGTACTCTCCAGTCCAGCAACATCAGCATCACTTGGGAATTTTTTAGAAATGCATATTCTCAGGTCTACTGAATCAGGAAACTCTGGAGATGGGACCCAGCAATCTGTGTTTTAACAAGCCCTCCAGAGAATTCTGATGCACACTAATGCTTGAGAATCACTGGTTAAAAGTTGAAAGATAAAAAGTGGAGACATGGGGCCAGGCACGGTGGCTCACGCCTGTAATCCCAGCACTTTGGGAAGCCGAGGAGGGCGGATCACAAGGTCAAGTGTTCGAGACCAGCCTGGCCAACATGATGAAACCCCATCTCTACTAAGAATACAAAAATTAGCCAGGCGTGGTGGTGTGTGCCTGTAATCCCAGCTACTCGGGAGGCTGAGGCAGGAGAACGACTTGAACCCGGGAGGCGGAGGTTGCAGTGAGCCGAGATTGTGCCACTGCACTCCATCCTGGGCAACAGAGCAAGACTCTGTCTCGAAAAAAAAAAAAAAAAAGAAGTGGAGATATGGGCATCAGATAGCTGAATTCAAGTTTTGGTTCCACCACTTACTGTGTGGCCTTGAATAAGTTAGTTACCCCTCTCTAAGTCTCAGCTACCTCCTCTGTAAAATACAGGTACCACTTTTCTCACGTGTAAAATAAGGACCCACATGAGATAATGCACGTTGTGCACTTAGCACAGTGTGAGGCACAGAGTAAGGATTCAATACATGTTGAATATTTGTTATTATTACATGTGTAGTTCTCGATAATCATTTTCATTTCCAACTAATTGTTTTTCTTTGGCAAAATAAAAATTATAAGTTCAGAAACTGGGCAGATGTGGTGGCTCACGCCTGTAATCTAGCACTTTAGGAGGTCGAGCGGGGTGGGTCACTTGAGGTCAGGGGTTTGAGACCAGCTGGGCCAATATGGCAAAACCCTGGCTCTTCTAAAAATACAAAAATTAGCCGGGCATGGTAGCACATGCCTGTAATCTCAGCTACTTGGGAGGCTGAGGCAGGAGAATCGCTTGAACTCAGGAGTCGGAGGTTGCAGTGAGCTGAGATCACACCACTGCACTCCAGCCTGGGCAACACAATGAGACTCTGTCTCAAAAAAAAAAAAGTTCAGAAACCAAATAACACATATTGATAATGCAATGGGGATGGGGCAGAAAGTATTTCATCTACCAGTTTCTTCCTTTCTTTCTTTTTTGAGATGGAGTTTCGCTCTTGTTGCCCAGCCTGGGCGTGATCTTGGCTCACCGCAACCTCCATCTCCCGGGTTCAAGCAATTCTCCTGCCTCAGCCTCCTGAATAGCTGGGATTACAGGCATGCGCTACCACACCCGGGTAATTTTGTATTTTTAGTAGAGACGGGGTTTCTCCACGTTGGTCAAGCTGGTCTCGAACTCCTGATCTCAGGTGATCTGCCCACCTCGGCCTCCCAAAGTGTTGGGATTACAAGCGTGAGCCATTCAGCCTGGCCTCATCTACCAGTTTCTTTACAGAATCATGGAACATAAAAGTGAGGATAATAGCCAAGATATAGAGTCAACCTAAATGCCCGTCAACGATAGACTGGATCAAGACAATGTGGTACATATACCCCATGAAATTCTGTACAGCCATAAAAAAGAACGAGATCATGTCCTAAGTGAATTAACGCAGGAAACCAAATACCACGTGTTCTTACTTACAAGTGGGAGCTAAACATTGAGTACACATGGACACAAAGAGGGGAACAATAAACACCAGGGTCTGGTGGTGGAGGGTGGAGGGTGGGAGGAGGATTGAAAAACTTCCTATTGGGGCTGGGCGCGGTGGCTCATGCCTGTAATCCCAGCACTCTGGGAGGCTGAGGCAGGCAGATCCCTTGAGGTCAGGAGTTCAAGACCAGCCTGGCCAACATGGTGAAACCCCATCTCCACCAAAAATAGAAAAAATAGCCAGGCGTGGTAGCATGTGCCTGTAGTCCCAGCTACTCAGGAGGCTGAGGCAGGAGAATCTCTTGAACCTGGGAGGTGGAGATTGTAGTGAGCCGAGATTGTGCCACTGCACTCCAGCTTGGGCGACAGAGGGAGATCCTGTTTAAAAAAAAAAAAGCAAAAAGAAAGAAAGAAAAAAGAAAGACTACCTATCAGGTACTATGCTTACTACCTGGGTGATGAAATAATCTGTACACCAAACCCCTGAGACATGCAATTTATCTATATAACAAACCTGCACATGTACCCCTGAACCTAAAATAAATGTTAAAAAAAAAATTTAAAAAGGCCAGGTGCAGTGGTTCACGCCTGTAATCCCAACACTTTGGGAGGCTGAGCTGGGAGGATCACTTGAGCCCTGGAGTTCGAGACCAGTCTGGGCAACATGGCGAATTTGGTGTCTCTACCAAAAAATTTTTAAAAATTAGCTGGGGCCGGGCACAGTGGCTCATGCCTGTAATCCCAGCACTTTGTGGGGCCGAGATGGGCAGATCACCTGAGGTCAGGAGTTCAAGACCAGCCTGGCCAACATGGTGAAACCCTGTCTCTACTGAAAATACAAAAATTAGCCAGGCATGGTAGTGCACGCCTATAAACCCAGCTATTTGGGAGGCTGAGCCAGGGAGAATTGCTTGATCCTTGGAGGCAGAGGTTGCAGTGAGCCAAGATCGTGCCACTGCATTCCAGCCTAGGTAACAGAGCGAGAGTCCATCTCAAAAAAAAAAAAAAATTAACTGGGTGTGGTGGTGCGTACCTGTGGTCCCAGCTGCTTGGGAGGCTGAGGTGAGAGGACCACTTGAGCCCATGAGGTCAAGGCGGCAATTAACTGTGAGCACACCACTGCACTCCAGCCTGGGTGACAGAAGGAGATCCTGTTTCAGAAAAAAGAAAGTAAGTAGACTTCTCCACTCCCACTGCTTCGCTTGACTAGTCTAAGGAAGGAGAAAAAAAGGAAGAAAAGTAGAAAGTAGTGTCTTTATTAAGAGTTTACTGATGATGATTTGGAGAGGATGGAAATTATAGCCTCTGGGGAGTTGTAGAATTTGTGCCCTTGGTGTTGAGTCTCAGGCATGAAGCCCAGGTTCATGTACTGATGACATTCCAGTGTGGAGCAGGACCCAGGATAGAAGTTCCTATGCTATTTGTCTACATCTAGCTTTGAGGAATGAGCCACCAGTACTGGAATGCTATTAACATTCAATTGCAAATTTCAACACTATAAAAAGCAAAGGGTTGGGACTGTAAAAAGTGAGAAAATGAACATCAGCACCAGCCATGTAAATGTAAGGTAGTAAATATCTGTGTTACCCTAGAAACCAGAAGTATAAAGGTAGCTAGGTAGTTTGGTGACAGTTTCCAAGGTAATTCCTGCCACAGACAACATAAGAGCTTTCCTGTTATGTTAACTTTTTCTCTACATGCCTACTGGACCTTCACTCAATTCCACTATTTCCTCCCTCTCCCAAAAGACTCCCTCTCTGATTTCCCTATTTTTGTTAGTTTCAGTGCCATTCTCCTAAGTACTATCATCAGAAACCCTAGATGTTTATCAGTGAACTGAAGGGCCCCCAAAGTAATATGTGTCTCCAAACTTAAGAGACACAGTTTAGAGGAAAATCAGACACATAATTTGGGAAATGATAAACTCTTCAATTGAAAAAATTAAGAAAAAAAAAAGGCTCACAATGGATGAAACTAGCCAGCTGTGACTCTTCCCAGAAGCGACTTCTGGTAAATATAATTTGTAGATATATGCAAATAAGATTAAGATGCTTCCCAATATCTCACCTGGGAGCTACCAACCTAGAATGTAATTCATGTAAGACAGCTGTTACCTTGGAAACCGTGACATGTAATGAGAACAGGAGGCAGGTAATATTGTAATGACAGAAGATTCTGATAACTAGTTACAGATGGTGAAAAAAAAGAACATTGGAGAGTCAGTGTTTATGCACTACTATTCAAATGACAGGACACAAATAACCCAGTCTGGTATACAAATAACCCAGTCAAAGACCTCCCTTAAAACCATTCAGCCGGCCAGGCACCGTGGCTCACGCCTGTAATCCCAGCACTTTGGGAGGCTGAGATGGGCGGATCACATGAGGTCAGGAGTTTGAGACCAGCCTGGCCAACATGGCGAAACCCCATCTCTACTAAAAATACAAAAATTAGCCAGGCGTGGTGGCACATGCCTGTAATCCCAGCTACTTGGGAGGCTGAGGCAGGAGACTCGCTTGAACCCGGGAGGTGGAGGTTGCAGTGAGACTAGATTGCACCATTGCACTACAGCCTAGGCAACAAGAGCGAAACCTAAAAAACAAACAAACAAACAAACAAAAAAACCCATTCAGCTCCATTTGTTCAAGTTACAAATGACCATCTGATTACTAGTTTGGTTTCAAGGGTATGTTAATAGCTGGTAGGTATGACCCTAAATAATAGATAAGACAATTCCTGTCACTAGAAACTATATTTATCACTGGCATTTATTTGACTTGTAAGCCAATATCTTATTATTATTATTATTATTATTATTATTATTATTATTATTTTGAGATGGAGTTTCACTCTTGTTGCCCAGGCTGGAGTGCAACAGCGCTATCTCAGCTCACCGAAACCTCTGCCTCCTGGATTCAAGAGATTCTCCTCTCTCAGCCTCCCGAGTAGCTGGGATTACAGGCATGCGCCACCACGCCCGGCTAATTTTGTATTTTTAGTAGAGACGGGGTTTCACCATGTTGGTCAGCCTGGTCTTGAACTCCCAACCTCAGGTGATCCACCCGCCTTGGCCTCCCAAAGTGCTAGGATTACAGGCGTGAGGCACTGTGCCTGGGCCTTTTATTATTATTATTTTTTATTGAGACGGAGTCACTCTGTCACCCAGGCTGGAGTGCAGTGGTGTGATCTCAGCTCATCGCAACCTCCACCTCCGGGGTTCAAGCAATTCTCCCACCTCAGCTTCCCGAGTAGCTAGGATTACAGGTGTGTGCTGTCGCCCCCGGCTAATTTTTTTTTTTTAATTTTTAGTAGAGAAGAGGTTTCGCCATATTGGCCAGGCTCGTGTGGAACTACTGACCTTGAGTGATCTGCCCACCTCAGCCTCCCAAAGTGTTGAGATTACAGGAGTGAGCCACTGCACCTGGCCCATATCTCTATTTTCATAGAATAGATTCCTAGAGGGAGAATTTCTGGGGCAAATGCTATGAAATTTTTTAAGACTTGTGATTCTATTTGCTTTCTAGGAAGCATCAATTTACAATCCCACAGGCAGTGTATGAAGGTTTCTGCCTCACTGCTCATGGTCTACTTTGAGAAATATGTGTTCCTTTTTTTTTGTGTGTGTGTGACAGAGTCTCGCTGTCTGTCACCCAGGGAGTGCACTAGCACAGCACTGTCACGGCTCACTGTAGCCTTGACCTCCTGGGCCCAAGCAATCCTCCCACCTCAGCCTCCTGCTAGCTGGGACCACATGCATGCGCCACCACGCCTGGCTAATTTTTTAATTTTTTGTAGAGTCGTGGTCTCTTGATATTGCCCGAGCTGGTCTCAAACTCCTGGGCTCAAGTGATCCTCTTGCCTCGGCCTCCCAAAGTGCTGGGATTATAGGCGTGAGCCACGGTGCCTGGCACAGTTCTTTTTAAATCTTAATTAACTTCACAGGTAAAAGAGTATTATCTAGTTTGTATACTTTGCATGTTCTGTGATTACTAGTGAGTTAGAACAAAACACCTTACTGAGCAATCAGATTTCTTTTCCTGGAAATTCTCTCTCCATGCCTTTGTCAAAGTCTTTATTGAGGACATCGTGTTCTTCTTGTAAGTTTATGTAAGCTTTTTATCAAGAAAGATAATGACTCTTTGCTATACTTGTATATATTTTTCTGCTTGTTTTTTATGATTTCATTTTGTTAATTATATTTTTGTCATGTCAAGTTCTTAAGGTTAAGTAGTAAAATCTACCTACTTAGTGTTTTTTTTCTGCTGCTTTTAAGTTTATGATGTCTTCTCCCATCCAAATTTTAGATGCATAATCATCTACATCTTATTCTAGGGCTTTTATGGTTTGATTTGATTGTTGCCCAGGCTGGAGTGCAGTGGTGCCATCTCGGCTCACTGCAACCTCTGCCTCCTACGTTTAAGCGATTCTCGTGCCTCAACCTCCTGAATAGCTGGGATTACAGGCACCTGCAACCATGCCCGTCTAATTTTTTTTTTCTTTTTTTATTAGAGACAGGGTTTCACCATGTTGGCCAGGCTGGTCTTGAACTCCTGACCTCAGGTGATCTGCCTGCCTCGGCCTCCCAAGGTGCTGGGATTACAGGCGTGAGCCACTGCACCTGGCCTATGGTTTGATTTTTTTGATCTCCAACTAATTCATCTGAGATTTCAGTTGGTGTGTGGTAGTCGGAGCTCAGATTTTAATGGGCATCACCTGGTATGCTTGTTACAACCCTAGATATTCCTGAACCCTATAACTGCCCTATGGGTTCTTCCTGCCCACTGCACAAACAAAACAGACCACGACATTGCAGTAGAGAAAGAGTTTAATTGACACAAGGCCAGCCAAACCATCTCCTCAAAGTATCAAAGTATCAAAGGTTAGGGGTTTTTCAAAGGTAGTTTGGGGGAAGGTGTGGGGGTGGCTAGGCAATGGGTGCTGATTGCTTGGTTTGAAAATGAAATCATAGGGATTGGAAGCTCTCCTCTTGCACTGAGTCACTTCTGGGTGGGACCACAGGAGTGGTTGGTGGGTACAGGTGGAGCCATGGGTGTCAGACATCCAAAAGACCTGGAGACATCTCAAAAGGCCAATCTGAGGTTCTACAATAGTCATGTTATCTGCAGGAGTAATTGGAATAGTTGCATATTTTGTGACCTCTGGAATAATGGCTGGAAATCATTTAACTATGCCTACATCTTAGTATAATGCAGGCCCCTCTCATCCTCCTAACCTGGTTGGTGGCCTTTCATTAGTTTTACAAGGGTGGTTTAGTTTTTGGGAAAGGCTGTTATCATTTAAACTATAAACTAATTTTCTCTCAAAGTTAGCGTGGCCCATGCCCATGAATGGCCAAGGACAGCTTGAAAGTTGAAGGCAAGATGGAGTCAACCATGTCAGATTTCTCTTAATGTCATCATTTTGCAAAGGCAGTTTCAGTGACCTGGAAGCTGAGGGAGACTGTTGCATACATTCAGATGGGAGGTCATAAGTTTCTGTGCTAAGGCAAGCTATACTGCATACTGCAAAATTTTCTCAAAATATGGTCAGGGACATCTGCAACATAATCAGCTTGGATGATTGTAACACATATGGATTCTGAGTCCCACCCCACACTTACTGAATTGTCCCACCCCACACCTACTGTGGTCCCGACCCAGGAGCAGACTCAGTCCAAGAGGGCCATTTTCCATACCCCTATGATTGCATCCCCAACCAAAGGGGAAGAGGAGGTGATGAAAGGTGTAGAGCTGTGTATGCATATAACTATAACTGCCTACCAAACTATCTTTGAAAAATTCTAGCCTCCAAATTTTCAGGGAGATTGATGTGAGTAATAACTCCATCTCCTACATGTTGTGGCCGAGCTCTCATCAATTAAACTCTTTTTTTTTTTTTTTTTGAGATGGAGTTTTTCTCTGTCACCCAGGCTGGAGTGCAGTGGCGTGATCTTGGCTCACTGCAACCTCCGCCTCCTGGATTCAAGTGATTCTCTTGCCTCAGCCTCCCAAGCAGCTGGGATTACAGGCACCCACCACTATACCCAGCTAATTTTTGTATTTTTAGTAGAGATGGGGTTTCCCCATGTTAGCCAGTCTGGTCTTGAACTCCTGACCTCAGGTGATCCGCCCACCTCAGCCTCCCAAAGTGCTGGGATTACAGGCATGAGCTGCCGTGCCTGGCCTAAACTCTTTCTTTACTGCAATGCTGTGGTCTCAGTGAATTGATTTTGTCTGTGCAGTGAGCAGGAAGAACCGGTCAGGTGATTGCATCACTACATCCTAAAATCCATCTATATACAGCTCCTAGAGTTATCTTGCAGAAACATCTTATGAAAAAAAAAAAACCCAAAAACTCTTCATTAGCTTCCTATTGTTACAGGAACTAGCTCAAACTCCTCATCCCAGCCCTCCAGACCCTTTGTTATTTTCCCTGACCTGTCTATCTGATCAGCCAATGGCCAATGGCTTAAGCACCAAACTCTTATCTAGCCAGGTCTGCCTCCTCATGGGCCTTGTACAATTATTACTCATTTCCTCTTTTCATGCTGCAGTCCCAGTTCCTCTCAGATTATTCATATCCTATGCATTCAACTCAATTATCACATTCTTTTCCTTCCTTTGGTACCAAGATGGTGGCTGTTTTCTGAGACTTACCAAAGCCCCAATAGTTGTGTATTCTCACACTGAGTATTATCTTCCTATCAGGTCATACAATCTTTGAGGGTGTGGTCTGTGAATCTATCCCTCATAGCATATAGCACAGTCCTAGGTGCACCAAAGAACTTGTTTAATGGAACCAAACCAGCCCTAAATGCCAACTAATTTTTGTAAGAGTTAAAGAAAGAGGAAAGAAACATGAAAAGTGGCTCAACAGACAAAGACAGGTTTATTTTGGATAATCAACCGGAGAGGGTCTTCTGGCCGATTTTGGTCAGGAGTGCTCTCTCTTACAGACTAAGAGTATTTATTGGTTTTAGGGTGAGGGAGCTTATTACAGGCTTGGAATGTTACTGTGGTGGGGAGAAGTTTATTGCAGGGTTGGAATGTCTCTGGTTGGAGGGGAGGTTACTTGGGGCTGGCATGTCTCTGGTTGGGGAGGGGTTTATCTTATGGTTGGAATGTTTCTGGTTGGAGATGTCATTTACGGTTTATGGTCATGTTGACCTTAGCCATTAGGCTGATGCCCTTTGGATTTAGGTGTTTTTTTGTTTGTTTGTTTGTTTTTGTTTTTGTTTTGAGAGGGACTTTCGTTATTGTTGCCCAGGCAGGAGTGCAATGACGCGATCTCAGCCTACTGCAACCTCTGCCTCCTGCGTTCAAGCAATTCTTGGCCAGGTGCGGTGGATCATGCCTGTGATCCTAGCACTTTGGGAGGCCGAGGTGAGTGGATCGCCTGAGGTCAGAAGTTCAAGACCAGCCTGGCCAGCATGGCAAAACCCTGTCTCTACTAAAAATACAAAAAATTAGCCAGGTGTGGTGGCAGGTCCCTGTAATCCCAGCTACTTGGGAGGATGAAGCAGGAGAATTGCTTGAACCCAGGAGGCGGAGGTTGCAGTGAGCTGAATTCACACCATTGCACTCCAGCCTGGGCAACAAGAGTGAAACTCCATCTCAAAAAAAAAAAAAAAAAAAAAAAAAAAGGAAAAGAAAAGAAAAAAAGAAGAAAAAAAAGCAATTCTCCTGTTTCAGCTCCTGAATAGCGGGGATTACAGGCATGCACCACCACGCCCAGCTACTTTTTGTATTTTTAGTAGAGACGGGGTTTCACCATGTTGGCCAGGCTGGTCTTGAACTCCTGACCTCAGGTGATACTGCCCGCCTCAGCCTCCCAAAGTGCTGGGATTACAGGCATGAGCCTCCTTACCCGGCCTTAGGTGGTTTTTGATCAAGGAGAACTTTAGAATTGTGGTGCTTGTCCAAGATGGCGATGCTCCTGCTTGGTAAATTTTAATATGTTATTTCTGAGAGCGAATGCTGTAGCCTCTCAGCTATCTTTTCCTTGCACCAAAATGAGAATGTTTGACAAATTCCTAGGGATTTCACTTTGTTGTGATTTGGTTTGCTAATAACAAAATTAAGTAAAAGGTTATCTTGGTTCCAGCTCTTATTTGAGTTAACAATATTCCTTATCATCTATGACATATCCACTTACTGACTTTCTGGTTGAAGGGTCTAACCTTTCCTATAATACGGGGTATTTCTTTCCCCTCTTACAAATGTAATGATTTCGCTTTTATAGTAGAATATGCTTTACCAGATTAAATAAATATAAAGGGGTTAATGGCTAAATAATTACATTATAGCTGCTTTAATCTCTTTTCTCTCTCTACCCCTCAGGGTTTTCCTCCTTGAATGACAGGCCTGCTTTAAATGAATTTGCCTGGATGCTCAAAATAGGTGGGGGTGAGGGAGGAAATGCCTTCTCTCTTTCAGCAGACAAGATGGAATTCAGTTTAATTAATCAAATATTAATATTTATTGAGCTCGTATGGGACACCTGATTCTGTGCTAGGCACAACACAGAAGGCCAAAACGAGAAGTGATAAAGGAGCAGAAGGGCTTGGGAAGGGGAAGAAAGGGGAAGAGGAGGTGATAAAAGGTGTAGAGCTGTCTAGCCATATAAGAGGGGATTAAAAGATGAGAAAGGGAAAATAGAGCCAAAGGTAAATTCTCTGGCCTGGTCTCACTTGATAGCCCTGCATGGGCCTAGAAGGCTGAAGCAGTGGTTTGAGTTCAAATTTTGCTTATGAGCCATGAGAGCAGTTAGGATAGTGGCAATTTGAGTCAAACATTTACCTCCTCAAGGGTTTAGGATGGAAGTGAAATCTCTCTTTAAAAAACAAGAAACATACACGTGTGTGTTTGTGTGTGTGTGTGTGTGTGTGTGTGTGTGTGTGTGTGTTGTGGGGGCCAAAGTCATTGGCCCCTGAAGGTTCACTAAAATATCACTGATATGAGGCTGATTCATAGGAGAAAAGGCATACAAATTTATTTAACATGTACACATGGGAGCCTTCATCATGGAGACCCAACCTCCCAATAATTAACAGAAGCTTATATATCATCTTGAAATTACAGAAAGAGACCAGGCGTGGCTCATGCCTGTAATCCCAGCACTTTGGGAGGCCGAGGCGGGCAGATCACGAGGTCAAGAGATCGAGACCATCCTGGCCAACATGTTGAAACCCCGTCTCTACTAAAAATACAAAAATTAGCTGGGCGTGGTGGTGCAAGCCTGTAGTCCAGCTACTAGGGAGGCTGAGGCAGGAGAATCGCTCGAACCCGGGAGGCAGAGGTTGCAGTGAGCCGAGATCGCGCCACTGCACTCCAGCCTGGGTGACAGAGCGAGACTCCATCTCAAAAAAAAAAAAAGCCGGGCGTGGTGGCTCACGGCTGTAATCCCAGGACTTTTGGAAGCCGAGGCGGGTGGATCACGAGGTTGGGAGATCAAGACCATCCTGGCTAACACGGTGAAACGCCGTCACTACTAAAAATACAAAAAATTAGCCAGGCGTGGTGGCGGGCGCCTGTAGTCCCAGCTACTTGGGAGGCTGAGGCAGGAGAATGGCATGAACCCGGGAGGCGGAGCTTGCAACAGTGAGCCGAGATCGCGCCACTGCACTCCAGCCTGGGTGACAGAGCGAGACTCCACCTCAAAAAAAAAAAGTAAGAAATTACAGAAAGAATGTGGACGAACTCAGAGTATATACAAAAACAGGTTTTAGTGGCAAGATAGGTTATGGAAGAAAGGAAGAGACTTGGTTTGTGAAGGTGGCCTTGTCATGTAGAGGAAGCCTCCTTCCGAAAGAATAGCTGGTAAATGCTTCTTTTCAAACTTTTAAAGATGTCAGACTCTCAATCTCTCCTGGATCCAGGTAAGGCATAGAAATGGGAAGCTTGGCTGTATTCAAGGAGGTTCTCTACAGATGCAAATTTCCCCCATCTCAGTCCTCTGGTCCTGAGGCAGCCATTTCAAACATATGGCAAATACATTTATTTTGGGGTAAAATATTTTTATTTTCTTCAGAATGTATGAACACACAGTATATCAACTTATTTTGAATGATAATAGCTAACTTTGTGTACTTACTGTATTCTAAGCACTTTGTGTGTATTAACTCATTTAATCGTTGTCACAACCGTATGAGGTAGGTAAAATTATTGTGGACATTTTTTTTCAGATGATGAAACTGAAGCACTGAGTAATTAAATAACTTGCTCAGTGGACACAGCTTATCAGTGGCAGATCTGCTGGGGGTGGTGGCTTATGCCTGTAATCCCAGCACTTTGGGAGGCCGAGGCAGGCGGATCACCTGAGGTCAGGAGATCGAGACCAGCCTGACCGACGTGGTGAAACTCCATCTCTACTAAAAATACAAAAATTAGCTGGGCGTGATGGTGCACTCCTGTAATCCCAGCTACTCGGGAGGCTGAGGCAGGAGAATCGCTTGAACCTGGGAGGCGGAGGTTGCGGTGAGCCGAGATCACACCATTGCACTCTAGCCTGGGCAACAAGAGCAAAACTCTGTCTCAAAAAACAGAAAAATAGAAAATAAGTGGCAGATCTGGGCTTTGAATCCTATTCTGACTGACTCAATGTTTGCTGCTATTTGAAGTATTGGGCCTTGTTTAATTTACTACTGTACTCACTAAGGCTAACACATTGCCTTGCACATAATAGGCATGTTATGCTTTGAATAAATATTAATACATGAAATGTTGACTACAAAGTGTTTTCCACTTGAGCACAATTACTATTAAGCATAAAAATTAAATATCATTAAATGTACGTTCACTATTTTTTTTTTTTGAAACGGAGTTTCACTCTTTTTGCCCAGGCTGGAATGCAATGGCATGATCTCAGCTCACTGCAACCTCCACCACCTGGGTTCGAGTGACTCTCCTGCCTCAGCCTCCTGAGCAGCTGGGATTACAGGCGTGCGCCACCACGCCTAGCTAATTTTTGTATTTTTAGTAGAGATGGGGTTTCACCATGTTGGTCAGGCTGGTCTCGAACCCCTGACCTCAGGTGATCCTTCCGCCTCGGCCTCCCAAACTGCTGGGATTACAGGCGTGAGCCACTGCACCCACCTCGGTAGGTTCACTTTGCTGTAAATTTTACTCTATTAAAGCAACAATATTTTACAGCACACAGATGTGTGTATACTTCAAGTTTTCTTACTCGTGGCTGGGCTAATGACTCCTCTAAAAATTAGAGGTATTACTGAATGTAGTCCAGGAGGTAGTGAATCAACCAAAAAGAGACATCTGTCCTCTTTTTGAGTTCTGTAGTTGAAGAAAAAGATTATTTCTGAGGGTTTAGGATTTAATAGTCTTGAGTGGGATCCAGTGAAGAAACTATAAAGTATTTTTCTGATGCAGTGTTAAAAGAGAATGAATGCTTGAGAAACCCCACGGCCCAGAATAGATCTGGCTTTTACCAAAGGATGCCATTTCACGGAACCACCCTGTTTCTCATCTCCCAATCTTCCAACCCGTTAGGGATCTGATGTCTGCAATTCTATCATGAGAAAACTATTCCTTGAGTTGGAAGACTTAAACTGCAAGCACCCCTGGGATGGCTAACGCAGTTAACACTGCAGTGTGAACGTCTTCGTGAGTCTCTTATGTAGATCCACCAATGGGACGGTGAGGAAAGAGCAGGTGGTGGGCGGGGCCCCGGGGAGGGGAGGAGAGGAGAACTTAGAGAAGGAAGGCGGCGGGTGTCAGGGCTATGAGTGCTTTTAAGGAAGGTCTCCATAGAAGGTTCCCCCAGCAAAGTAGGGAGGGGTACTCCCCGAGAGGAGTCGAGGTGCCGGAGCCTGCTGCCTCGCCGACGCTGGGAGGAGCCCCGTGTCCCGCCGCGCTTGCCAAGGGTTGGCTGCGCGTGCGGCGGGAGTAGAGGCGCCTTGCGCACCAGGAAGTGACTGTTTCCCCGCCGCAGCAAACCAGGCCATCCGCTGGCCTTTTAGTTTGCCGCCTCAGGTTTGTAAGAGGATTTATTGGTTACGAAGGAAGGTAAGGTGGATAAATAGCCCGGAAAACCTGATTTAACCCTTGCTTTACAGAAAACTCCCTACTATGCCAAACTGTCCGCGGGGCGGGGAATGGAGGAGGCAGGCGGGGCTGGAGACGGGACCCGACGGTGACTGCGCAAGGTCGTGTACGGCCCAGCGTGGGCCTGTGCCCTAACTCCTCCCACTCCCTTACTTTCTGTCCTTCCCGGGCCCTGCAGACCGGCCAAGTTTAGTGGTAGCCTTTCCTAGTGTCTCCTCTTTGTTAACCCTTCCTACAGACACAGTGGGCAGAACTTGCCTAAAGAAGAAGGGAATGGAAGGGCTAGTGGAGTCTTGTTGGGGAGACAAGGACCTGACTGCCTGTGGGCTGCATTCGGGACACGACACAGCAGTCAACCCATTTGCTTGTTTGGTTTAGCAAGGAATAGTGTCTGGAGCCGGTCCAGCTGAAGGAAGGGTGAGCAGAGAGTGCAAGCAGGACCCTTGTCGGTGGGTGAACATTTTGCTCCAAAAGGGATCCTTGGCCCTGCGCAGGTGAGACCTACCACATAGTCTCTTTGATTTGAACCTCTCTGAGCACAGGAGAGTTAGCCTGCCTTCCTATTTGGGCTACTCTGGACTCCAGGACTCTTCCTGATCAATTCCTGAGGCAGGTATAGAACAGTCGAGCACGACTGCTCACACGCTTTTTTTTTTTTTTGCTGAGGAAAAAACTCCCAAGCATTTTTATTTTTTATTTGTTTGAGACGGAGTCTAGCTTTGTCACCCAGGCTGGAGTGCAGTGGTGCGATCTCGGCTCACTGCAACCTCCGCCTCCCGGGTTCAAGTGATTCTCCTGCCTCAGCCTCTGGAGTAGCTAGGATTACAGGCGCCTGCCACCACGCCCAGCTAATTTTTGTATTTTTAGTAGAGACTGGGTTTCACTCTGTTGGTCAGGCTGCTCTCGAACTCCTGACCTTGTGATCCGGCTGCCTCGGCCTCCCAAAGTGCTGGGATTACAAGCGAGAGCCACCGAGCCTGGCCCCCAAGCATTTATTTTTTATTTTTTATTTTTATTTTTGAGACAGAGTTTCACTCTTGTTGCCCAGGCTGGAGTGCAATGGTGTGATCTCGCCTCACCGCAACCTCTGCCTCCCAGGTTCAAGCGATTCTCCTGCCTCAGCCTCCCGAGTAGCTGGGATTACAGGCGTGCGCCACCACACCCGGCTAATTTTGTACTTTTAGTATAGACAGGGTTTCTCCATGTTGGTCAGGTTGGTCTCAAACTCCTGAGCTCAGGTGACCTGTCAGCCTCGGCCTCCCAAAGTGCTGGGATTGCAGGCGTGAGCCACCGCACCTGGCCCCAAGCACTTATTTAAAACAGGACAAAATATAAAAAGAAAATAGTCTCTTCTGTGAACAAATGTCTCCCCTGACATTAAGAAAGAAACAGAACTCACCTTGACTAGTATGAGTGTGCTGCCTTGAAAAAGAAATTTCACCACAGAAGTTACTAAATATGACAGGCTCTTTACCTAGAATGATGGCTGGTTGGCACCTTGAAATAATAAGGTCCTGTTTTAAACCATACTTGATAATTTGGAAGAGACCTAGATGGACAAGGACCCTCCTGCTGGGGTATAGGGCAAATGAACTACAGTCATGGCAGAGTCACCAGTGAGAGGACCCACACACTCACAAAAAAGTCTAAATGTCGTTGGGGTGGGAATAGCTATCTTCAAATTCCCCAGCTTCCTTGTCCCTCCTCTGCAAATCCTCAAATGGGCCTGCAGTTTCCTTCCTCCTGACTTTCCTGCTGACTGGAGGGACAGGACCCCTCTCCTGGATCAGCTCTACTCCCTTCCCCTGTAGTCTGGGCTTCAAGGCCACTGGCCTTCTCAGACCCACCATGTCATTCTTTATGTCTCTTGCCTCTTCATTCATTTCCTTTCTCTGGCTTTTGCCATCCTCCATATCGAATACGTACATTCTCACAGGCCACACACTTTTTTTTTTTTTTTTGAGAAGGAGTCTCTTGCCCAGGCTGGAGTGCAGTGGTATGATCTCGGTTCACTTTAACCTCTGCCCGGGTTCAAGCAATTCTCCTGCCTCAGCCTGCTGAGTAGCTGGGATTATAGGCGTGCGCCACCACACCCAGCTAATTTTGTATATTTTTGGTAGACAGGGTTTCACCGTGTTGGCCAGGCTGGTCTCGAACTCCTAACCTCAAGTGATCCACCCTCCTTGGCCTCCCAAAGTGCTGAGATTACAGGCCTGAGCCACCCCGCCTGGCTTTTTTTTTTTTTTTTTTTTTTTTTGGAGACAGGGTCTCCCTCCCGGGCTGGAATGCAATGGCACAATCATAGCTCACTGCAGCCTTCAACTGCTGGACTTGTGATCCTTCTGTCTCAGCCTCCTAAGTAGCTAGGACTACAGGTGTGTGCCACCACACCTGGCTAATTTTTAAAACTTTTTGTAGAGACCGGATCTCGCTATGTTGCCCAGACTGGTCTCAAACTCTTGGCCTTAAGCAATCCTCCTGCCTTGGTCTCCCAAAGTGCTGGGAGTTACAGTTGTAAGCCACTGCACCCGGCTGCCACACACTTTTGAGAGTATTAACAGGTAGTCCAGCACAGGCCATAACCTCACTACACTCCAGCAGGCACTCATGTAGAGGGTCAGAAAATTTATGTGTCTATGTGTGTGTATGTTGTTTTTTAAATTTCCCACAAACTGTACTCATCCTCACAGCACTTGCATGCATTGTTACATCTTGTCAGTTTTGCAGGTTGGAGATGTTGAGGCATGAAGAAACCAAGTGATATGCTTTGAATCAGAGCCTAAGAAAGAGCAGTGACACATGTTGAGCACTGGCTGTCTTAAGCACAGTCCTGAACATGTCATATATTTGAATGCTTTTAATTCTCACCAAAACTGTGAAAGATAGGTGTTCTCAGTCCTATTTGTATAGATGGTGACACTGAGATTCATAGCACTTAAGTATTAATATCTTACCTAAAACCGCATAGCTAGTGAGAAGTAGAGCTGGGATTAGAACATGGCTCCAGCCGAATGTGGTGGCTCATGCCTGTAATGCCAACACTTTGGGATGCTGAGGCAGGTGGATCACTTGAGGTCAGGAGTTCGAGACCAGGGTGGCCAACATGATGAGACCCCCGTCTCTACTAAAAATACAAAAATTAGTTGGGTGCAATGGGGGGTGCCTGTAATCCCAGCTACGCGGGAGGCTGAGGCAGGAGAATGGCTTGACACAGGCAGCGGAGGTTGCGGTGAGCCAAGAATGTGCCACTGCACTCCAGCCTGGGCGACAAAGTAAGACTGTTTTTTTTTTTTTGGTAACAAAGAACATGGCTTCAAAGCCTGTGTTCTTAACTGTACTGTCTTGTTGCTTCTTGATGGGGGTGGGTGTTGAGTGGAGAGTGCTATCATTAACACCTGAACTCTGGGCCAGCTTAAGTGTATATTCTGTAAAAAATTTGAAATCCCCCAAATGTCACATGCTATGACAGTCACTTTCTTTAGTACTTTGTAATCATACAAAATGGTGTATGGGCTAAATATTGCAGCACCTATGTCGTCATCCTCCATGTTGCTTATTGATCATGGAATGTTAATTTAGCAATAATTTTCTCTGTGTGTGTGTGTGTGTGTGTGTGTGTGTGTGTGTGTGTATGTGTATAAATGTAAAATTCTGAATTAGGCTATGACTTAACATTGGGATGAAATCCAAGGTAGAGCTTAAGGGCAAAATACAAATTTCACAGCAGGTTAACAGAATGTCAGGCCAAGTCCATTCAAGTGTCCCAAGTACTTAAAATAGGTGCTTATGGCTGGGCATGGTGGCTCATGCCTATAATTCCAGCACTTTGGGAGGCCGAGACAGGAGGATTGGTTGAGTCCAGGAGTTTGAGACCAGCCTGGAAAACATAGCGAGACCCCATCTCTGTTTTTTTTTTTTAAGATGGAGTCTCGCTCTGTCGCCCAGTTCTGCTCTGTTGCAATCTTGGCCTACTGCAATCTCTGCCTCCCAGGTTCAAGCAGTTCTCTTGCCTCAGCCTCCCGAGTAGTGGGATTACAGGTGCCTGCCACCATGCCCGGCTAATTTTAGTATTTTTAGTAGAGACGGGGTTTCACCATGTTGGCTAGGCTGGTCTCGAACTCCTGACCTCAGGTGATCCGCCTACCTTGGCCTCCCAAAGTGCTGGGATTACAGGTGTGAGCCACCATGCCCGGCCAACCCCATCTCATTTTTAAAACAAACAAAAACCAGGTGCTTTCACAGCAATGTAGACATAACATAGAGTCCTGTGTTGCAAAGGGAGGCCCTCTACTTGTGTTCTCAATGTCACCCATGTTAGCTCTTCCAGCTTTTGTCTCATAGTTACTCCCATTGTTCCTTCTCCCACTCCCCTCTTTCAGTGTTGCCACCTCTACTCAGTTAAATACTGTCTTTAAACACGTCATGACAGTTACTAGTAATGCTTACTGAAGATATTTTGCCAGGTGTTGGACTCTGCTCAGAGTTTCACAAACATACCTGTCTAATCTTCTGCTAAGTACTTTTTTTTTTTTTTTTTCGAGACAGGGTCTTGCTTTGTCACCCAGGCTGGAGCATGATCATGGCTGCCTGGGCACAAGTGATGCTACCACCTCAGCCTCCCGAGTAGCTGGGACTACAGGCGCATGCCACCATGCCTGGCTAATATTTTAATTTTTGTAGAGACGGGGTCTCACTGTGTTGTCCAGGCTGGTCTCAAACTCCTGGGCTCAAGTAGTCCTCTTCTCTTGGCCTCCCAAAGTGCTGGGATTATAGGCGTGAGCCACACTGTACCTGGCCTAAGTACTTTTTTTTGCTGGGGGGACGGAGTTTCGCTCTTGTTGCCCAGGCTGGAGTGCAATGGCGTGATCTCGGCTCACCGCAACCTCCACCTCCCGGGTTCAAGCGATTCTCCTGCCTCAGCCTCCTGAGTAGGTGGGATTACAGGCATGCGCCACCACATCTGGCTAATTTTGTATTTTTAGTAGAGACAGGGTTTCTCCATGTTGGTCAGGTTGGTCTTGAACTCCTGACCTCAGGTGATCCGCCTGCCTCGGCCTCCCAAAGTGCTGAGATTATAGGTGTGAGCCACTGTGACCAGCAGCCTAGGTACTTTTTATTAATTATCTTCAACTCTTACAACCACTATATAAGGTAGATACCATTGTCTCCATTTTACAAGTGAAAAAAAGGAATGTCAGAGAGAATGATTAACTTGGCAACGGCCACCTAGGTAGTGAGTGGTGGGGCCAGTGGACCACCCAGGACAGGTCTGGCTGTCTGACTAGGATCTGTACTCCTAAAATCTCAAAGCCTTCATATGTCCCCACTGCCTGCCACTTCCCATTGCCTCCTTTCCCTTCTTTCTTTTGTCCCAGACCTAATGGATGTGATACTATCTTCCTCAGAGGTATATGCCTTGGCCTCCAGGCCTCCAGGCTCTCTTGACTCTCCTTCTGAGACACCAGCATCTCTTCTTGCTCTCCAAATATTACCTTTCTCCCTGATACAGTCATTGGCCTTTTGCTCTTGCCTTTACTCAAGGTACTTTAAAGAAAATTTTGTTTTGATTGATTGATTGATTTTTTTTTTTTTTTTTTTTGAGACTGAGTCTCACTATATCGCCCAGGCTGGAGTGCAGTGGTGTGATCTCAGCTCATTGCAACCTCCACCTCCCGGGTTGAAGCGATTCTCATGCCTCAGCCTCCCGAGTAGCTGGGACTACAGGTACATGCCACCATGCCCGGCTAATTTTTGTATTTTTAGTAGAGGCGGGGTTTCACCATGTTGGCCAGCCTGGTCTCGAACTGCTGACCTCAAGTGATCTGCCCCCTCAGCTTCCCAAAGTGCTGGGATTACAGGTGTGAGCCACTGCGCCTGGCCTGTTTTTTTTATTTTTATTTTCTTAATTTTTAAAATTTTTGTTATATTATTAATATTATTATTTTTTGAGATGGAGTCTCACTCTGTCACCTAGGCTGGAATGCAGTGGTGTTATCTAGGCTCACTGCAACCTCTACCTACTGGGTTCAAGTGATTCTCCTGCCTTAGCCTCCTGAGTAGCTGGGATTACAGGTGCCCACCACCATGCCTAGCTAATTTTTTTTGTTTGTTTGTTTGTTTGTTTGTTTTGTATTTTTAGTAGAGACAAGATTTCACTATGTTGCTCAGGCTGGTCTCGAACTCCTGACCTCAGGTGATCTGCCTGCCTCAGTCTCCCAAAGTGCTGGGATTACAAGCGTGAGCCACCACACCCAGCCTGTTTTTTTGTTTATTGTTTTTTTTTTTTTTTCGAGATGAAGTTTCTTTCTTGTTGCCCAGGCTGGAGTGCAATGGTGTGATCTCGGCTCACCGCAACCTCCGCCTCCTGAGTTCAAGCGATTCTCCTGCCTCAGCCTCCCGAGTAACTGGGATTACAGGCATGTGCCACCATGCGCGGCTAATTTTGTATTTTTAGTAGAGACGGGGTTTCTCCATGTTGGTTAGGCTGGTCTTGAACTCCCGACCTCAGGTGATTCGCCCACCTCGGCCTCCCAAAGTGCTGGGATTACAGGTGTGAGCCACTGCGCCCAGCCCCCTTTTTTATTTTTAAGAGATGGGTCTCACTATATTGCTCAGGCTTGTTTCGAACTCCTGAGCTCAATTGATCCTCCTGCCTCAGCCACTCAAAGTGCTGGGATTACAGACATGAGCACCCCACCCCCCCCTTTTTTTTTTGAGACAGAGTTTTGCTCTTGTTGCCCAGGCTGGAGTGCAATGGCACGGTCTCGGCTCATTGCAACCTCCACCTCCCAGGTTCAAGCAATTCTCCTGCCTCAGCCTCCCAAGTAGCTGGGGTTGCAGGTACTTGCCAACATGCCTGGCTAATTTTTGTATTTTTGTAGGGTTTTTTTTTTTTTTTTTTTTTTGAGACCGAGTTTCACTCTGTCGCCCAGGCTGGAGTGCAGTGGCGTGATCTCAGCTCACTGCAACCTCCGCCTCCTGGGTTCAAGCAATTCTCCTACCTCAGCCTACCGAGTAGCTGGGACTACAGGTGCATGCCACCACGCCCAGCTAATTTTTGTATTTTTCGTAGAGACGGGGTTTCTGGTCTCGAACTCCTGACCTCGTGATCCACCTGCCTTGGCCTCCCAAAGTGTTGGGATTACAGGCATGAGCCACTGCGCCCGGTCCTAATTTTTGTATTTTTAGTAGAGACAGGGTTTCACTATGTTGGCCAGGCTGGTCTGGAACTCCTGACCTTGTGATCTGCCCGCCCTGGCCTCCCAAAGTGTTGGGATTACAGGCATGAGCCACCGTGCTTGGCCTCAAAGCCCTTTTTCATCTTACAGCTTGTATTTCTTATAGACACTCAATGAAATCTGTATCCCTGCCATCTCTCTCGACTTATCCTACTGCTTCTCTACTTACGTGCTACACATTTCCATTTGGATATTTCCCTACCATTCTAAACACAATATGTCTCAAACATGAACTTGCTTTTTTTTTTTTTTTTTTTCTCTTTTTGAGACGGAGTCTCGCTCTGTCACTCAGTCTGGAGTGCAGTGGCACAATCTTGGCTCACTGCAACCTCTGCCTCCCGGGTTCAAGCGACTCTCCTGCTTCAGCCTCCCGAGTAGCTGGGACTATAGGTGCCTGCCGCCACGCCTGGCTAATTATTGTATTTTTAGTAGAGACGGGGTTTCACCATATTGGCCAGTCTGGTCTCGAACTCCTGACCTTGTGATCTGCCCGCTCTGGCCTCCCAAAGCGTTGGGATTACAGGCGTGAGCTACTGCACCCAGCCGAACTTGCTTTTTATCAGCCTCCTTATTTCATTTTTAATTCTCTACATAAAGCCTCCATCATCTCACTGTTACCTTCACAATAAAGTCCATGTTTTATTCAGGCATGAACATTCTTTTAAATCTCACTTTCACTTAACTTTTCAGCCTGTTGCCTCTATTCCTTAAGGTGAACTACTGTTTTAGTCAGACTGGTCTCCCTGCTGTCCTTCAAACATCTAATTCATCTCTCTGCCATCCTTTAAGACTCAGTTTCTGGCTGGGCGTGGCA
This sequence comes from Homo sapiens, assembly GCF_000001405.40. Lineage (NCBI taxonomy): Eukaryota > Metazoa > Chordata > Mammalia > Primates > Hominidae > Homo > Homo sapiens. The sequence goes on along the minus strand of NC_000023.11, from coordinate 101,043,692 downwards.
GCTCACACCTGTAATCCCAGCACTTTGGGAGGCCTAGGTGGGAGGATCACTTAAGCCCAGGAGTTTGAGGCCAGTCTAGGCAAGATAGCAAGACCTTGTCTCTACTATGTTTGTTTGTTATTTGAGATGGAGTTTCACTCTGACGCCCAGGCTGGAGTGCAGTGGCACGATTTTGGCTCACTGCAACCTCTGCCTCCCAGGTTCAAGTGATTCTCCTGCCTCAGCCTCCTGAGTACCTGGGACTACAGACGTGTGCCACCATACCCGGCTAATGTTTGTATTTTTAGTAGAGACGGGGTTTCACCATGTTGGCCAGGCTGGTCTTGAACTCCTGACCTCGTGATCTGCCCGCCTCAACCTCCCAAAGTGTTGGGATTACAGGCGTGAGCCACCTCTCCCCACCTTATTTATTTATTTTTTTTTTTGAGACAGAGTTTCTGCTTCTGTTGCCCACGCTGGAATGCAATGGCGCAATCTCGGCTGACTGCAACCTCTGCCTCCCAGGTTCAAACAGTTCTCCTGCCTCAGCCTCCCAAGTAGCTGGGATCACAGGCATGCACCACCACACCCAGCTAATTTTGTATTTTTAGTGGAGATGGGGTTTTGCCATGTTGGCCAGGCTGGTCTCGAACTCCTGACCTCAGGTGATCCACCTGCCTCGGCCTCCCTAACTGCTAGGATTACAGGTGTGAGCCACTGCTCCTGGCTGTCTCTACTATAAATTAAAAGAATGGTGTGGTAGTGCACACCTGTAGTTTCAGCTACTTGCATGGCTCAGGTGGAAGGATTGCTTGAGCCTAGAAAGTCAAGGCTGCAGTGAGCCATGATCATGCCACTGCACCCCAGCCTGGGCGACAGAATGAGACTGTCTTAAAAAACAAAGACTCAGCGCCATCCCTCCCTGCTCTGGGAAGCCTTTTCTGAGCACTCATCAGGAACCAAGCATACTGTGTTATTTCCTAATGTCTTCCTGTGTCAGCATTTAATCTCCTTAATTAGATTGTAACCTTTGTAACCCCTCTGGTGTCTAGTGTGGCATGATGTCTTGCACATAGTAAGCACTTACTAAATATTAGCTGCTTGATTGGCTGTTGGTTAGGAAGGTGGAATAGGGAAAGAGATTTGTCACAGAAATATATCCAGAGATTTGAACTCTTTCCTGGAGGACAGAGACTATATTTTCCTCATCTCTTTATTTTGGGAACCGAAACATACCTTGCATACAGTAATTCAGTTCTGCTCAACAGGCTTGCTTTTACTGTCTGCTGTGTGCCAGCATTCTGCTAGGCGCTTCAGTTCCATAAGGGTTTATAAGTGGATGAATGGGTTTGATAGTTGTGCTTCTATTTCCCAACCTCTGTATGTGTACCTTTCATGCAGGTGGATTTCAGTGTGTTCTTTGGATGGCAGGCCTTAAGAGAAGAGTCCCACTGCACAGCCTCAGATACTTCATCTCCATGGTGGGTCTCTTCTCCAAACCAGGACTGCTTCCCTGGTATGCCAGAAATCCACCAGGATGGTCACAGCTCTTTCTGGGCACAGTATGTAAGGGAGATTTCACCCGTGTGATAGCCACGAAATGTCAGAAAGGACAAAAAAGTCAGAAGAAACCAAGCCATCTTGGACCACTAGATGGTTCCTGGCAGGAAAGGTAAAGGCCAGGCTGATGTCCTCTCTCCTTAGCAGGTCTCAATCTGTACATCTGCTGAAATTCTGTATTCCTAGTGTAACTAATGTAGCATTACAAGGATTTGAGGGGCCACCTGAGGTAGGATACCCAGGGCAAATTTGAGGACGTCTGAAGAATATTGGTGGAAATGCTTTGGGGTTGCAGAAACCGTTCTCTTTGTCTTTGAGTGTGTTTTTATCAGAAAGAAGATACTAATCTGGGACCTTGTCTTTAATAAGTCCAGGACAGGTTTGCTGAAAACCAGGAACCCAGAATGATATTAGATGGATTAGAGATGAGTAGGCCCATTGCAGCCATATAAGCACAAATATACCTCATTTATGCAACAAATGTATTTTCTACATCAAATTATATTTTAAAAGCATTAGGAAGGTAAGCTATTTAAAGAAACCCAACAGTGAAGCCTTTTGTAATATGATTAATTACCTCCTGATAAATCTGGATTTTTCTTATATTAGGTTTGCCTCATCTGTTCTGCTTTGTTAAGTAGACAACATCAAAATGGGCTCTTCTCCCAGACTCCATCTCCCTAGAGAGCATGAGAGTTAGGTCTTCTGAAAGTACTTATGCATAGTAGGCACTCAGTACATATTTATATAATTAAAGAATTGCCTGAATTATTTTATTCAAGGCTGGCTGATGTTGTGACACCACTCTGGAGGTTGAGCTATGAAGAACAGCTCAAGGTAGGTGCCCAGCCTAAGTCTTTACCCCTCCTTTCCAGGAGAATGGTGCTGGACTCGTAGGAAGCTTGATTGGGCAGTTATTTATTTATTTATTTTTAATTTTAAGTTTTTTTGAGATGGAGTCTCGCTCTGTCGCCCAGGCTGCAGTTCAGTGGCGCAGTCTCGGCTCACTACAACCTCCACCTCCCAGGTTCAAGCAATTCTCCTGCCTCAGCCTTCTGAGTGGCTGAGATTACAAGCGTGCGCCACCATGCCCAGCTAATTTTTCTATTTTTAGTAGAGATAGGCCATGTTGGCCAGGCTGCTCTTGAACTCCTGACCTCAGGTGATCTGCCCACCTCGGCCTCCCAGAGTGCTGGGATTACAGGTGTGAGCCACCGCGCCGGGCCTTGACTGGACAGTTCTACGCAGAATCCCAAGCAGCTTCTTAAACTCATTATGCTATTGACTCCAAAATTGGAACTTTAGGCCAATTATATCTTCCTCACTCTAGACCCATAGATCCAAATGTCTGTTTCCTCTCTTCCTTGCGTTTTTGTTATACTTATAGCTCTGTGTATGTGAGTAGCAGTGCTCTTGCTGTTTCACATGTAGCTGTGCTTTCCAACATGGTAGCCAGTAGCCATATGTGGCAATTTAAATTTGAATACAGTCAATTCTACTGCTTAATTCTAAATAAGCTCTACTGCTTATTTAGAAAAGAGAAATTTGTTCTAACTAATTGACATATTAGGGAAAATTTGAGCATAATGAAAATTTCATGTTTACTTAGAAGTAATTTTGTCCATAAGAAACGCTAGATGAAAGGAGACCATACTCAGCTGAACCGAGCTATTTAAGAACATGTAAAATGAATGCATGCACGCACCTCAAACATCTACCAGCTCCCTCAGTTCCCCCAGTGTGTTTGTTATGAGCCATACCCATCCACATCTGGTGTTAGAACTTTCCATCTGACTCACATAGCCCTCTTTTTATGACTTCATGATAACTCCAAGCTGCAATTCTTTTTTTTTTTTTTTTTAAATAGAGTCTGGCTCTGTTGCCCAGGCTGGAGTGCAGTGGTGTGATCTCAGCTCACTGCAACCTCTGTCTCCCGGGTTCAAGTGATTCTCCTGCCTCAGCCTCCCCAGTAGCTGGGACTACAGGTACATGCCACCATGCCAGGCTAATTTTTATATTTTTAGTAGAGACAGGGTTTCACCATGTTGGCCAGGCTGGTCTTGAACTCCCGACCTCAGGTGATCTGTCTGCCTTGGCCTCCCCAAGTGCTGGTATTACAGGTGTGAGTCACTGCACCCGGCCCAAGCTGCAGTTCTTCTGATACCCACTTCCATAAGTAAACTTCAGGTCATTGTCAGGGTAAAGTGTTATCCTTATCGTAGTATTCATGTTTCTTTTCTTTTCTTTTTTTTTTTTAGATAGCGTCTCACTCTGTTGCCTGGCTGGAATGCAGAGGTGTGATTATGGCTCACTGCAACCTCTGCCTCCAGGGCTCAAGGGATCCTCTCACCTCAGCCTCCCTAGTAGTTGGGACTATAGGCGTGTACCACTATGCCTGGCTAATTTTTTTGTATTTGTTGTAGAGACAGAGTTTTGCCATGTTGCCCAGGCTGGTCTTGAACTCCTGGACGCAAGCGATCCGCCTGCTTCAGACTCCCAAAATGTTGGGATTGTAGGCGTGAGCCACCGTGCCTAGCTTACTATTCATATTTCTTAACCACTTGCCATGTACAAAACAGTGCTGCTGTTTTTATTAGGTTCTTAATCTTTTCTGTGGGTGTTATTGATAAAGTTTTGGAATGTTGTATGCCTAATCCTGTTTTTCCCATGAGCCTTGAGATCTTTTTGTGAGTGATTTTGCTTAGTGTGATATAGGAACACTTACGTCATGTTATAGCAGGGCTGACTCTGTAAATTAATTAAAATTTAGATTAAAAATTTAGGGCCGGGCGTGGTGGCTCACGCCTGTAATCCCAGCACTTTGGAAGGCTGAGGCGGGCAGATCATGAGGTCAGGAGATCCGAGACCATCCTGGCTAACATGGTGAAACCCCATCTCTACTAAAAATACAAAAAAATTAGCCAGGTGTGGTGGCATGCGCCTGTAATCCCAGCTACTCGGGGGGCTGAGGCAGGAGAATCGCTTGAACCCAGGAGGCGGAGGTTGCAGGTGAGCAGAGATCTCGCCACTGCACTCCAGCCTGGGTGACAGAGTGAGACTCCGTCTCAAAAAAAAACAAAAAAATAAAAAAACAAAAAGTTTAGGCCAGGCATGGTGGCTCACCCCTGTAATCCTAGCACTTTGGGAGGCTGAGGCAGGTGGATCGCTTAAGCCCAGGAGTTTGAGACCAGCCTGGGCAACATAACGAAACCCCATCTCTACTAAAAATACAAAAAATAAGCCAGGTTTGGTGGCGTGTGCTTGTAGTCCCAGCTACTTGGGAGGCTGAAGTGGAAGGATCACCTGAGCTTGGGAAATCAAGGCTGCAGTGAGCCAAGATCTTACTACTGCACTCCAGATTGGGTGACGAGAGTGAGACCCTCTCTCTAAAAAAAATTAAAAAAGTATTTAGTTCTTCATTCCCACTGACCACATTTCAAGTGCTCAGTAACCACATATAGCTAGTGGCCACTGTATACGTAGAACACAGGGCAAACAGAACATTTCCATTGTGGAAAGCTCTGCTGGGCAGAACTGACATATACCTTGAGTGTTCAGTCTGAAAGGTCAGATAAAATGATGAGCTTGCACAAGAGCTCATTCTTGACCTTTCCTCATTACCTTTTTAGGTCTGTTTTTGTTCCTTCATTCTGGGTTCCTCATCTGTTGAGACCATGAGCCAAGAATCTGTGGGACACTCTTCTTTTGTCCTGTTTGTTTACCATTCTTTGCGGTGAAGCTACAAAAGTATTTCATTTCTTTTTTTTTTTTTTTTTTTTTTTGAGACGGAGTTTCGCTCTTGTTGGCCAGGCTGGAGTAGTGCAATGGTGTGATCTCGGCTCACCACAACCTCCACCTCCTGGGTTCAAGCGAATCTCCTGCCTCAGCCTCCCGAGTAGCTGGGATTACAGGCATGCACAACCACGCCCCTCTAATTTTTGTATTTTCAATAGAGACAGGATTTCTTCATGTTGGTCAGGCTGGTCTCGAACTCCTAACCTCAGGTGATCCACGCACCTCGGCCTCCCAAAGTGCTGGGATTACAGGCGTGAGCCACCGTGCCCAGCCAGTATTTCGTTTCATAGCTTATATTCTTTTGCAGGTGAAATTTGCAGCTCAGAAGAAAATTTTACAAAGACTAGAGTCTTACATCCAAATGCTCAATGGAGTCAGTGTGACAACGGCTGTACCCAAATCTGAGAGGCTCTCTTGTCTTCTCCATCCTATTATACCCTCTGTAAGCCCCCACCTCCCTATTCCTTATCTATTAAGGCCCCTTAATGCTAATAACATCAGCTGATATTTACTGGGTACTTGCTAGGGACCAGGCCCTATGCTAAATTATTATCATGCATCATTGTCACATTTTACTGTTTATAATAACCTGGAGGGGTAGATACTATCATTTTATAGATGAAGACCTTGAGGCCCAGAGAGATTTAGTAATTTGCCCAGGACACACATCTAGAAAGGGCCAGAGCTGAGATTCACGCTCAGGTCTATCTGATAGAGACTCCATTGTATCAACCACTCCACTATTACCTCCTTAGAAAGGTTCCAAACTTTGGAAACCTTTCTCCCTGCCATCCCCACACAATTTGCCCATGTAACATTGGAAACCTTTCTAATGTGGCCTCAGAAGAGTGGAATTTAATTTATGGCAGGGGTTAGCAGACTACAGCTTTTAGGCCAATTCTGTCTTGCTGCCTGATTTTGTAAATAAAGTTTTATTGGAACACAGCCAAGCTCACTTGTTTATGTATTGTCTATGGCTGCTTTTGCACTATGATGGCAGAGTTGAGTAGTTGCAACAGGGACCATATGGCCTGCAAAGCCCTAAATTATTTACTCTTTGGCTCTTGACATAAGTAGTTTGTTGACTCCTGCTTTATGGCAAGATTGGAACTCCCCTTCTATGGACTGTCTTGATCTTCTTAGCCACAGACTTTCACATATGCCATACCCTCCAAGCAAACCTTATTTGTCCTCATCCAGAGAACATTCCTGCTTTCCCTTTATTGTTATCTTCCTTGGTTTCATTTGACCTCTCATCCCCCTCCTGTCCTTCTGCCCTCTCCAGCCTGTCATCAATGGTTACCGAAATAAGTCCACCTTCTCTGTGAACCGAGGTCCAGATGGCAATCCAAAGACTGTGGGGTTCTACCTGGGAACTTGGAGAGGTCAGTTGAAGGTTGTATAAACCAAAGACTGAAGAGGAATGAAAGGGTGCAGAGAAGTGTCAGTAGAAGTGGAAAATACGGTGGCCTTAAAGAAGAAGATTAAATTGGAAGTCTTTGATGCAGAACGTGATCACAAGGTTGATTACGGATACTGCTAATGGGTAGTCATTGTAACACAGTGATAGAAAATGCAACCCTCGCCCTTTCTTCCTCTAAAAGCCATATATGCCTGATACCTAGTAAACACTTAGTAAATGCTGGCGTTGTTGCTGCTGCTGTCTCATCATCATTGTTGTCATCATCATTTTATGCTGCTTTCTGCAGTGGGAGCAATCTCCTTGTTAGAGTTGTCTTCCTATTTCACATCCCCATATCTCTGAAAATTATTTCTGTGGTAAATCTACCTTAAAAGAATTGGTAGGGGAGGTGTGTATCGGTGAGGGGAATCACAGTGGCATATTTCTGAAACTTACTTTCAGTTATCCCTTCCCAGATTCCATTCCTGAGCTTTTTTTTTTTTTTTTTTTTTGAGATGGAGTCTCGCACTGTCACCCAGGCTGGAGTGCAGTGGTGTGATCTCGGCTCACTGCAACCTCCGCCTCCCGAGTTCAAGTGATTCTCCTGTCTGAGCCTCTGAGTAGCTGGGATTACAGGTGTGCACCACCACACCCAGCTAATTTTTGTATTTTTGGTAGAGACGGGGTTTCGCTATGTTGGCCAGGCTGGTCTTGAACTCCTGACCTCAGGTGATCCACTCGCCTTAGCCTCCCCAAGTGCTGGGATTACAGGCATGAGCCACTGTGCTTGGCCCATTCCTGAGCTTTCTGTTTGCCCATTTTCAATAAATCCACTTGAAATACCATCATTTGATATTAGTCACACAGTTTAATATCCATATGCCTTAAACTACAGTTCGTTAGGGCGTGCACTTGGCTTTTTTCCCTCCTGTGTGCTGAATTAAATGACTGTGACGTCAGTGTTCTATTATTCAGTAATAGAAAAATAAAACCCATTACATTTTATTTCCCTCTTAAAATCTGAACAGAAAACAGACGTCATATAGTGCATTTGTGGCGTGAGAGAAAATATTGAGTAGCTTCATAAATAATTAGCTGCTTAATGGCTAGACCAGGAAATAATTAGGTTTTCTCTGAAAAGTGGCCATGAGATTGTATTTGCTTCTTCATATCTACATATGCCACTTTGACGATAGAAATTTGAGTTGCCAGGCATTTTCTTTTAAATAATCTTTTAAGAATAAAACCATGCAAATTATTTTTCTTTCCATAGATGGGAACGTTGTCTGTGTGCAGTCTAATCATCTGAAAAACATCCCTGAGAAACACAGTCAAGTGGCGCAGGTAAAATGGAACAAGAGCTGGTTGAGAATGGCCTGGAGCATTGTAGTCTACAACAGCAACATCCCTGACATTTTGATAATAGAGCCAATTCTAGTGCTAGAGGGAAGGAGGGGCTCTGTACTGAAAGCATACCTTCTAACTATGGAGAAAACATTGCTAGGTTTTCATTTCAGAAAGAGTGGAGAGGGGAAGAGAGAACTGTGTCCATTATTGTAAGTATCAGGCATCTAAGGACTTTTTCATAGTAGGGATGTATTAGGAAGAAGTGCTGATGAGGGTACTATAGCAAGTGTCAGGTGTCTGAAGTATTTGGAAGGCTAGTGTTTTCAGCAGAACAGAATTGAGGAATATGAGGTGAAGTGGTGATAAGATAGTACATCATGAGCTTGGCCTCTGATACGTTTTTTTCTTTCTTTCTTTTCTTTCTTTCTTGGATGAGGTCTTGCCATGTTGTGCAGGCTGGTCTCGAATTCCTGGCCTCAAGCAATTCTGCCACCTTCTGTATCCCAGAGTATGCTGGGATTATAGGCATGAGCTACCGTGCCTGACCTCTGAGACACTTATTTTTTATTTTTTATTTTTTGAGACAGTCTCATTCTGTCGCCCAGGCTGGAGTGCAGAGGCATGATCTCAGCTCACTGCAACCTCCATCTCCTGGGTTTGAGCAATTCTCATGCCTCAGCCTCCCAAGTAGCTGGGACTACAGGCCCATGCCACCACACCCAGCTACTTTTTGAATTTTTAGTAGAGATGGGTTTTCACCATGTTGGCCAGTCTGGTCTTGAACTCCTGACCTCAAGTGATCCACCCACCTCGGCCTCCCAAAGTGCTGGGATTACAGGTGTGAGCCACTGCGCCTGGTCTTTTTCTAGTTCTTTATGTCAAATTACTGTGTCCCTTGAAATAATTCCACTCTGTAGTTAAGCCACTAACTGGATACTTGATACACAGGTTCTTTTTTTTTCCATTTTGCTTTCAAATTTTACAGATTTTTTAAAATTTAAATTTTGTTTTATACTTTAAAAAAATATTTACTAGGTTCCAAAATCAAGTCTACAAAATAAAGGTATATTCAGGGAGGTCTAGCTTTCACCTCTGACCCCTCTACCCAGTTCCCTCCCTGCCATGGGTAAAATTTTTTTTTTTATTTTTGCTGATTTCAGAAAATGTAGGCCAGGCATGGTGGCTCATGCCTGTAATCCCAGCACTTTGGGAGGTTAAGGCGGGTGGATCACTTGAGGTCAGGAGTTCGAGACCAGCCTGGCCAACATGGCTAAACCCCATCTCTACTAAAAGTACAAAAATTAGCCGAGCGTAGTGGCGCACGCCTATAGTCCTGGCTACTCAGGAGGCTGAGGTATGAGAATCGCTAGAACCTGGGAGGCAGAGGTTGCAGTGAACTGAGATCGCACCATTGCACTCCATCCTGGGTGACAGAGCGAGACCATGTCTCAAAAAAAAAAAAAATGTAGGCCAGGCACGGTGGCTCACGCCTGTAATCTCAGCACTTTGGGAGGCCGAGGCGGGCAGATCACCTGAGGTCAGGAGTTCAAGACCAGCCTGACCAACATGGAGAAACCCTGTCTCTACTAAAAATACAAAATTAGCTGGATGTGGTGGTGCATGCCTGTAATCCCAGCTACTTGGGAGGTTGAGGCAGGAGAATCCCTTGAACCCAGGAGGCGGAGGTTGCGGTGAGCCAAGATCATGCCACTGTACTCCAGCCTGGGCAACAAGAGTGAAACTCTGTCTCAAAAAAAAAAAAAAAAGGAAATGTTAATAGATATTTGTGTCTTCCCCGCTTTCATAGTTAAAAGGCAGCCTACTGTATACATTGTTCTGCATCTTGATTTTTTTTCACAGAATAATATACTTGACTTTTTTATAGTTGCATAGTCCTACATATTAATAGTATAATGTATTTTGCATCTTTTTGTTTTTATTGGCATGAATAATTACCTCATTTTTCCATTTGCTTTGTTTTCTTTCTTCTCTTTCTTTCTTTCTTTATTTTTTTGTGTATGGAGTCTCGCTCTGTCGCCCGGGCTGTAGTGCAGTGGCGAGATCTTGGATCACTGCAGCCTCCACCCACCAGGTTCCAGCAATTCTCCTGCCTCAGCCTCCTGGGTAGCTGGGATTACAGGCACACACCACCACGCCTGGCCCATTTTTGTATTTTTAGTAGAGACGAGGTTTCACCATGTTAGCCAGGCTGGTCTCGAACTTCTGACCTCAGGTGATCCGCCCGCCTCGCCCTCCCAAAGTGCTGGGATTACAGGTGTGAGCCACCGCACCCAGCCTCCTTCATTTTCTGTAAACCAATTGCTAATTTCTTTTCTTTCTTTTTTTTTTTTTTGACTTGGAGTTTTGCTCTTGTCGCCCAGGCTGGATTACAATGGCGCAGTCTTGGCTCACTGCAATCTCCACCTCCTGGGTTCAAGCAATTCTCCTGCCTCAGCCTCCCAAGTAGCTGGGATTATAGGGGCCCGCCACCACTCCCAGCTAATTTTTGTAATTTTAGTAGAGATGGGGTTTCACCATGTTGGCCAGGCTGGTCTTGAACTCCTGACCTCAGGTGATTCGTCCACCTTGGCCTCCCAAAGTGTTGGGATTACAGGTGTGAGCCACCGTGCCTGGCCGCCAATTTCTTCCCAAATGCTTTATAAGATCTGTCAGATATTCATCAATATTTTCCATATCTCAAAAGCTTCAGTTGAAGTTTTTCCCTGAAGACCTTTTTCCTGGAGTCTGCCATCCTAGGCCCAGCCTGTCTTCTGCATGGCTGTTATCCTGGGGCTTCTTTTGCTGGTCTCTAGTCTTTTTTTTTTTTTTTTTTGAGACGGAGTTTCAGTCTTTTTGCCCAGGCTGGAGTGTAATGGTGCGATCTTGGCTCACTGCAACCTCCACCTTCCAGGTTCAAGTGATTCTCCTGCCTCAGCCTCTCGAGTAGCTGGGATTACAGGCACCAGCCACCACGCCCAGCTAATTTTTTTTATATTTTATTTTATTTATTTATTTATTTTTTTGAGATGGAGTCTCGCTCTGTTGCCCAGGCTGGAGTGCAGTGGCGTGAACTTGGCTCACTGCTACCTCTGCCTCCCGGGTTCAAGCAATTCTCCTGCCTCAGCTTCCTGAATAGCTGGAATTACAGGCACATGCCACCACGCCTAGCTAATTTTTTGTATTTTTAGTAGAGACGGGGTTTCACTGTGTTAGCCAGGATGGTCTCGATCTCCTGACCTCGTGATTCGCCCACCTCAGCCTCCCAAAGTGCTGGGATTACAGGTGTGAGCCACCGCACCCAGCCCCTCTTCCTGAATTTTTTTTTGAGAGGGGTCTCACTCTGTTGCCCAGGCTGGAGTGCAATGGCGTGATCTCAGCTCACTGCAACCTCTGCCTCCTGTGTTGAAGTGATTCTCCTGCCTCAGCCTCCCGAGTAGCTCAGATTACAGGCACCTGCCACCACGCTTGGCTAATTTTTGTATTTTTAGCAGAGATGGGGTTTCACCAGGTTGGCATGAGTGGTCTAGAACTCCTGACCTCAAATGATCTACCCACCTTGGCCTCCCAAAGTGCTGGGATTATAGGCACCCCCGGTCCCCTCTCCCTCATTTTCTATGTGCTCTCTATTCTTCCTATTAGATTTGGGGACCTTATGGATTGCTTCTGTTATCTTCCGTTCATTTCTCTCTCCTGTTTTTCATCTCTTTGCCTTTTTGTTCTTTTTGTGAAATTTTATTGACCTACATACCAACAGCTTTATTGAATTTGTCTCTATCATTGTGTCTTTAATTTTCAAAAGGTTTTTCTTGTTCTCTAATTGCTCCTTTCATGTAGCATTCTGTTCTTTTTTAGTAATGTAACATTAACTTATCTTTCTATTTGCTTTTTTTTTTTTTTTCCTACGACAGAGTTTTGCTCCTGTTGCCCAGGCTAGAGTGCAATGGTGCAATCTTGGCTCACTGCAACCTCCGCCTCCCGAGTTCAAGCAATTCTCCTGCCTCAGCCTCCCGAGTAGCTGAGATTACAGGCACATGCCACCACGCCCAGCTAATTTTTGTGTTTTTAATAGAGATGGGGTTTTGCCATGTTGGCCAGACTGGTCTCGAACTGTTGACCTCAGGTGATCTGCCGACCTTTGCCTCCCAAAGTGTTAGCATTACAGGCGTGAGCCACCATGCCCAGCCTCTATTTGCTTTTTTTCCTGTTTGAAGTGTCTGCTTTCTTCTGGATTTTTTTCCTGTGTATTTGTTTTGGGCATTGTCTTTTATAATGGAGGTGTTAACCAAATAGCTGGTAATACTTGGCTGGCTGTTCATATTTAAGAGTGAGGCCTTAGGACCGGTGTGGTGGCTCATGCCTGTAATCCTAGCAGTTTGGGAGTGTGAGGTGGGTGGATCACTTGAGTTTAAGAGTTCAAGACCAGCCTGGACAACATGGCAAAACCCTGTCTTTACTAAAAATACAAAAAAATTTAGATGGGGGTGGTGGCACTCACCTGTAGTCCCAGCTCCTTGCAGGGCTGAGACAGGGGGATTGCTTGAACCCAGCAGTTCGAGGCTGCAGTGAGCTGAGATGATGCCACTGCACTCCAAACTGGGCGATAGAGCAAGACCCTGTGTCAAAAAAAAAAAAATAGTGAGGCTTTGACCAGTTAATAGTTCATCTTGAGTGGGTTTACTGATTCTTGGATTTACTGCTGGTGATTGCAGACAAGTCTTCCATGTCTCTGTCTCTTGAGTTATTTTCTCTGAGGTTATTCAGTTCCTATAAAAAATTATATCCAAATCTCCTGCCTGGCTGCTGGCCTTCTGGAATGAGGTATAGAAAGGGGCCCAGATCTCACACCATTAAGAATGCAGACTTATGCTTGGTGTGGTGGCTCACGCCTGTAATCCCAGCACTTTGGGAGCCCAAGGCGGGCGGATCACAAGGTCAGGAGTTTGAGACTAGCCTGACCAACATGGTGAAACCCTATCTCTACTAAAACTACAAAAATTAGCCAGGCACAGTGGCAGGCACCTATAGTCCCAGATTCTCAGGAGGCTGAGGCAGAATCGCTTGAACCCGGGAGGCGGAGGTTGCAATGAGCCGAGTTCGCGCCACTGCACTCCAGCCTGGGTAAAAGAGCGAGACTCCATCTGAAAAAAAAAAAAAAGAATGCAGATCTATATAGGCTTTTCCTGCTTCCATCTTTCTGCCACCATCAATGTGTCCGGTATCTCCAAGTTCTGAACTTTGATGGGTTCAGTTTCTCCTGAGAAAAACATCTTCAGTCTCCTGGTAGAGGAAGATGGAAGTTTTTGGTAGGATGAAGACATTTGCCAGTTTTTGTTTGTTTGTTTGTTTGAGACAAAGTCTCACTCTGTCGCCCAGGCTGGATGGAGTGTAGTGGTGTGATCTTGGCTCACTGCAACCTCCACATCCTGGGTTCAAGCAGTTCTCATGCCTTAGCCTCCCAAGTAGCTGGGACTATAGGCACGTGCCACTGTGCCTAGCTAACTTTTGTATTTTTAGTAGGGACGGGGTTTCACCATGTTGGCCAGGCTGGTCTCAAACTCCTGACCTCAAATGATCTACCCGCCTCAGCCTCCCAAAGTGATGGGATTACAAGTGTGAGCCACTGCACCTGGCCAACATTTGCCAGTTTTGCATCTAGACTTTTTAGCCAAACCCTGAGTTTAGTCATGCATCTTACCCCATCTCAGCTTCCTGCAGTATTTTGCACCTTTAGGTGTGAGCCTTACCAGGATTGTGTAGAGCAGATAAGCCTTTTGACTTATCAGGTCCCCCTCTGTGGTCACTCCAGATGTGGCTTCCTTCACCTTGCTAAGTCACTTGTCACTTCACTCTGCTGTCCATCTTCTGAGATTTTACTGAGTTTGCTTTTCTGTTGTCTTCTCTCCCATTATCTTTGTTCTTTCATTTATTTATTCAACAAGTACTTTTGCACCCCTATAAGTTCAAGGCACTATTCTAGATGCTTAGGATACAGTAATGAAGAAAATAAGTTCCCTTGTGTAATTTAAATTTTAGTTGTGGGGGAGACAGATTTTTTAAAAAATAAGTAAATCATATGATATGTTGAAAGGTGATAAGTGCCATGGGAAAAAATAGAGTAAGGAGGATAAAAAGTTGTGGGGGCTGGAGGAAGTATGGGTTGTAATTTAATTTAATTTAATTTAATTTTAATTATTACTTATTTATGAGAAAGAATCTTGCTCTGTTCTTTCTGAGCAGAAATGAATGAAATGAAATGAAAGATCCTACAGTGCATGGATCAGCCCCCTACAATAAAGCATTTTCTGCCCCCAAATGTCAGTAGTGCTGATGTTGAGAAACCCTGGAATAAGGACTTAAAGGAAGTGAAGGTGTTAGCCATGCAAAGGTCTGAGGGAAAAACATTTTAGGCAAAAGAAAGAGCTATTGCAAAGACCCCAAGATGAGCGTGTGGCTGGCTTTTTGGAGGAATTGACAGTAGACCCAGGCAAATAAGAGGAAGAATAGTAGGAGATGAGGTGAGAGTTAATGGTAGTGACTTTGGCTTTTATTCTGTGTATTAGTCTGTTCTCACATTGCTATAAAGAACTTCCTGAGACTGGGTAATTTATGAAGAAAAGAGGTTTAATTGACTCACAGTTCCACATGCCTGGGAAGCCTCAGGACACACTATCATGGTGGAGGGTGAAGCAAGCACATTTTACTATGGTGAAGCAGGAGAGAGAGAGAAGAAGGGGAATGTGCCACACAGTTAACAAACAACCATATCCTGTGAGAACTCCATCACCAGAACAGCAAGGGGAGGTCCACCCCCATAACTCAATCACCTCCCACCAGGCCACTCCCCCAACATGTGGGGATTACAATTTGAGATAAGATTTGGGTGGGGACATAGAGCCAAACCACATCATTCTGAATGAAATGGGGAACCATCAGAGGTTTTGATGGGGTGAGGGAGGAATGTCATGATATGATTTAATGATCAATCTGGCTGTTGTGTTGAGAATGGATTATTGGTGGGGGCGTGGTTGGATAGAAGCAGGGAGACAAATTGAGAGAAGCTGTGCAGCAGTAATCCAGGTGAGAGATGATGTAGATCGATCAGTGGTAACAGTGGAGATGGATATACATTGAGGGTAGAACAACAGGATTTCCTGATGGATTGAGTGAGAGGTATAAGAGACAGAGAGAAGTGGCTGGGCGCAGTGGCTCACGCCTGTAATTCCAGCACTTTGGGAGGCTGAGGTGGGCAGATCACCTGAGGTCAGGAGTTGGAGACTAGCCTGGCCAACATAGTGAAACCCCATCTCTACTAAAAATAAAAAAATTAGCCGGATGTGGTGGTGGGCACCTGTAATCCCAGCTACTGGGGAGGCTGAGGCAGGGGAATCGCTTGAATCCAGGAGGTGGAGGTTGCTGTGAGCCTAAACCGCGCCACTGCACTCCAGCCTGGGTGGCAAGAGCGACACTCCGTCTCAAAAAAAAAAAAAAAAAAAAAAAGAGCAAGAAGTAAAAAATGGCTCTAACAAGGACATTTTTTGGAGGTAATGAATGTGTTTAGTACCCTTGGCTGGTGGGGGTTGGTATCCCAAGTATATGTATATGTCCAGGCTCATCAAAATGTATACATAAAAACAGGTGCAAATTTTATATGTCAGTTATACCTTAATATAAAAAAAAAGCCCCAGGTGTTTTGTGTAGAGCAAGTGGAAGGATGAAGTTACTGTCAACTGAGACTGGAAAGACTGGTAGAGCAGATTTGGGTTGGAGGAGATGAGTAGTTCAGTTTTGGTCATGTTGTATTTGAGGTGCCTATTGAACATCTGAATGGGTATGTTAAGTAGTTGGATATATTCGACTGGGGTTCAAGAGAGAGAAATCCAGGAGTTGTTAGCATGTAGATGTCATTTAAAATTATGAGGCTGGCAAGAGATCACCAAGGGAGTGAGAGTAGATAGAAAAGTGAAGAGGAACAGGGACCAATCCCTGGGGCACTCTCATTTTAAGAGGTTTGGAAGAAGAGGAAGAACCAGTAAAGGAGACTGAAGGAACGGTCAGTGAGGTTGTAAGAAACAGGAGTCCGTGGCTCACGCCTGTAATCCCAGCACTTTGGGAGGCCAAGGTGGGCGGATCACAAGGTCAGGAGATCAAGACCAGCCTGACCAATATGGTTAAACCCTGTCTCTACTAAAAAAAAAAAAAAAAATGCAAAAATTAGCTGGGCTTGTTGGCGTGCGCCTGTAGTCCCAGCTACTCAGAAGGCTGAGGCATTAGAATCGCTTGAACCCGGGAGGCGGAGGTTGCAGTGAACCGAGATCGCGCCACTGCACTCCAACCTGGCGACAGAGTGAGACTCCATCTCAAAAAAAAAAAAAAGAAAGAAACTGGAGTAAGGTTTCCCTGGGAGCCAGAGGAAGAAAGTAAACAGAGAAGGAGTGGCTTATCACCTGTGCCCAATGCTTGCCGATAGGTCAAGGAAGTGAGGACTTAGAGTGGACCATTGGATTTCATAACAAGGAGGTTGGGGGTGACCTTAATGTGTACTGTTTTCGCGGAGTAGTGGTGACTTGATTCAGATGGGTGAGTAGAAGGAGAAGAATGGGAGGCAGTGAATAGGTTCAGTTCTTGTGATTAGTTTTACGACAAAGAGGAGCAGAGTTGGGGAATATAGGGTCAAGAAGATTCCTTTTTTATTCTGCTTAAAATGGGAGAGTAAAAGCAATCTGATAGTATATTGATGGGAATGATCCAGTACTGAGCGAAGGCAATGATGGTGCAGGAGAGAGAAGGGAGAATTGTTGGAAACAATGAACCTAAATAAGCTTATGCCTTTTTAATTCCTTTGTTTCATTTTAGTAGGATTTTCACTTAGTAGGATTTTTAGGTGGAATATTCTGTTATTTTAGGTGGAATATTCTGTTATTTTAACCAGAAGTTCCCTTTAATCTTAATACTTACTTAAGCATTCCCATATAAGAACAGGAGTTTCAGTTTCCATCTTACAGTGAAGAAACCAAGACCCTAGGTCATACAGTGGAGAAGCTGCATTTCATATTTACCCATTATCTTTTAGGTCAAGCTCAGTTTTTCAATTACCATCCTTCCAGAACCTATATGACTTTTTTTTTTTTTTTTTTGAGACGGAGTTTTGCTCTGTCACCCAGGCTGGAGTGCTGTGGTGTGATCTCGGCTCACTGCAACTTCTGCCTCCTGCGTTCCAGCGATTCTCCTGCTCAGCCTCCTAAGTAGCTGAGATTACAGGTGTGTGCCACCACGCCTGGCTAATTTTTGTACTTTTAGTAGAGATGGAGTTTTACCATGTTGCCCGGGCTGGTCTCAAACTCCTGACCTCAGGTGATCCACCTACCTGCCTTGGCCTCCCAGAATACTGGGATTATAGGCGAGAGACACTGCACCAGGCTTTATATGATATTTGAATCTTGCTTCCAAAAAGCATTTCTTTCTAACCAGCCAGTAAACAACAGTTGAACTAGTCAGAATTTCTTTCTTCCTTCCTCTCTTTTTTTCTTTCTTTCCTTCCTTCCTTCCTCCCTCCCTCCCTCCCTTCCTTCCTCCCTCCCTTCTGTCCTTCTCTCTCTTTCTGTCTCTCTTTCTTTCCCTCCCTCCCTTTCTTCTTCTTTCTTTCTTTCTTTTCTTTCTCTTTTGATGGAGTCTCACTCTCGCCTAGGCTGGAGTGCAGTGGCACAATCTCAGCTCACTACAACCTCCAGGTTCAAGCGATTCTTCTGCCTCAGCCTCCCAAGTAGCTGGGATTACAGGTGCCCGCCACCATGTCTGGCAAAATTTTGTATTTTTAGTAGAGACGGGGTTTTGCCATGTTGGTCAGGCTGGTCTTGAACCCCTGACCTCAAATGATCTGCCCACCTCGGCCTCTCAAAGTGCTGGAATTACAGGTGGGAGGGATCACGCCCAGTGGAACTAGGCTTTCTTTAAATCACCAACCTTAAAATTTGAAAACTATGTTGAGTAAAAATCAAGGACATCTTATATGAAATTATAGCAAAAGTGATCAAGTACAACCTTAATTGATCTTACCTCTCAGGTAGCACTGTTTTTTTGTATAATTCCCCCCTTTACTACATAATTTGTGGTTTGTTTGAGAACCCAGTGGACCCAGAACACATGCATTATGAGAACAAAAGGACCTAGTAAATCAGATGGTGTTTCCTGTTATGGCAGCAATTGGCTTTAAGGATTTTTGAGATCACAACAACTAAATCAGGATTGCATTTGACTTGTATATACCAGGAGGAAATGGAGGATCTGACTAAGCCATAATATAGTTGGTACCAGGTTATATGAAAAAATATAGAAATGATGTGCTTATATCAGGACATTAAAAGTAAGAGTGGAATCATAGCAGCTTAGTAATACATTAGGAATTCACAGAAAGGGAAGATTATTTTCCATAAATAAACTGAAGTTCTAAATAAGAATACCTTTCCTGTTCAGTCATTCATAAAATTTTTCAATAATATTTATTGAACACATATGTCAGACTAAGGAAACAACTCTAGCTCCATGGAGCTTACAGTTCAAGATATAATTGATAGCATCCTCTGTAAAGTTACAGGGCAGGGATCATGATTCTTTTTTTTTTTTCCGAGACACAGGTTGCCCAGGTTGGAGTGCAGTGGTAAGATCTCGGCTCACTGCAGCCTTGACCACCTGGGCTCAGGCGATCCTCCCACCCCACCTTCTTGAGTAGCTGGGGCTACAGGCGTGTGTCACCATGCCTGGCTAATTTTGTTGTTGTTGTTGCTGTTTTTTTGAGATAGAGTCTCACTCTGTTGCCCAGGCTGGAGTGCAGTGGTGCGATCTTGGCTCACTGCAACCCGCCTCCTGGGTTCAAGCAATTCTCCTGCCTCAGCCTCCCAAGTAGCTGAGATTACAGGTGCCTGCCCTGATGCCCGGCTAAATTTTGTATTTTTAGTAGAGACGGGGTTGCCATGTTGGCCCAGCTGGTCTCGAACTCCTGACCTCAAAGTGATCCACCCGCCTTGGCCTCCCAAAGTGCTGGGAATATAGGCTTGAGCCACTGCACCCGGCCTAATTTTTTTTATTTTTTGTAGACAGGCCATGTTGCCCAGGTGGTCTTGAACTCCTGGACATAAGCAATCCTCCCACGTTGGCCTCCCAAAGTGCTAGGATTACAGGTTTGAGCCACTGTGCCCAGTCAATCATGTTTCTTATATCACTGTATTTGTCTGCAAGGGCTGCCATTACAAAATACGGCAGACTGAGTGGCTTAACAGAAGTTTATTTCCTCCTTGTCTGGAAGCTAGCAAGTCTAAGATCAGAGTCTCCACTGATTTGGTTTCTGCTGAGACCTCCCTCCTCGGCTTGCATAGACACCTTCTTGCTGTGTCCACACATGGTCTTTTTCTTTGTGCACCCAACCTTGGTGTCTCTGTGTGTCCACATTTTCTCTTATAAGGACAGCAGGCATGGTGCGGTGGCTCACGGCTGTAATCCCAGCACTTTAGGAGGCCGAGGCAGGAGGATCACCTGAAGTCAGGAGTTTGTGACCAGCCTGGCCAACATGGTGAAACCTCGTGTCTACTAAAAATACAAAAATTAGCCAGGCTTGGTGGTGGGCATCTGTGATCCCAGCTACTCAGGAGGCTGAGGCAGGAGAATTGCTTGAACCCGGGTGGCGGAGGTTGCAGTGAGCCGAGATCATGCCACTGCACTCCAGCCTAGGTGACAGAGTGAGACTCCGTCTGAAAAATAAAAAATAAAAAAAGGACATCAGTGAGATTGGATTAAGGCCTGCCTTAACTGCCTCATTTTAAGTAAATCACCTCTTTAAAGGCCCTGTCTCAAAGTATAGACACATTTTGAGTACTGGTGGTTAAGGCTTCAACATAGGAATTTTTGGGGGACACAATGTAACACAAACAATCACCTAGCATGAGTAAACAGCTGTGAAACTTGCTAGTTTTGCTTGTGTAATAATTCGGTTCTCTTCCTAGTACTATGAAGTATTCCTTCGACAGTCTCCATTGGAGCCCTGCCTTGTATTTCATGAAGGTGGATACTGGCGTGAGCTCACAGTCCGCACCAATAGCCAAGGGCACACAATGGCTATCATCACTTTCCATCCCCAGAAATTAAGTCAGGTGAGCCTCACAAGATGTTAAGCAACCTTAACTTTTACTACTACTAACTATAACTGTAATTGGTTTTTTGGAAGTTTCAGGGCATATAGCAGAAACAGTACATCCACAGAATATTTGTGTCAATTGGGGAGAGGGGTTAGGGATGAGGAGAAGATGGCAAGGATACTATTTAACCATACTGCTCGCATAATCAAACCACAGAGACTGTGGCTAGGCTGCCAAGTTAATTACCATGTGAGAACTCCCAAGTAATTTCACAAGAACTTTGCCCATGGTAGTAGTTGCTCTTCCAAATCCAAATGCCAATTCAATAGAGACTGCAGTGTCAGAATTTCATAACCCAAATAGTACTTTACATTTGTCATGCACTTGGTGCTTTCAAACATACCTGTGTTAAAACATTCGTATACTTATGTGATCATCTCAACAAACTTGTAAAGTAGGCAGGAGGAAAGATATTGTCACCCTCATTTTACACCTGAGGAAATGGAGGCATAGAAATACCCAAGGTTAAAGAATCAGTAAATAGCAAAGCTAGGATTTGAACCCAGGTCCTTTGATGCCTGATGTTTTTAACCCTATTGTTCCTACATGGTTTATTGCAATATATCCTGGTATCAAGCTAATACTTAGGCTTTCTGTAGTTATGTAAGAATTTTATTTTTTATATTTTGAGACAGTGTCTCACTCTGTTGCCCAGATTGGAGTGCAGTGGTGCAATCAAAGCTCACTGTAGCCTCAAACTGCTGGGCTCAAGCAATCTTCCCACCTCAGCCTCTCAAGTAACTGGGACTACAGGCATACGTCACCACACCTGGCTAATTTTTTTGATTTTTTTTTTTTTTTTTTGAGACAGAGTCTCGCTTCTTCACCCAGGCTGGAGTGCAATGGCATGATCTCAGTTCACTGCAACCTCCGCCTCCCGGGTTCAAGCAATTCTCCTGACTCAGCCTCCCAAGTAGCTGGGATTACAGGCACGTGCCAGCACGCCCGGCTAATTTTTGTATTTTTAGTAGAGATGGGGTTTCACCATGTTGGCCAGGCTGGTCTGGAACTCCTGACCTCAACTGATCTGCCTGTCTTGGCCTTCCAAAGTGCTGGGATTACAGGTGTGAACCGCCGCTCCCGGACTTTTTGATTTCTTGTAGAGACAGGATGTTGCTATGTTGCCTAGGCTTGTCTTACACTCCTGGGCTCAAGCAGTCCTCCTACCTCAGCCTCTCAAAGTGCTGGGATTATAGGCATGAACTATCATGTCTGGCCTGCTTTATGTTAAGTGTTATTTATAATAAGATTTGTGAAATGTCTTCACATCTGACTACTGCAGGGCTGATTACTATAGAGCTTAGAGAGAAAATTTGTCAGAGATGAGTCTTTGCTTAACTGCTAATTTTATGGTCTGGGCAGGAGGAGCTCCATGTTCAGAAGGAGATTGTAAAGGAATTTTTCATCAGAGGTCCTGGAGCAGCCTGTGGCTTGACCTCACTTTACTTCCAGGAAAGGTAAACCTGGGACAGCCAAATAGGCTGATGGCTTGCCAGACTCTTGGTTTATGGATTGCTGATGCAGGGTTGCTGATTGATGGTGGAGGATATTGGCTAAATGGTTCTGGTCCTTGTACACCAGCTGGGTCTTGGAACACAGGCCAGAATGTAGATGTGAGAGTGTCCACATGGACTTTCATCCCCTGAGGGGGAAACCCTTGCAGAGCTCTCAGGGCCACGGCAAGGACTGTGTCTCCTAGCTGAGATGCTGGGGCCTCCCTGTCTACCCAACCACTAGGGATGTGATGGTCTGCCATTTCAAGATGCTTTTTTTTGTTTTGCTTTTTTTTTTTCTTTGAGACCGAGTCTCGCTCTGTTACCCAGGCTGGAGGGCAGTAGCACAATCTTGGCTCACTGCAACCTCTGCCTCCCGAGTTCAAGTGACTCTCCTACCTCAGCCTCCTGAGTAGCTTGGATTACAGGCATGTGCCACCACACCTGGCTAATTTTTGTATTTTCAGTAGAGATGAGATTTCACCATGTTGGCCAGGCTGGTCTCGAACTCCTGACCTTAGGTGATCTGCCCGCCTCGGCCTCCCAAAGTGCTGGGATTACAGGCGTGAGCCACCGCTCACAGCTCAAGATGCTTTCTTCTTTTATTCCTTTCCAGTACCATGACCCGTTGCAGCCATCAGCAGTCTCCCTATCAGCTTCTGTTTGGGGAACCCTACATCTTTGAAGAACTTCTGAGCTTGAAGATCCGCATCTCTCCAGATGCCTTTTTCCAGATTAACACAGCTGGTGCAGAGATGCTGTATCGGACTGTGGGGGAGCTGACTGGAGTGAACTCTGACACCATCCTTCTTGACATCTGCTGTGGAACTGGCAAGTGGAAGCCCAGGGCAGAATCTGCATGCTGCTCAGCTCCCAAGGCCCTTGTAGCTTGCGGAGGTGGTCGGGGAGAGGTAGTGGTAGTGGTGCAGGTATAACCTTGTCGGTCTAAAACCCTACAACTGCAGCCAAGTGTGGTTGCTTATGCCTGTTATCCCAACACTTTGTGAAGCAAGGCAGGAGGATTGGTTGAGCCCAGGAGTTGGAGACTAGCCTGGGCAACATAGTGAGACCCTGTCTCTACAAAAAATTTAAAAATTAGCTGGGCATAGTGGCGTGAACCTGTAGTCTTAGCTACTCAGGGGGCTGAGAGAGGAGGATTGCTTTAGCCCGGGAGGTCGAGGCTGCAGTGAACTGTGATTGTGCCATTGCACTCCAGCCTAGGCTACAGAGTGAGACCCTGTTTAAAACAAACAAACAAACTAAACTAAACTAAACAAAAAACAAACAAACTACCACACCTAAACCCTAAAATGCCTTCTTCTTCTTCTCGTTTACTTCTTCAGGTGTGATTGGCCTCTCTCTGGCTCAGCATACATCTCGGGTCCTTGGGATTGAATTGTTGGAGCAGGCAGTGGAGGATGCAAGATGGACTGCAGCCTTCAATGGTACACAGCTTACAGTCTGTGTAGAAATTAAGGGATGCAGTTGTTTCTGTGCTATGGAAAGAGTTGTGTGGGAAAAGGCAACTACTGTATCCCTGACCCACAGGGAGGAAGGGAGGGAATTCTGGAGGGGTCAGAATGGTTTTCTGAAATAGATCCTCATGGTTTTCTGGAATAGGTACCAATATCTAACTTTTTTCCTATCCAGAAGAGGAACCTAAGGGAAGATACATGTCTAGCTGATAGGAAACAAAGTTGCAAAACTTTGGACAGAATAGAAGAAGAATCTCCTTGGCATTAGACTCACGAGGCCTTATAGCATAATACAATAGGTGTCAAACCTATATTTTCAGCAACAAAACCTTTTCTTCAAACACAGTCTTCTGTCAAACTGCAATATAGAAAATAGATCATCTTGCCCTCACTGCTTCACCTACAGAAAGCTCCTGAGGCATTTGGTGAAAATGTCTGATATAGCAGGAAGAGCACTTGAGCAAAAGTCAAGGTTCTCATCTTGGTATAGGTCCTTGCATGCTATGTGAGTTGTGAAGTTGTAAAATAGCCGGGCATGGTGGCTCATGCCTGTAATTCCAGCACTTTGGGAGGCTGAGGTGGGTGGATCACGAGGTCAGGAGTTCAAGACCAGCCTGGCCAAGATGGTAAAACCCCATCTCTACTAAAAATACAAAATTAGCCGGTCGTGGTGGCAGGCGCCTGTAATCCAAGCTACTCGGGAGGCTGAGGCAGAGAATTGCTTGAACCCGGGAGGTGGAGGTTGCAGTGTGCCGAGATCGCACCACTGCATTCTGGTCTGGGTGACAGAGTGAGACTCTGTCGCAAAAGAAAAAAAAAAAGGTGTAAACACTAGTTGCTCAAGCTGAAAGGCTTACTGAGATATTCCAAGGGAAAGTACTTTGGAAAAAATGAAGTGGGTCTGTCCAAAAGCACTTCTTTCCTTGTTACTTGGAGTGATGCTAGATCCAAAGGGAAGATGGCAGAGCCCTTGGCTCCTGTGCGTTTCTGTGAAGCTGAAGCTTTCCCTTACTGCTGGGCTTGAGTTATGTCCTGTGGGCCTGTCTTCCATAGGCATCACCAACTCTGAATTTCATACTGGTCAAGCAGAGAAGATTTTGCCAGGGCTGCTAAAGTCAAAGGAAGATGGACAGTCAATTGTTGCTGTGGTGAACCCAGCCCGTGCCGGACTGCGTAAGGATGAACAGCTATTTTGATGTTCCCAGTATTGTCCATCAACTTTGGTTCTTCTTTTCCACACCATGCTACGGGTGCTCCCAGTGGGCTGGCTCTGAACCTGTTTCCCCTCTATTTCTAATCAATCCTGAGTTCTGGTCAGTTGGAAGTTTGTGATAACAGAGACCATGGTAGTTAATTATACTAATAGCAAGGTGTTTCTTCCTTCAGATTACAAGGTGATTCAAGCCATTCGAAACTTCAGGGCCATCCACACGCTAGTTTTTGTTTCCTGCAAGCTCCATGGTGAATCCACTAGGAATGTCATTGAGTAAGTCTTGACTTCTGTTTAAAATTTTTTGTTCTGATTATCAAAGCCATTCATGCTTATTGTACACACAATTGGAAAGTGATTTGAGCTTTCAAGTCATTAGAAGTGTAAAGAAACTGAAACAAAAAAAATACCACCTTTAAGACTCAATTACAGGGCTGGGTCAGGGATGAGGCAAGTCAGGTACTTAGTTTGGGTGCAAAATTTAAGAATGTGTCAGCCGGGTGCGGTGGCTCACGCCAGTAATCCTAGCACTTTGGGAGGCCGAGGTGGGTGGATTGCCTGAGCTCAGGAGTTCAAGACCACCCTGGGGAACACAGTGAAACCCCATGTCTACTAAAAAAATATAGAAGATTAGCTGGGCATGGTGGCGTGCGCCTGTAATCCCAGCTACTCGGGTGGTTGAGACAGGAGAATCGCTTGAACCCGGGAGGCAGAGGTTGCAGTGAGCCAAGAGCCAAGATCGCGCCATTGCACTCCAGCCTGGGCGACAGAGAGAGACTCCGTCTCAGAAAAAAAAAAAAAAAAGTGTTAAAAATCTCAGCAATCAAGATATTTTTTGTTTGTTTCTATTCCACTACAGCTTTTTTTAATGGCTAAATTTTTAGTGCAATATTTTCTTTTCTTTTGAGACAGAGTCTCACTCTGTCACCCAGGTTGAGCACAGTGGCACAATCACGGCTCACTGAAGTCTTGACCTCCTGGGGCTCATGAGATCCTCCTGCCTCAGCCTCCCAAGTAGCTGAGACTACAGGTGCACACCACCACACCTGGCTAATTTTTAATTTTTTTTGTAGAGACAAGGTCTCACTATGTTGCCCAGGCTTGTCTCAAACTCCTGGGTGCAGGTGATCCTCCTGCATCGGCCTACCAAAGTGCCTGGCTAATTTTTTTGATTTTTTTATAGAGACGAAGTCTCACTATGTTGCCCAGGCTGGTCTTGAGCTCCTGTGCTCAAGTGATCCTCCTGCCTTGGCCTCCCAAAGTGCTGAGATTACAGGCATGAGCCACCATGTCTGGCCCAATATTTTCAAATATCAAAATTAATCCAAAATAATTCATGATGAACAAAATATTACATTTTTTTAAAAAGGTGGGAAAGGTGGGATCTGCCCTTGTGCTTGTTGAACCCCGCCTCAGTGAGCCTTACCTGAATTCTGGCTTTGGTTCCAATAAAACCTTATAAAAGCAAGTGGCTAGCCTGTAGGCTGCAGTTTTCCAATTTGATATTCTAAAATATTGCATCAAAACATTCAATTACTGAGTTTTTTGGCACCCTATTAAATTTTGCACCCAATGCAAGTGCCTTTCACTTCACTCTAGTTCTGACCCTGGTCAGCTATTTTGATTTTTGAAATCTTTATATTTTGTAATCTTTTTCTCTCTCACTTTTTACTATAAGCAATATAATTTATTTGTAGCATTGAAACAACAGACAGGTATAAAGTACAGATTATATATTTGAATGAAACAAATGAGAATTAAAAATTATGTAATCATTATATGTCAATGTATAAAAAACGAAGTGATTTGAGCTTTCAAGTCATGAGCTAGAAAAAGAACAATAAACCCAAAGGAAACTGAAGGAAGAACTCAATAATGATTTTAAAAATCCATAAATTAATGACTTACAAAACAAAAAAACCTGTAGATTTGATGAGAAAGCGAGAAGGTGTTATTGGAAGAAAAAAATTAAATAAATAAGCCTAATCAACAATATTAAGGGGCAAAACACAAAAATATAGTCTTAAATGAGAAAGAGAGCATAACTACAGATAGGAAGAAATTTTTTTTTTCCTGAGACGGAGTCTTGCTCTGTCGCCCAAGCTGGAGTGCAGTGGTGTGATCATGGCTCACTGCAACCTCCGCCTCCCGAGTTCAAGCAATTCTCCTACCTCAGCCTCCCGAGTAGCTGGAATTACAGGCACGTGCCACATGCCTGGCTAATTTTTGTATTCTTAGTAGAGACAGGGTTTCACCATGTTGGCCAGGCTGGTCTTGAACTTTTGACCTCGTGACCCGCCCACCTTGGCCTCCCAAAGTGCTGGGATTATAGGCATGAGCCACCGTACCCGGCCCGATAGGAAGAAATTTTTTAAAATTAAAAGAAAATATTTCTGGGCACAGTGGCCCAGGCCTGTAATCCCAGCACTTTGGGAAGAGGTGGTGGGCAGATCACCTGAGTAATCCCAGCTGCTCGGGAGGCTGAGGCAGGAGAACTGCTTGAACCCAGGAGGTGGAGGTTGCAGTGAGCTGAGACTGCGCCATTGCACTCCAGCCTGGACAACAAGAGTGAAACTCCGTCTCAAAAAAAAAAAAAAAAAAAAACCACGAAAATTAGCTGGGCGTAGTGGCACATGCCTGTAATCCCAGCTACTTGGCATGAGAATCGCTTGAATCCAGGAGGTCAAGGCTGCAGTAAACTGAAATCACGCCACTGTACTCCAGCCTGGGTGACAGAGTGAGACCCTGTCTCAAAAAAAAAAAAATCAAAATTTAAAAAGATGTTTTGTGCTACAAATACCATTGAGAAAGGTGAAAGACAAGCCACAGAATAGGAGAAACTATTTGCAAATCATTCATAAGGGACTGGTATTCAGAAGCCAGACACAAAAGACCACATATTATATCATTCCATTTATAGGAACTATCTAGAACAGGCAAATCTGTAGACAAAGAAAGTAGATAGGTTGTTGCCTTGGTCTGGGGGTGGGGCTTTGGAGATTAAATGGGGCTTGATTGCTAACGGGTGTTTGGTATCTTCTTCAGCTAATGAAATGTTCTGAAATTGATTGTAGTGATAGATGCATAACTCTGTGAATATACTAAAAACCAGTGAACTGTATGAATGGGTGAGCTGTATGGTGTGTGAATTGTTTTTTTGTTTTGTTTTGTTTTTTTGAGACTGAATCTCACTCCGTCACCCAGGTTGGAGTGCAGTGGCATGATCTTGGCTCACTGCAACCTCCACCTCCCTGGTTCAAGCAATTCTCCTACCTCAGCCTCCCATGTAGCTGGGATTACAGGCACCTGCCACCACGCCTGGCTAATTTTTGTGTTTTTAGTAGAGACAGGGTTTCACCATGTTGGCCAGGCTGGTCTCAAACTCCTGACGTCAGATGATCTGCCCACCTTGGCCTCCCATAGTGTTGGGATTACAGGCTGAGCCACTGTGCCCGGCATGGTATGCAAATTATCTCAATAAGACTATTAAAAAAATCATTAATTTATGCATGATGAAAAGCACTGTAAGCAAAGACAGGAGACAGCATACAAACTGGAAAATAATTTGCAGTTCACATCACAAAGACTTTTTTCCTTAATCTAAGAAACTCCTAGAAATTGGTAAGCTGAGACTGCACCACTGTACTCCAGCAGCCAATAGAAAAATGAACCGAGGATATGAAAAGGCAATATTATAAAGGTATTTACAAAATATGAGAGGACGCTGTCTCTCTCATAATGATAGAAATGCAAATTAGAAGTACCCTGAGGTACTTCTTTTTATACCTCAGATTGACAAAAGTACAAAAGCTTGATAATGCATTATTGGTAATAATATGGGAAAATAATTCTAAAAAATGAGTTGTGTAAATTGAGTACTAACCCTGTGTAAGTTGGTGCTATCCCTATGGATGGAAACTTAGTAATATAGATTAAAATTACAAATGTATATATACCCTTTCACATGGTAATTCCATTCCTGAGGTTTTATCCTGTAGATACTCTCACACACATAAAATGACATATCTACAAAGTTACTCATTGCAATATTTAACAGGAAAAGTTGAAATACTCCCAAAGTCCATTAGTGGGGAACTGGTTAAATCAACTATGCCACATCCATTCAATGAAACACTACACTGCTATAAAAAATGCAGATGTTCTCTATGTTCTGATAATAAGAGATCTCTAAGGTATTTTTTTAAAATAATAGCTTTATTGAGATACAACTCATATATCATACAATTCAACTTTTTTTTTTTCTAAAGAGATGAGGTTTTGCTGTGTTGCTCAGGCTGGCCTTGAACCCTTAGGATCAAGCAGTCCTCCTGTGTCAACCTCCTAGTAGCTGGGACTATGGGCATGTATCACTTTCCCCGCGTACTTCACCCACTTAAAGTGTAGAATTTGGCTGGGTGCAGTGGCTCACACCTGTAATCCCAGCACTTTGGGAGGCTGAGGCGGGCAGATTCCTTGAGCCCAGGAGTTTGAGAACAGCCTGGGCAACATGGTGAAACCCTGTCTCTAGTAAAAATACAAAAATTAGCTGGGTGTAGTAATGTGCCTATAGTCCCAGGTACTTGGGAGGCTGAGATAGGCGGATCGCTTGAGCCTGGTGGGGTCAAGGCTGCATGCAGTGAGCTGTGATCACTCAACTTCACTCCAGCCTGGGCAATAGAGGGAAATCCTGTTTCAATTAAAAAAAAAAAGTCAGTATGTGCATATGGTAGAAAAAATTCAAATAAACCAGACACAGTGGCTCATGCTTATAATCCCAGCTACTCAGGAGGGTGAGTTGGGAAGATCACTTGAGTCTAGTAGTTCAAGGCTGCAGTGAGCTATGATTGTGCCACTGCACTCCAGCCTTAGTGATAGAGTAAGACCCCATCTCTAAAACAGTAAAAAAAAGAGAGAGAAAGAAAATTCAAATAATACAAAAGAATATAGGGTAAAAATGAGTTTCTTACTCCTGACCCCTAGTCTTTCAGATGTCACCACTCTGAGCAGTTTCTTGTGTGGACTACCAGAGATATTCTGTGACACTACAAGCATGAGTGCATGTGTGTGCACACGTACGTGTGTACATACTAGCTCTCCTTTTTTATCAAACAAGTAGAAGCATACTATAAGCACTATTCTATTTGATGCTTTTTTTTGCGGGGGATGGAGTCTTGCTCTGTTGCCCAGGCTGGAGTACAGTGGTGCAATCACAGTTCCCTGCAGCCTTGACCTCCTGGGCTCAAGCAATCCTTCCACCTCAGCCTCCTAAGTAGCTGGGACTATAGGCGTGAGTCACCACACCAGGCTAATTTTTAAAATTTTGTAGAGTCAGGGTCTTACTATGTTATTCCAGCTGGTCTTAAACTCTGGGGCTCAAGCTATCCTCCCACCTCAGCCTCCCAAAGTGTTGGGCTTATAGGCATGAGCCATTGTGCCTGGCCAGCTTTTTATTATGAATGGGATCTTTTCATGACATTTTCTTTTCTTTTTTTTTTTTTTTTTTTGAGACGGAGTCTCATCTTGCTGGAGTGCAGTGGCATGGTCTCGGCTCACTACAGCCTCCACCTCCCAGGTTCAAGCGATTCTCCTGCCTCAGCCTCCTGAGTAGCTGGTATTACAGGTATGCACCACCACGCCCAGCCAATTTTTGTATTTTTAGTACAGACAGGGTTTCACCATGTTGGCCAGGCTGGTCTTGAACTCCTGACCTCAGGTGATCCAACCGCCTTGGCCTCCCAAAGTATTAGGATTACAGGTGTGAGCCACCGCACCCAGCCTTCATGACATTTTCTCATTAGTTATTGCCAATCTGGTATACAGCTACCTTACTCTATTATTAGTTTTATTCATTTTTTAGTTGATTCTCACATTGTTGTGGTAGCTGACCATATGATCACCATGTAAAAATAATTCTGTCCCTCTCCTTCTAATACTCATTTTTTCCTTTTGCTTATTATATTGCATAAGAAAATGTTCCATTGTAGATGTGATAGTGAATATTTTTGTCATGTATTTGATTATAATGGGATAATGCTATTTAAACTACAGTCTTGTGTCGCATAATAACATTTCAGTCAACAATGGACTGAATATATGATGTTGGTGCCATAAGATTATAATGGAGCTGACCGGGCGCGGTGGCTCACGCCTGTAATCCCAGCACTTCGGGAGGCTGAGGTAGGCGGATCACTTGAGGTCAGGAGTTTGAGACCAGCCTGGCCAACGTGGTAAAAGCCCGTCTCTACTAAAATAGAAAAATTAGCTGGGTGTGGTGGTGGTGTGTGCCTGTAATCCCAGCTATTTGGGAGACTGAGGCAGGAAAATCGCTTGAATCCAGGAGGCGGAGGTTGCAGTGAGACAAGACTGTGCCACTGCACTCCAGCCTGGGTGATAGAGTGAGACTCCGTCTCAAAAAAAAAAAAATAATAAATTTCCAATTTCATCCATGTCCCTACAAAGGACATGAACTCATCATTTTTTATGGCTGCGTAGTATTCCATGGTGTATATGTGCCACATTTTCTTAATCCAGTCTATCATTGTTGGACATTTGGGTTGGTTCCAAGTCTTTGCTATTGTGAATAATGCCGCAATAAACATACGTGTGCATGTGTCTTTATAGCAGCATGATTTATCATCATTCTCAGTAAACTATCGCAAGAACAAAAAACCAAACACCGCATATTCTCACTCATAGGTGGGAACTGAACAATGAGAACACATGGACACAGGAAGGGGACCATCACACTCTGGGGACTGTTGTGGGTTGGGGGGAGGGGGGAGGGATAGCATTGGGAGATATACCTAATGCTAGATGATGAGTTAGTGGGGGCAGCGCACCAGCATGGCACATGTATACATATGTAACTAACCTGCACATTGTGCACATGTACCCTAAAACTTAAAGTATAATAATAATAAATGAAAAAAAAATTATAATGGAGCTGAAAAATTCCTATGGCCTAGTGACATCATAGCTGTTGTAACATTTCAGCACATGGGTTACTTACATGTTTGTGGTCATGCTGGTGTAAACAAACTTACTGTGCTGTCAGTAGGTTTGTTTACACCAGCATCACCACTTATAAAATTAAGTACATATAGTTATCTATAGTACATAATACTGGATAATAAAATGACTGTGTTACTGGTTTATATACTTTCTATACTATACTTGTATTATTTTAGCAGATACTCCTTCTACTTATGTTTTAAAAGTTAACTGTAAAACAGCCTCAGGCAGATCCTTCAGGAGGTATTCCAGAAGAAGGCATTGTTATCATAGGAGATGACAGCTCCATGTATGTTATTGCCCCTGAAGACCTTCTAGTGGGACAAGATTTGGAGGTGCAAAACAGTGATATTGATGATCCTGTCCCAGGCTAGAGTATAGTGGTGTGATCTCAGCTCACTGCAACCTTTATCTCCTGGGCTCAAGACATCCTCCCGCCTCAGCCTCCTGAGTAGCTGGCACTACAGGTGCGAGCCACCATGCCCGGCTAGTTTTTGTGTTTTTTGTAGAGACAGGGTTTTGTCATGTGGCCCCGGCTGGTCTCGAACTTCTGAGC
The DNA here is from genome assembly GCF_000001405.40 of Homo sapiens. NCBI lineage: Eukaryota > Metazoa > Chordata > Mammalia > Primates > Hominidae > Homo > Homo sapiens. The sequence continues at coordinate 101,011,679 of NC_000023.11, read as the reverse complement.
TCAAGCAATCCTCTCACCTCAGCCTCCCAAAGTGCTGGGATTTCAGGCATGAGCCACCATGCCCGGACCTTATTTTATTTATTTTTTATTTTTTGGTAACGACAGAGTCTCGCTATGCTGCCCAGGTTGGTATTGAACTCCTGGTTTCAAGTGATTCTCTGGCCTCAGCCCCCAGAGTAGCTAGAAGTACAGGCATGTACTACCACACCCAACTAATTTTAAAATCAGTTAAAAATTAAAATTAGAATTTTGTAGAGATGGGGTCTCACTATGCTGTCCAGGTTGACCAGTTTTTCTACTATATTTTTACAGTACTTTTTAATGTTTAGATATATAAATACTTACCACTGTGTTACAGTTGTCTACAGTATTCAGTACAGTAACATGCTGTACAGATTTGTAGCTGAGGAGAAATAGGCTATAGCATAGAGCCTAGATGTGTAGTAGGCTCTGTCATCTAGATATTTGTAAGTATGCTCTATTATGTTCACACAGTGAAGAAATTGCCTAACAATGCAATTTTCAGAATGTACCCCCATCGTTAAGTGATGCATGACTGTATTGAATATTACCCAGGCAAACAAATACTCTTCTACTTTGCTGGTTGGGATATAAATTGGTACAACCCTTTTTAGAACAGTTTGGTGGTTATGTATCTTAAGGCCTTATAAACATACAGGCTCTTCAGCTCCATTTACCAAATATGTATTGAACCCTTATTCTGTGCCACATACTGGGAACCCAGAGATGAATATTAAGCAGTGTTTACTTCATTTCTACCCTTAAAAAGATTAAAATTCAGTAAGGAAGATGGTGAAGAAAAACGATTATATTAAATAAGATAAATGCTGTATAAGAGAAACACAGGGGGCCTGTGGGAACACAGTGGAAGGGCCTCTATTTTAGGCAATTGTATTCCTGTGGGTTCTTCCTTTTATTCCTGGGAACTGATGCTATGTTCTGTTTCTACAGGCTGTGCTGTCCTCCAGACCCTGCTAAGAAGCTCTTAGGCGAGCCCTTTGTCCTGCAGCAAGCTGTACCTGTGGATTTGTTCCCTCACACCCCACATTGTGAGCTGGTGCTCCTCTTTACTCGATAAGCAGCCTCCTAGAAGACAGCAGGCTATTTGTTAAGGCTGAAGTTTCAGAAACTTTCAGGTTTGGCATATTGCTACATTGCAGACCCTGGGAGCATTACAGTGGAAACCAATCTTTGGTTTGTGAATAGGAAGAATCTATTAGGCCTCTGGTCTGAGGCAGATTTTTTTTTTGAGATAGAGTCTCACTCTTGCCCAGGCTGGAGTGTCGTGGCGTGATCTCAGCTCACTGCAACCTCCGCCTCCCGGGTTCAAGTGATTCTCGTGCCTCAGCTTCCCCAGTAGCTAGGATTAAAGGTGCGTGCCACCATGCCCGGCTAATTTTTGTATTTTTGGTAGAGACAGGGTTTCACCATGTTGGCCAGGCTGGTCTCAAACTCCTGACCTCAAGTGATCCACCCGCCTCGGCCTCTCAAAGTGCTGGGATTATAGGCGTGAGCCACCACACCCCGCCGCGGCTGACTTAACCTTAGATTTCAGATTCCCTTTCAATCATGCCCGTTTGCTTGGGTTTGACCACTCCCCACTCCTGGATCTGGACTGTTTCTTCCTGTTGCTGTCAGCCTTGGTTCTAGTTTATAGTCTTGTCTCCTCCGTTTCTGCTTATGGTGTGGACAAATGACCTTTTTTAAGCAGCTGGTAATAATTTTACATTGACTGGAGCCTGTGCATTTGCTCAGAGATGCTACAATTTTTAGATATTTCTAAGACTTCTGGATTCTTGAGGTAGTTAAGGATTAAAACCAGAAACAGTCGAGGTTTTTTAAAAGCAGGGTAAGCCATGAAGTGAATACAGGGTGACTGAGTGATCATCAGATGAGATTAATTCTTTTGGGTTTTCTTGGTTTTAAGGCATCTCGAATGCCCCTTGAAAATGTAGTTTTCCCTGGTGGTGGGCACCTGTAATCCCAGCTACTCGGGAGGCTGAGGCAGGATAATTGCTTGAACCTGGGAGGTGGAGGTTGCAGTGAGCTGAAATTGTGCCACTGCACTCCAGCCTGGGTGACAGAGTGAGACACCATCTCAAAAAAAAAAAAAAAAAGAAAATGTAGTTATCCCTAGGAGCAATAGCACCAATTAACTCTCACCCGTGGAGGAAGAATTGGTTATTGGAGAGACCCTAAGGGAAAGGAGATTTTCAGAGAGACTGAATACCTATAATTGTGCTGTGTAGTGTGGAGGCAAAAAGCTCCAAAATCTAGTATAACATAATAAACTGGATATTGAAAACTGACTGTATTTAACATTCTCTAGTCCATGATTTCATCAACTCTGGAGTTGTTCTTGGGTACTTGCCCAACAATTTAGATTATGTTTTGATAATCTAAAGGCCTAAGGATGTGTAACTTAGTAAGTGTTGTCTGATTCACAAAGTGATATCAGGTTAACTGGTATTTTTAATTCTTCTCAATCAAACATTCTAGAGAAGCCTCCTTCTTAGAAAAATATGGCTGTTAAAGCTACTATATAATGTTTTCTATTCTTTTTTTAGATGGTGGGTCAGGTATAGCCACAAGAGGAGACACAGGAGAGGCTCAGGAAAACAAAGTCTATTATGCTTACAGGTCCTAGAGACAGGAGACATATTATGCCACATAGGACTACATGGGAAAGACACCAGGGTGGGCAGGAGGCAGAAGACAGAAGAGGGGAAGGTTTAGGCCACTGCCGTTACTTGAGTTTCTTTGGGAAAGGCAATGCAGGGCTGAGTGAACAGTTTAGGATTGGCTACTTTGAATAAGGTATAGGGGTGCTCCCTAGTTGTCTGGTACCTGGCCATGGGGTGATTAGGACACTGGAATGTTGTCTCTTGGGGTGTCCATGCCAGATAGAGGGAATATAGCTCTGAATTGGTTAGTTTGTATATCAAAGAAATCTTCCAGCTGAACCCTTGCTATCTATAAGAATTATCTAGCCCAAGGAGGAGCAGCCAGAAAGATTTATTTTATTTTTATTTTTTTGAGATGGATCCTCACTCTGTCACCCAGGATGGAGTACAGTGGCGTGATCTCAGCTCACTGCAACCTCTCCGCCTCCCGGTTCAAGCGATTCCCCTGCCTCAGCCTCCTGAGTAGCTGGGATTACAGGCGCCTGCCACCACACCCAGCTAATTTTTGTATTTTTAGTAGAGATGGGGTTTCACCATGTTGGCCAGACTGGTCTCGAACTCTTGACCTCAGGTGATCCACCTGCCTCGGCCTCCGAAAGTGTTGGTTTATGGTAGTTGCATAAATTTTTTCCTTTCCTTATTTTTAAATTTTATGTGATGGGTTATATTATTTTTATAATGAAATTTTCAAAAAAGCAATTTTTTTCCATTTATTCCCTGTATCAGCAAATGGCAATACCATCTATATCAATCACTTAAGCCAGAAAACAGAGTTCCTTTTCATTCCTGTATCCAACTACCTATAAGGTAACTTCCTCTTGGATATCTTCTAGATTCTTCAAACTCAATATATCTAATGTTGAATGCTTTCCATCTTTCCCTTAAACATGTTCTTCCTCCTCTATTCTCAGTCTTAATGAATATAACAGTTTACTCAGTCACCCAAGCCAGAGTCTGGGAATGATTTTTGAGTCCTTCTCCTGTACTATTGGCCTCATCCAATTTTTCACAAAGTCGCCATCCCTGCAGGCTTCCATCATCTCTCTCCAGGTTATTGCTGCAATAGTCATCTTCACAACTGTTGCTGCTTGTATTCACTCTTGCCCCAGTTCATTCTAGCACCATGGCACACACCTGAAATACCAGCTAGTGGGGAGGCTGAGGCTGGAGGATTGCTTGAACCCAGGAGTTCAAGACCAGCCTGGACAATATAGCAAGACCCTCTTAAGAAAAAATGCAAATCTCATGTTTCTCCATTACTTAAAATCTGTCATTGGCTTCCTGTTGCTTTTATTTTATTTTATTTAGTTAGTAATTTTGAGACACAGTCTCATTCTGTCACCCAGGCTGGAGTGCAGTGGTGCAATCTCAGCTCACTGCAACCTCTGCCTCCTGGGTTCAAGCAATTCTCGTGCCTCAGCCTCCCAAGTAGCTGGGATAACAGGCGTGTGCCATCATGCCTGGCTCATTTTTTTTCTTTTTGTATTTTTAGTAGAGGCAGGGTTTCATCTTGTTGACCAGGCTGGTCTCGAACCGCTGACCTCAAATGATCCACCCACCTTGGCCTCCCAAAGTGCTGGGATTACAGGCATGAGCCACTGCACCCAGCCAACTTCCTATTGCTTTTAAAATAAAGTCCAACATTATTGATGAAGCTCAAAAGCCACTTCATAATCTGAAGAACTCCATTTCTCTAGATATATTGGATTCCTTTCCCTGAAAAGGAGAAAGTTCTTCCCTTTTGGTCCTATTTACATTCTGTTTCCTCAGCTTGGAATATTCTTTTCCCTAACTCTTCTGGTTTACTCTATTTACCTTTCTGTTTTTAACTTAAATATTCCTCCTTCAAGGAATATTTAATGAATAAATACAGGATTGGCTATGGAAAATCAACTTCCTCATAATTTTGTTACTTGTTTATAGTTATGCCCTCAGAGATATTGCAGGTTTGGTTCCAGATTGCCACAACAAAGTGAATATCTCAATAAAGCAAGTAATGTGAATTTTATGGTTTCCCAGTGCATATAAACATTGCTTATACTATAGTCTATTAAGTGTGCAATATCATTATATCTAAAAAACCAGTGTATGTACCTTAATTAAAATGTACTTTATTGCTTTAAAAATGCTAAAAATCATCTGAGTCTTTAGTGAGTCATAATTTTTTTTTTTAAGACAGAGTCTTGCTTTGTTACCCAGGCTGTAGTGCAGTAGCGCCATCATGGCTCACTGCCACCTTGAACTCCGGGGCTCAAGGGATCCTCCTATCGCAGCCTCCCAAGTAGCTGGGACTACACGTGTTTGCTACCATGCCTGGCTATTTTTTAATTTTTTTGTAGTGATAAGATCTCACCATCTTGCTAAGGCTGGTCTCAAACTCCTGGACTCAAGCAATCCTCCCACCTTAGCCTCCCAAAGTGCTGAGATTACAGGCATGAGCCACTGCGCCCGGCCAACTCTTCATCTTTAGATCCCTCATCTGTCTGTATAAGGTATACAGATACATGTATACCTTATACATCTATCTTCTAAGCATAAGGACATTTTTCTACATAACCATTATATTATGAGTTCAACTAAGAAAATTAGCAGTACCTCACTAATCTTCACTAATGTCATCTAATGTAGTTCAGTGCTTCTTGAGGTGTGGTCTGGAGACTGCCTGATGTTTCACAAAAAGATAAGGAGTTTATACCAAAGTGTGTATCATAGTACCACATTCTTTTTCTTTTTCTTTTTCTTTTTGACATGGAGTCTCACTCTGTCACCCAGGCTGGAGTGCAGCAGCGCGATCTCGGCTCACTGCAACTTCCGCCTCTCCGCCTCCTGGGTTCAAGTCGTTTCTCTCGCCTCAGCCTCCTGAGAGGCTGGGATTACAGGTGTGTGCTACCACACCCGGCTGATTTTTGTATTTTTAGTAGAGACGGGGTTTCACCATGTTGGCCAGGCTGGTCTTGAACTCCTGACCTCAGGTGATCCACCCACCTCGGCCTCCCAGAGTGCTGAGATTACAGGTGTGAGCCACCGCACCTGGCCCACATTCTTTTTCTTTTTTTCTTTTCTCTCTTTCTTTTTTTTTTTTTTTTTTTTTTTTGAGTGGGAATCTTGCTCTGTCACCCAGGCTGGAGTGCAGTGGCACAATCTTGGCTCACTACAACCTCTGCCTCCTGGGCTCAAGCAATTCTCGTGCCTCGGCCTCCCGCTTAGCTGGGATTATAGGCATGCGCCATCATGCCTGGCTAATTTTTTTTTGTATTTTTAGTAGAGATGGGGTTTCACCATGTTAGCCAGGCTGGTCTTGAACTACTGACCTCAAGTGATCTGCCCGCCTCGGCCTCCCAGAGTGCCAGAGTACCACATTCTTTATCAAAAAAGTCTTTTTCAAAAAAAAAAAAAAAAAAGGCAGCTGAATTACACAGTGTACTGACTTAGCGACATTGTTCATTTACATCTGTGGACTGGCAGGGTAGCACTGCTTTATATTCAATTTCCCCAACTGTCCCCAAAATGTTTTTTATGGCCAATTCACATGTTACATTTGGTGGTTTTGTCTGTGTCTCTTTAGTATCTCTTTTTTTTGGGAGATGGTCTTGCTCTGTCACAGCCCAGGCTGGAGTGCAGTGACACGATCTCAGCTCACTGCAACCTCCACCTCCTGAGTTCAAGTGATTCTCCTGCCTCAGCCTCCCGAGTAGCTGGGATTACAGGTGTGTGCCACCACACCTGGCTAATTTTTGTATTTTTAGTAGAGATGGGGTTTCACCATGTCGGCTAGGCTGGTCTTGAACTCCTGACCTCAAGTGATGCACCCACCTTGGCCTCCCAGAATGCTGGGATTACAGGCATGAGCCTCCGTGTATGGCCTCTTTAGTCTCTCTTAATCTAGAATGATCTCCTCACTTTTTCTTTTTACCCAAGGCACTGACTTTTTAGAAACCAGGTCTGTTCCACATTATGGATTTGTCTGATTTTAAGGTGACCAACTGTCTTGGTTTGCCTAGGACTCTCCTAGTTTGAACACTGATCTTACATCCTGAGAAACCCCTCAGTCCTGGGTAAACCAGGATGTTTTGTTTACGTGTGTTCATGTTTAACTTTTTCTTGACCTAAATTTCTTATAAACTTGAAGTTAGGTCTAGTGGCTTGATTAGACTCACATTAAAACATTTTTGATGGCCGGGCACGGTTGCCCACATCTGTAATCCCAGCACTTTAGGAGGCCGAGGCGGGCAGATCACCTGAGATCGGGAGTTTGAGACCAGCCTGACCAACATGGAGAAACCCCATCTCTACTAAAAATACAAAATTAGCTGGGCATGGTGGTGCACGCCTATGATCTCAGCTACTTGGGAGGCTGAGGCAGGAGAATTGCTTGAACCCGGGAGGTGGAGATTGCAGTGAGCTGAGATTGTGCCATTGCACTCTAGCCTGGGCAACAAGAGCAAAACTCCATCTCAAAAAAAAACAAAAACAAAAACGAAACAAAACACATTTTTGACAAGAATACTTAAGTGGTCTGTGGGCAGTGGCTCAGGTGGAGGCAGGAGGATCACTTAAGCCCAGGAGTTGAAGACCAGACCCAGCCTGGGTAACGTAGAGAACCAAATCTTGAGAACCAAAATATGGTTTTTTTTTTCTGTGTGATAGGGTTTTATATCAGTTTTAAACATTTTTTTGAGGGTTTGTTGTTGTTGTTGTTGTTGTTGTTGTTTTCCCAAAAACAGTGTCATGAAGGAAAGTTTTAAAATCTTTTTCTCCAACTTGGGCAATATGGCAAAACCCTATCTCCACAAAAAATAAAAAAATTATCCAGGCACAGTGGTGCACACGTGTAGTTCCAGCTACTTTTGGAGGCTGAGGCAGAAGAATTGCTTGAGCCTGGGAGGTGGAGGCTGCAGTGAGCCATGGTTTTACCACTGTATTTCAGCCTGCATGACAGAGCAAGACCCTGTCTCAAAAAAATCCAAAATTTAACAATTAGCTGGACGTGGTGGTGCATGTCTGTAGTCCCAGGTACTTAGGAGGCTGAGGTGGGAGGATTGCTTCAGCCCAGGAGGTTGAGGCTGCAGTGAGCCATGATGGTGCCACTGCACTCCAGCCTGGGTGACACAGCAAGATCCTGTCTCAAAAAACAAAACAACACAAAACAAAAACAAAAACACCCCCAAAACTTAAAGTGATGGTATGTACTTCATGTTGCATCCCATTAGGAGGTACATTATTTCAGTTGCTCACTTGTAGTAAAGGTGATGGTTAGGTTGATGGCCCTCAGAACTCTCCATGTAATTTTCCTCTTTGTAATTAATAAGAAATCTGTGGGATGTTGGCTGGGTGCAGTGGCTCATGCCTGTAATCCCAGCACTCTGGGAGGCTGAGGCAGGTGGATTACCTGATGTCAGGAGTTCAAGACCAGCCTGGACCAACATGGTGAAACCTTATCTCTACTAAAAATACAAAAATTAGCTGGGCGTGGTGGCACACACCTGTAATCCCAGCTACTTGGGAGGCTGAGGCAGGAGAATCGCTTGAACCCAGGAGGCGGCGGTTGCAGTGAGCTGAGATTGTGCCATTGTACTCCAGCCTGGGCAACAAGAGCGAAACTCCATCTCAGAAAAAAAAAAAAAAAGCTATCGGATGTCACTCTAATGCCATGTGACTATCCTGTTTCCCAATAACCTCTTCCCTAAAGATTTTAGCATCCGTTGATTACTGTTTCCTGACTCAGTCATTTAATATTTTTTAATTTTTTAATTTATTTTGGTCAGATGCAGTGGCTCACACCTGTAATCCCAGCACTTTGGGAGGCTGAAGCTGGAGGATTTCTTGAGTACAGGAGTTTGAGAACAGCCCTGGGGAATATGGTGAGACCATGTCTCTACCAAAAAAAAAAAAAAAAGCTTGGCATGGTGGCACGCACTTCTATTTTCAACTACTTGGGGGTCTGGGGTAGGAGATTAGCTTGAGCCTGAGAGGTAGAGGCTGCAGTAAGCCATGACCAGATTGTGTCACTGAACTCCAGCCTGGGTGGCAGAGCAAGACCCTGTCTCAAAAACAAATGATTGCTTTCTAACTTTTTTATTTTCGTGTACCCACTGATGGTAAATTAATAATTTAATTGGGGATTGAAAAGCCATGATTTCCTAATTCTGTCAATCGGTCTGTGTTTATTAGCTGTCACTTTTTTTTTTTTTTTTTGAGACAGAGTTTTGCTCTTGTTTCCCAGGCTGGAGTGCAATGGTGCGATCTCGGCTTACTGCAACCTCTGCCTCTCGGGTTCAAGCAGTTCTCCTGCCTCAGCCTCCCAAGTAGCTGAGATTACATGCACCTGCCACCAGGCCCAGCTAATTTTGTATTTTTAGTAGAGATGGGATTTCACCATGTTGGCCAGGCTGGTTTCGAACTCCTGACCATAGGTTATCCACCCACCTCGGCCTCCCAAAGTGCTGGGATTACAGGCGTGAGCCACTGTACCCAGCCAGCTGTCACTCTTTTATAAAAATGAGCTTTTCCCTTTCTAGAGGGTATGAACTAGAGTTCCTCCAAAAAAGCCAGGTAAAGACCTAAGTCTTTCCCTTTTAATACCAATTTTTAGAGCAAGAAGTTAGTATAATAATTGCTTCCTAATAATTACTATGGTGACTGTATGGTAAATGCACCTGATAGCAATAACTGAAGATAGCAATAGCCTGAGAATGGCCCCGTATGGCAGATGCACCTGAATGCGATAGGGAGTTTCCAGCTCAGGAACCCAGAGATCCATTTCTGATCTATGGGGAACATCTGAGCTCCTGGCCTGTCCCGTGAAATGCAGGCCATACGGGGAATTGAGGCCCTTTGTTTTGGTTTAAATGAAGGTTGCCAGCTGCAGGTTGTTAGGGGGAGGGTGTTAGGTGAAAATGCTATATAAACCCCATGCATTTGCAAGTGGTTGCAGTTCCGTCCAGCCCATCACCACTGGAGTCTCCCTTGAATGTAAGACCCCAGTTAAAAACAAAAAAGCAAACAAACAAAAAAACACCATGTCTTGTTTGCTGTCTCTGGATCTGTTCTTTGGCCTCTTGAATCTGGTTCTGTCCAAATTGGAGTTGACAGTGGTCTGGCACAATAGTGGCAAAGTTGTTTCCCCCTGCTTTTTTTTTTTTTTTTTTTTGAATATCACTTGATTCGGTGATTTGCTTATTTGAATTCCGTGTTTTAAGCTCAGTTCAATTATTTTCCTTTTGATGCTCAAATTTTCTACAGTTTGACCAGTGGGAGTCCCTTCAGCTGGCTCTCATGTCACTTAACATGCCTCCATTAGTATTTGAGTACTTCCTTAGATTCTGGCACAAGATTCCCAGGGTCACTTTACATTTTCCTTGCCCTAGTCCTGGAACCAGCCATTTCCAATGAACCCTGGTTCCTTTCAGTGTAGAATGGTGTTTAGAAACCAAGATCCGGGCTGGGTGCAGTGACTCACGCCTGTAATCCCAGCACATTGGGAGGCTGAGGTGGGAGGACTGTTTGCATCCAGGAGTTTGAGACCAGCCTGGTCAACATAGCGAGACCTCCATCTCCACACACACAAAAAAATTTTCCAGGCATGGTGGTGTGTGCCTGTAGTCCCAGCTACTGAGGAGGATGAGGCGGGAGGATTACTTGGGCCTGGGAGGTCGAGGCTCCAGTGAGCCATGATTGTACCACTGCACTCCAGCCTAGGTAACAGCGTGTGGCCCAGTCTCAAAAAATATATAAAAAATATTGATGCCTGGGCCCCAGACATTCCAATTTAATTGGTTTGGGGAGGGTCTTAGTCATCAGTCTTTTTAAAATTACTGTCCACCCTGCCCGGTGATTCTAGTATGCAGTCAAGGTTGTGAACCAGTAGTCAAGATTTACCTGTCAAAGTGTGATCCCTGGACCAGCAGCTTTGGCATCACCTGGAAACTTGTTAGAAATGCACACATTTGGGCTCTCCCTCAACTGAATCAGAAACACTGGGGCTAGGGCAATCTAATTTAACATGTCTTTCAGGTGATTCTGGTGTGCATTCAAATTTAGGAACCACTGGTTCAGAGCAACTATTCTCAGCCTTGGTTGCACATCACCTGGAGACCGTCAAAAACAAGTTCCTGAGTGTCATCACTTCACATTCTGATTTAATTCATTTTGGGTGTAGCCCTATCATCATTATTTTAAAAGCTCTCCAGATGACTGTTGTGTAGCCAAGGATGAGAATCACGTTGGATTTTTGGTCTCTAAGCCTGGTGTTTGGTGTGATGAGTAAAAGTGCACACCAGGTTGCAGATAAAACGTAACTACAGTAGTTGGGTAATACATAGGCCAGATAGCTTGTCTTTCTGCTTGCTACTCTTCTAGACTTACCCAGGTGTTCTGAGCACTGGTTTGCAGTCCTTTGCAAAGGTTTTTATTTCTTTAAAGCACTTCCTTTCTCATTCCTTCTGCCATTATTTTGGGGGGTGTGGTAGAAAGTAGGGCTAAGGTATCATCAGCTACTAGTAATTCTAGCGAAAGATTATAATTCCTAGCCTAAGTTAATAAAATTAGCTCTCAGGCCGGGTGCGGTGGCTCGCGCCTATAATCCCAGCACTTTGGGAGGCCAAGGCAGGTGGATCACCTGAGGTCAGAAGTTCCAGACCAGCCTGGCCAACATGGTGAAACCCCATCTCTACTAAAAATACAAAAAATTAGCTGGGCACGGTGGTGGGCGCCTGTAGTCCTAGCTACTCAGGAGGCTCAGGCAGGAGAATCACTTGAACCCAGGAGGTGGAGGTTGCAGTGAGTGGAGATTGCGCTATTGCACTCCAGGCTGGGCAACAAGAGCAAAACTTCATCTCAAAAAAAAAAAAAAAATTAACTCTCATACATGTGAGAGAAAAGTGAACTCATTTTAATATTAAAGTAGAACAGTTATCCTCAGCCTGATTCCCACTCCTCTTCTAGAACAGGCTTCTTCTCATTAGGCTCATCTTAGAGTTGCTGAACCAATGAGTGCAAATTTTGTCATTGCCTTTTCAGATTTGGAGTTTCACCTACTATGGTGGTTTCCAGCCTTGGCTGCACATCATTGGAATCACCTGAGGGATCTTTTTACAAAACTTCCTAGTTCCTGGGATTTGATCCTCCAGAGATTCTGATTTAATTGGTCTGGGGTGTGGCCCAAACATCTGAATTTTTAAAAGATCCCCAAGGTGATTCTAATTTGCAGTCAGTCAGGGTTATGATCCTCTGATAAGGGCTGTGGTTCCCAAACTTGTATGTATATTAAAATCTCCCAGGGATCTTTCCAAACTTCCAAGTGCAGACCATGTCCAGACCAGCTGAGTCATCACAATCACTGGAGGTGGGACACAGGCGTTGGTAATATTAAAATTTCCCCGGTGATTCCCATATGCAGCCAGCATTGAGAAGTACAGTATTATGGTATTAGATAATGCCCTTTGATTGTTTTTGGGCTGGAAGGGAGAAGATGATTGTCATTTGTTGAGATGTAAGTCTTCCAACCCTTTATCTTCAAAATCACATTGGAAATTTATAGCTTACAGGGGCATCATTGTCACTTTCCTAAGGAATATATTTCAAAATGGCATGCCCATAAAGTGCAGTCATGAAGCTCCCTTAGTACTTGCCAATTAATGTTAGTGCAAAAGGACAATTGAAATGAAATACAGCTATTATGTCTGACACTTAACAATTTTCCATCAGGTGATTCTATTTCATTAATACATGTATTTCCACATTGTTTCTCATTGTCTCTCTTCAAAGGAGACTAAGCAGGGTGGCAGTGCCCACATGTGGCCCAGAGCCACACAATGGAGGAACATGTAAATATCCTCAAGTCCATTTGTGACTGTTAGGGACATTCATGATACATGGAGGGGAGAGGCCTTTGCTCTGAGGATCTACAAAAGGAATTGAAATATTTCAGGATATTGGTATTTACCATTTGCCTTTACTGATTACCTTTATACGTAACCAAGCCAAGGAATATCAGAGAGGGCTATACTAAACTGTTTAGTAGTCTGTCTCCTCCAACTAGACTGTAAGGTTTAAGAGGACAAGAGCTATATCTTGGTCACTGTTGTATATGTAACACCTAGCACAGTGTCTGAAATATGGCAGGTGCTTAGATAGGCGATATAGCATACTGGCCAAGCAGAGCAGTTTTGGAGTCAGGCTGACCTGGCCTAAATCCTGACTCTATCACTTACATGCTCTGTGATCTAGGACAAGTTACTTGACCTCTCCAATGCTCTTTTTACCACCCATCTCCATGTAAAATAAGGATAATAATAGCACTTATCTCATGGAGATTGCTGTGACCAATTAGTGAAACAATCTGTGTATATATAAAACACTTTGCAAATTGCTTGGCACATAGCATGCATGAAATGGGTGTCGTTTTTTTTTTTTTTTTTTTGCGACAGAATCTCGCTCTGTCGCCCAGGCTGGAGTGTGGTGGCACCATCTTGGCTCACTGCAACTTCCACCTCCTGGGTTCAGGTGATTCTTCTGCCTCAGTCTCCCGAGTAGCTGGGATTACAGGCATGCGCCACCACGCCTGGCTAATTTTGTAATGGGTGTCATTCTTAATCATCCGATTATTTGTTGACAAATAAATGAATGTCATAGCCTGCTTTCCCTTCCCATTATTGAGATTAACTGGCAAAAATAATTTGTTTCCTGTAAGTTTTCTTCTTTTTTTTTTTTTTTTTGAGATGGAGTCTCACTCTGTCACCCAGGCTGGAGTGCAGTGGCATGATCCTGGCTCACTGCAACCTCTGCCTCCCGGGTTCAAGTGATTCTCCTGCCTCAGCCTCCTGAGTAGCTGGGATTACAGGCATGTACCACCACGCCCGGCTAATTTTTGTATTTTTAGTAGAGATGGGATGGGATTTCACCATGTTGGCCAGGCTGGTCTCAAACGCCTGACCTCAAGTGATCCGCCCACTTCAGCTTCCCAAAGTGCTGGGATTACAGGCGTGAGCCACTGCACCAGGCCAATTTTCTGTGTTTTCAATAATTAATTTTAGGCAAGTCAAACCAAACACATCGCAGAGTCCCTTCCCTGTTGGTGTGGGTGTTTCTCAGCATTTATGTTTTAGTCAAATATTACAGCTTTTAGTAAAAATTTATATACGGTTTGAAGAAAAATGAAGCATAGAAAGCAGACAAGGAAGGCTATTTCTCTCATTTTGTCACCTTCATAATGTTGGTTGCTAAAAATAACCTACTTGTCAAATCATTTTGTACTACTGCGAGAAGTGCTAATGTAAGACATGTTTTCTGAAAATAACTGTGATGAGGCGTCTTGGATTAAGGGCTTTGGTACAGAAGTGATGGAGTTCCCTTCTGGGTAGAGTGGCTCAGGATCATAACTTGCTTAGAACACCTACTAGCTTACCCTTTCAACTCCTTAAGAGGAAACCTGTTTGTAGGATTTTTTTTGTAAACTAACCAATCTATAAATGTTGTATGGGATCCTGAATTAAATCTTGAACAACAACAACAAAAAGGACATTAGTGAAAACACCGAAGTCTAAATAAAGTCTGTTGTCTAGTAACTAGTATGATGATAATGTTAATGTGATAGTTTTGATCAGTGTACCAGAAGATGAGATGCTACCGTTAGGGGAAGCTAGGTGAAGGGTATACATGAACTTTCTGAACTACAGTTACAACTCTTGAGTAAATCTAAAATTATTTCAAAATGCAAAGTTAAAAGAAACTAACTATAGTCTTTGGAAAACTAAATATACTGATTGAAAGCTAATTCTAGAAAAACCAGGTCTGGAAAGGTGTTAAGGCCACATCTCGAGGGAGAGAATTTTACTCACTCAGATACCCAGATATGTGCTAGATGTTTGACTGACTGTAAGTACCAACCCTGACAAGGTGACAAGAGGGGTAGTGTGCAACAATTCTTTTACAAATATGGAACTTATAGAAGCCTATCAAAAAAAAAATCTAGTTCCTTTCTTTCCATATAAGCAAGGCTAGTTCAAAACACAGTGGCCCAACTAAAAGAGGTTCAATATAAGTTATTTTTTGGTTTTTTGTTTTTTGAGTAGCGTCTCACTCTGTTGCCCAGGCTGGGTACAGTGCTGTGATTATAGCTCACTGCAACCTCAGTCTCCTGGGCTCAAGTGACCCTTTTTTTTCAGCCTCCTGAGTAGCTGGGACTACAGGCATGTGCCAACATGCCTGGCTAATTTTTGATCGTTAGTAGAGATGAGGTCTCGCTATGTTGCCCAGGCTGGAAATGTAAATTTTCTTAATCTCCCATCTTAGACTTATTTGGTCGGCTTGGAGTTAGGAAGGAATTTCTCACTGTAGTGCCAAACCTGAAATGGTAATTGTGTTTGAGCAAGTTCCCTGAACATAAGGGGGCGAGGGGAGGAAGAGGAACGATCCAGGCCATTTTTGTTGATACATAATAGTTGCACATATTTTTTCATGTGATGTTTCGATATATGCATACAATGTGTAATGATCAGATCAGGGTAATTGAGATATTTGTTGCCTCAAACATTTTTTCTTTGTTGGGAATGTTTAAACTCTTCTAGCTGTTTTGAAATATACAATAAATGATTGTTAACTATAGTCACCCTACTGTGCTATTGGACATTAGAACTTATTCCTTCTATTATAACTGTATGTTTGTATTCATTAACCGACATCTCTTTCTCCGCTCCCCGCTCCACCCTTCCCAGCCTCTGGTATCTATCATTCTATTCTCTACCTCCATGAGATAACTTTGTTAGCACCCAAATATGAGTGAGAACATACGATATTTGTCTTTGTGTGCCTGGCTTATTTCATTTAACATAATGACCTCTAGTTCCATCCACGTTGCTCCAAATGATGGGGCACCAGCCCCCTTAGTATTCAGTTCTCCTTTAGTCCCTGAACCACATTATCAGTGGAGTTAACTCCTGTGTTAGCTAAAAGACAGGTGTCTTTGTAACCTAGTGTAATCAGCATGACAATTTTCTAAAAAAAAAAAAATGTATATTAAGAATGTGTTGGAGTAGGGGGTGTGGAATGTAAAAGAACTGTGGAACTCTTCATTCTTTTAAGTTCTTTAGAGAAGTGCTCTTATATGTATGCTTTACATAGTTAGGATCAGCATGTATATCTGCTCTTTCCTATTCTGCTGTTTTCACTTAACATTATTTCACATTCTGGTTTCCACCCACACAGTGCACATAATTGCCATCTTTAATGGCTGTGTAACATTCCATTGTATTGAATAGCATGCCAGTTGTTAGGACCGGGCTTATTTTTCTGAGCAGATCTAAAGGCCTGCTGTCTCATAGCACCAGAGGTCTATTTTAGTTCCTGGATGTGGCGACTAGCATGAGCGTGGGATCGCGTGGGATTCCTGAGTCATCAGTGCACAGCACAGCCTGAGTGCTTTGTTAACATTGCTCTCCCACCACCCAACAGCAGAGCCACCTCAGCCTCCCTGGACCAGATCCTGGCACTTACTGGGCACAGGGGTGGAAGTACATTCCCCCTGAGCTGATATTATCTATGTGCCAATAGCAGAAAGCATCTGCCACCTTCTCCTTCCTGGGATAACAATTGTTTCCTCCAGAGCTTGACATGAGAAAAAAGGCAAGGGGAGTGGGAGAACATTTTATTACAGCTGAAGGAATAAGGTACAGATCAGGGGTGCCATGGCTATAGTTCTTTTAGTTGCAGCTATAAAAATACAGCGGGATGAGGGGATGGTTTCAGTATTGGAAAGTTGGGTGACAGTTCTCATTCTCTATACACTTTCATGTCAGAAATTTAAGTTTTGGTCTTCCAATAAAGGGTTTACAGGGTTGAGTAACAAAGCAGTGAGTCCAGGCTTGACCCTTAAGTCAGTCATAGCCATCTTATGGTTAAGAATACTAGTTGGCAGGATTCTCCTGAGAAGAGTGATGTTGTGTTGAGTGCACTTATTACATCTTGCCAGTAGCAACTGCCTTGAAAATAAGTGATTTGAAGATGTTATTGAGAGGAAAGAACAATATTCAAAACACAACTGGGGCTGGGCACAGTGGCTCACACCTGTAGTCTCAGCACTTTGGGATGCCAAGGTGGGAGGATTGCTTAAGCCCAGGAGTTCGAGGTTGCAGCAAGCTATGACTGTGGCACTGCGCTACAATCTGGGTGATAGAGCAAGACCCTGCCACTAAAACAAAAATAAAAACACAACTGGTATGGCCCAAACACCCAACACTTGAATCTCTGGGGGATTTATAACTAGTTTAGCTACTACTGGTTTCCATGCTCCAACCCTGAATTATCACTGTTCTTTCTTAACCTTTGCTGCGTGCTAACTATATGACTCATTTCCTACAGAGGTCATAGATTGCTTAACAACCCTGCTGACAGAGTGCTACTGGCAGGTAGACCTAACACATGAATGACAAGTGAGGACTGGAGTGCAGGAATTGAAAACCATTCAGAGCAGAAGGACCTCTCTACCTATTCATAGTGAATTCTCTAGTCAGAAAGCCCAGGTCTGTCCCTGAAAGATAAGATAGAAACATACCCAGAGCCATATGAGTGAATGATAGGCCAGGGTCATTCATAAGCTGCAAGTGCCTCTGACGGGAGCTACATTCTAAACATCTTGGAGAGTGACCAAGACATTGACAACTAAAGAAAAGAAACCCCAAGGCAACCACTTGCCTTTAAGAAAATTTGCCCTCCAGGCTCAAGAAACTATCCATTTCTTGGTCCCTGGGCTGCCCCACTGAGAAAGAGATTTGTAAAACCTCTTTGGCAGATTTAGGATTCTGAAAGAGAAAAATATGGGAGGCGTTGGTTGTAATTACCCTAGATTCTCTATTCACTTTGTACTTGACAGTCTAAGACATCTCTCTTTGGGTTGTTTTCTACAGAAAAGTGGATACCTATCCCAGA
Organism: Homo sapiens; assembly: GCF_000001405.40. Taxonomy (NCBI): domain Eukaryota; kingdom Metazoa; phylum Chordata; class Mammalia; order Primates; family Hominidae; genus Homo; species Homo sapiens. The sequence continues at coordinate 100,994,052 of NC_000023.11, read as the reverse complement.
AGGGGGACTATAGCTTTCTAATGATCTCACCGAGCTCCTTCCCTAAATCAACATAATAGTAGCTAATATTTAATATCCTACTTAGGGTGTGCCAGGCACTATTCTAAACATTTTTGTGTGTATCATCCCTTTTAAACTTTACAGCAGGCCTTTGAGGTAGGCACTGTTATTCCTGCCTTCACTGGGGGAAATTGCCTGGTCACCCAGCTTGGTAAGAGGTTTGGAAAGTATATTAACAGCCTGTAGCAACACAATTAAGATTCACTCAAAAAGAGATTTTTTTTCTTTACATGACTAAGGGTACACTGATTGTATTGGGAGGAGGGTATCTAAATAACTTTTTGTGATTGATAGATTCTATGTAGGAAAATTTGGTTGACACCCAGGAACACCTACATTGCACAAAAGGAAGTATGCCAATATACTGAAATTCAGTTGTGTTAGATGTTGTTCAACTTAGATTCTTCACCCAGCTCACCTTCATAGGGTACAATCCCATCCCTTTTTCCCATCCACTTTCTCTTCTCTATTGGCTGAGAAAGTATGCCTGCCTCATAAACACACATGTTATAAAATGTGCATGATCCAATTTTCTTACGGTTTGTTGATTCGTAGTCTCCTGCCTCATAAAACTCTTATTCAGGAGAGAGATTTGTTGCATCCCCAGGTGAGAATGATTGTCAGCAGAATTCTCCAGCGATATTTATCAGGCAAATTGGAGGAAGGTAGATGGGCTGAAAGGCCAAAGAAGACCCAGGGAGGATACAGTATTTTTGAACAGAGTAGAGCACTGGCTTGGGCACATGAGATCTGGATTTTTAGGAGCAGCTCTGCCAGCCATCAGCTGTACCATCTTGGGCAAGCCACTTAACCTCTCTGCACCTCAAGTTCCTCATTTTTATAACAACAGGGGTTGGACCAGAGGCTCTGTAAGGTTCCTTTCAGCTTCATAATTCTAAGCTGTGCCTCAGTCAGAATCCTATCAAAGACCTATAAGGTGCTTGGGATGGTTTCCTTGAAGATAAGAGCAAATGATGCAACCATCTACAGTGTCAGACCTTCCAGATGGGGTTGTAAGAGGGATCTTTCTGTACAAAGTTTCTATCCCTCAGAAGCAGTTATGAGTTAGTTCATTTATACTGCTTGGTGAGATGGTATAGGGTAGAGCAAGGGTTATGGAGTAGGACCTTAGTTTGAAAACCATTTCTGCCACCTCCTGTCCCAGGGTCCCCAGGGAAAAATTATTTAACCTCTCTGAACATCATTTTCTGCCTCTGTAAGATGGTGGTGGTAGAATCAACTTCAGAGGGTTTTGAAGATGAAAGGTAATTATATATATAAAGCACTTAGCCCAGCACCTGGCAAAATGGAAGTGCTGAATCAACAATGTGTGCTACCACTATTGGTGTGCTTATTGATATTAACTTAATTCTCCTGACACGGGCATGGATATACTTCAACATTTTTTTTTTGAGACCGAATCTTACTCTGTTGCCCAGGCTGGAGTGCAGTGGTGCAATCTCGGCTCACTGCAACCTCCACCTCTGGGGTTCAAGCGATTCTCCGACCGCAGCCTCCCAAGTAGCTGGTGTTACAGGCTCGTGCCACCATGCCCGGCTAATTTTTGTATTTTTAGTAGAGATGGGGTTTCACTATATTGGCCAGGCTAGTCTTGAACTCCTGACCTCAAGTGATCCACCTGCCTTGGCCTCCCAAGGTGCTAGGCATGAGCCACTGCACCCGGCCAGCATTTTTTCTTAAATAAAGCTTTCTCTTTCTTTCTGGCTTTAAGTAGCTCTAGAGTCAGAAAGATCGGGATTGAATTCCCTGCTCTGCTTTTTTTTTTCCTCACCCCCAAATTTTAAAATTCAATTTAATTTCTAAATTGATATATATGTACACATTTTGTGGGTATGTATGATAATACATCATCTAATTTATGAAGATCAAATCAGTGTAATTGGGATATCCATCACCTTTAATATTTGCCTTTATGCTAGAACATTTGAGTTATTCTCTTCAAGCTATTTTGAAGTATACAATAGATGATTATAGTCACCCTACCAATCTGTCAAACTGTATATATGTATCCATTAATCAGCCTCTCTTCATCTCCCGCCCCAACCCCCACCGCCCCGCACTTTCCTGTCCTCTGGAAACTGCCAGTCTATTCTCTATCTTCATGAGATCCACTTTTTTTGTAAGCTCCCACATGTGAGTGAGAACATCCTGCTCTGCTTTTTGTAGGCAGTGGGACCTTGGGCAAATTTGACTTTTCTGCCCCTTAGTTTCCTCATCTGTGAAATGCAGTCAGGTATAGTGCTTACCCCCAAGGGTTGTTGTGAATAAGATAATGGAAATAAAGAATTTAGCACTGTGGGCCGGGCGCGGTGGCTCATGCCTGTAATCCCAGCACTTTGGGAGGCCGAGGCGGGCGGATCACGAGGTCAGGAGATCGAGACCATCCTGGCTAACACGGTGAAACCCCGTCTCTACTAAAAATACAAAAAGCTGGCCGTGGTGGTGGGCGCCAGTAGTCCCAGCTACTTGGGAGGCTGAGGCAGGAGAATGGCGTGAACCCAGGAGGTGGAGCTTGCAGTGAGTCGAGATCACGCCGCTGCACTCCAGCCTGGGAGACAGTGAGACTCTGTCTCAAAACAAAACAAAACAAAACAAAAACTTAGCACTGTGCCTGGCATCCAGAATGCACTCAATAAATGGTGGCTGTGCTGCTCATGGTGAAGGTAATATAGATTGAGCATCCCTAATGTGAAAATCCAAAATCCAAAATCTTCTAAAATTAGAAACTTTTGGAGTCCTGACATGACACTCAAGGACATGCTCATTGGAATGTTTCAGATTTTTGGATTAGGGATGCTCAACCAGTAAGTACATATAATGCAAATATTCATAAATGAAAATAAATCTGAAATCTGAAATGCTTTTGGTCCCAAGCATTTCAGATAAGGGATACTCAACCTATAGTAGTAGTAATGGTAAATAACTACTACCACTACCACTGCCACCCTTGGGATAGAGGGATCAATGCATTCAAGTGCCTACATTTTTTTGCATAGCTAACCAAATTGTTGGTAGAGGCAGCAGTTGCTGTTCCTGAAGGGACAGCAAAGCAATTGTTCTGGGCTTCACAGACAGTGTCTGGGGCTTTAAAACAAAGTTGTTTATGGAGGTATGACTGAAAATGATTCAGTAGAGCATAATTCTCAGCAAAGAAGTTCTATTTATTTTTGCCAATCCTTTTCTGCCTAAGAACCTTAAAGAAAAAAATACTTATTTCTAAATGAACCCTGTATTTCTAAGGCTCAGTTTTGGTTGATCACCCATGACTTATTGTCCACAAGCTTTGTCAGCAGCATCTCGGTACAAAGATGTAAAGTCTCTGTTCTTTTTTACCAAGGTGGTCTTCATTCTCAATGGATGCCATCTCACTCTTCTTGAGCCTCTCAGTGAGTATAGGATTGATTTGATGGCTAGAATATAGATATACAGGAACAACAGGGGTTCTCAGGGATGTGATATTAGAGTAGGTGGAGTTGTATGGGGAGTGTAGAAATATTATCAAATGGAAATTTAAAAACCGGGTAGTCCTGATAGTTCTGGAGATGAACCTGTTTGCTAAGGGAGGGATATCAACTGTTTCTTTTGGTTTCCCTCTGTTTTTCTCTTTACTTTCTCTGTTACTTTCTTTTACTTTCTCTGTTGAAAGTAAAAAGAGAAAAAGGTCAGTTATTGTAAGTGAAGCCAAGTGCCAGGCTTCCTGTCCTTCCCAGACCATTTCATGGTAGGAGGGTATTGGCCAGTTTCCAACAGGGTATAGACTGCACCCCATGAGGTGCCCATCCTCTGCCCTGGCCTCGTACTTTCTCTCACTCTTGCTCTCTCCCCTCTGCCCTTCATTTAAGTAGTATTAACTATAGGAACCAAAGGCTTCTTCACAGGAATTTTCCAGTAACATCTTATCTGTGTCCCAGGTATCCATTCTCTTTTTTGCCATAAGTTCTGGAGTTATAGAAAGGAAAATGGATTTAAATTTTGGACAAAGATTTAGGGGTAGTTATCTAAAAAAACACTTCCTCTTCTACCACTTCCTTCCGCTCTACTCTCTGCTCTCATCCTCACCCCTTGTCCCCAGAGCAGTGTCTGTCTCCTTGTTAGTGGCCCAGGCCAAGTCCAAGCCCCTCCATGTAGGTGTGACAACCCAAAGCTCCAAGGTAGCCAGGGATATAAAAGGCCATGTCCCTTTCAGAGCTGAGATGACATTATAATATTGACAGTTGACAATCTTGGAGACTGAGGTGCTAAGGAATACTGAGAATGAGTGGCCAGTAACTACAGCCTTTAAGCCCTCATAGCTTATTTTTGTATTGGGAGAAGTGATATCTGCTTATTATAAAAAAAGAAAATGTCTTTTTTTTTTTTTTTTGAGATGGAGTCCCGCTCTGTTGCCAGGCTGGAGTGCAGTGGCGCTATCTCGGCTCACTGCAAACTCCGCCTCCTGGGTTCAAGCGATTCTCCTGCCTCAGCCTCCCCAGTAGCTGGGAATACAGGCGTCCGCCACCATGCCCGACTAATTTTTGTATTTTTAGTAGAGACCGGGTTTCACCATGTTGGCCAGGATGGTCTTGATCTCTTGACCTCATGATCCGCCCGCCTCAGCCTCCCAAAGTGCTGGGATTACAGGTGTGAGCCACTACGCCTGGCCAAAAAGAGAAAATTTCTAATAAAACAAAAATCCAAAGGAAAGGCACCTTGGCCTTTTACATCTCACAACCACCTAGTATCTTTCAGTGATATTCCTCCAGGTATTTCTATATCTGTATATGTATCGTGCTATACGTGCTGTATTCTAACTTGCTATTTTCCCTAACAAAAATGCCAGGTTGTGGAAAACTTTCCATGTCAGTAAATATAAGTCCACATTAGCCTTTTTAATGTATGCATAGTATTCCATGGCATAGATGCATCCTAATTTATTTAGCCATTCTCCATTGTTGGACATATAGGATGTTTCCTACTTTTACTTATTGTACACAGTGCTGTGATTAAACATCCTTGAGCATCGTTTTTTGGGTACTTGCGTAATTATCCTTGGAGACAGCTCAAGAATTGAGATTACTGGTTCATAGTGTATTCATGTTTTTAAATTCTTGATATATATATATATATATATATATATATATGAGATATATTATCTCATATATATATAAAGTTCTTGTACTTTCACCACTGGAATAATAAACTTTAAGATAACCCTATAGCCATCTAAAGATCTTATGTCAACCAGTGCTGGGGCATCATGCTGGACTACCAGAAGATGGTACCCAAGCACCCTTCCTACAGGAAGGTGCTTTTCTCCTAATCACCAACCATAGAGTGAGGAAAGAAATTCAGGCTCAAAATTGGAATACTATTGTAGAAATTGTTAGGGAAGGCCTATGTAAATTTTCTTCTCTAACCACTGATCCAGCATTACCTTCAAAAATATTGTCATCAGCATATGGAGCTGGAGTCTATAAGCCACTCCTTCAATTGTAGCAAAGCTTCGTAGTATTCTGAGCTCTCATTCTCCTAGAACATTCACCTTCTTTCATGGGTTCATCTAAAGCAAATGTTACTGACATATTCTTTTTAGACCATAATCTCGTACCTTCTTTCTGTACAGCAAGAAGATGATGGGGGGGAAAGTTAGTTGGTGCCCACGTGTTCAGGGATTGGTCACTGAATATTAACATTTAAAGGGCCATTTACCTGTAGGATTGACTTTAGAGGCTTAGCTTCGATTGAGCATTGTTCTAGATGCTGTCTTTTCTCCTTTGACATTCCTGTTCTGGTGGAGAAGCTGGTGGAAGATGGAAAGGACAGCAGTAGTAGAAACGGACACACTTCAAGCTTCTTTATCTAATGCAGCTACTACCCCATCCCTGCCATATGCCTTTGGGCAATGAAAGTGACAACAGAGCAAGAGGATGTTTAGGCCTTTTGCTCCTCAAAACTCTGATCACCTCCTATTTTCTTTTTCTTTTTCGTCTTTTCAACATTTCTGTCCTCTCCCATCATTCCTCATTATTGGGAGGATTATAGAACTAGAGGCTGAGAATATTGAGTAGGTTCATGGCATTTATCCATAGAATAATGCCAGTAGGCTCCTTAAGGGGCTCATGTTCCTTTTCTCCTCCACATGGCAAATCAGATATTAGAAACCCTGTTTTGGGGAAGCTCTAATGCTGATAGGTTGGCTTACCTTTATGAAAATCATTCCCCTCATATGACCACTCAAGTTATGCCAGGGATGGGGTATACCTAACAATGTTGGAGTGTTGGTGGGCACTGCCCTAGCCCCATTTGAGCCAATGATATCAAGAGACTTGCTCAATGCCACCCAGGATCCAAGCACCTCCCAGAACTCCTTGCTCGTGAGAAAGACTGATCCCTGCAGCTTTTCTTATCAGCAAATCTCATAGCGGCATCTCAGTACCTGTGTGATGAGCATCTTTCTCCAGAGCCTGTGTTATTCTTGGAGATTGAGATGCTCGAGGTAGGTGGTAGTTGGCAAGTATCAATGACAGCTAATAGCCAGCGCAGTCCTTCAACTATGGGCTGATGGTTTCTTCTTTCAAGGTTTCTGATGGCTGAACATGGCTCCTGTGACAAAAGAGAAGAGAAGGCTGCAGACCTGGAGCCTGGGACCCCTGGGGCCCGCAGAACCAGTCACTCTCATTCAAAGAGTGAAGGAACACATAAACTCTGCTATGCCTAGAGAGGCTCTGAGACTTCTAGGAGACACACAGCATTCACATCTGAGAAGGCAAATGACAGACATAAAATCTGAGGTCCTTTAATAAAGTGGCTGTGGTGTCTTGGGTGTGTGACCTTGAGCAAGTCACGTAGAGTCTCTGAGCCTTGGCTTTTTTATCCATAAAATGGGGATATTCATGTGTCCCCTTTACAGAATTATTTTGAAGGCAGAATGCAATATTTATTATCACCATCAAGTCAGGAATCACTGTGGGTGTTGCCTGACAGGGAGAGACTTTGCCCCAAACCCAACATATGGGACTGACTATAGAATGGGCCAAGGGCTGCATCAGCTGGGCTCCAGAGGAAGAGGGAAGGAAGAGGTTGACACTTACTACTCGGCATGGGCACTTATTCTCTTTCACTAGCTTCTTTAGAAGTAGATAGTCAATAATATCACAAGGCATGAGGGCTTTCTTCTTGTCTTGTTTGTTTGCTAAACTAAAACAGCATATGAGAGAGGGAGGAAAAGAGTGGAAGAGTGAAACCAAAACAGAAGCAAAAGGCGAGAAAAGAAGGGAAAGAGGAGGAGAACAAATTCTACTATAACTGCTACATATCCAGGAATTAGGTTTAAAGACATACCTAATGAGATGAGCTAGACATTTTTCTAGTCAACTTCCAATGATGGAAAGTATAGCACAAATCATTTGAATCCAAGATAGTCCCCCCAGGGCTCATTTCTCACTTCCCCTACATTATGCTATCAAACTTTAATTAGAATTGCTAACTGGGCTATGAACATATTTGGAGTTTTTACATCCTTTCCCAAACTCTGTTCATGCTCTAGTTGGGGTTGCTAATGAGGAATGAAAGAAGCATAAAGGGAGATGGGGGCGGGGATGAGAATTGACTGGCCACCTGCATTATCACCCTGGAATAAGTGCTAGTTATGTAACTTTTGAGCAATCTGATCAGAGAGGAGGTCATTGGCATCAATTATACAAGATAGGAGTTCTCTGCTATCATGAGGTTTCAGGATCAGAGACCGAAACCAGAAAAGATGATAAGCAAATTCAGGAAGATAGTCTTCAGGAAGAGTCAAGGGGTGGAGGTGGTGGATACCACTTTTCATTTCCCTTTGATGCTTCCCTTCAAAATTACCTTTGTACAGTTAGGTAACTTGTCCCCCATGGCAGTGTGTGGTAGAAAGTAGCTCTTGAGAACAAACCTCAGAAAATTGGGCCGCTCTACCTCACTGAGCCTAAGGGAACAGGAGGCCTAGCTGGGTGTGACAAAGGGACCACCCCACCCTTCATTTCTATACTTTTAAGGGTACAAATTGGGAAGCAGAAATAGGACAGAAAGGCAGAATCTTACATTAAGATGGGTTTCCCTGCCACTCTTTTATCGGACAGCAGATGTGTTAAGATGATCTTCACTTCCTGCATGCGTCTTATGTCACTGGAATCCAGGACGAAAACAAGCCCATGGGCCTGTGCATAGTAGTTTGGCCATGCTTCCCGGCCCTTCAGGTCTCCATTCAGGTCATAGATGGAAAGTTCATACTCATCTAACAAAAGTGTAGTCAGTTCCGATTTCATGCAATGGTCTGTCTTACTGGGAAGTACTGTGCATAGGGGAAAAGAGGAGAAGCAATCACTTAGATCGAAACTCCATACTCATCTAACAGGAGTAGAGTCGGTTCCGATTTCATGCAGTTGTCTATCCTGCTGGGAAGTACTATGCAGAGGGGAAGAGAGGAAAAGCAATCACAAAGTAGGGAAATATAGTTAGATCAAATAATTTGTTGAACCCTGACTAGAGCCTGCTCTGAGAAATCCCACTGAAGCATCCTGCCACCCTGCCCATACTTGGGGGCTATCTTCCTAAATCATCGCTTTACCCATGCTATCCTCTCCTGGCTCAGTAACCTTTAGTGAGTGTCCACTGCTTCCAGAGATAATACAGACTCCTTCACCTCCTAACCTGCCAGACCTATCTCCTAGCGCTGTAACCTGACAAGTGTCCACACTGTCCCTAGTACATACCCAATCTGTTCTTCCCTTGGCTCCTTTGCCCTTACTTCTCCCACTCTACATCAATGTCTTGCTCTCTCTTGCCCTGGGATGTTACAAGATGCCATTCTCTCTGCCTAGAACACTTCTACTCTTTGCTTAGTTAATGCCTATTTTTTAAAATGTCAATTTTGATCTTGTTTATTCTGGAGTTTTCCCACACACCAGCCATCTGGATAAGGTACCTTTCTTCTGAGTTTACCATTGTCATAGCACATATTACAGTGTTGTAAATTCTATGGTTTATTTATCTGGGTTGTAAACTGCAACAGGACAGGAACCCTTTCAATTTTATTGAAATTTATTCACCATTACATTCATGATGCCAAGCACATTCATTATTGGATTAATCTGATAAATGAATGAATGAACAGGAGGTCCTTCTCTCCCACCCTTCAATACCCAGCTCAAGTACTGTTTAGGAAGACTTCTCTGGTCTGTCCACTTCTCACTTCTCTCTCTCTTTCTTGTTGAGCACATGGTCTGTTGAGCTGGTCCTTCACCTCTTTTTGTGCTTGCTTTGTCTCTCCAACTAAAACGTAAGCTATATGAGGGAGGATGTCTGTATTACCTTACACACAGTAGGTGTTCAATAAATGTTTATGGTGGTTGTTACTGTAGATGAGGGTATGAAGTTGTCTCCCACATATCTCTTCCAAGAAACCATGCTAGACTTAGACACATTTTCCTTTGAAAAGCTATAGCCAGAACACAAAATCTCATAGGGAATTCCATACCTCATTCAACTCCCATAGAAATGGAGTTGAAAACGGTAGTCTTGGCTGGGCACGGTGGCTCGCGCCTGTAATCCCAGCACTTTGGGAGGCTGAGGCGGGCAGATCACCTGAAGTTAGGAGTTCAAGACCAGCCTGGCCAACATGGCAAAACCCCATCTTTACTAAAAATACAAAAAAAGAAAAAAAAAAACAAAAAACAACTTAGCCGGGTGCGGTGGCACACGCCTGTAATCCCAGCTACCTGAGAGGCTGAGGCAGGAGAATCGCTTGAGCCCTGGAGACAGAGGTTGCAGTGAGCTGAGATTACGCCACTGCACTCCAGCATGGGGGACAAGAGTGAAACTCCATCTCAAAAAAAAAAAACAAAAAACAAAAAAAAAAGAAGGAAAATGGAAAACAGCAGCCTTTATATGCGTTCCAGTCTGTTGAACTGACCGTTCTAGCCTAGCTCTCTTCCCACATTAGTAGCAAAATGACTTTATACATTCTCTGCACCCATACCTGGGAGCACTAAGACTAGAATGCATAACTTCTTATTTGTAGTCTTAGATCTGCATGTGACATTTTCCATAGCATTGCTAAAATGAGTCATTAACGTGAAAAGTTAGTAATATACTTTTGGGTCTTTGGAAATGAGAGTACATATATATGTGTGTATATGTATATATTATTATTATGTTTAAATGTGATTTTCATAACATCTCTTCTGATTTCATGTTAGGCAATGAACTGTTAAATTATAGTTTTCAGATAAAATAATTTTCAGCCAAAACTTTGATGTGATATTTGCTATATCTGTATTAGACTACTCAAAAATAACAAGTGGGCCAGGGACGGTGGCTCACACCTGTAATTCCAGCACTTTGGGAGGCCGAGGCAGGCAGATCACCTGAGGTCAGGAGTTCGAGACCAGCCTGGCCAACATGGTGAAACCCTGTTTCCACTAAAAATACAAAAATTAGCCAGGCGTGGTGGCGGGCACCTGTAATCCTAGCTACTCGGGAGGCTGAAGCAGGAGAATCACTTGAACCCGGGAGGCAGAGGTTGCAGTGAGCTGAGGTCTCACCATTGCACTTCAGCCTGGGTGACAGAGCGAGACGTCTGTCTCAAAAAAAAAAGTGAATAGGTTAAAACTCTAAAGGTAATATTAGAGTTTCCTGCATCGAGAAAAGCTTTATATATTTTTTTTGCCCTGTCAGAGAAAAAAATTTTTTTCCTAGTTTTCTTTTTCTTTTTACTTGAAACCTTACCAGTTCCTTCAGTTAGTGCATTCTATTGTTGGTGAACCCTAGATGCTGTGAGCGGTTGTTCCCTGACAATTTACATTTATCTTATTTCCTCTATTAACGTATAAACACTCTAAGGACCGGTACTGAGTCTGATTTCATTTCTGTATCCCTAGTGGAGTGTTTCATAAAGCATGGTCCGGGCACCATATAATTGAGAATTACATGGGGGTGATTGTTAAAGCCTAGTCCAGACCAAATGAATCAAAACCTCTAGGCTTGGGACACAAGCATTTGCATGTTTAATGAACTCCCTATGGTTAACAAAATCCTGAGGTGATTCTTCTGCACTTTAAAGCTTGAGTACCACTACTCTAGAGAGCCATGAAACCCATGCCTGATTGTGTCTCAGCATCATCTGGTGAGTTTGTTAAGATACAGATTCCATGCTACACACCTGTAGTCCCAGCTACTTGGAAGCCTGAGGTGGGAGGATCGCTTGAGCCTGGTCAATCGAGGCTGTAGTGACCCATGATCACACCACTGTACCACTGCACCCCAGTCGGGGTGACAGAGTGAGACTCTGTCTCAAAAAAAAAAAAAAAAGAAAACTGTAGATTCCATAGGCCCTTCCCAGACCAAACTTTTGAATCTCCAGGTCCCGTCAGTAGGTTTGAAAGCTCCCCAGGTGATTCTGGTTATTGGTTCTCAGTATCCACTGTTCTCCATGATCACCTGTAGAGCATTTTATTTATTTATTTATTTATTTATTTATTTATTTATTTTTTAAGCCTGGAGTGCAGTGGCACCATCTCGTCTCACTACACCCTTTGCCTCCCGAGTTCAAGCAATTCTCCTACCTCAGCCTGCTGCGTAGCTGAGATTACAGGCCCCCACCACCACACCCAGCCAATTTTTGTATTTTTAGTAGAGACGGGGGTTTCACCATGTTGGCCAGGCTGGTCTCGAACTCCTGACCTCAGGTGATCCACCCGCCTTGGCCTCCCAAAGTGCTGGGATTACAGGCGTGAGCTACCACACCCAGCCACCTCCAGGCCTCGTTCTCTCAAGGTTTGAGTCCATAGATCTGGGGTGGGGCTGAAGCATCATGATTTTTTTAAAAAGCTCCCCAGCTGATTGAAATATATAGCCAGGTTTGAAAGGCGCTAGTCTAAATGTCCTCATTTAGGACACCTGCTTGTGCCAGTGGTTGGGTTTCTTCTTGCCTTTCATGACCATGCCAGACAAAACAGTTTTAGTGAATGGTCAATAATAATGACTTGGAGATGGCGGCATAAGATGGCCAAATAGAATCCTTCAGTGATGGTCACCCCTGCAGGAACACCAAATTGAACAACTATCCACATGAAAGCACCTTCATAAGAACCAAAAATTAGGTGAGCGATCACAGTACCTGGTTATAACATCTGTATTTTTTTCTTTTTTTGAGACAGGGTCTCACTCTGTCATCCATGCTGGAGTGCAGTGGCTCAGTCTCAGCTCACTGCAGCCTTGACCTCCTGGACTCAAGTGATCCTCCCACCTTAGCCTCCTGAGTAAATGGGATTACAGGCATGTGTCACCATACCTGGCTAATTTTTTTTTTTCTTTTTTTTTTTGTAGAGAGTTTTGGCATGTTGCCCAGGCTGGTCTTGAACTCCTGGGCTCAAGTGATCTGCCTGCCTTGGCCTCTCAAAGTGCTGGGATTGCAGGCATGAGCCCCCGCACCCCACCTTGGTTATAACATCATGTCAAGGAAAGAGGCACTGAAGAGGGTGGGAAAGAGTCTTGAATCACCAGCACCACCCTTTCCTCATCCCCTGGCAGCACCACATGGCACAGAGAGAATCTGTGCTTGAAAGAGAGAGTGCAGTGATTGTAGGACTTTGGATTGGAACTCAGTGCTGCCCTGTCACAGCAGAAAACTACATAGGGCAGAATTTGCCCAGCACTTACGGAGGAAGCATTTAGACCAGCCCTAGCCAGAGGGAAATTGTCCATTCCAACAGTTGGAACCTGAGTTCCAGCAAGCCCTGCCACCATGGCCTGAAGTGCTCTGGGGTGCTAAATAAATTTAAAAGGCAGTCCAGGCCACAAGGACTGCGGTTCCTGGACAAGTCCTGGTGCTGTGATGGGCTTGGAGCCAAGGACTCAGGGGGCATGCAACCTAGTGAGTCACCAGCCAGAGTGACCAAGGGAGTGCTTGTGTCACCCCTCCCACCAGTGCCGGGCAGCACAGCTTGCAGCTCCAGGAGGAGAGGGAAGAGTAAAGAGAACATTGTGTTACAACTTGAATACCAGCTCAGCCACAGGAAAATAAAGTACCAGGCAGAGTCCCGAAGCCCCCATTTCAGGCCATGGCTCCCCGATGACATTTCTAGACCCATCCTGGGCCAGAAGGGAACCCAGTGCCCTGAAAGGAAGGACCCAGTCTTGACAGGATTCACCACCACCTGACTAAAGAGCCCTTAGGCCTTTAGTAAACATCCCAAGCAAGCGCCAGGCAGTAGTCACCATGGGCCTTGGCCAAGACCTGGTATTGTGCTGGCTTCAGGTGTGACCCAGCACATTTTCAGCAGTGGTGGCCATCAGGAGAGACTCCTGCTTGAGGAAAGGAGAGAGAAGAGTAAAAAGGACTTTGTCTTGCAACTTCAGTACTAGCTCAGCCACAGTAAAATACAGCACCAAGCAGACTCCTGAAGTCCCTGATTCCAGGCCTTAGCTCCTGGAGGGCATTTCTAGACTCATCTTGGGCCAGAAAGGAACACACTGCCCTGAAGGGAGAGACCCAGGCCTGGCAGGACTCACTGCCTGCAGACTAAAGAGCCCTCGGGCCTTGAATAAACATTGGTGGTAGCCAGGCTATAGTCGCTATGGGCTTGGGGCTGTGGTGGCCAATTCTGCTTGAGGAAAGGGGAGAGAAATATAAAGAGGACTTTGTCTTGCAACCTGGGTACTTGCTCAGCCCCAGTAAAATAAAGCACCAAGCAGATTTCTAAAGCCCCTGACCCCAGGCCCTAGCTCCTGGTGGCATTTCTAGACCCACCCTGGACCAGAAAGGAACCTGCTGCACTGAAGGGAAATACCCTGTCCTGGCAGGATTCATCACCTACTGACTAAAGTGCCCTTGGGCCTTGAATAAATATCAGGGATAGCCAGGAAATAGTTGCCACAGGCCTTAGGTGAGACTCAGTACTGTGTTGGCTTCATGTGTGACTCAGCACAGTCTCAGTGGTCGTGGCCACAAGAGTGCTTGTATCACCCCTTCCCCAACTCCAGGCAGCTCAGCACAGAGAGAGAGACTCCATTTGTTTGGGAGAAAGTAAGGGAAAAGAACAAGAGACTTTGCCTGGTAAACCAGGGAATTCTCTCAGATCTTACCCAAGACCACCAAAATGGTACCTCTACAGCTTTACAAGAGTCACAGCATTACTAGGCTTAGGGTGTCCCCTAATGCATATACAGCTGCAGTGACCAAATATTTGATGACAACACTCAATTCCCTTTGAGTCCTTCTCAAGAAGGATGGGTAAAAACAACCCCAGCCTGCATAAATACCTAACTCTTCAATGCCCAGACACTGATGAGCATCAATAAACATCAAGACCATCCAGGAAAAATGACCTCACTAAAAGAGCTAAATAATGCACCAGTAACATATTACAGAGTGACAGAGATAAGTGACCTTTCAGACAGAGAATTCAAAATAGTTGTTTTGAGGAAGGTCAGTGAAGTCCAAGATAACACAAAGAAGGAATTCAGAATTTATCAGATAAGTTTAACAAAGATTGAAATAAGAGAGTGGCATGATATACTTAAAGTATATCAAGGAAAAAAACTTTTATCCTAGAATATTGTATCCAGCAAAATTATCCTTCAAACATGAAAGAGAAATAAAGTATTTCCCAGACAAACAAAAGCTGAGGGATTTTTGTCAACACCAGACCTCTCCTACAAGAAATGCCAAAGGGAGTACTTCAATCTGAAAGAAAAGGATGTTAATGAGCAATAAGAAATCACCTGAAGGTATAAAACCCCCTGGTAACAGCAACTCATACAGACAAATACAGAATATTGTTATAATACTGTAATTGTGGTATGTAAACTACTCATAGCTTGAGTACAAAGACTAAAAGATGAACCTATCAAAAGTAACAACCACAGCAACTTTTCAAGACAGTATAATAAGATATAAATAGAAACAACAAAAAGTTAAAAAGCAGAGGGGATGAAGTTAAAGTGTACAATTAATATTAGTTTTCTCTTTGCTTGTTTTTGCAATCACAGTTGTCATCAGTTTAAAGTAATGGGGTTTCCAGGGGGCAGTGGGTGAATATTAAAAAAAAATGGGTTATAAGATGTTATTTGCAAGCCCCATGGTAACTTCAAATCAAAAAACCTACAACAGATAGACAAAAAATATAAAGCAATAAATCAAAACATACTACCAGAGAAAATCACTTTCACAAAAAGGAAGACAGGAAGGAAGGAAGGAAAAGACCAAAAAACAACCAGAAAGCAAATAACAAGGTGACAGTAGTAAGTCCTTATTAATAATAACATTGAATATAAATGGACTAAACTCTCCAATCAAAAGACATAGGGTGGCTGAGTGGATTTAAAAAAAAAAACACATGATCTGTTTCCTACAAGAAACACACTTCATCTATAAAGACACATATAGACTGAAAGGGATAGAAAATTATATTCTATACAAATGGAAACCCAAAAGAGCGGGAGTAGCTATACTTCAGACAAAACAGATTTCAAGACAAAAACTATAAAAAGAGACGAAGAATGTCATTATATAATGATAAGGGGATCAATTCAGCAAGTGTATATAACAATTATATATGCACCCAACACTGGAGCACCCAGATATACAAAGCAAATATTATTAGAGCTAAAGAGAGAGAGATAGACCCCAATACAGCAATAATTGGAGATTTCAGCACCCCACTTTCAGTTTGGACAGATTATCCAGATCAACAATGAAACATTGTACCTAATCTGCACTATAGAGCAAATGGACCTAATAGATATTTACAGAACATTTCATCCAATGAATGTAGGATATACATTATTCTCCTCAGCATATTGATCATTCTGGCAAGGCTGTGGAGAAAGGGGTACCCTCATACACTGTTGTTGAGAATATAAATTATGTTCCACTATGAAAGTTCCTCAAAAAACTAAACATAGAACTACCATGTGATGCAGCAATCCACCTGCTGTGTATGTATCCAAAAGAAGGGAAATCAGTATGTTGAAGAGATATCTGGTGTCCCATGTTTATTGCAGCACTGTTCACAATAGCCCAGATTTGGAAGCAACCTAAGAGTCCATCAACAGATGAATGGATGAAGAAAATGTGGTACATATACACAATGGAGTACTATTTAGCCATAAAAAAAGAATAAGATCTTGTCATTTGCAGCAACACGGGCAGAACAAGTACATTATGTTAACTGAAATAAGCCAGGCACAGAAAGATAAATTTCGTATGTTCTCACTCATTTGTGGAAGCCCTAGAGTAAAATAATTGAACTCATGGAGATAAAGAGTAGAAGGACACAGCCGGGTGTGGTGGTACATGCCTATAATCCCAGCACTTTGGGAGGCCGAGGCAGGCAGATCACCTGATGTCAGGAGTTCGAGACCAGCCTGGCCAACATGGTGAGACCTCGTCTCTAATAAAAATACAAAAATAAGCCAGGTGTGGTGGCACACGCCTGTAATCCCAGCTACTTGGGAGGCTGAGGTAGGAGAATTGCTTGAACCCAGGAGGTGGAGGTTGCAGTGAGCCGAGATCGTGCCACTGCACTCCAGCCTGAGCAACAGAACGAGACTCCGTCTCAAAAAAAAAAAAAAAAAAAAAAAAAAAAAGAAGAGAGTAGAAGGATAATTACTACAGGGTGGAAAGGATAGTGAGGGGAGGGAATGGGATGGTTAATGGGTACAAAAATATAGTTCGAATGAATAAGATCTAGTATTCGATAGCACAACAGAGTGACTATAGTCAGCAATAATTTGTTGTACATTTAGAGTAAGTGAGGGAGTACAACTGGAATGTTTGTAACACAAATAAATGGTGAATGCTTGAGGTGATGGATACCCCATTTACCCTGATTTGATCATTACACATTGTATACCTGTATCAACGTATCTCACGTATCTCATAAATATATACACCTACAATGTACCCATAAAAATTTAACAAATTCTAAAAACCACTAAAAAATGGCTTGTGTGCCAAAATGTTTTATAGCTAGTGTCTTCAAGTGTTCACAGTTCTTACTTACAGACGGGCATTTCCTTCCTAGGCAATTATCTGTTCTTGGCAAAAAACATTCGCAGCAGCTGGGTGCAGTGGCTTAAGCCTGTAATCCCACCACTTTGGGAGGCCAAGGCGGGTGGATCACCTGAAGTCAGGAGTTTGAGACCAGCCTGACCAACGTGGTGAGACCCTGTCTCTACTAAATACAAAAAGTTAGCACATGCCTGTAATGTCAGCTACTTGGAGGCTGAGGCAGGAGAATCGGTTGAATCCAGGAGGCTGAGGTTGCAGTGAGCCAAGATTGTGCCATTGCACTCCAGCTTGGGCAACAAGAGTGAAACTCCGTCTCAAAAAACAAAAAACTAACTAACAACAACAACAAAAACATTTGCAGGGACAAGGGAGGTGAATTATTCAATTTTGGGCACAGAGCAACCTACTAGGTTGATTCTGATGGTCCTGCGTAGACAGAGGTGGCCTGAGACATTCTTCAGAATGTGATATCAGTGCCCATTAAAAAAATTATCTGTGAATGTAGTCACAACCAATAGATTTATGAATAATCCCCCAGGTATTCACTGAGCACAGGGCAAGTTATGCAGTAACAAAATAAATAGACTCTAGGCAGTGTCCTCTAGGAATTAAAATGGGAAACACACCATTCTCACAGGCAAAATAGCATACTGGTAATTCCAGGTGAGTGCTTCCAAAAGCTGGCTGGCCATCAGAAACCCCTGAGGAGTTCTTAAAATATAGATTCCTAGGGCCCACCGAGACTAAAGGGAATCCAGGGATGAGGTTGAGTTGGGGCTCTAGAAAATTATCCCCACGTTTTTCAATAATCTTGTGATTTTTGCTGGCTCCTGGATTTTTCCTGCTGCTATTTACCTTCTTAAACATTTCTGCCTATCAGAGAACTGGGAGAAGCAAGGAGTTAAGTTTGTTTCCTACAAGGGGGGATAAAAGGCTGAACCCATTGGCTAAAATGTGAGGCTTGGAGCTGCTAATGGGACAGAGGAAGTTGTTATAGAAAATGGCAACATGTCGCCGGGCGCAGTGGCTCACACCTGTAATTCCAGCACTTTGGGAGGCTGAGGCAGGAGGATTGCTTGAGCCCAGGAGTTCCAGACCAGCCTGGCCAACATGGTGAAACCCCATCTCTACTAAAATCCAAAAAAATCAGCCAGGCGTGGTGGTGCACACATGTAATCCCAGCTACTCGGGAGGCTGAGGCATGTGAATCGCTTGAACCTGGGAGGTGGAGGTTGCAGTGAGCTGAGATCGCACCACTGCACTCCAGCCTGGGCAACAGAACAAGACTCTGTCTCAGAGAAAAAAAAAAAAAAAGCAAAGAAAATGGCAACATGTTGTCTCAGGTGAATGGCGGAATGGGGGAGAACATCCATTCCATGAATATTTATTGAATACCTACCTGAAAATGCTAAAAGGCCACAGGCTAAAGATACAGAGAGGAAAAAATCCATTATTTCTCCTCAAGAGGCTCACAATTTAGGGGATGGACTTGCAATTGCCTGATGATGTTGTAATAAGTGCATGCCAGAGCGATGCGTGGAATAGAGTGGGAGCTGAGGAAGGAGGGCACTGATAGGGAAGGCTTTCCTGAGGTCAAGCTGGGCTGTGACTTGAGGCTTTTGATTTAGCAGGTAGATAATGATGGAGATAAAATGCTAGGTAGTGGGACAGCATGTACAGAACTAGAAAAGGGGGATGGCAAGTCATTTGTTGTGGCTGTATCAGAGGGCATGTGCAGAGAGCATGGGAAATGAAGTTGGAGGAGGACTCAGGGACCAACTCATAGAGGGCTTTGTGTGCTGCTAAGAAACTTAAGTTTTATCTTGAAGATAATGGCATTGAACAGTTTTGAGCAGGGAAGTGCCATGATCAGACTTTTATATTAAGTCCTTTCTGGTAGCTATGTGGATTGAATACTGGGGGGGACAAATGGAGATGACAAGATCAGCTAGAAGGCTGTTGCTGTAGTTCAGGGAAATTGATGAGCACTTCAGGTAGGTCAGTGGCAGAGGAGTCAGGTTAGCTTTTTTTGTTCAGGGATGCCAGGTTAGCTAAAACTCAACCACGTCATCATACTACTTCATTTATCCAATAAACATGGATGGAGGGCATCCTGTGACAGACAGTGCTGGCTTCTTTGATTGGTCCTTAATAAGTAGTGTAGTAGCTTTCTGAAATTCTGTGTAACTGCTTCTTGAAATGTCAAGATACTGAACTAGAGACCTGGTATTAAACTTGGACATATCGGAACTGACGACATTTCTCAAGCTCCAACTCTCTATATTAGCTGTCACAGAATTTCATGTTATTAAACTTCTTTATCATCCCACACTTGTCTCTCTTATCTAGACCAAATTCCACTTTAATTGAGCCCTGAAACTAGACATCATTTCAAACATGCTATCCTTCATAATTGACTGCAATGCTTTACGTAGTTTGAACTCACGCCTACTGACCCTATGAAAGGACTTTCAATTAGGATATCTTGTAAAGGGAGCAGGTGACAGACATTACATAAACAGGCTGTTTATGTAATGTGGGGAAGGGAGGGAGGGAAGGGGGAGAGAGAGAGAGAGAGACAGAGAGAGATAGAGTATGTGTGTGTGTGCGTGTGTGTTAGGAGGTGTTTATGCACAAAAAGAGGGAAATTGAGGGCCATGAAGTAATGCTAGGAAGGAAGGATTATTTCACTGGATTCTGGGGTCCATGGGAGACCCACGCCAGTATCTAATGCTCTTAGTTCCTTACATTTTTGGAATGCCTCCACAAGAACAGTTTTGCCAGAGTTGTTCAAGCCAATGATAGGGATGGTCACATTCCTAGAAATGAAAAAGAAAAATGAGCCCAAAGTCTTAAAACAGGTAGGTTTTAGGCTAAACAGAGAGTTATACTCTTCCTTATTGTTTGGGACTCTGCCTGCAGTAATCTCAATGCATGTACCATAAAAGGCCCAGCCAAAGCAGTAGAAGGTGGTATGGGAGCCCCTCACCAAAGCCCCCAAGGATGCTTTTCTTCCCTGATTCACTTAACCTTGTACAATTGGCCATCCCTCCTCAACCCTGCCCCCAATCTTACAAACACTGCTTAATCACTTCACCTAACAATATATATTATGAAGATTTGTCCCTTGAGGGACTATGGGCAGATTTGTGGGAGGAAATAGTGGAATAGGCCTAGGGAAATAATTGTAATATTACCTTCGTGTCTCTTCTGTTGTCCTTAGGCAAGAGCAGCAGGAGGACAAAAGCCGGAACATGATTCATCTTAGTTCTTAAATATTAAGAGAAGAAAGAAAATAAGAAGTAAGTCCTGTTATAAACACTGAGCCTTTAGTCAGCTTATGACTAAACAGGTGCTGATAAACAGAAAGCCTGGGATTGTTAGAAGTCTATTACTTCATTCTATCCAACTGTGTCTATAAATGTCATAGAAGGCAGCCGCCGCCGCCCGACCGCCGGGAGGATGGAGTTCAGCGGGCAGCGGAGCTGTCTCAGTCTTTGCCGCCGCGCCGGCGAGCGCCGCCCGGGAGGCAGCGGCTGGAGGAGCGGACGGGCCCCGCGGGGCCCGAGGGCAAGGAGCAGCCGCCTGCCTTGGCCTCCCAAAGTACCGAGATTGCAGCCTCTGCCCGGCCGCCACCCCGTCTGGGAAGTGAGGAGTGTCTCTGCCTGGCCGCCCATCGTCTGGGATGTGAGGAGCCCCTCTGCCTGGCTGCCCAGTCTGGAAAGTGAGGAGCGTCTCCACCCGGCCGCCATCCCATCTAGGAAGTGAGGAGCGCCTCTTCCCAGCCGCCATCACATCTAGGAAGTGAGGAGCGTCTCTGCCTGGCCGCCCATCGTCTGAGATGTGGGGAGCGCCTCTGCCCCGCCGCCCCATCTGGGATGTGAGGAGTGCCTCTGCCCGGCCGAGACCCCGTCTGGGAGGTGAGGAGCATCTCTGCCCGGCCGCCCCGTCTGAGAAGTGAGGAGACCCTCTGCCTGGCAACCACTCCGTCTGAGAAGTGAGGAGCCCCTCCGCCCGGCAGCTGCCCCGTCTGAGAAGTGAGGAGCCTCTCCGCCCGGCAGCCACCCCATCTGGGAAGTGAGGAGCGTCTCCGCCCGGCAGCCACCCCGTCCCGGCCAGCCGCCCCGTCCAGGAGGTGAGGGGCGCCTCTGCCCGGCCGCCCCTACTGGGAAGTGAGGAGCCCCTCTGCCCGGCCAGCCGCCCCGTCCGGGAGGGAGGTGGGGGGGTCAGCCCCCCGCCCGGCCAGCCGCCCCGTCCGGGAGGGAGGTGGGTGGGGGTCAGCCCCCCCGCCCGGCCAGCCGCCCCGTCCGGGAGGTGAGGGGCGCCTCTGCCCGGCCACCCCTACTGGGAAGTGAGGAGCCCCTCTGCCCGGCCAGCCGCCCCGTCCGGGAGGGAGGTGGGGGTGTCAGTCCCCCGCCCGGCCAGCCGCCCCGTCCGGGAGGGAGGTGGGGGGGGTCAGCCCCCCTGCCCGGCCAGCCGCCCCGTCTGGGAGGTGAGGGGCGCCTCTGCCCAGCCGCCCCTACTGGGAAGTGAGGAGCCCCTCTGCCCGGCCAGCCGCCCCGTCCGGGAGGGAGGTTGGGGGGTCAGCCCCCCGCCCGGCCAGCCGCCCCGTCCGGGAGGTGAGGGGCGCCTCTGCCCGGCCCCCCCTACTGGGAAGTGAGGAGCCCCTCTGCCCGGCCACCACCCCGTCTGGGAGGTGAGCCCAACAGCTCATTGAGAACGGGCCAGGATGACAATGGCGGCTTTGTGGAATAGAAAGGCGGGAAAGGTGGGGAAAAGATTGAGAAATCGGATGGTTGCCGTGTCTGTGTAGAAAGAAGTAGACATGGGAGACTTTTCATTTTGTTCTGCACTAAGAAAAATTCCTCTGCCTTGGGATCCTGTTGATCTGTGACCTTACCCCCAACCCTGTGCTCTCTGAAACATGTGCTGTGTCCACTCAGGGTTAAATGGATTAAGGGCGGTGCAAGATGTGCTTTGTTAAACAGATGCTTGAAGGCAGCATGCTCGTTAAGAGTCATCACCAATCCCTAATCTCAAGTAATCAGGGACACAAACACTGCGGAAGGCCGCAGGGTCCTCTGCCTAGGAAAACCAGAGACCTTTGTTCACTTGTTTATCTGCTGACCTTCCCTCCACTATTGTCCCATGACCCTGCCAAATCCCCCTCTGTGAGAAACACCCAAGAATTATCAATAAAAAAATAAATTAAAAAAAAAAAAAAAAAGAAAATGAAAGCTGCAATAGAAACTCATAAATGAAAAAATTATCTCCTGACCATTTTTGAGAGAATGAGAGACATATTCTGCTCAGTGTAAAAGTGGTTATTAAAGTTATTTTGAAAAATTTCATTTAAAAAAAAAAAAATGTCATAGAAGGAGGAACTGGTTATTCTCAACTGCAGCGACAAGTTCTGTGCTAATGAGTAACTTTCTTCAAAATGGGGTGATTTCTTAGTATAGCAGACTACACAGACATAATCAGATGTGACCTATCCCTTCAGCCATAGTTCATCCTTGTTAAGAATATGTTTATTCAACCTTGCGGAGGTTGGGATGATGCCTAAGAGAAGAACCAACTTAGGCTTCTAGACGGACCTATCGGGAGACCTGTTCCAAGTACCAATAATGTCTCTTCTTCAAAGATGTGGGCATTGGTGACCCACTATTAGAGATTTTATACAAGTTTTGGGGCTATCAGGGACCTTAGAGATCGTCTAGTCTGGATTCAAACATTAATCCAGGTATCCCATCCTCAAAGATTGCCAGGGAGCTGCATAAGCTTCCCAGGTGATGTCAATGCGCAGCTGGATTTGGAAGTGAATGCCTAAGTAAAAAGGATAATTTAGGCAATCACTTCAAGGTTCATCCTTGGAAAGTGGATTGTTTCTACTTTTTGGCTGTTATGAATAATGCTGCTATAAACATTTGTATATAAGTTTTTGTGTGGATATGTTTTCTTTTCTCTTGGGTATATACCTAGGAGTATTACTGCTGGGTTATATAATAAATCTATATTTAACCTCTTGAAGAACTGCCAGACTGTTTTGCAAAGTGGCTACAACATCTTACATTCCCACCAGTAATGCTTGTTTTTTGTTTACAGCTATCCTAGTGGGTGTGAGGTAGGTATTTCATTGTGGTTTCAATTTACATTTTCCTAATGACTAATTATGGTTGACCCTTGAACAACATGGGTTTGAACTGCATGAGTCTACTTATACCAGGCTTTTTTTTTTTCAACCAAATGAGGATATTTGTGAATGTGAAACCCACGTATATGCAGGGCTAACTTTTCATATACATGGGTTTCGCAGTGCCAACTGCAGGATTTGAGAATGCACAGATTTTGGTATATGAGGGGGTTCAGGAACCCATTTCCCCCGAGTTTACTGAGGGACGACTGTATGTTGAAGCCCAAAATTGGAGGAAGCCCTGGTTGGGTTAGCAAAGTACTTCAGTTAATGCTTCGATGGGCTTTGCTTAGCTATCTGATGAGCACAGTTTATGTGCCAGCTTATCAATGGATAATTTATCAGGGTTCTGCAGAGTCATCCAGTCATTTACTGTTCTGGAGAGTTGCCATTCCAAAATACTAACATTTCATAGCATTTCTTATAGCACAGCTCAGACCCTAGGAGATCATTAGGTTTCCCATAAGGACCTCCTGGAGAATGGCTCTGGCTTATGCCAGACAAAAAAGAAACTTTATATATGGCCTGTGATCAAAACCAGCCTTACTCCAGTTTTGCACATGAAGCTGATATGACCAGGAGCCTGAAACATCAGAGCCTAATTGTCTGGGTTCCTTGATAGCCATCTCCCTTGGAGAAGAGGCCAGTAACCGCTTCATGTCTGTTTCCTAATAATTGGCAGAGCCTTCTAACTTGATGTCAGGCTCTCTGTGTTTGTCAGTGCCACCAAGAAGTGTCAAATTGGCATCACACAAGTTCTTCCTTTATAAGGAAGGGTAGGTATGAAAACCCAACTGGGAAAATGATTGAATTAGGGATTGCTGGACTGATCCTTTATTTCTAGTGCCTCTTCTGGGTAGCCTGAAGTGAAATCACCTCAACTAAACCTACCATTTCCAAATTTCTTATCTGTAAAATGAAGATAGTGACATATTTTGCTTACCATGAGGTGGTTATTTATCTGATAAGTTGATTCTTTTTGGATGGAAGACATAAGATATGCAGAGTAATAGGAAGACGCATTGAGCTTTCTAGCCTTCTTGTCAGATTAACACAGCTTAGGTTGTCCATTTATAAAAGCTATGGCAATGTCCTAATAATGGTTGTCACGGTACTGACATGTCTGTGGCAACCACTACCTGGTTCATAGCAACCAAACTCATATCTCCTTACCTTGTATGATTATAGATAATTACTAAAGGAACTTTAAGTCATCATAGTTTTTATTCATTTTACAAAATATTTATATAGAATTTACTTTGTGCCAGGGCTCATTAAAGCACTTTATACACATTAATTCATTTAATCCTTACTACAGCATGACAAAGTAGGGGCTATCATTCCTACTTTTCAGAGATGAAGTTGTTCACAAAGGGGTTACATAACTTGCCAAAGGTTACCTAGCTAATAAATGGTAAAGCCAGAATTCAAACCTAGGCATTCTGGCTTCAGGGTCTGTATTAGGTCAAAGGTCTTGCAGACCTCAGATACCAGAGAAACTGCCTCTGCTCTGCGTATCTCTATCTCTTCTAGCCAAACTGTATCATACTTAGTGAACTTTTTATAAAATGCTTTATTTTTCAGAATGGTTTTAGATATACAGAAAAATTGCTAAGACAGTACAGTGAGTAACCATCCCTAACACCCAATTTCCCTCATTGTTAACATCTTACGATGCTGTATTTGTTACAATTAATGAACCAGTATTAATACATTGTTATTAACTAAAGTCCATACTTCATTCAGATTTCCTTAGTTTTTAACTTAAGCTTCTCAGATTTTGTTTTGTTTTGTTTTTTGGAGACAAGGTCTGGCTCTGTGGCCCAGGCTGGAGTGCAGTAGTGTGATCATGGCTAACTGCAGCCTCAAACTCCTGGGCTCAAGCAATCCTCCTGCTTCAGCCTCCCAAGTACCTAGGACTGCAGGCATGCACCACCATCCTTGGCTAATTTATTTTTTATTCTTTTTAGAGAAGGGTCTTGCTATATTGCCCAGGCTGGTCTTGAAGCCTGGCCTCAAGTGATCCTCCCACTGTGGCCTCCCAAAGGGGTGGAATTATAGGCATGAGATACCACATCCAGCCACTCTATTTGTCTTTGATGACCTTGACAGGAGTGTTCATCAGGTATTTTGTAGAATACCCCTCACTTGTTGTTTATCTGATGTTTTTCTCATGATTAGACTGAAGTTATGTGTTCTTGGGAGGAAGGCCACAGAGGTAACGTGCCATCCTCATCACATCATATCAAGGATACATGCTGTCAACATGACTTATCACTGATGATGTTAACCTTGATCACCTGGCCGAGGCAGTGTTTATCAGATTTCTCCACTGTAAAGATACTCCCCCTACTTTCTATCCTGTACTCTTTAGAAGGAAATCAGTATGCATTGGCCATACTTATAGAATGGGGAGTTATCCTCCACCTCCTTGAGGTGGAGTATCTACAAAAGTTGTTTGGAATTCTTCTGTATGGGGGGGGGGTCTGTCTATTCTTACACATTTGTTTATTAAATCATTCATTTATACAGTATGGGCTCACATATATTTATTTTATCCTCTGATTATAATCAATACCTCTTTATTTTCTTGCTCAAGTCGTTCCAACTTTGGCCTGGGGAGCTCTTTCAGTTGACTCCTCCCTCTGACATACTCTCATCATTGTAGGTTTTTAAAAATTTTTATTATTCTTATTTTGAGACAGAGTCTTGCTCTGTCACCCAGGCTGGAGTGCAGTGGCACGATCTCAGACCACTGCAACCTCTACCTCCCAGGTTCAAGCAATTCTACTGTCTCAGACTCCCAAATAGCTGGGACTACAGGCGCACACCACCATGCCCGGCTAATTATTGTATTTTTAGTAGAGATAGGGTTTCACCATGTTGGCCAGGCTGGTTTTGAACTCCTACCTCAGGTGATCCACCCACCTTGGCCTCCCAAGTGCTTGGATTACAGGTATTAGCCACCGCATCCGGCCCACATACTTACTCTTAATTCTAAATTTTGAATTGGATCACAGACCAGGCCTTCAGCTAGGGTGACTTATGTATCTATTTGACCAGAACAGACTTGATGTGTGTTTTCCCCCAAGCCCATAGCCAAACTTGTATCCTAGCCTGTTTTCTTTCTTTCTTTCTTTCTTTTTTTTTTAAGACCAAGTTTTGCTCTTGTCGCCCAGGCTGAAGTGCAATGGTGCGATCTCGGCTCACTGCAACCTCCACCTCCCGGGTTCAAGCGATTCTCCTGCTTCAGCCTTCTGAGTAGCTGGGATTACAGGCTTGTGCCACCACACCTGGCTAATTTTTCTGTATTTTTAGTAGAAATGGGGTTTTGCCATGTTGACCAGGCTGGTCTTGAACTCCTGACCTCTGGTGACCGCCCCCGTCGGCCTCCCAAAGTGCTGAGATTACAGGCGTGAGCCACCGTGCCCGGCCTCCTGGCCTGTTTTCTTACGGTGTCTGGGCTTAGAATGGTTTTTACATTCTTAAAGGGTTAAAAAGAAAAAGAATATATGACAGAGACCGTATGTGTCTTCTAAAACCTAAAATATTTACTATCTGGCCATTTTTAGGAAAAATTTGCCAACCTCCA
The DNA here is from genome assembly GCF_000001405.40 of Homo sapiens. Taxonomy (NCBI): domain Eukaryota; kingdom Metazoa; phylum Chordata; class Mammalia; order Primates; family Hominidae; genus Homo; species Homo sapiens. Next base: position 100,967,160 of record NC_000023.11, on the reverse strand, counting down.
TCCCAGAATCATTACTAATAGTGCCTCCTTTCATGCACAAAAGTGTCCAGGCTTGGATGATACTCTATATGAACACTTATCTTTATCTGAATGAGGCACTTTACAGTCCTTTGAAAGGTCTCAGCTGAAGGCTTTTCTAAATATGTAGATTGATTTTTGGCCAACTGGAGGTTGCGTTTTCCCTTTCTTTTCTCCATACTTGCCATCCAAGGGGAGCTGTCTATAGCTGAGATCTTGTGCTAGCCATCAAGGGAAGTAACCCAGTTGATACTGCTGTTTTTCTGTCATGCCCAGAAATGTGTTAGGTAGAGGAATAATTTACTGTACCTTTCCCCTATCTTGATTTAGTTGTTTTCTTATTTTATAGATGACTCTGAATTCATGTTATTTTCTTTGGTACCTGCTTAGAAGTATGGAGGAAAAGTTTTGACTGAAGAAGGTGAATGGAAATGTGACTGAGACAGGAAACGTGACTGAGACAGGCTAAATTCTGATTAGACCTTGTATTAGGCCATTCTCACACTACTATAAAGGAATACCTGAGAGCTGAAAAGAGTTTTAATTGGCTCTCAGTTCTAGTGGCTGTACAGGAAGCATGGCACCAACATCTGCTCGGCTTCTGGGGAGGCCTCAGGGAGCTTTTACTCATGGCAAAAGGTGAAGCTGGAGCAGGCACATCACATGGTGACAGCAAGAGCAAGAGAGTTGGGGGGACGTGCCACACACTTTTAAACAACCCGATCTTAGGAGAATTCACTCACTATCATGAGGACAAACCATGAGGGATCCACCCCCATGACCCAAACGCCTCCCAGCAGGCCCACTTCCAACATTAGGGATTACATTGCTTTTTTTTTTTGAAACGGAGTTTCACTCTCGTCACCCAGGCTGGAGTGCAGTGGCGTAATCTCAGGTCACTGAAACCTCCGCCTCCTGGGTTCAAGCAATTCTCCTGCCTCAGCCTCCCAAGTAGCTGGGATTACGGGCACCTGCCACCATGCCCAGCTAATTCTTATATTTTAGTAGAGACATGGTTTCACCATGTTGGCCAGGCTGGTCTCAAACTCCTGACCTCAGGTGATCCGCCCACCTTGGCCTCCCAAAGTGCTGGGATTACAGGTGTGAGCCACTGTGCCCAGCCAGGGATTACATTTCAACATGAGATTTGGGTGTACGAATATCCAAACCATATAATTCTGCCCTGCCCCCTCAATTCTTATGTTCGTCTCCCATTTCAAAATACAACCATCCCTACTCAATAGTCCTGCAAAGTCTTAACTCATCCCAGTATTAACTCAAAAGTCTCAATTTCAAGTCCAAAGCCTCATCTGGAGATAAGTTTCTTCCACCAATGAGCCTATAAAATTAAAACAAGTTATTTACTTCCAAGATACAGTGGAGGTACAGGCATTGGCTAAACATTCCTGTTCCAAAAGGAATAAATCAGCCAAAAGAAAGGGGCTACAGGCCCTAAGCAAGTCCAAAACCCAGCAGGGCAGTCATTAAATATTAAAGCTCCAAAATAGTCTCCTTTGACTCCATGGCCCACATCCAGGGCACTCTGGTGTGAGGAGTGGGCTCCCAAGGCCTTGGGCAATCCATACCCATGGCTTTGCAGGGGACAGCCTCTGTGGCTGCTCTCACGGGTTGAAGTTGAGTGCCTGTAGCTTTTTCAGGCTCAAGGTCCAAGTTGCTGATGGATCTACCATGCCAGGATCTGGAGGATGGTGACCACCTTCCCACAGCTCCACTAGGCAGTACCCCATTGGGGACTCTGTATGGGTCCTCCCACCCCACATTTCTGCTCTGCACTGCCCACTGTAGTAGAGGTTGTCTGAGGGCTCTGCCCCTGCAGCAGGCTTCTACTTAGGCACCCAGGCTTTCTCATACATCTTCTGAAATCTTGGCAGAGGTTGCCAAGTCTCCTTCACTCTTGCACTCTATGTGCTCACAGACTTAACACCACATGGAAGCCACCAAGGCTTATGGCTTGCACCTTCCAGAGTGGTGGCCCACACTGTATCTGGGGCCCTTTGAGCCAAGGCTGGAGCTGGAGCAGCCTGGATGCAGGGAGCAGTGTCCCGAGGCTGTGCAGGGCAGCAGGGCCCTGGGATGGCTCAGGGAACGTTATTTTCTCTTAGGCCTGCGGGCCGGTGATGGGAAGGGCTGCCTCAAATATTTCTGAAATGCCTTCAAAGTCTTTTTCCCATTGTCTTGGCTATCAGAACCTGGCTCATTTTTAGTCATGCAGAACTCTGTAACAAGTGGTTGGATCTCTGCTGCCTGCTTGGATCCTTCCTCCAAAAAAGCTTTTTCTTTCTTTGCACGTGGCCAGGCTGCAAATTTTCCAAATGTTTACACTCTACTTCCCTTTTAATTATAAATTCCAACTGTAAGTTATTTGTTTGCTCCTGCCTCTGAGCATAAGTTATTAGAAACAGCCAGATCACATCTTAAATGCTTTGCTGCTCAGAAATTTCTTCTGCCAGATACCCTAAGTCATCACTCTTAAGTTCAAACTTCCACAGATCCCTAGGGCATGAACACAATACAGCTAAGTTCTTTGCTAAGGCATAACAAGGGTGACCTTTGTCCAGTTCCCAACAAGTTCCTCATTTCCATCTGAAATCTTGGCAGCCTGTACTTCACTGTCCATATCACTATCAACAATTTTGTCACAACAATTTAACTGGTCTCTAAGAAGTTCCAAACTTTCCTTCATTTTCCTGTCTTTTTTCTGAGCCCTCTGAACTCTTCCAAACTCTACCCATTACCCAGTTTCAAAGTTGTTTCCATGTTTTCTTTATAGCAATGCCTCACATCCGGTACCAATTTTTTGTGTTAGGCCGTTCTTGTGTTGCTATAAAGGAATACTCAAGACTGGGTAATTTATAAAGAAAAGAGTTTTAATTGGCTCACAGTTCTACCAGCTGTACAGGAAGCATGGCACCAACATCTGTTTGGCTCTGGGGGAGACCCCAGGGAGCTTTTGCTCATGGCAGGAGGTGAGTGGGAGCTTGCACATCACATGGTGAGAGTAGGGAGGGAGATGCCACACACTTTTAAACAACCAGATCTCACGAGAATTCACTCACTATTGCAAGGACAGCACTGAACCATGAGGGATCCACCCCTGTGACCCAAACACCTCATACCAGGCCCCACCTTCAACATGGGGATTATATTTTAACGTGCGATTTAGAGGGGATAACATCCAAACCATATCAGACCTCATGCAAGGTAAAATATTAGCAATAACTGGGATCATTTTCTTGTTACTAATTGGCTAACATTAGATTGGTTAGCATGAGGACTGGTGAAGAGCAGGCTTATGACGAGATTGGATCTAAGCAGATGAGCATATATGGTATTATTTAATATTATCTTGACAATTAGTAGAGATAGAATCAGCAAAGAGTGAACAGAATTGCCTAGTGTTATGTGTCATCAGGAATAAATTATAGCTTTTAAACTGAAATATTAGAGGGGCATAAGTAAATACGGCAGTTCCCCCAGTGGGTATAGTTTTGTTGGTTGTGGGATTCTACTGATCTGACCCTGGTATGACACTTCCCTTTTAACCCAACCTGAGTTGCCTATTAGGGTTCTTTCATGACTCAGAAAACAAAGCTATTTTTCTTTTTTTTTTTTTTTTTTTGAGATGGAGTCTCGCTCTGTCACTCAGGCTGGAGTGCAGTGGCGCGATGTCGGTTCACTGCAAGCTCCGCCCCATGGGTTCACGCCATTCTCCTGCCTCAGCCTCCTGAGTAGCTGGGACTACAGGCACCCGCCACCACGCCCGGCTATTTTTTTTTTTTTTTGTATTTTTAGTAGAGATAGGGTTTCACTGTGTTAGCTAGGATGGTCTCCATCTCCTGACCTTGTGATCCGCCCGCCTCAGCCTCCCAAAATGCTGGGATTACAGGCGTGAGCCACTGCACCCAGCCCAGCTATTTTTCTTTTGCACCTTTTTTCAAATGTTTTTATTTTATTTTCTTATATTTACCACCAACCTAGTAGTACTGCCTGTCACAATATCTCTAGGTCTCTGATTTATTGGTCTTTTAGTTTTATTGATCAATTCTGCTGGGATTTTTTGACAATTTATTTTCTATTTCATAATTTATTTTGTTTTTGTAATATTCGTTTATTTATTTATTTATTTATTTATTTATTTATTTATTTAGAAATGAGGTCTTGCTATGTTGCACTGGTTGGCTTCAAACTCCTGGGCTCAAAGTGATCCTTCCACCTCAGCCTCCTGAGTAGCTGCGACTACAGGCATGCACCAGCAAGCTCGGCTATTTTTATGGGATAGTTATATTTCTGCAAAACATAATTAACCCTTCCAATCTATAAACATGTATATATATTTGTTAATGTCTGTATGAGCATGGAGAAATGATTTGACAACATCAGAACCACATTTGTTACCTTGGAGGGGCAGAGGTGGGAAAGCAAAGTGGAATAGTGAGGAAGATTATTATTATTTTCTTTGTTTTGTTCTAGTGGTTATTTTGAATAGTTGATAACTGTGGATTGTTGTGTAATATTATAAAAAAGAGAATTTAGAAACTACCCGTATCTCTCAGATCTATGGCTCTCATCTACCTGCAAGTTCCTATCACCTCTTCCCTGCATTTCTGCAATAGCCTCATTGCATTTCTATTTTTGCCCTTTTCCAAATATTTTCCCATCTAATAGGCAAGATAATTCTTTGGAAACCTAAATGAGAACATGGCACTCTCTTGGTTAAAAGCCTTCAGTGGCCGGGCATGGTGGCTCATGCCTGTAATCCCAGCACTTTGGGAGGCCGAAGTAGGTGGATCACTTGAGGTCAGGAGTTCGAGACCCGCCTGGCCAACATGGTGAAACCCTGCCTCTACTAAAAATACAAAAATTAGCTGGACGTGCTTGCTTGAACCTAGGAGGTGGAGGTTGCAGTGAGCTGAGATTGTGCCACTGCACTTCAGGATGGGTGACTGAGTGAGACTCTGTCTCAAATAAATAAATAAATACCTTCAATGCCTTTCCTTATACTTTGAATAAATTTCAAACTTCCTTTCTCATGCTAAAATGCGCTGAGCAATCTACACCTACCCACCTCTCAAGTTCCTCCTCTTTGTTCAAGCTTTCCCCATGCCCACTGGACTCCAGCCCCAACCGTTAGCTACTGGAGTAGGAACAACTACATAGTCTTGCCTCAGGGCCTTCTTATATCCTACTCCTTATATTCTGCCACCTATTCTCTGCCTCAGATACTCTCTTCCCACCCTTTATTTTAAAAAAAATGTTTTTTTTTGAGTTGGAGTTTCATTCTTGTTGCCCAGGCTGGAGTGCAATGGCACGATCTTGGCTCACTGCAACCTCCGTCTCCTGGGTTCAAGGGATTCTCCTGCCTCAGCCTCCAGAGTAGCTGGGATTACAGGTGTGCACCACCATGCTTGGCTAATTTTTTATTATTAGTAGAGACAGGGCTTTACCATGTTGGCCAGGCTGGTCTTGAACTCCTGAGCTCAGGTGATCCACCTGCCTCAGCCTCCTAAAGTGCTGGTATTACAGGCGTGAGCCACCGTGCCCGGCCCCACCCTTTACTTTAGTAGCCCTTTCTTATCTTTCAGTGCTCGATTTAAATGTTACCTCCTCAAAGAAGCCTTCCCTGACTCATCTTGGTTCCATCTCCCCTTTCTATCTCTGCTATTTTTAACAAGTTTTTAAATATAAAATAAAGCACAGTTAGAGAAAACTACACAAAACAAAGCTTAAGGAGTTAAAGTGAACACCCTTGTAACCACCACCCAGGTCAAGAAATAGAATGTTGTGAGCCATCCCAGAGGCTCCTCCATTTGCCACATTCAAATCACAGCTCCCTCCTTCCCTGCAAAAGTAGCCACGATTCTTTTTTTTTTTTTTTTTTGCTGATTATTTCCTTGTGTTTCTTTATGGTTTTTATCATCTATGTATGCATTTCTAGACAGTATAGGGTTTTTAAAAATATATTTTCTTAGTGGTTACTATGGGGACTACAGTCAACATCTTTTTTTTTTTTTTTTTTTTTTTTGAGACGGAGTCTCGCTCTGTCGCCCAGGCTGGAGTGCAGTGGCGGGATCTCGGCTCACTGCAAGCTCCGCCTCCCGGGTTCACGCCATTCTCCTGCCTCAGCCTCCCAAGTAGCTGGGACTACAGGCGCCCGCCACTACGCCCGGCTAATTTTTTGTATTTTTAGTAGAGACGGGGTTTCACCGTTTTTTAGCCGGGATGGTCTCGATCTCCTGACCTCGTGATCCACCCGCCTCGGCCTCCCAAAGTGCTGGGATTACAGGCGTGAGCCACCGCGCCCGGCCCTACAGTCAACATCTTGAATTTATAACCCTCTAGTTTAAATTGATACCAGCATAGTTTTAATAGCATATAAAAATTCTGTACCTTTGTAGCTCCACCCCACTTTGTTGTCACAGCTTACATTTTTGTACATTGTATGCCCAGTAATATAAATTTAAAATTATTTTTAAGCATTTGCTTTTTAAATCATGTAGGAAATAAAATGGAGTTACAAACCAGACTTGCAGTATTACTGGCTTTTATTTGTATGCAGTTACTTTTACCGGAGATCTTCATTTCTTCATATGGCTTCAAGTTACTATCTAGTGTCATTTTGTTTCAACTTGAAGGCTGCCCTTTAGCATTTCTCACAGGGCAGGTCTACAGGTAACGAGCTCCCCTAACTTTTGTTCGCCTGGGAATGTTTTATTACTCCATTTTTGAAGGGCAGTTTTGCTGGATATAGAATTCTTTGTTGATAATATTTTGTTTTCTTTCAGCACTTTATTATTTATTTTTTAATAGAGACAGGGTTTTGCCATGTTGCCCAGGCTGGTTTTGAACTCCTGAGCTCAAGCAATCCACCCACCTCAGCCTGGGATTACAGGTGTCCACCACTATGCTCAGCCTCTTTTGAAGCAGTTTATTTTATTTTTATTTTTATTTTTATTTATTTATATTTTTTGAGATGGAGTCTTGCTGTGTCACCTAGGCTGGAGTACACTGGCACGATCTCGGCTCACTGCAACCTCTGCCTCCCAGGTTCAAGTGATTCTCCTGCCTCAGCCTCTCAGGTGGCTGGGATTATAGGCTTGCGCCACTATGCCTGGTTAATTTTTGTATTTTTAGTTGGGCCGGAGTTTCACCATATTGACCAGGGTGGTCTTGAACTCCTGACCTCAAGTGATCCGCCCACCTCAGCCTCCCAAAGTGCTGGGATTACAGGCATGAGCCACCGTGCCTGGCCTAAACCTTTTTTCTTTGTAAATTACCCAGTCTCAGTCATTTCTTTATATTAATAGCAGTGTGAGAATGGACTAATACACAGACCTACACAATAATTTGTGAATAAGATTTGCTCTGCTGTCTCTGGAACCAGAGAACAGGGTCTTAAACTGGGAATGCAGGGTGCCATCTTCTAAACCACCACCAAGCCAGAGGAGTGGGGCAAGGATGAGTAAAAATGCCACAAAGCTCTCCTGCCATTTTAGTTTCTTTTTTTGTTGTTGTTTCAGTGTTCACCTTTGACTGTTTTTCAAAGTCCTGAAAAAGTTGGCTTTGACAGTTTCTGTTTGTTTTTCTATGTTTCTGTGGAGGAATAGGAGTTTAGAGCTACCTAATCTGCTATTTTGCTGATGTCACTCCCCTATATACTATAGTATTGCCCATTTTTTAAAAACTTGATATTTCAATATCTCTCTTAATCTGGTTTCCTATCTCTTTTATCTTTTCTTTCTCTTTAAAAATTATCACATATTAAAATTGACTTTTTAAAAACACATCTATACCATTTTTAAAAATTTATTTTTTCTGGCAATAAAATACTTTATTGGTACTGTTTAATAAACGTCAAAAACATAGTAACATTTCCATTGGTTAGCTTCCATCTTTAAACTAAAAGCTAGTTTAAAAACAATAGGAGGAAAAGTAAACTCATTTGATTCTCTCGAAAAACAAGCTGTAACTTACCTTTGCAAATAATTACGTTATCTCACTTTAAATATTATAATTCACTGGTCTTTGTAATACACAATTGTATTAATATATAAAAGGAGACAGTGGCCTGATTTTGCAGAGAATATTTCACACATCTTTAAAAAAATCCCTAAACACTACCACAACTCAAAACTTGTAAGAATAATTAGGTAAGAGTTATTATAATATTGAATTAATATAGCACCTAGAAATTTGAAATTTGTAATATTTCAGATGATATGATTTACTGAGAAAAAGAGTAATGATTTTTCTTCAGTGAATTTTCAGGGGTTTACATACTAATAGAATTCAACATAGGTCTCTTTTAAAAGCTGAAGGTTAAAAAATTTATGCATGCTAGGAATTGACCTGATGGTAACAGATCCATGTGTGACAAATAATCACACATAGTGCAGTCCTATCTGAATATAATTTCTTCTTCACTTTGTCTCATTAATTTATACCTCAAAACATTCTATATGCAAGTGATATATTTCTCTAAAACATTCCATATTTCAGATTTCCATTCAGACTATCTTCCCCTCCTCCTCTCTTTTCTCAAATCAGAGTGACCTTGTGGTATACCATTTGCTTTTTCTCCCCACAATGAAACTCTTTTTCAACTCAAAGTATTATAGTAATGCAAATACAAATGTAGCATATATTAATATATTAGAAAAAAGGATAGCAAATACATATGGGTCCATGCCAAATGAGAAAATCGAAAGCAAAAACAAAACCTTGCTATGCTCATCTATTCTGAACCACCATGGGAAGACCCTGATGTAGCTGGCGCACATAAACTAATGTTCCCAGACACAGCTAGGATCCTGTACTCCAACATAATTAAATGCTCTGTTAAAAAGGTTTCCGTGTTCTTTTCTGTTTGTGCAAAATAGTCTATAGCAACTCTGACTACTAATCCTGAGCATGATGATAATGTAATAGCATTATATTTTTAATCAAGCCATAGATTCTAACCTGTTTTCTACTATTACCCATTTGCTTAAAAACAGACTTTCAGGAGGCTAAGCAACAGTAAGTTAAGGAGTTTTTATTTCTACCTTTCTCTTGATTGATTGATTGAGGATTTCAGATGTGTCAAATAATTATCCTCTGCTTCAGTGGAAAAGGATTCTTCAAGCTATCAAATCAAGCACGCTGACTCAGGGGTGGGCAGATGAAGATACCTGTCCACACACTATGCTCATAGCACTCCATCTCCTCTGTAAGAATGTGCTGCTCTTCACCCAACAGCAGCCCAGCACATTCCATCCGCTCCACCTAGATGCAATCAGGACACCATGCAATCCCACACACAATCAGAACATGGGCACCAGGTAGAACTAACTCAAAACAACTTTTGGGACAAATACGAGATTTTAATTTGTCAATTATTCCATAGTGCAGTATTTTCACAAAACAGAGACTTTGTGTTGAAACATTTGTTTTTTTCATCTCTCATCAAGTTGAACTGCTAAAGTAATGTCAGAAAGGAAAAATAAACATGTCTTCTCCAAAAGAGGCACTGCATCCGGAAGTGGAATTAAGGCTAAATAAATAGTGCTGGTTTGCGGTTCACACAGTAACGCATTAATTATGATTTCAACCAACAGCTTCGCTGTTTGTCCTGTATGCCTGTTTATGAAGATGCGTCTCTATTTCCTCCCTGAAGACCAGCATTCCCAGGTGGGAGCGAGAGGCCTCATTTATGGCTTTAGACTGGATGCACATGCGGTACTGCTCGGGGGTCAGCTCATCAGCACAGCGTTTTTCAGGCCAGAGGTGGAAAAGACCAGTAACCGGAGTCCAAATCACAATGAGGTCACCATGTAAGTATTTTTGACAAAGATGAACATCTTCTCCACCCCAACCTTTCACTTCCATGTCAAATCTACCAATGATCAGGAAATCAGATCGATACTGACAAGTCATTCCAAAGCCAAAATCTCTCCAAAAGCCAGAATCCTTTTTGTGAACCAGCTGCTGCTCCACAGGTGATGGCACTTCCTCGTTGGCATAAACAATGGCAGGATTGTAAAGACTGAACACCACAGGGTAAAACACCTTCTTACCAGGCTCAGCATTTAACTGTCAGCTGTTAAGGAATTCGGCTGAGAAATAGATATCAACATCACAGAAAAACATAAAGACCTCTCCCTTGTCCCAAGCTCGGGCACCCACATTTAGTCCTCATCCACGATTAAATTCTTCATTCAATGGACCACAGTGTAATTGTGAAAATTAGACTCACTTGTGACAAATTCTAGGCTAGACTTGACTTTAGACAGTCCTTCGTTACCAAAATACACTACTGTGAGATGAATCTTGTCTTGATGAATACAAACCTCCCTGAAGTTCTGCATAAACTGTACAAGTGCTTCAGTTCTTTCAGCAAGTGGCATAATGATATTAATAATAATTGATCTAATGATGTCAATCATCTTGCTCTTCACTTTCATGAGAGGTCCAAAAGGGCGGAAGAGGGTCACATGTCTATATTCCATAAAATCTGCTTTCTTAAAAAAGAGTTCATACTGCATGCCTTTATCTCCAGTCTAACCCTCCTATCCACTCCCCTCACCTCTAACTTCTGACAACCAATAATCTGTTCTCTAATGACAGTGTTGTCATTTCAAGACTGTCATATAAATGGAACCATCCATTTTAGTTTAGTTTTGGTTTGGTTTGGTTTTTGCTTTAGAGACAGGGTCTCACTCTGTTGCACAGGCTGGAGTGCAGTAGGGCAATAACTTAAAAAAATCATAATTTTTTAAAACTTTTATGTGAAGTACAGAGGTATACATGCAGGATGTGCAGGTTTGTTATATAGGTAAACATGTGCCATGGTGATTTGCTGCACAGATCATCCCATCACCTAGGTATTAAGCCCAGCATGCGTTAGCTATTCTTCCTGATGCAACTCCTCCCCCCACCTCCTCCCACATGTGCCCAGTGTATGTTGTCCTTACCATGAGTCCATCTCTCATCATTTAGCTCCCACTTATAAGTGAGAACATGTGGTATTTGGTTTTCTGTTCCTACATTAGTTTGCTGAGAATAATGCCTTCCAACTCCATCCATGTCCTTGCAAAGGACATGATCTCATTCCTTTTTGTGGCTGCATAGTAGTCCATGGTGCATATGTACCACATTTTCTTTATCCAGTCTATTATTGATGGGCATTTAGGTTGATTCGATGACTTGGTGCAATCACTTTTGAGGCTGGCTTTTTTCATTCATTGTAATGGCTTTGAAATTCATCCAAGCTGTTGTGCGTATACATGGTTTGTTTTTATTGCTGAACAGTATTCCATTGTATGGATATACCCACAGTTTATTCTGTTCTTTGAAGGGCATTTGGATTGTTTCCCAATGTTTGTCAATTATAAATAGAGCTGCTATAAACATTCATATCGAGGATTTTTGTTTTTGCTTTTTTAAAAAGAAAACTCTTTATTTATTTATTTTTGAGACAGAGTCTTGCTCTGTCACCCAGGCTGGAGTGCAGTAGCATGATCTCAGCTCCCTGCAACCCCCGCCTCCCAGGTTCAAGCTATTCTCCTGCCTCAGCCTCCTGAGTAGCTGGGATTATAGGTGCCCGCCACCATGCCTGGCTAATTTTTTTATTTTTAGTAGAGATAGGGTTTCACCATGTTGGCCAGGCTGGTCTTGAACTCTTGACATCAGATGATCCACCCGCCTCGGCCTCTCAAAGTGCTGGGAGTACAGGCATCAGCCACTGAACCCAGCCACTCTTTGTTTTCAAATAATTATAGATTCACAGAAAGTTGTAAAAATAGTATAAGGAAGTCCTATGTACCCTTCACCCAGTTTTAGCTAATGGTAATCACTTGTGTAACTATAGTACAATATCAGAACTATGAAATTGGTGTTGATAAAATGTATAAACTGTATTCAGATTTCACCAGTTTTGCATGTACTCATTTGTGTGTATATAGGCCTATGCATTTTTATTATTTTAAAACAATTTTTTTTCTTTTCCTGTCCACGCCCACACCAGTGGCCAGGAAGCAGGCCGCATTTTTTAAAATAACAGTTTTATTGAGACATAATTCACATATCATACAATTCTCCCATTTAAAATGTGCAGTTCATCGTTTTTTAGTATATTAAAGAATTTTGCCTCTATCGCTGCCAGTAATTTAAAAACATTTTATCACTCCCCCCGTGCCCCAAACTCTGTATCACTTAACAGCCACTAGCCTTTTTTCCCTACCCTTGCCATAGACAAAAGGAATCTACTTTCTGTTTCTATGGATTGCCTATTTTGGACATATCATATAAATGGAATCATACAATATGTAATCTTTTGTGACAGGCACTTTTCACTTAACAGTGTTTTGAAAATTCATCCATGTTGTGGCATGTTTCAGTAATTTATTTTTTACTGCTGAATAATGTTCCATTGTATAGATATACCACATTATGTTTATTCATTTATTAGTTGATGGACATTTGGGCTGCTTTCATTTTTTGGCTATTATGAATAATGCTGTGATGAATATCCATGTACAAGTTTTTTATGGGCATATATTTTCATTTCTCTTTGTTATATACCTAGGAGTGGAATTGCTAGGTCATATGTTAACTCCATACTTAACCTTTTGAGGAACTGCCAGATCAGTTTCAAAGCAGCTGTATTATTTTACAATCCCACCAGCAATGTATGTAGGTTCCAATTTTGCCACTTTTTTTTTTTTTTGAGACAGAGTCTCACTCTGTTGCCCAGGCTGGAGTGCAGTGGCACAATCTTGGCTCACTGCAACTTCTGCCTCCCAGGTTCAAGTGATTCTCCTGCCTCAGGCTCCCAAGTAGCTGTGATTACAGGTGCCTGCCACCACACCTGGCTAAGTTTTGTATTTTTAGTAGAGATGGGGTTTCACCATGTTGGCGAGGCTGGTCTCAAACTCCTGACCTCAGATGATCCGCCCACCTTGGCCTCCCAAAGTGCTGGGATTACAGGCGTGAGCCACTGCGCCCGGCTGTCATTTTGATTTTAGCAATCCTAATGGGCATGAAGTGGCATCTAACTGTGGTTTTGATTTGCGTGTTTCTGATGTTTAATATGATATTGTACATCTTTTCATGTGTTTATTGGCCATTTGTACATCTTCTTTGGAGAAATGTCTATTTCAGCCTTTTGTTCATTTGAAATTTGGTAATTTGTCTTTTTATTTTTGAATTTTAAGAGGTTTTTTTTTTTTTTTTTTTTTTTTTAGAGTCTCACTCTGTTGCCCAGGCTGGAGTGCAGTGGTGCGATCTTGGCTCACTGCAACCTCCACCTCCCGGGTTCAAGTGATTCTCCTGTCTCAGCCTCCTGAGTAGCTGGGATTACAGGCACATGCCACCACCCCTAGCTAATTTTTCTATTTTTAGTAGAGACAGGGCTTTGCCATGTTGGCCAGGCTGTTCTTGAACTCCTGACCTCAGGTGATCCGCCCACCTCTGCCTCCCAAAGTGCTGGGATTACAGACATGAGCCACCACGCCTGGCCTTAAGAGGTATTTATTTATTCTATATATTCAAGTCCCTTATCAGATATATGATTTGCAAAAATTTTCTCCCATTATGTGGGTTGTATTTTCACTTTCTTGATAGTATTATTTGCAGCAGAAAAGTTTTTAATTTTGATAAAGTCCAATTTACCTTTTTTTTTGCTTGTGCCTTTGGTCTCATATCTAAGAAACCACTGCTTAATTCAAGTTCATGAAGATTTATGCCTGTTTCTTCTTAGAGTCTTAAAATTTTATCTCTTACACTTGAGTCTTTCATCCATTTTAGTTTAGTTTAGTGTTTTTTGTTTGTTTGTTTGTTTGTTTTGTTTTTGTTTTTTTAGACAGTGTCCCACTTTGTCGCACAGGCTGGAGTGCAGTGGTGCAGTCATAGCTCACTGCAGCCTTGAACGCCTGGGCTCAAGTGATCCCCTGACCTCAGCCTCCAGAGTAGCTGGGACTACAAGCATGTGCCACTATACCCGGCTGATTTTTAAAACATTTTTTGTAGAGACAGGATCTCACGATGTTGCCCAGCTGGCCTCAAGTGATCCTCCCCTTGGCCTCCCAAAGTGCTGAGATTACAGGTGTGAGACACCATGCCCAGCCCTGTCGTCCATTTTCAATTAATTTTTGTATGTGGTGTGAAGTAAGAGTCCAACTTAATTATTTTGCAGGTGGATATCCAGTTGTCCCAAAATTCTGTGCAGTTTTAACACGTGCATAGATTTGTGTAACCACCATCAAAATAAAGATATAGGACTTTTTGTAACCACAAAGATCCTCCTACCTCTGTATAGTCACACTCACCTCTTCTCCTCCCATGTCCCTAAACTTGGCAACCATTAATCTGTTCTCCATCTTTGTAATTTCATCATTAAGGATGTTATATAAATGGAATCTTTTGAGATTGGCTTTTCCACTCAACATAATTCCCTTTAGATCCATCTAATTTGTTGTGTGTATCAGTAGGGTTTTTTTTGTTTTGTTTTGTTTTTAATGTGTGTTGATTCTTTGAGAGTTTCTACGTAAACAGTCATGTCGTCTGAGGATAGGGATGATTTTATTTCTCCCTTTCCAATATTTATTCCTTTATTTCATTTTTCTTGCCTTATTGAGCAAGTTAGAACTTCCAGTACTATGTTGAATCACCGTGGTGAGAAGCACACATTCTTGCCTTTTTTTCTGATCTTTGGAGAAAGCATTGTCTTTCAACTTTTTTTTTTTAATGGAGGCCAGCGACCCCCATGCCACTGCCACTGCCACCCCTAACCTTAAGTATGATGTTAGCTCTAGTTTTTTGGTGGATATTCTTTACTAGGTTAATGAAGTTACCTTGTATTCCTAGTTTGCTAAGAGCTTTTATCATGAATGGATGTTGAATTTAGTCAAATGCTTTTTCTACATTGTTTGATATGATCATGTGGTTTTTATTTTTTAAGCCTGTTGATATGTGGATTACATTGATTTTCAAATATTGAACCAGACTTGTATACCTAGAATAAACCACAATTAGTTGTGAGGTATAATTATTATTATTATTATTATTTGTACTGTCTTTGTCTGATTTTGGTCTCAGGGTAATACTGGCCTCATAAAATCAGTTGGAATTCCCTCCCTTTTTCTGGCAAAAATTATGAAGAATTTGTATTAATTCTTTAAATGTTTGGCATAATTCTTAGTGAAACCATCTGGGCCTGGAGATTTTTCTTTTAGGAATTTTTAAACTATAAGTTTAACTTCTTTAATGGTTATAAAGCTATTCACAAATTATTTATTTTGTATTGGATGAGTTGTGGTAGTTTGTGCTTTTTGAGAAATTGGTCTATTTAATCTAAGTTATCAAATCTATCCATGCAGAGTTGTTCATAGTATTCTCTTATTATCCTCTTTTATTCCTGATATTGGTGAATTGTGTCTTCTCTGTTTTTTCTTTGTCAGTCTTTCTAGAGGTTTATCAATTTTATTGATTTTTTTTCCCCAAAGAATCACCTGTTTGTTTCAGTCATCATCTGTATGGTTTTTCTGTTTTCAACTTCCTTGATTTATGCTCTTAACATTGTTACTTCCTTTCTTCTGTTTGCCTTGCTATTGTTGTTCTAGTTTCTTAAGGTGAGATGGGTACTTAGATTATTTGTTTGAGTGTTTTCCTTTTCTTCTTTTTCTTCCCCCCCACCCCCCACCCCCGGGGGATTCTCTTTAATTTAATTTAATTTTTAATTTTAGAATCGGGGGTACATGTACAGGTTTGTTACATGGGTATATTGCATGATGCTGAGGTTTGGGCTTCTAATGATTCTATTGCCCAAGTGGCAAATGTAGTACCCAATAGGTAGTTTTTCAACCTTTGTCCCCCTCCCTCCCTCTGTCCTCCTTTTTTTTTTTTTTTTTTTTGCGATGGAGCCTCGCTCTTGTCGCCCAAGCTGGAGTGCAATGATGCGATCTCGGCTCACTGCAACCTCCACCTCCTGGGTTCAAGCGATTCTCCTGCCCTAGCCTCCCTAGTAGCTGGGATTACAGGCGCCCACCACCATGCCTGGCTAATTTTTTGTATTTTTAGTACAGACACGGTTTCACTATGTTGGTCAGGCTGCTCTCGAACTCCTGACTTCAGGTGATCCGCCTGCCTTGGCCTCCCAAAGTGGTGGGATTACAGGTGTGAGCCCCCGCACCCAGCCCTGTCCTCCTTTTTTCTAATGTAAGTGTTTAGTCCTATAAATTTTGTTGTCACCACTGCTTTAGCTGCATTCCGTACATTTTGATATATTGTATTTTTATTTTCATTCAGTTTTATATATTTTTTAAATTTCCCTTGAGACTTCTTCTTTGACCTATGGTATATTTATGTGTGTTGCTTAATTTTCAAATGTTTGGAGATTTTCCCATTGTCTTTTAGTTATTAATTTCTAGTTTAACTTGTGCTCAGAAAATATACTCTATGGCTTTAGTTCTTTTAACATAGTTTCAGTCCTTTTGTTTAGGTTTATTTTATGACCCAGGATATGATCTGTTTTGGTGAAGATTCCATGTGCTCTTTAAAAGAACATCTGCTCTGCTGTTGGTGGGTGAAATATTCTGTAAATGTCAATTAGACCTTGATGGTTGATGGTGGTGTTCAGTCCTTCTATATCCTTTTTGATTTTGATCTGTTATTTGTTGAGAGAGAAATGTTACAAGTTTTAAATACAATTGTGGACTTATCTATTTGCACTTTCCTATCTATTAGTTTTTGCTTCATGTATTTTGCAGTCTGTTGTTTGGTGCATATAATTCCATTTTCATTTATTTATATAGGTTATGAATATATATTTTATATGGATATTTAAGTGGTTGTTCTAATTATTGCATTATACATAAGTAATTTACCACAGTCTTCTACTGTCAACATTTTAACCTTTGGGAAGTTTTCAGCTATTATTTTTTCAGAACTTTTTCAGCCCCCTAGTCTTTCTATTTTTCTGCTGGAACTCCAGTGATACGAATGTTCTGTTTTTCTTCATTGTCCTTTAGGACCCTGAGGCTCTGTTCATTTCTTTTTAGTCTGTTTTCTCTCTTGTTCACATTGGGTAATTTTTGTTGTTCTATATTCAAGTTCACTGATTTTTTTCTTCTGTCATATTCATTCGGCTATAGCCCATCCAGTGAGTTTTAAAATTTTTATTGTTTTATTTTTTAATTCTAAAATTTTCATTTGGTTCTTTTTTATATGTTCTGTTTCTTTGCTGAGACTTCTTTTCATTTGTTTCAAGCATACTTTAAATTGCTTGTTGAAGCATTTTTATAATGATTGCTTTAAAATCCTTGTCAGATCATTCCAACATCTGTGTCAGCTCAGCACTGGAGTCTGTGGATTTTATTTTCTCATTCATATTGAGATTTTTCTGATTCTTGGTATAAGTGATTTTCTATTGTATTTTTGACATTTTAGGTATTGTGTTGTGAGACTAAACATCTTATTTCTGGCTGGGCATGGTGGCTCATGCCTGTAATCCCAGCACTTTGGGAGGCCGAGGTGGGCAGATCACCTGAGGTCAGGAGTTTGAGACCAGCCTGGCCAACATCTAGTGAAACCCCGTCCTACTAAAAATACAAAAATTAGCTGGGCATGGTGGTGCACGCCTTATAGTCCCAGCTACTTGGGAAACTGAGGCAGGAGAATCACTTGAACCAGGAAGGCAGAGGTTGCAGTGAGCTGAGATTGCACCACTCTACTCCTGCCTGGGCGACAGAGCAAGACTCCGTCTCTCTCAAAAAAAAAAAAAAACAACCAAAAACATCCTGTTTCTTTTTCCTTTTTTGCAGGCAGTCACCCTGGGTTAAATGTGGTGTGCAGGTCTGTGTTGGAGTGGATATACAGCTTTCTGCTGGACCCTGCTGACACTGGCAAAAGTGAAGCACCTTGCCCCATCTTGTTGCCAATGGATGGAAGTGAAAGTTTAGTTCCCCACTCAGCCTTGCAGATACCTCCCTGGCAAAAGCATAGAACTGACTCACATCACTTTGTTGCTGCTGGGTGAGATTGTAAGTTCTGCTCCCTGTCGGGCCTTGTCGACTGACACAGGGATTAGAGAGAAGCAGAATACTGCCACACTGTTTTGTTCTACCTTGTTGGCACTGTGGGGAAGGAGGGAAGTTCACCTCACTGCCAGACCCCTTCCAGGTGGGGGAATGCGGAATGGAGGGATGACTTGCACCAACTCATTGCTGTCAGGTAGGGATGGCCCCACTAATACTACCCCAGTGGGGAAACTGGAGGGCCATCTAGCACCACTTCTCATAGCCTGGTTCCACCTCTTTGCTACTGGGGAGATAGGGTGGAAGTTCACTCCTGTTTGGTCCTGCTGATACCACCCCTGTGGGGGAGGCGCAGGGCCTAGTTGCCCTGCCTAACTGCTGCCATGTGGAGGCAGACATGGGTATCTCTGTTTGGCACAGCTGACACCACAGGGAAGGGGGAAATTTTCCTTTGATGTTTGATTAGGGTAGAGTGGATATTATCAAAAAGATTTTCTCTTCTGCTAGGCCACCCTTTTCCTAGTCATTTAACTAAAGGAAACAGAAAGGGGCTCTTTTTTTGGGTCTGGGCCTATTGGCAGTTTCAGGTTGCAGGCTTCTCCAGCGCCCCATCTGGGATTTATGGTAGACAGCTCATTAGTGTAGTGTTCTTTAGGTCCTAAGGTCTCTAGGTAATCCACCTTGTCCTTTCCACCTTTCAAAGTCTTCCCATGCTTGATTGTTTTTACATCAAGGTTTTCTGTTTTATTTTAAGAGGGAGGAGTAGTGAGAAATGGGTCATTGATTTTTTTAAAAAGATACTTAATTCTTTCTTTCTACTTTCTTTGGTTATGCTATTTTGTTACTTACCTGTATTTTTGAGGTGACTGTTTAGTGCATTTATTGTCAATGAAAATAATTCATGTATTGGCTGGTCGTGGTCACTCACGTCTGTAATCCCAGCAATTTGGTAGGCTGAGATGGTTGGATCACTTGAGTTCAGGAGTTGAAGACCAGCCTGGGCAACATGGTGAAACCTGTCCCTCCAAAAAAAAAATACAAAAATTAGCTGGGCGTGGTGGCTTGTGCTTGTAGTCCCAGCTACTTGGGAGGCTGAGGTAAGAGGATGGATTGAGCCCAGGAGGAGGAGGTTGCAATGAGCCAAGATCATGCCACTGCACTCCAGCCTGGGCAAAAGAGCCAGACCCTGTCTCCAAAAAAAAAAAAAAATTCATGTATTATCAGTTGAAATACATTTGAATATATTGGAATAAATAAGTGAATGTAATGCTGCAACTTTCTTATGAGTACCACTTTAGCTGCATAGTATAGGTTTTGATGGGTTCCGATTTTCCTGCTGATTATTTTTACAGTTTGTAATTTCTGTTTTGATTCTCTGTTTAACTCAAGGGTTATTTAGAAGACTGTTTTTCAAATGCCAAGTGGATAGATGATAAGCAGAGCTGCGCTTTGTGCCTGTAGATTTCCACATAAGCCCAGGCAGGCCCTCAGAGAGCTAGGGTTTTCCTGAAAAGCTTTCATGTACAAATGAGATTGGAAATTTGGTTCCCTGCTATTTTTTCCCTATCTTTATTCTTCAGGTGTTTATTGTATACTCATTATATGCAATAAGTCTAAGTTGCTTTCCTTTGATGAGGAGGAAAAGAAAGTTAATACATAGTTCCCACCCTTCAGAAGTGTAGTATTTAATTAGCGTGATGATATGTATACACAAAGCAGTTAAATAGCAGTACTTGACAATAGTGACTAAATTACTCACCACGGGAGTTCATACACAAGGAAAATCAGTGGCGGCTAAAGTAATTGGGGGAAAGACCTGTTGGAGGAGGGAGAAGTATTTGAGTTGGACCTTAAAGGGTAAGTAAGATGTAAATATGCACAGAGGAAATGAAAGGATGTTGCTGGCTGAGAAACTGGCATATCCAAAGGCTACCATGGTAGGGAAATGGGAAAGCTAAATTAGGTTGGCAGTGGAAGATGAATTCAGTTTTAGTTGTGTTGGGTTTTAGATGATATAGGACATGTAATGGGGAGATACTCTGGAAATTATTGATCCCCATTTCGTGATAAATTAGTTGAGCTTAACCTTGTCCAAAACAGTAGTCTGTTCTCTCTTGGCTTGGTCAGAGGAATACAGTGTTCTGGTTTGGATGTATTTTAGTTGAATGTATGTGTCACAGGTGGTGTACCAGGTATCTTCTACTTAACCCTCCTGATCTACTCTTCACCCTTTTATACCCTGCTCTGTGCTGCCGGAGAACAAACTATGTGGATTACATCAGTGAGTTCCTTTCCCATTTTTGGCTTCTGGTAGGGTTTGAGCAGTGGAGATCCCTGGCAGGACATCACAGGAAGGGAAGAAATTGAGGTCAGGGTGTGTATTTCTGGCTTCCTCCTTGCAGGATTGCCTCAGGCTAGCTACTGTCCCTTAACTAAAGGTCACAGCTTTCTCGTGAGGACTCTCTGTATCACATTCTTCTTTTTTCTTCTATGTGTTTCTTCCCTCATCCTCTTGTGCATTGGGTAGTAATGGCCCCAAGTTATGCATTCTCTCTCTCTGCTGGTTTTCCTACACCCTGCCCACACCTTTGTAGATAGTCCTTTTGTTAAACTTTCCACCAATTATGCTAATTTGAATGTGCCATCTGTTTCCTGCTGGGACCCTGACTGATACAGATGAGGTCTCAATTTTCAAAGAATTAGAATCCAATGAAATAAGCCTAACAAAATATGACTAAATGTGATTCAATCTGTCTCTCTCTGATTAATGTAGGCTCTTGCAGTGCTTTCAGATAATCATTCTGAACTGCAGTCTTTAGCGTATAGATGTGTTGAGAGTGACAGTTCATGGAATATTAATAATAAGTAGCATTTATTACTTACTTACTCTTTCCATGCACCATGCTAGGCTTTTTTTTTTTTTTCTTTTTAGACGGAGTCTCACACTGTTGCCCGGGCTAGAGTGCATGGCACCAACTCGGCTCACTGCAACCTCCGCCTCCCCGGTTCAAGCAATTCTCCTGCCTCAGCCTCCCGAGTAGCTGGGATTATAGGCACCCACCACCATGCCCAGCTAATTTTTTGTATTTTTAGTAGAGACAGGGTTTCACCATGTTGGCCAGGCTGGTCTCGAACTCCTGACCTCAGGTGATTCGTCCGCCTAGCCTCCCAAAGTGCTGGGATTACAGGCGTGAGCCACCATGCCTGGCTGCTAGGCATGTTTTTATGTGCGTTGTTTCACTTAATCTCCACAGCAACCCTAGGAAGTGGTAATTGTATCTCTTTTTTTTTTTTTTTTTTTTTTTTTGGAGACAGAATCTCACTCTTTTGCCAGGCTGGAGTGCAGTGGCACGATCTCGGCTCACTGCAACCTCTGCCTCCCGGGTTCAAGCAATTCTCCTGCCTCAGCCTCCCTGTTTATCTCCTTTTTATGGGCAAGGAAACTAAGGCTCAGAGAGATTAAATAGCCTACTGAGATTTCATAGCTAAAAAACAGTGGAACTGGGATTGAAATTCAGGTCTGCCTGACTGCATAGCTCATGTTCTAAAATAAAAATGTGGTCTTCAGATTAGCAGCATTGGAGAGCTTGTTAGAAATGTAGAGTCTCAGGCTTTACCTCATGCCTACTAAATTAGAATCTGCATTTTAGAAATATCCCAGGTGATTCACATTCATATTAAAGTTCGAGAAGCAGGGCTGGACATGGTAGCTCATGCCCATAATCCCAGCACTTGGGGAGACCAAGGCAGGCAGATCACTTGAGTTTGGAAGTTTGAGACCAGCCTGGGCAAAATGGCAAAACCTTGTCTCTACAAAATAAACTGTGTGTGTGTGTGTGTGTGTGTGTGTGTGTGTGTGTGTGTGTATCACCCAGGTGTGGTGGTGCATAACCTGTAGTCCTAGCTACTTGGGAGGCTGAGGCAGGAGGATCACCTGAGCCCAGGAAGGTCGAGGCTGCAGTGAGCCACGTTCACACCACTGCACTCCAGTCTGGGTGACAGAGCAAGAACTTGTCTTAAAAAAAAAAAGAAAAACAAAAGAAAATTTGAGAAGCAATACTATAAACCATGTTGTTATTACAGTCTGCCTATTACAGACTGCTATAGAAAGTTCTGTTTGATTGATGCTGGGTACAAAGAGCATTTACCCTTCTATGCTCTTTAACACTGATGTCATATGGCTTTCTAGCTGGAATCTGACAAGCCAGTGCTGCCATTTTTGAGACAAGGGCATTGAGATTCAGTTGGGAAACTAACTTGGTGAGAGATGCCAGGAAACAGCATGAACTGCTGTTGTTGTGGAAAGGAGAGCTTGGCCTCAGGTCACTGCCAGGAATTTTTTGTGGTTGGAGTTCAAGGATGCACCATTAACTGCTGTGCTTAGAAATTCCCAAATTCATGTATACTTGGCTAGTTCTCAGAAAAACTGGTGCATTCAAAAAGTTTTATTTGGCTGGGCATGGTGGCTCACGCCTGTAATCCCCGCACTTGGGGAGGCCGAGGTAGGTGGATCACCTGAGGTCAGGAGTTCGAGAACAGCCTGGCCAACATGGTGAAACCCCATCTCTACTAAAAATACAATAATTAGCTGGGTGTGGTGGCGGGCGTCTGTAATTCCAGCCACTTGGGAGGCTGAGGCAGGAGAACCGCTTGAACCCAGGAGGCGGAGGTTGCAGTGTGCCGAGATCACGCCATTGCACTCCAGCCTGGGTGACAAGAGTGAAACTCAGTCTCAAAAAACAAAACAAAACAAAAACGTTGATTTAATGTCCTTAGACTCTCCTTTCTAGTGTTCACTTCCCACCCTCATTTCATAGTCACTACCTCTCCTCCATGTCCATCATGCCACCCTTTTCTTGTTTCTGTTGATACCTGCTTTAAGAAAGCATATCAGATGATAAATCTATGAAAAGTGCTCTATCTCACTGGTAATGAGGGAAATTCAAACTAAAACCACAATGAGATACTACTGCACACCCATCAGAAGAGCTCAAATGAAAAAAGACTGACATTACCATGTATTGGTGAAGATGGGGATTTATTGGAACTTTTGTACACTATTGGTGGTTATATAAATTGGTACAACTGCTCTGAAAAGCTATTTGGCAGTGTCTACCAAAACTGAACTTAGGCATACCCCAATGACCAAGTAATACCACTCCTAGATATTTAACCAAGAGAAAATCTCCCACATGTACATAAGGATACACGTATATATGTAGATGTCCATTGAAGGATTTTGTTTGAGACAGTAAGAAACGAAAAGCAACCTAAATGATCATCAACAGAATGAATACATCAACTATGATGTATTCATCTGATGGGATTCCATGCAGCAGTTAAAATGAATGAATTATAGCTGTATGTAGCAACACAGAACTATAGCAAAATATATGAAAACCATACTGTTGGCCAGGCACGGTGGCTCACACCTGTAATCCCAGCACTTTGGGAGGCCAAGGCGGGCGGATCACCTGAGGTCAGGAGTTCGAGACCAGGCTGGCCAACATGGTGAAACCCTGTCTCTACTAAAAATACAAAAATTAGCTGGGCATGGTGGCAGGCACCTGTAATCCCAGCTACTCGGGAGGCTGAGGCAGGAGAATCGCTTGAACCCAGGAGGCGGAGGTTGCAGTGAGCCGAGATTGTGCCATTGCACTCCAGCCTGGGAGACAAGAGCAAAACTCCATCTCAAACAAAACAAAACAAAACAAAACAAAAAACACACAAAAACACAGAAACATACTGTTGAGGAAAAAAGGTGAAAAAGTTATAGAAAATTCTGTATAATAGTATTAACGTAAAGTATAAAAACATAAAACAATATCCTATTATGTTATAGGTTATATTATTTGTGGTACATGCATAGATAGTAAAAGGAAAGTTAAGAAAAATATTTATGTTTATGGTACATGCATAGATTTAATGTTTATGGCATGCATATAGAGAGTAAAAGGAAAAGAGCTCTCACTAAATACACACACACACATACACACACACACACAGTCAGTTAGTTGCATAACTAGGATGAGAAGCCAGTTTTCCTTATTCTTCCTTAGTCTAACAAAATCTAAATGGTCTGCATGGTCATTAACTTGGCTTCTTGTCTCCTGTAGCTAGGCTTTGTATAGCTCAGAACATGTTATGGGAGCATGGTGAGTTTGGGGGGAGTGGAGTTAGTATCTCTTTTACATGAAGGCAGGGGGCAAGGTTGCTATAAACTTTTTTTTTCCACATTCAGACCCCCTGTCTACTGGCCAGGAATGCTGAGTTTCACCTGATTAAGGGTATCAGTAAACAAGGTAATGTGAAACACTAGTAAGCTGGTGACAGTTTGAACCTAAAGCTGAACTCCTCTAGCACTTCTCAGTCATGTTTGACTAGCTCTGGCAGGAGCTGCTGGACACAGAGATAAACCCAGAGAACCAAAAAGCTATAAATGGCCTCCAGTGTGATTAAAATGGACTATTGGCATAGTAGTTGGATCAAAATTCTAAGTTCTGAACAACATAGGTTTTCATGTACAGGGTCTACAGGGTATAGGATAAGACAAAATTCTGGAAAATGAAAGGCAGTATATGGCCCCTGCTCTCCCAGATTGACTGTGGTTACTTTTTTCTCAATTACCTAATAATTGCCTTTAAATTCCCCAGGCTGTTAAGACCTCGAAAATCTACCAGAGGGTATGTGAGATAGAGTAAGAAAGAGAGTTTTAGAAGGGCAGGCAAAAAGGAGGAAAATAAAAGAGGAGACTCTCTTGAATGTGTTGTTTCTGTTCTTTGATGATCTGACCTGCTGTTTTTTATGCATTTGACCTAGTAATGACTCATGAGGAGAGCCTCGGAAGATGTTTGGGTTCTAGTCCTAATACCTCTATTTCAGTGACCTTGAGCAGATCAGTTAACTTCTTTGAACTTCATATACCTCATCTGTAAAATGGAGATAATAATAGTATGCTGAGTGATAAGCCGGGCGCAGTGGCTCATGCCTGTAATCCCAGCACTTTGGGAGGCCGAGGCGGGTAGATCACCTGAGGTCAGGAGTTCAAGACCAGCCTGGCCAACATGGTGAAACCCCATCTCTACTAAAAATACAAAAATTAGCCGGGTGCGGTGGTGTGTGCCTGTAATCCCAGCTACTCGGGAGGCTGAGGCAGGAGAATCGCTTGAACCCAGGAGGCGGAGGTCGCAGTGAGCCAAGACCAAGTCTCAAAAAAAAAAAGAAAAGAAACGCTGAGTGATATTTACATTTGAAACCCATCTTCTGAGCTCCTTATTTTTACTGGAAATGGGAATCAGAGTTTAAGAAGAAATTCCATCACTTTTTGTTCTCAGGATACATATTTAGTTAAGTTCACAGGAAGCAATGTTTATAGGGAGAATATGTAAGAAGGTAGCTGCAGCTGTGACAGCCACAGCAGACTCTTTATGCTTGTCCATTAGAACTTTCTGTCATGTGGACATCTTCTATATCTGCGCTATCCATACATGTGTGGCTATTGAGCACTTGAAATATGCTAGTGCTCTAGTGTGACTGAGGAAATGAAATTTTAATTTTTTTTTTTTAAGACAGAGTCTGGCTCTATCACCCAGGCTGGAGTGCAATAGCGCAATCTCGGCTCACTGCAACCTCTGCCTCCTGGGTTCAAACGATTCTCCTGCCTCAGCCTCCCAGGTAGCTGGGATTATAGGCGTGCACCACCACGCCTAGCTAATTTTTGTATTTTTAATAGAGACGGGGTTTCACTATATGTTGGCCAGGCTGGTCTTGAACTCTTAACCTCAGGTGATCCACCCACCTTGGCCTCCCAAAGTGGTAGGATTACAGGCATGAGCCACCACACCAGGCCTGAAATTTTAATTTTATTTAATCTTAATTAGCTTAAGTTTAAATAGCCCTATGTAGCTTGTGGCTACCCTAATGGACAGCTCTAGCTGCCCTGAAAAAGCCATCATTGTTATTAGGGAAGCAAGGCATATACTCTTGAGACCAGTTAAATACCAAAAGAATTGGGGTCAGACAGTAGAGACTTAATTATTCAGAAAACAAATATCCACTGGGCCGGAGAATTTAAAGAGAGTCTTATAAAGTAAGTGAAACTTGGGCTTGAGCTAGAGGGATGTACAGTGGATAGGAGAAAAGAAGGCAAGAGGTTATTCTGATGGGTTGGAGGGGGTGGGCAAATGTTTGCAGTTAAAAAATATCTCCTACATGAGAAGTTTGAGGACAATGACTATTCTAAAATAGAGCACTCATATTGGGAGTTAGGCGTGTTTGGGCCAGGTCATGGACAGTCTTGAATGCTATCACACAGAGTTTGGGCTGTCCACATAGGCTGATGTTTTGCCAGGCTTGCTTAAAACATAGATTCTCAGGCCCCACCTTGACCTACTACATCAAATTTTCTGGGTTGGAGCCTAAGAAATCAGTATTTTGAGCAAGCTCCCCAGATGTTGATGATGCACATTCAAGTTTGAGATCTATTAGATAGACAGAAAGGAGCCCATGGGAGCTTTTGCTGAAGGGAGTGATGTGATAATAGCAGTATCTTTGGAAGCTCAATAGGGTGGGACAGTGTAGGATGTAGAAACTAGAGTAAGGAAACCAGTTAGGTGACTGTTAAAGTAGTTCAGATATGAACTTCACAAATTCAGATTTTCTTTCTGGCTGGTACCCTTGGAATTGTCAAATTGACTCCTAAAATTTCCCTGCAGGCCATATTTTAATTTTCAACACAATTTGTTTGCTGTTTTAAATGACTAGGGCCCAGGGACCAAAGCCTGACTTCCTTGGTTCAAATCTGAGCTCTACTACCTAAGTGATTTTAGCTTAGACAAGTTTTCATAACTTTTCTGCGTTTCAACTTCCTTTTCTATAAATTGGAGATGATTATAGCTCCTAAATCATAAGGACATTGCAGGTGTTAAATTAGATCATAAAGGGCTCACAACAGTACTTGGCACATAGTAAGCACTCAATAAATGTTGGTATTAATATTATTTAAACTAAAGAGCCCCTTAGTTTATTACAATTTGTATAATAGTTAAAACCAGTCAATTACCTTTCACACACACAAAAACATGTTAAATGTGCCCATTTGGTATGTTAAAACTGAGTGCTAGGCTTTTTGCTGAATGAGTTGTATTTCAAAGCATAGTGCTTCAGTTAATTTTATATATGATTATCCTTCATAAAATAAGTCTAAACAGGATGAATTGTTTTTCCCACTGATTGTGTTAATCTGTGATTAGTTCTTGGCTATGAATGATATATCTTTTTAAACTTTGTCCTTTTTAGATTGCTACTAGCTTTCAGTGGATGCTATTTGTGATATTTATTTCTGAAGAAAAGAATGGACACTCTTTTGCTCTTCAGGGGGACTGATAGTGGAAATAAAATTTGATTTGTTATCTGGGCATGTGGCCTGGTGTCAGCTGATCCCATGACTTACCCTGGAGGTGTGGCAACAGGTTTCTGAAGGGGTGAGAAAGTCTCTTCAGGTGCCTTACTTGGGAATACGTGAACTTCCGGTTGCTGCTTCACTCTTCTTCCAGGCCTCACTGACACAGAGGCTTCTAGCCTCTCCAGTTTCCTTTGCATTGTCAGCTGCCTGAAGCAACTCTCAAGATGCACCTGCAAGTCAAGGGCGGGGAGGGAAGGAAACAGCTAAGACCCACGATAGCTACCTACACACTTCTGAGCCAGGCTGAGCCAAAACATTGCCTCAAAATCTTCTTTCTGCTTTAAGAAACAAAGTCACTCCTAACTTTGATCTCTTAGGTTCTGTTAGATAGTTGAAAAAGAGAGGTCTATGGCACAGTTGGTTAAGATTCTTTTTTTAATGTTTTGACAAGATTAATACATATATTCCCTGCCATCTCCCTAGTTGTCCATTTCACTTCCCTGGAGGCAATCAGCTACCAGTTTCTTGTGTATCCTTTCAGAGATCTGCTATACATGTATGTATATGTATAACCTTATATTTTTTCTTTATATCCTTAAGTTTTATACAAATTGTAGCATACCATAAATGATATCCTGCACCTTGCTTTTTTCCTTTAATATATACTGGAGACTGTTTCATATCAGCACATACAGAGCTTCTTTATGGCTATAGGGCAGCACTATGTGGAATCTAAGTATTTCATAATTACTGCAGATGTACCAGAATGTATTTTAGCAGTTCTTTATTGATGGATATTTGCATTGCATCTCATCTTTGGTGATTATCAACATGATTATACATATTTCACATGTGAGAGTATATCTTTAGGAGAAATTGGTTAGGACACTTTGGTGATTGACCTCTTCAAGTGGCTGTATAACCACAGTGCTGTGTGTAGAATCAATTTGCCATGCTTAAATAGGGAGTCACAGGATGTTAGAGCTAGAAGAGATCTTAGAGATTCCAGAGAAACCCAAGATTACATGAAGACTTAGAGGCAGATTCAAGACTAAATCCCACAGTTGTTTGTTTGTTTGTTTGAGACAGAGTCTTGCTCTGTTGCCCAGGCTGGAGTGCAGTGACATGATCTCGGCTCACTGCAGCCTCTGCCTCCCGGGTTCAAGCGATTCTCCTGCCTCAGCCTCCCGAGTAGTTGGGATTACAGGAGCATGCCACCACGCCCGGCTAATTTTTACGTTTTTAGTAGAGACGAGATTTCACCATGTTGGCCAGGCTGGTCTCAAACTCCTGACCTCAGGTGATCCGCCCGCCTCAGCCTCCCAAAGTGCTGGGATTGCAGGCATGAGCCACTGCACCCGGCCAATCCCACAGTTTTTTACTCCAGTCCATAATGTAGCTCTTTGTACTATACCACACTGCTGTTTGTGAGAGAGATTTGGCATGGCCTGATTTCTGTCCTAAAAAGCAGGACTGTGCATTTTCCGGCCCACTGTGATGTCACTATCCGGTCTACCTGATTTCTCTTTCTAGGGTCTGACTCTGTCAGCCTGACTTTCCCTACTTTCTCTGCTGCTCTGGACACTACTAATAACTACTCTAATAATAACTACTTTTTTCTTTTAAAATTAAAACCAAAGTCCTTTATGGTTTCGGGATCCTTTCTTTAGTAGTAAAGGCAAATAAGTGAGGCAGGAGTGCTAGGGAGGTGATCTGGTAATGGCCCAAGATTCATGATCTTTCCCATTGCTTTCTACTGTTAGCTGGTCCATTGAGTCATCATGATGTAGTCTAGAGAGAGTCCTTTTCTTCTCTTGGCACTGCTGGAATATCTCCTTTTCTTGACCATAAGATTGAGCAGCTTAAGGTCCAACAAGTGCTTAATGTACCCAATAAGGAAGAATATGAAAATGTGCACACAGAGTTTCATTATTACTGAATTATATTAGGGAAGTAATATTCTTTGTTTGCAGCCCAAGGAAATCAAGAGCCTTGGTGTCAGGGACAGACCCTTGTGTGCGAATGACTCTGAAGTTGACCTTAACTCTGGCCCAGGACACAGAGGTGTAAACTGCTACAAACGTTTTTGAAATCAACACTAGGATGATGGATAAAACTGTACTAGGAGTAGACTGTAGAGCTATCCCTAGGACAGTTTTTCTCGAAGTATAGTCCT
The DNA here is from genome assembly GCF_000001405.40 of Homo sapiens. Taxonomy (NCBI): domain Eukaryota; kingdom Metazoa; phylum Chordata; class Mammalia; order Primates; family Hominidae; genus Homo; species Homo sapiens. The sequence goes on along the minus strand of NC_000023.11, from coordinate 100,937,534 downwards.
CTGACCACCTGCATTGTTCAAAAGTTGGCACTCTGGAGTCTGCAAGTAGTCCTTCTCTGCCCTCAAGTTATTCTTATATGAACTTAACTATGAAAACTACTGCCTAAGAAATGGTAAACTGGGGAGATGGTCACAAGTCTTTCAATTTGAAGCAGCTTATAAAATTAGTGATAAGAGCTGACTAGCAATTCCAGGTCGTGTACAGTTAATGTCATTTGGGGAGATGTAAATACTACTTTTAGGTGGCCGGGCGCGGTGGCTTATGCCTGTAATCCTAGCACTTTGGGAGGCCAAGGCGGGTGGATCATTTGAGTTCAGGAGTTCGAGACCAGCCTGGCCAACATGGTGAAACCTCGTCTCTACTAAAAATACAAAAATTAGCTGGACATGGTGGCACGTGCCCATAATCCCAGCTACTCAGGAGGCTGAGGCAGAGAATCGCTTGACCCTGGGAGGCAGAGGCTGCGGTGAGCAGAGATCTCGCCACTGCACTCCATTCTGGGCAAGAGAGTGAGACCCTGTCTCAAAAAAAAAAAAAAAAGGCTGTGTTAGGTGCCCCATGTGCTCCCACAGACCCTGTGCTTCTGTTACAACCTGACATGGTTTGGCTCTGTGTCTCCACCCAAATCTTATCTCGAATTGTAATTTCCACGTGTGGGGGGTGGGGGGACCAGGTGAGAAGGGATTGGATCATGGGGGTGTTCTTGTGATAGTGAGTTCTCATGAGAGCTGATGGTTTTAAAGTGTGGCACTTCCTCGTTCCTGCACTCACTCTTTCCTGCCGCCTTGTGATGAAGGTGCCTGCTTCCCCTTCTGCCATTATTGTAAGTTTCCTGAGGCCTCCCCAGCCATGTGGAACTGTGAGTCAATTAAACCTCTTTCCTTTATAAATCACTCAGTCTTGGGCCAGCCGGCCTGCCTGCCTTCCTTCCTTCCTTTCTTCTTTTTCTTTTCTTTTCTTTTCTTTTTTTTTTTTTTTTTTTTTTTTTTTTTTGAGACAGAGTCTGGCATTGTTGCCCAGGCTGGAGTGCAGTGGCATGATCACAGCTCACTGCAGCCTCTGCCTCCTGGGTTCAATCGATTCTCCTGCCTCAGCCTCCCAAGTAGCTGGGACCACAGGTGCACGCCACCATGCCTGGCTAATTTTTGTATTTTTAGTAGAGATAGGGTTTCACCATTTTGGCCAGGCTGGTCTTGTACTCCTGGCTTCAAGTGATCTGCCCACCTCAGCGTCCCAAAGTGCTGGGATTACAGGTGTGAGCCACCTTGCCCGGCCATGGGTATTTCTTTATAGCAGTGTGAGAATGGACTAATACACAACCTTTATCATGCTGTATTGTGATTGAATGTTTTTGTCACTTCCCTGTATAATCCAGAGGGTTTTCAGTTGTGAGCAACAGAAATTGACTGGCTAATTTAGGCAGAAAACGTATATATTGAAAGCATATTGAATAGCTCACAAAATCACCAGCTGGACTGGAGAACTAGACTCAGGCCTATATAGCCAACATCACAGCTGCCACTGTTACTACCACCAAGAGGAGAAAGGGACTCTCCCTGGACTACATGATGACTCAATGGACAAGCTAAGAGTTGAAAGCAACAGGAAAGTTCACGAATCTTGGGCCATTACCAGATCACCTCCCTAGCACTAGTGAGTGCCTACCACCACCACTCTAACTGCCATCAGTGTTAACTCAGATTCTCCAAGGAGCAGATACTAAGATGGAATTAGATATGCAAGAGATTGATTGAGGGAAATGCCCATGACAGAAAGCGTGAGAACTGGAAGAGGCTGGAAGAACTGTCAGACTGCAATGTAAATCTGACATTTATGGATAAGAGAAGGCAAGAAGAAGTTTCGGAAGGAAGAGTCTTGGCCTGAAGAGCAGTTCTAATAAAATTTGCCCTAGCTGATGGGAGTCCTTTAGCCAAAGCTGCCTATTGGAATAGTTCTGTCTTCCGGAAATGGATCTGACTTAGTATCACTGCTGTGCTCAGTCACTGGCTGGAAGCAATGTGGCCTCAAAGAAAAGCTGCGAATATTGGGCTGAATTTAGAACCTAGCAGCTAGCTAGGGCCAAGGTCATTTACATTCCCCATGCTGGGAGAACTGAAAGGCACATTTTCGTAGCTGTCTCAATCAGAGATTTTCCACTGCTTTGGGTCGCTGGCTCCCAGTCCAAGGGATGGATCCTTGGATTGGGTGAGCCAAGGTCATGTGCCTGTGTTCTGACTGCAAGGGGGACCTGCTTCCCACCAAGATTCCTAAGCCCCCTCTCCCAAATAAAGGGGTTCATATGCTGGACAGCAACCCCCACAAAGGACAAATGTCCACTATACTGTGTGACCTCCTTAAGAGCAAAGATCTTTGTCTTGCTGATTGCAATTATAAATATTTACAAATAAATGTTTATTGAAGTAACTGAATGCCCCACAATGCTATATCTGACTAAGTAAAAAAGAAGAAAAGTGAAATAACTGAATGAACGTAACCAGCTGGTGTTCAAATGCCCTTACATACTCTCTCTCTCTCTGTCTCTCTCTGTCTCTCTCTGTCTCTCTCACACACACTCTCTCTCAGTCAATCAATTTAGCTCTCAGGGAAATGCAAACCAAATCCACTAGGATGACTATAATTAAAAAGACAGATAAAAATTGTTGTCAAGTATGTGGAAAAAGTGGAACCATCATACACGGCTGAACACGGCTGATGGAAATGTAAAATGGTGCAGCCACTTTAGAAGAGTCTGGCGATCCCTCAAAACATAGTTACCATATGATCTAGCATTTTACTCCCAAGTATGTACCCAAGTGAACTGAAAACACATATTCATGCAAATGATCCTCATAAGAGCCAAAAAGTGGAGACAATCCTGTTGTGGTTAATATTATGTGTCAACTTGGCTAGGCTATTGTGCCCAGTTGTTTGGTCACACACCAGTCTAGATGTTGTAGTGAAGGTATTTTTCAGAGGGGATTAACAAAATCAGTAGATAGATTACCCTCCATAATGTCAGTGGGCTTCATCCAATCAGTTTAAGGCAATAAGAGCAAAGGCCGAGGTCTCCTGAAGAAGAAGGAATTCTGCCTTCAGGCTGCGATATAGAAATTCTGCCTGCATTTCAAGCCTTTGCATCCAAGACTGCAACACCATCTCTTTTCTGAATTTCCAGCCTGCCAGCCTGCCCCAAGTTTCAGACCTGCCAGTCCCCTAAATTGCATAAGCTAATTTCTTAAAATATATCTCCACCCATCCCCTTGTGCCAATTGGTTGTTTCTCTGTGATAGATCCATACAGTGTAGTATTACCATAAAAAGGAATGAAGTACTAATACATGCTACGACATGGATGAACCTTGAAAACATCATACTAAGTGAAAGAAACCAGATACAAAAGGTCATATATGATCATATATTGTATGATTCTATCCAGAATAGACAAATATATTGAGATGGAAAGTGGATTCATGGTTGCCTAGTGCTGCGAGGAGTGGGGAATGGGGAATGAGTGCTTAATGGGTATGGGTTTCTTGGGGTGATGAAATGTTCCGGCACTAAGTTGTGGTAATGACTGCATGACTTTGTACTAAAACTACTAAATTGTACACTTTAAATGGGTGAATTGTATGGCATATGAGTTATTTCCAAATAAAGAGTATTATTTAAAAAATTAAATAATATCATTATATTCCCCTCCCTGACCCTTCTCTTCCACCAGGCAATATAAATAGAGCTTGCCAGCTGCCTGGCAACACCCAACATCCCAAATGCCATGCTGCATTATGTGGCAGCACTTCTTTCCCTTCAAGACTAATTTAGATGTCATTTCTAACCAGATTTGTTGAAGAAAAATGCTAGGGGTGAGGGCTGCAGGGAAGTTACTTCTGTTTTAACTCCAGGCCCAAATCCCAGCTATGGATGATACTGATGAGGGAGTGGCTCAGAACTAACAGGCAAGGGTCTTTGTTCTCAGGGAGTTTATAGCAAAAAGAAAAATAAGACCTAGATGATACGACTGATTTTGCATTCTGTTTTTTTTTTTTTTTTTTTTTTAGACGGAATCTCACCATCACCTAGGTTGGAGTGCAATGGCACAATCTCGGTTCACTGCAACCTCTACCTCCTGGGTTCAAGCGATTCTTGTGCCTCAGCCTCCGGAGTTGCTAGGATTACAGATGTGTGCCACCACACCTGGCTAATTTTTGTATTTTTAGTAGAAATGGGGTTTCACCATGTTGCCCAGTCTGGTCTTGAACTGCTGACCTCAGGTGATCTACCCACCTCGGCCTCCTAAAGTGCTGGGATTAACAGGTGTGAACCACTGCGCCTGGCTTTTTTTCTTTTTCTTTTTCTTTTTTTTTTTTGAGACAGAGTTGCTCTGTTGCCCAGGTTGGAGTGCAGTGGCACAGTCACAACTCACTGCAGCTTCAACCTCCCGGGCTCAAGCGATCCTCCCCACTTCAGCCTCCAGAGTAGCTAGGACTACAGGTGTGTGTCACCATGCCCAGCTAATTTTGTTTTTACTTTTTTGTAGAGACAGGGTCTCACTTTGTTGCCCAGGTTGGTCTCAAACTCCTGGGCTCAAGCAATCCTCCCACCTCAGTCTCCCAAAGCGCTGGGATTACAGGTGTGAGCCACCATGCCTGGCCTCTAGATATCTTTTAAGCATTCTAACAGCCCAAACTGAGCATTCTTTAGAGGGAAGCCATCTTCCATTCTGGCTATTGATTCTCTGGGCCTTGCCCATCACCTCCCACCAATAAGTGTTCTGTGACTGGACTGTCAGCCACTTGCTGCACATCTCTGTCCTTCCTCTCCTCTTTCCTCATGGATGCCACGCACCTCTTACACATCCATTCCTTGGAGGCTTTTGGGCAGTCTTCAGGCTGCAGAGGCTTGGAAAGCTCAACCCCATCCCTGAGCCTTATAGAGGGATTCTGAATGCTGATAAAGATGCCAAGAGCTTTTAGACCACATGGCTTTTAGATGCGCTCTTTGTTCCTGTTGAGTCAGTGGTTGGAAATAGAGTGGTAAGGAGTCAGATCTTGTTCTTCCCCTTTCTTGCAGAATTCTAGTGCTTCTCAGGAGGAGAAATTTATGCTTGAACACTACCTGGCATTCAGGAGGCAGCCTAGGTGTCACCTCAGATGACTAGTCTGTGGGAGATCAGTGCTTTTAATGGGACAGGGGTTCCTAGAGCCTCAGCAGCCTTATGACTGCCAACATTTCCAGCATCTTTAGTCCCAAGAAGAGTAAAGAGCTGGAATCTTGAGATGGCCTGAGAGAGCAAAGAGTGTTTGGACAGAAACAGCAAATTCTCAGTTAGCTACTCCCAGCAGGGCAAAGGAACGGGGAAATAAGAGACCAGAGGATTTAGTGACCTAAAGCGCCAGAGAATCCTAGGGCTGAAAATAGAGAAGTTGGTGGGTGAGGGTGATCAGATGACAGGAACTTTACAGGTCTATACCAGTCATGGGGGAGTCCAACAAAAGTACAGTAATAAGGGCTCTGCCCTCAAGGAGCCCGTGATAATTTAGTTGGGGAATAAAAATTAATATACTTGAAATAATTTTGGTGCTACACTCTGGTATAAACAAAAGAATGCTATAGAAATCCTTGAGAAGGGACAGATCATGTGGTCTGGGAACCTCTGTGAGCTGATGGCTGAATGAGACAGTGCTCATTCAGCCAGAGGAGTTTATGCCCCAGCTACAGTGGCCACAGCTTTTAGAGATGAGTGTGTCTGAGTCTTGCATGGTTTCAAGGAGGAAGTATGGGGGAGGAAGCGTCATCATCATCACCATTTGTCAATCACCATTGTCATCAACAAGTGCCACAATAAACAGTCATTGAGCATCCTTCCCTCACTAACTTTACATTTTTGGGGGGAGGCAGGACAAACACAGAAATAGTTGAAGGACTAGTATGAGAGAGCATGTGCCAGTAGCATGAAGAGAGAAAAATGAGGGTTGGGGAGGTGACAGAAGGCTTCTTGGAGGTGGGAGCACTTCGGCTGACCCTTGAAAGAAAGTTATGGTTTGGACTAATGGAGAAAAGGGTGAAGGGGGTTGTAAATCGCATCAACAAGGCAGAGGTGGGAGTGAGCAACGCAAATAGGAGAAGTGAGAAAACTGGCTGGCCTTGTGGAAGGAGTAGTGTGGGCAATAAAATCTGAGAGGGAAGTAGTGTGATGATTATATAGAGCCTTGAATGACAGACAGAAGGAGTCATTTTGGAACAAAGTAGGAAGGCATTGTAAATTTTTGTATTTGGGGAGAGACAAGGCCATGGAGAAGAAGGAGGAAAGGCTAAAAGGTAAACGTTGGGATTCTACATTCTTCTTCTTAGCTTTACTCTCCCATGTTTTTTTTTTTTTTTATTTTTAATTTTTATTTTTTTGAGATGGAGTTTCACTCTTGTCACCCAGGCTGGAGTGCAATGGTGCTATCTTGGCTCACTGCAACTTCTGCCTCCTGGGTTCAAGGGGTTGTCCTGCCTCAGCCTCCCGAGTAGCTGGGATTACAGGTGCCCACCACCACGCCCAGCTAATTTTTGAATTTTTAGTAGAGACAGGATTTCACCATGTTGGTCAGGCTGGTCTCAAACTCCTGATCTCAGGCCATTCACCCACCTTGGCCTCCCGAAATGCTGGGATTACAGGCATGAGCTACCGCGCCCGGCTGACTCTCTCATGTTTAGGGGGACCAACTCACCCTATCCCAGTGAAATGGGATTAATTGGTCACCTTGCCTGAGATTCACCTTGTGAACAGTTACCTAGAGCAGCCCCAAGAGGTTCTGCACCATATACTGGTGGTGGAGAACCTTGTCCCAGTTGGAATGTCCCAACTAATAAGAAAAAGAACACTCTCTGAAGTTGTTCTCAATAGTGTTGACCTCCTTCATGAAATGGAAAGGAGAAAGGAGCAGCCTCCTAGCCCAGCTGCTAGCATAGGTGCAGACCAAGATGCGGAGTCTGCTTCAGAAGGTGACAACCTTTAGATGTTGAATCTGTCCCTGAATCAGCCCTGGGGAAAGGAGGCAGCAATCATGGAAACCTTAAAAAAACAAAAAACAACATAATGACAGGACAACCTGGAGGCCATTATTTTGGTGGCTGCTACTTGGCCACTCCTCACATAGATTTGTTTTACTGACTTCCTGCAGCAAAAGGAGATTGGCACAGGCTCTGCTACATAATCATCATTATTATTATTATTATTATTATTATTATTATTATTATTAAGACGTAATCTTGCTCTGTTGCCCAGGCTGGAGTGCAGTGGCGTGATCTCAGCTCACTGCAACCTCTGCCGTCCGGGTTCAAGTTTTTCTCCTGCCTCAGCCTCCTGAGTAGCTGGGATTACAGTCACGCACCACCACGACCAGCTGATTTTTGTATTTTTAGTAGAGATGGGGTTTCACCACGTTGGCCAGGCTGGTTTCGAACTCCTGACCTCAAGTGATCTGCCTGCCTCAGCCTCCCAAAGTGCTGGGATTACAGGCGTGAACCACTGTGCCTGGCCTTCATCTATATTATTACCAGGAGGCAGATGTGTTCTCTTTTTCTCTGAGGTTTAGAATTATGCAAATGAAGATATGAAAACAAAAGCTCAGTGAGGTGGGGAGGATTACACTTAAGAATACAGGTAATTTTCAAAGCTCTTTAAGACACCCCTCTCAGTTTTTACTAACAGCTCTCTCTTGGCTCTTTGCCAGTCTGTTTAGAATTTGGCACCTCTTCATAACCTTTCAACCAAAGACCTGTAAGTTCATTCTAAAGCTCCTATCCTGGCCTCATTTTGCAAGTGGAGAAATCAAGGCATAAAATATGAGCTTTCAGTGTCTGTGGGCTGACCTTGAGTCTTGACCTTTATCCTGTTCTATCTTCCCTCCGCCGAAAACTCTGACCCTATTCCTCCCAGGTTCCCCCTTCATGATATTATCTGGAGGGCAATAGGACCTAGGGAGGTTCCACCCTGCGGCGGAGGGAGACACACCTGCCTAACAGCGTGGGTAGAGTGAGTGTTGAAGCAAGTCACTTAACTAGTTAGGGAGGGCGGGGTAGAAGTGGGGGCCTGCTGCTCCTAGGGAGGAGTAAAGCTGTGGCTCCTGCCTGGGTCTGGAGGTGGTGGTCAGAAGTGCTTCTGAAGAGCGGCCCAAGCCCCTTTTTGTCCCGCCACTCCACAACGAGCATCCCTCGGCTGGCCGCCTGCCCGGGAACTCTCCGGCTGGTTTTGTTTGGCCGCAGCCGTCCCGCCCATCTCGCCCGCCCCCGCCGTCCCGGTGCCTTAGTTTTTGAAGCTGCCGACCTCTCGCAGCTGGAATCGCAGACCAGGCAGGACCCTGGCAGCAGACGGCGTCCAAGAGTTTGGCGACCTCCGTCCAGCCAGGTTGGCGCCCCGCACATCGTGCCTCTCACTAGCAAAGTTTCTCCGAGGAGAAGCAGCCCCTCCAGCCTTTTCTTCATCCTGTAGAGCGAGCGCGCTCTGCTTCTGTCCCTCAACACTGCATTCGGAGACAGGGTGGTGACAATACTCCACTCCCGGGCCAGGCGGTCTTGGGGGCGGGGCTTGGGGGAATCCGAGGAGCTATCCTGAGAACCCTGGACTCGGCAAAGGTCCTGAGAGCGCGCAGGTGAGCGGGCCAGCTGATAGCTACAGCCTAGCAATAGCTAGGATACCTAGGCACTGAACTGAATCCCCTCTTCTGCCCTCCTTCTTCTGCGCCCGCTCTTCTGCCCTGGCTCAGCTCTCCGCTGACTTGAGAGGACACACTGGTCAGGACTCTTTGTGAGGAGCTGCTGAGTGTCGGTGCCCCCGACAGATCGGCTACACCCTGCCTGAGGGGCTGCGAAAGGAGCCGCCACGGAAGCCGCTGTTCTCATGACTCTTCACGTCCCTGGAGTTGGACTCTGGATGGGGCGCTGGGATGCTTGCTTTTGTCTTGTTCAAGTTTCACAGCAAGTATGTTGACGATTGGAATCGGGGCCAATCAAGAGTCAAGTTCAAAGTGGTACTCCTGGGCTTTCCATCCCAGACTCCAAGTCGAATCTGAGTCTAGAAGAGAGCGGTTTCTTGCTCTAACTAGTGAATCTCTGTTCCCAAACTGGACTTGACAGAGCTCTCCTCACCTATACTTGGACTGTAGCGGCCATAGGGTTCTCTTGGGGATGGGTGGGAGGGTGCTATGAACACAAGACCACAACATTCAGAAAGAACCTCGACAATGGACAGAGTTTATGAAATTCCTGAGGAGCCAAATGTGGATCCGGTTTCATCTCTGGAGGAAGATGTCATCCGTGGAGCCAACCCCCGATTTACTTTTCCATTTAGCATCCTTTTCTCCACCTTTTTGTACTGTGGGGAGGCTGCATCTGCTTTGTACATGGTTAGAATCTATCGAAAGAATAGTGAAACTTACTGGATGACATACACCTTTTCTTTCTTTATGTTTTCATCCATTATGGTCCAGTTGACCCTCATTTTTGTCCACAGAGATCTAGCCAAAGATAAACCGCTATCATTATTTATGCATCTAATCCTCTTGGGACCTGTTATCAGGTGAGCAACTTTTAAATCTTTTCCTTACCCCCCTAACCCCACCCCAGACTTGGGCAGAGAAAGATGAAAGATTTACAAGATGGATACTATGGCTCTAATCAATTCTCTCATTTCCTCCCACTCTCGGCTTCCCTGTCTACCATTCAGAAAACTTACCTGAAATCTTAAATGCCACCATGATGAACATGTGGTATGTACTTGTGTTCCAAAACAATGAACGATGCTATTTGGCCTGTGTAAACTAGAATGGGAACAACAAGACGTGATCACCCTGTGCATGAAGGCCATAGCTGCAGAGTGTGTAATTTTATTTAAAAAATTTTTTTTTTCTGAGACAAGGTCTTGCTCTGCCTCCCAGGCTACAGTGCAGTGGTGCGATCATGGCTCACTGCAGCCTTGATCTCCTGGGATCAAGCGAACCTCCCACCTCAGCCTCCAAGTAGCTGGGACCAAAGGAATGTGTCACCATGCCTGGTTAATTAAAAAAAAATTTTTATAGGCCGGGTGTGGTGGCTCATGCCTGTAATCCCAGCACTTTGGGAGGCTGAGGCGGGTGGATCACCTGAGGTCAGGAGTTCAAGACCAGCTGGCCAACATGGTGAAACCCCTGTCTCTACTAAAAATCAGCTGGGTGTGGTGGCGCATATCTGTAATCCCAGCTACTCTGGTGGCTGAGGCAGGAGAATCACTTGAACCCGGAAGGTAGAGGTTGCAGTGAGCCAAGATCGGTGCCACTGCACTCCAGCCTGGGCGATAGAGTGAGACTCCATCTCAAAAAAAAAAAAATTTTTTTTGTAGAGACGGGATCTCGTTATGTAGACTGGGCTCAAGTGATCTTCCTGCCTCAGCCTCCCAAAGTGAGCCACCGCGCCTGGTCTGAGTGTGTAATTTTGACTCTACCTTTTGGATGCTTTGTAAATTGGATAAAAGTTTCTTTACCCTGAGCTGCTTGGGCTGGTGCTACTGCCATTTTCAAATTTTCCAGAGTAATGTGACATCTGGAAACTATTTTAAACCATCTGTGGTAATCTGTACCCCAACCCAATATAGTTCAGTTCTCTGTCGGTTTATCAGTTTCCTATTTATCTCTTTGTATATTTCTGCAATAAAGATACGAAGTTGGGAGGGGGCAAAGGAAGGCAGTTCATCTCTCTATGTGGATGCAGTAGCACAATTTAATAGTATCAAGTATTTCCATTCAGATTGCCTTGAAGTGGAAAGAATGCACTTAATCCTAGCGAGATAGGCACCTGTGTCAACAGTCTCATCTGGATGCTATGGGGTTTTCAAGGTAGAGAGATGTTGCAAAACTTATGAGTTCAGGAGTAAGGAATGGACCAAGTTTGTCTTGATTGCAAGAGAGGCAGACAACTGCAGTCAGCCGAGGAATATGGGTCAGAGTGTTGCAATGGGAAGATACCTCATCATTAGACAACTAAAAAGTCTGTGAAACTAATTAAGGATGGAACTCACTCCTTTATAAAATTTCATATCTGTACACATGTATAATTTTTATTTGTCACTTATACCTCAATAAGGCCAAAAAAATTTTTTATCAATAAATTTTTAAGTGGGGAGGAATCGATTAGGCTCTATCAGAGAGAATATGGGATATCAATGGAAACAGTGGCCTGAAATTTGGAGTCTAGTCTTCCCCCTGTCATTGACTGGTTGTGTGTTCTTGGTAAAATCTCTGAAGATGGCTTCACAGGAAGGCATATAGAGTTCCCTCATCTGTAAAGCAAATGGGTTAGTCTAAATCATGGGTCTCAAACTCAAACACTTGCAGGGACCAGGCAGGTATCATAAATGAATGAAGCAGGCCTAGTATAAGAAAAAACAGTAGCCTTGTGTGAGATGATAAATGAAAACAAAGTCTCAGAGAAATACTGAGGAGTAGTGAGTACCATGGTAATCTGAAATCTTCATGACCTGCCTGAAGGAGGTAGCCCCTCTAGAGCCCTGGCGCATTGTTTCCATGTTGGAATTCAGACCCAGTATTGCCAGATCCACTAACTTTTCGGGAGATGCTCCCAAGACAGGATTTTTATATGAAATGTCATGATTTTAAATTTTCACAGCTGACTAAAACAATAACAACAACAACACAGGATGGACCAAACCATATCTGTTGGTCAGATATAACTCAGCTGGCCTATATGCATCTTTGGACTGGGTGATGTAAAGGTCCTTTACGGTTCTAAATCTTTGAAGTTAAGCTGTAAAAGGAAGACCTCATCTTGACCTTGAAACCAAGAAATTTAAAGTTGTGACTACAGGAGCAAATAAACCATTCATCCCTCCTTTTTCAAATACAATATATTGAGTTAACCAATCGAAAACTCTCAAGATACAAATTTCAGAAAGTACCCAGCTGCACCCTCCCCTCTTTTTGACTTCCTTTGTTTGCTTTGTGAACCCTCTGTGTAGAGTGTTGAGTACTGTTTTTCATTTTTGTTGTTTAGCTTCCACTAGAAATGATTGGGAAGCATTTATAACCTCAGGCAGCTTAGCCCACAGCAGAGAAAAGATAAAAACTCATAAATTATACTCTGGATTCGCTTATTTTCAAGGCCAATTACTTGTTAGATAGGTAGGAACTTGATTAGTGTTATCAGGCACATGAAGGTGCTTGTAGAGTCTGGGTGCCTTACATGAAATGCAAGCATACTTCCGAAATGAAAATGTACTCTAATTTATTGAAGCTTATAAATGGACAAACACCCTTACTTAAACCAGAAAATAGCCCTGAGAATAGAAACAGAACATTTATGTAAATGTAAACGGAACATTTCATGCCACCACCTTCTCCAATACTGTTCTCCAATTTAGCAATAGTACTGATGGGTTGGGGTTAAAATCTAAAATTTTTCATTGAAAATGCACTTATGCAGAACAAGAATAGGAAAAAAGTGTTGCTTTTTCTTCTCTGTTCTTTCTTTGCATCTTTTTCTTTCCCAGGTCTTAGAGTTTGTCCCTAGAAGGTGACAATTTCAAACTACATGCTTCAGAGTGGTACACATGCATCAGTCTTAGGGTGATCTATGGAGACTGGCAGCCAGCATATGTTCCAAATTTTCCTATCAGGAACTAAAGGCTAGAGAGCATATCAACCTCTGGGCTTGTCTTTGGTCTACTTTTCTGTTAAATTTCATTGCTGTTATTATTATCCTCTCCTCCCATAATTGCTTACCCTGTATTATTTTCTTCCTTCTTATTCTTTCATTTACTCAGCAAATATTTCTCAAATACCTACTAAGTGATAAGAGCTGTAAACAAGATAAATACAACCCTTGACCTCAGTCTCTTGGGCAAGACGTGTTAATGTCCACTACAAATGTTCTTACTAGTCATAAGTAGTCCACAGTTTTTATTCATTAAAGGTGAGTGGCGAAGTGGTAACTCAGGTGTTCCAGAACAAGATGTTCTAGTTGCTTCTCTTCCACTTACCACATCAGAACTGCTAAAGACTTCTGATTTGTATGGGGGAGGTGGGAGGGGCAGAGCAGGAAATGTCATCTTACCCTTATTCCAAGGATGATAGGCTTTCATAAGGATGTTTTTCTCTTCGTAAAGAAAGAATCCAGTTTAAAAGGCTTTTGTCCACAAACAGGACAAGAGGCACAAAAAGTAACTATTACAGTGATCTTTCGAGGGCCTAGTTATGTAGTTCATTCAGGTTTGAGTTGTCGTCTTTTAAGTACTTTTGTTGCTTTGATGGCTTCCTGTGTATATGAGATATTTTTTTTCCTCTGATCTGTCCCAAGACTTTTTGGCTGAGATATGGTTGTGAGCCCTTTCTTGAAAAAGCAGAATCTGGCCAGGCGCAGTGGCTCATGCCTGTAATCTCAGCACTTTGGGAAGCTGAGGTGGGTGGATCACCTGAGGTCAGGAGTTCAAGACCAGCCTGGCCAACATGGTGAAAACCCGTCTCTACTAAAAATACAAAAAAAAAAAAAAAAAACCTTAGCCGGACATGGTGGCACATGCCTGTAATCCCAGCTACTCAGGAGGCTGAGGCAGGAGAATCGCTTGAACCCAGGAGGCAGAGGTTACAGTGAGCTGAGATCGCGCCAGTGCACTCCAGCCTGGGCGACAGAGCAAGACTCTGTCTCAAAAAAAAAAAAAAAAAGAAAGAAAGAAAAAGAAAAAGCAGAATCTAAAACTTTGGTTATGGAGCTGAATGCTTTGAGGGAGGAATGCTTTACCTCACGAATTTGAGGTAAGAAAACAGGGCCTTTGGAACCTTCATTATTTTGCTAGGAAAACAGTATCGACTTAATACCTTTGTGTTCAAGGCACTTTTCTACCTGCCACAGGCCTATTCTTAAAAAGACAAAACAATTCCTCGAGTCCTCAAACAAGTACTTCTGAAACAGTGTTCTTAGGTCAGTCGATGACTGAACAAAAATGGATTTAGATTCATGTAACTTGTAGAAGGCATGATCCACCCTTTGACTTATGAGAAATGATCAGAACAGAAGAGAGAAAAAGACAAAAAGTAGTGCAGGCTGGCCATGGTGTCTCACACGTGTGATCCCAGCACTTTAGGATCCCAGCACTTTGGGTCAAGGCAGTAGGATTGCTTGAGCCCAGGAGTTTGAGACCAGTCTGGGCAACATGTCTAGATCTCCTCTCTACACAAATTAAAAATAGCTGGCATGGTGGCATGCGCCTGTAGTCCTAGCTACTCAGAAGGCTGAGGTGGGAGGATCATTTGAGCCTAGGAGGTCAAAGCTGCAATGAATTATGATTGTGCCACTGCACTCCAGCCAGGGTGATGGAGTAAGACCTTGTCTCAAAAATAAAATAAAGTAGCACAACCTCCCCAAGTTATTTTTTTCCCTCACTACAACCTCCCTTCCCAGGACAGCTTAGTTAAGTTTGCATGATGCTTTACTTCTGCAGATGTTTGGAGGCCATGATTAAGTACCTCACACTGTGGAAGAAAGAGGAGCAGGAGGAGCCCTATGTCAGCCTCACCCGAAAGAAGATGCTAATAGATGGCGAGGAGGTGCTGATAGAATGGGAGGTGGGCCACTCCATCCGGACCCTGGCTATGCACCGCAATGCCTACAAACGTATGTCACAGATCCAAGCCTTCCTGGGCTCAGTGCCCCAGCTGACCTATCAGCTCTATGTGAGCCTGATCTCTGCAGAGGTTCCCCTGGGTAGAGGTGAGTGGGGTCAGGAGAGGGGAGGGCTCCAGTTAAATCAAGGGTCTTAGAAGTCTAGACCCAAGCTGTCTAATAAACTGGCCACTAGCTTCATGTGGCTATTTAACTTAAAATTAAATAAAATTAAAAACTTGTTCATTAATACTAGCTACATTTCAAGTTCTCAGCAGCCGTGTGTTGCTAGCAACTACTGTATTGGATGGCACAGGTATAAACATTTCCATCATCACAGAAAGTTCTATCGGACAGCACTGGGAGATAGTTAAATAACTTGTGGAGTCAGACATCTCAAGCCTGCCAGATTTCTTAAACAGGTAAGCTGTTTAGACTAAAAATGTCACAGATAAACCTTCTCTGGGCCCAGAAGAAGCTAGTAATACCAGCAGTCAGTAGGATATTTTCCCTTGCCCAAAATGTTTAAATTATGCTGTTGTTTTGTTTGTTTAAGGATGGCAGTCTTTAATAAGAGGTTCCCAAATAGTACTGATCATCAGAATCATGTGATGAGCTTCTTTTTGAAATTATATTCACTCCCCAGACTTGAATCAATCTTAATATGTATTTCTAAAAGGTACCCAGTTGATTTTGATCAGCCACATTTGGGAACCAATGATTTAATCATTTCTGCTAATGCCAGTGGAGAGAAAGAAAAGGAGCGTGGGCTGGGCACGGTGGTTCAAGCCTGTAATCCCAGCACTTTGGGAGGCCAAGGCGGGTGGATCACAAGGTCAGGAGATTGAGACCATCCTGGCTAACATGATGAAAACCCGTCTGTACTAAAAATACAAAAAATTAGCCGGGCGTGGTGGCAGGCGCCTGTAGTCCTAGCTACTCGGGAGGCTGAGGCAGGAGAATGGCGTGAACCTGGGAGGCGGAGCTTGCAGTGAGCCGAGATCGCGTCACTGCACTCCAGCCTGGGTGACAGAGCAAGACTCCGTCTCAAAAAAAAAAAAAAAAAAAAAAAAAAAGCGTGGGGTTAATACTAATGAGAGTCAGGCCTGGACCAAGTTCTGACCTTCACTGTGATCTTTGGAGGAAGTTACAAAGCAATCACTGACCTAATTTCCCACTTGTAGAAGAGGGATCCTGAAATGAGTAAGACCTCTAGCAGAAGATGAAATGTGAGTCAGTGTTTTCAAAGTTGAGATAAATTGTTGTTAATGAATTTTAACAGCCTGAGATTTGCTTCATCTGCTTGGGCAGGCACTGGTATAGGTGTGGGTACAGGTTTGGACCATTTCCTATTAGATTCTAACCCTGTTTGGCAAAGTCCCATGTCTCAAATAAGGTAAGGAGAAAATTTGCCCTCTTTTGTCTTTTTTCCCCACTCAGAATTGTTCTTGAAGTTCTGTTGGTCTTGAAGCTTTTCACATACATAGTAGTTTGAGGAGAAAACTCTTTGGAAATGATGATGCTTTTCCTTTAAATCATCTAATAAAAATAGGTGTACATTACGGCTGGGCATGATGGCTCACGCCTGTAATCCTAACACTTTGGGAGGCCAAGACAGGCGGATCACTTGAAGTTGGGAGTTCAAAACCAGCCTGGCCAACATGTTGAAACCCCATCTCTACTAAAAACACAAAAAAAATCAAGGATGGGCATGGTGGCTGATACCTGTAATCCCAGCACTTTGGGAAGCCGAGGCAGGTGGATCACCTGAGGTCAGGAGGTTGAGACCAGCCTGGCCTGGCGAAACTCTGTCTCTACTAAAAATACAAAAATTAGCCGGGTATGGTGGTGGATGCTTATAATCCCAGCTACTTGGGAGGCTGATGCATGAGAATCACTTGAACCTGGGAGCCGAGATCTCACCGTTGCACTCCAGCCTGGGCAACAGAGCGAGACTCTGTCTCAAAAAAAAATTCAGCCAGGCGTGGTGGTGGGTGCCTGTAATCCCAGCTACTTGGGAGGCTGAAGCAGGAGAATTGCTTGAACCTGGGAGGTGGAGGTTGCAGTGAGCTGAGACTGCACCACTGCACCCCAGCCTGGGCGACAGAGGGAGACTCCCGTCTCATAAATAAATAAATAAATAACAAAAGTAATACATGCACAAAATGACATATAAGTAATTGTATTTGCACAGAAAATTTCTGGAAACTATGCAAGAAACTACCTCTGCGGAGTGGGAATGAAAAGTCAGCAGTCTTACTTTTTAAAATTCTTCTGTATGGTTTGAAAATTTTTTTTGTGATCATGCATTACTAGTTTTGGTCTTTATCTTTTTTTAATTACAAAAGTCAGACATGGTTATAGTAAAAATTAAAAACCATACAGAATAGATATAAAATAGGAAACGTAATCTCACTCCCCAAAGATAACCTCTGTTAATCATCCAGTATATATCCTTCTGGACTTATTTTTACTATGTAAACATAAACATACATACAATATATATTGTACATGTTTTTGCCCCAAAATGGACTGTATGAAACATTCTGTCAACAAAGTATTTTTCAAAAGTACAGTATGCCAGTATGTCTTTTCTCAAGTTATTTATATATACATGTATAACAATAATAAATATATAATATACATTTCCTTTATATGAATTAGACTTTTTATTCTCCTAATTTTCTATTGATAGGATTCTATTGATTGTCTCAAAAAGGAAAAAAAAAGGTAGCACAACCTCCCCTAGTTATTTTTTCCCCTCATTACAACCTCCCTTCTCAGGACAGCTTTAGTTAAGTTCCCATGATGCTTTACTTCTGCAGATGTTTGGAGGCCATGAGTAAGGACTTCACACTGTGGAAGAAAGAGGGGCAGCAGGAGCCCTATGTCAGCCTCACAAATTTTAATTTTTCACAAAAAAGTTGTTTCCTAATTGCAAATTATGCCACAGTAAACATCTTTATAAATACCTGTGTACATGAATGAGACTTTGTAGGATAAATTTATAGCAGTAGAATTGCTGGGTGGAAGGATATGTATGTTTAAAATTTTATTGATATTGCCAAATAACTCTTCCAAAAAGATATATGAATTTATACTCTCACCAACAGTATACAAATGTGCCTGTTTCTGTTTCTTCATATCTTAAACTCAATATTCTTTATTTGTATAATTATAAAATAATTGGCTTTTAAAATAATTGACTTTTAAAATAATTCGCTTTCTTTGGTTATGAATGAAGCTGAGCATCTTTTTGTGTTTGGTCATTGTGTGTTCTGTGAATTGCTTGTTTATATATTTTACTCGCTTTTTCTAGTGGGTTGTCTTTTTCATATTAATTTTTAGGAGCTATTTACTTATTCTTGTTATTAATCCTTTCTCTGCTGTGAATATGTATGCATATATTTGTATAATTTTTTGCTTGTACATACACACATTTTAAATATGTATATACATGTCATACGTGTAATATGTGTGTGATATATTTAATATCCACAATACACTTTGTAGTATCTTCTGGCATTCTGAAGTATTACATTTTTATGTATTCAAATTCTTTATTGCTTTTAGATTTTGTGCCTTTCTTACAAAGGCCTATCACATCTCTCATCTGGTAGAACAATTTTCCCCAATCTTTTAAGTAGATTAATTTTCAAGATAATTTTTTAATTCATCCTACAAAAAACAAAGCAAAATAATAACAGCAAAAGAAAAAAACATTTCATTGAGATTCCGATTGAGATTTGCATCAAATTACTTAGGTTATTTTGGGAGAATTTACATCTTTATAGGATTGTTGGATTTCATATTGTGAAATGATAAATCTCTCCATTTTATTAAATATTTTAACATGTACCTCAGTAAAATTGTATAGTTTTCTTCAGTAAAGTTGTATAGTTTTCTTGCTATGAGTCTTACATTTTTATAAGGCTTACTTTCAGATGTTCTATCAGTTTTAAAATGACCTGATTTTCTAAGTAGCAGGATAGTATCCAGGTAAAGTAAACCCACCTACCATACTTTTGGAAATAGGGGGATGATGAAGATGACAAAGAATAGGAAGAAAGAGGAGGAGGGGGAGGAGGAGAAAAAGGAAAGGAAGAAGGGAAGAAGGAAGAAGAAGAAAGAAGAACACAGCTAAAAGAATTTACTAGGTTCTAGGCATTTCTCTAAGCCCTTTACATGTAAATGTTTATTTAATCTTTACCACAACCCTATGAGATAATTATCATTCTCATTTTACAGACGAAGAAACAGACGCACTGAGAGTTTAAGTATATTCCCCCAAGGTCCCATAAGCAAAGATTGGATTGGAATTCAGGGTGTTTGCCTCCAGAGCCTGTGTATTTTGTTCTCTTATGGCATGAGTGTATTTGTAGGGACACAGATTGAAAATGTTTTGACATTTATTGGAAGCATCAGGTTTTTTTCCTTCTGTTACACTACTAATCAATAAATGAGTTCTAATGTAAGGGAAAGCATCGCCACACAGCTGGATGTATGCTCTCACATTCCCAGTTACATAAGGTGCATCAGCTCTTGAGGATGGGACTGAGAATGGTTGAGAAAGACAAGAGTCACCACTTCAAGAGTCTCCAATTCCAGTCTCTGAGATTCCAACACTCTACTTAAAACTGAAGAACTCAGAGCTGT
Organism: Homo sapiens; assembly: GCF_000001405.40. NCBI lineage: Eukaryota > Metazoa > Chordata > Mammalia > Primates > Hominidae > Homo > Homo sapiens. Next base: position 100,918,244 of record NC_000023.11, on the reverse strand, counting down.
GCTTCCTTTTGGGTTTACATGGGGGAAATCTTAACTTTTCCTCCACTAAAAGTAAAAGATTAAGTTGACATCTCTATGGCCACCTTTTCCCTACATCAAGTGTTTTAATAGGAACAGAAAACTCCAGCTTTCCTTTTGGATGAGTATTCCTCAGCCATCCCACTTCTCTTGAGAGCACTGGATTTTTCTTAGTAATCAGCATCCTTTGACATAAAGGAAGAAAAGGAAAGGGCCACCTGTGTCATCTATAGTTGAGGCTTAGGTAGGTTAGGGAGCATCCTGGCTCTTTAGGGCCACTACTCTAACATATGGTTCCATGGATGTCATGGGTGAGGCAACAGGGTTTGGAAATTTTTGAACTACTCTGCTGCAAACTCAGAGATTCCTAACATATGGGGGTAATGAATTGACATTGCTGATGACAAATATAAGCAACTCTTGAGTATCTCAGTGAATTGAGAACTGAGGTACATAGATATTCAGTGACTTCCAAAAGTTCCCATACAGCTGAACCAAGGATTTCTTTCTTTCTTTCTTTCTTTCTTTCTTTCTTTCTTTCTTTCTTTCTTTTCTTTCTTTCTTTCTTTCTTTCTTTCTTTCTTTCTTTCTTCTTTCTTTCTCTTTCTTTCTCTCTTTTTCCTTTTCTTTTTCTTTCTTTTCTTTCTCTCTTTCTTTCTCTCTCTCTCTTTCTGTCTTCCTCCCTTCCTCCCTTTCTCTCTTTCTCCCTTTCTTTCTTCCCTTCCTCCTTACAGGCATGCACCACCATGCCCAGCTAATTTTTGTATTTTTAGTAGAGACCGGGTTTCACCATGTTGGTCAGGCTGGTCTTGAACTCCTGACCTCAGGTGATCCACCCACCTCAGCCCCGCAAAGTGCTTGGGATTACAGGTGTGAGCCACCGTGTGCACGGCTGGAACCAAGGATTTCTAATTAGTTTTATTTTTTATTTTTTTTCTTTTTGAGAAGGAGTCTCACTCTGTCACCCAGGCTGGAGTGCAGTGGGGCAATCTCAACTCACTGCAACCTCTGCCTCGTGGGTTCAAGTGATTCTCGTGCCTCAGCCTCCTGAGCAGCTGGGATTACAGGCATGCCATCATGCCTGGCTAATTTTTTTTTCTTTCTTTTTGAGACAGAGTCTCACTCTGTTGCCCAGGCTGGATCGCAGTGGTGCAATCACGGCCCACTATTACCTCTGCCTCCCAGGTTCAAGTAATTCTCCTGCCTCAGCATCCCAGGTAGCTGGGAATACAGGTGCACGCCACCACGCCTGACTAATATTTGTATTTTTAGCGGAGATGGGGTTTCATCATGTTGGCCAGGCTGGTCTCGAACTCCTGACCTCAGGTGATCCATCCGCCTTGGCCTCCCAATGTGCTGGGATTACAGGCATGAGTCACCGCGCCCAGCCTAATTAGGTATTTTATGCACCTCTCTAATCTCAGAAGTCTTCATTAATTCCACAAACATTTATTGAGCACCTGCTATGTTCCAGGTAATATGTTAGGCTATGGGAATACAGCAGTGAAGAAAACATGGTCCCTCCTGCCTTCATGGAATTTTCAATACACATTTTGACACATCACTGAAGCTAAGTGTTCTAGAAACACACAAACAATGTTAGTTCCTTGAAGAAGATATACATCAAAGAAGGGACTTCTATTAGCAAGAGCGTTCTCTATGAGTCTCCTAAGACTGGATTTTTTCAGATAGAGTTCTTTCCGCCTTATTCAATGTTTGCTCCGAAGCCTGCTTCATCAGCAAAGTCTGCCTGATACCTTTATATGTACTCTTCTCACGTTAGTGACTTCTCAATGTTCTAAGACCCATGCTTTTTAAGGAAGTTTATTTTGTATATTTATATGATTATTAAAGTGTTACAGTATATGTTCATCATGAGAAATTTAGAAAATAGAGAAATGTAGAGAAAAAGATTTCTAAAACTGATATAAGACTATCACACACAAAAAAAGATATTTTGGTTCATTTTTTCAATTTTTTGTGCATCTATTTTGTTTTATTGTATATATTCAAGGTGTACAATGTGATGTTTCGATGTATGTACACATTGTGAAATGATTACCACAACCAAACTAATTAACACATTCATCACCTCACATAGTTATCATTTTTGTACGTGTGTGTGTGTGTGTGTGTGTGTGTGTGTGTGGTAAAACTTAAGATCTACTCTCTTTAAAAATTTCAAGTACACAATACATTATTGTCAACTATAGTCATCATGTTGTACATTAGAGCTCTGAAACTTATTTATCTTATAACTCTAAATTTGTAGCCTTTGATCAAAATCCTTCTATTTCCCTAAATCCCCATCCCCTGGTAACCACCCATTCTACTCTGTTGCTAGGTGTTCAACTTTTTTAGATTCCACATATAAGTAAGACAATGCAGTATTTTTCTTTATGTGTCTAGCTCATTTCACTTAGCATAATGTCCTCTAGGTTCATCTGTGTTGTCACGGATGGCAGAGTTTCTGTAATTTTATGGTTGAATAATATTCATACACACACACACACACACGCACACACACACACACACACAGACACACCCACCAGATTTTCTTTATCCATTCATCTGTCAACAGATACTGAGTTTGTTTCCATATCTTGGCTATTGAGAATAATACTACAATGAGCATGAGAGTGCAGATATCTCTTTGAGATACTGATTTCCTTTAGGTATACACCCAGCAGTGGGATTATTTGATCGTTTGGCCGTTCTGTTTGTAATTTTTTTGGAGAACCTCCATGCTGTTTTCCATAATGGCTGTGTCAGTTTATGTTCCCACAAACAGTGTACAAGGTCCTTTTTCTTACATCCCCACCAACACTTTTTTTTTTTAATAATAGCCATTCTAACAGGTGTGAGGTGATATCTCATTGTGGCTTTGATTTGCATTTTTGTGATGATTAGTGATGTTGAACACCTTTTCATATACCTGTTGGCCGTTTGTATACCGCCTTCGGAGAAAGTCTATTCAAGTGCATGCTATTTGTTTACATAGCTGTGATCATATTTGCATTTGCTCTTAACTGGAGCTCTCAAGTCTCACCCGTCATCTCTCTGGACCTCTGGGTTATAAGTACAGCCTTCATTACCAACATTGACTGATTGCCTGTTTTTGTTTTTGTTTTTGTTTTTAACAGTTGTGCTAATGGTATTTTCCCTGGTATCTGTCACCTATGGGGCCACCCTTTGCAATATGTTGGCTATCCAGATCAAGTACGATGACTACAAGATTCGCCTTGGGCCACTAGAAGTCCTCTGCATCACCATCTGGCGGACATTGGAGATCACTTCCCGCCTCCTGATTCTGGTGCTCTTCTCAGCCACTTTGAAATTGAAGGCTGTGCCCTTCCTAGTGCTCAACTTCCTGATCATCCTCTTTGAGCCCTGGATTAAGTTCTGGAGAAGTGGTGCCCAGATGCCCAATAACATTGAGAAAAACTTCAGCCGGGTCGGCACTCTGGTGGTCCTGATTTCAGTCACCATCCTCTATGCTGGCATCAACTTCTCTTGCTGGTCAGCTTTGCAGTTGAGGTTGGCAGACAGAGATCTCGTCGACAAAGGGCAGAACTGGGGACATATGGGCCTGCACTATAGTGTGAGGTTGGTAGAGAATGTGATCATGGTCTTGGTTTTTAAGTTCTTTGGAGTGAAAGTGTTACTGAATTACTGTCATTCCTTGATTGCCTTGCAGCTCATTATTGCTTATCTGATTTCCATTGGCTTCATGCTCCTTTTCTTCCAGTACTTGCATCCATTGCGCTCACTCTTCACCCATAATGTAGTAGACTACCTCCATTGTGTCTGCTGTCACCAGCACCCTCGGACCAGGGTTGAGAACTCAGAGCCACCCTTTGAGACTGAAGCAAGGCAAAGTGTTGTCTGATTCTATTTTCTGGGTATTTTAGGAAGAGTTGGGAGTTGCCAAGAGTAACCATGAAATTGAACGAAAGGATGAGGTTCATGGGTGAGATACCCATCAGTACATTTTCTTGACTTTTCTGTTAAGCCTATCAGAAGAAAGAGCAACTCCCAAATAGGTTTTATTTTCTTAAGAGTTACCACTATGTTTGGAAACAGGGGGTATCGACTATATAGTTGAAAGGGTCAGAAATACCATTCACACCCTTCTTACCCAAGTCAATTGGAATAACTTGTCTTCAAACACTTTAGGCTCTCTAAAGTGACCTTCTAGCTCTGCTCATTTGCTTGATGCATTTCTGAGCTTTCCTGGGCTGAGCTGAAGGCCCAGAATCCCGCTAGAATATATCCTGACTGATCAGAGGATATGACAGCTTACCAGCTAAGAGTACCTCCCAGGAAACAGTCTGACTAATGTGGAACCTGCAACTGTCAGTGTGGCTGGGGTCTTTTTAATTCCAGTGAGAAGCTCTGGCTGAGAAGAAAATCACCACTATTAAAAAAGCTGCTCCCCAAGCAGATTAGCTCTCTGTTAGGATTTTACTAGTGGCCATTCAGCAAGGACCTCTCTTTACAGTGGCACTTCATAGGCACACTCTAAGGAGAAAGTGCAGAGTAGAATTCCTTCAGGGCATAAGCCAAAATGACTCTTTTTCTCAGGGACCTGCATGGGCCTCCAGCTTGTCTATTGGAATTGTTAAGTGAAGCCTCTCACTTAGTGCCTCATTAGCAGAGATTTCCTCCAACCCAGCTTTTCTGTGCTCTTGGTATTTTACTACTTGATGTGGACCTCAGAGAAGCTGAACTGTAATTGAAAATGTTTCCGATGTGTGGAAGAAATGAAGACTGCTTTGTGTCTGCTGTTGTCCTGAGTATTTCATTAATGTGTGTGTGTGTGTGTGTGTGTGTGTGTGTGTGTATGTGTATGTGTGTAGGGAAGAAAGTAATAATGGCTGAGACATCACCTTCATGTTGTTTGCGATTGGGATGGGTGACTAACACTCCAAGGTAGAGTGAAGGCAGAGGAGGGAAACAAGATCACATTAAATCATCATCAGTACTGGTTTCTGCCTACAGGAGTTTACTTTTTTTTTTTTTCTTTTTTGAGATGGAGTCTCGCTCTGTTTTCTAGGCTGAAGTGCAGTGGTGTGATCTTGGCTCACTGCAGCCTCTGCCTCCTGGGTTCAAGCAGTTCTCCTGCCTCAGCCTCCCGAGTAGCTGGGATTACAGGCGCCCGCCACCATGCATGGCTAATTTTTGTATTTTTAGTAGAGATGGGGTTTCACCATGTTGGCCAGGCTGGTCTCGAACTCCTGACCTCAAGTGATCCACCCGCCTCGGTCTCCCAAAGCACTGGGATTACAGGCATGAGCCACCTCACGCGGCCAGGATTTTACTTTATAACAAGGAACATATGTTTATCAACCCTCTGTTCGTTCCTATACCCCCAGTGGACGAATGCATGTCTCCTTTTCTCCTATATCTCAATGTTTACATCTCATATCAGTTGGGTATTTTGATAGGAATGTCAGCCAGCTACCTCTGAGGTAACCAAGGGATTGAAGTTACTATGGCCACTGCCTATTGGGACCAAATATCCCAGCATTTACCTAACTAATGCTTGCCCCTCACAGACCAGGAAAATTAAAAGAACTCCTAGTCGTGGCCACCACAACACTTCAAGAAATTGTGAACAATCTGACCTAGGGCTTCCTGTCCTCATCCAATTTTACTCTTGGTAGCATGCTAAGAATTTATCTTTAGTCATTTCCTCTCCTCTTATCCAATGTCAGGACATTATGTTGAGGGAGTTCTCTCTTCTAAGTAGCAGGGCTGTTAACCAAAGTATCTTATTTCTTGGCATGGCTAGCATGGTTTTCCCTTCATCAGCCACTGTTTGGGACTAAAAGGATTATATAACTTAATTTGGGAGAGACTGTATGGACTTGCTTTGGAACAGTGGAGAGCTCCTTTCTTCAACCCCAACTCCCCCATTCCATTTTTCATGATGAAGAGACTTAGTTATTGTCATATAAAGCTCACCTGCTGTCTTCTAACTATGTTATTCAAGGTGAGGCTTGAAAGAACTAATCTATCAGACCTCCAGAAGAACACATTACTTCTTTGGAATTCAAGCAAGAATTTCTCCCCAATAGTCACTGTACCCTCAAGTAAAATCAAGAGCAGCATGGAACAATAATTTGGTCCATAAAAGCCATGTGAATCAGCTACTTAAGGAGTGGGTGCTATGGAAACATATAGACACATACTGATCTAAGGAAGTCAATTGGAGATAAAATGACGCTACACAGGGCAAAAAGTGTGCCTCAGTACTGGACCAGGCAAAATTTTCCTTCTGTATATTCTCCCCAGCTTCCTCAGTGACTTAACATCCTGGGAATGCAGAGAGTTTAGGGGTGTGGAGTAGTTTCTGACCTGAAAAACCTGCTGCCCTCACCCAAGGAGAAAAGACTCTAGTGATACATTATGTAAATGAACCCTTAGAACTTCCTACAGATGGTGGCCTTTTGGTTCTGTAAAAATCCTCCAGATACACAGGAGAAGATGGAATTGTGAAATATGGTAGTGGGGCAGGGAACTTGCTCCCTTCCATTTGCAAACACTTTTAAAATTGACTACTCTCTTCTTACTTTCTGAAATCTTTTTTTAACCATTTTAATGTTTGCAATTTAATAAATCTCTTGATGATTGCAGACATATAAGGCTGTTTGGTGGTATTCAGAAACATCACAGTAATGGCAGTTTTTTCAATTGGTTTGTAGTCCTCAATAATTATATATTAAATTGCTGTCAAACCAGTAAGACTGCATTTATGCATCCATCATTTTCAGGATTGTTGGTAACCTGGGCATATTTTCCCCAAATAACTTTGCCTCTTTGCGTCACAAGTCCCAGTTTGCTCACATTTACCTCAATGACAGTACCTTTGGTAATAACACCCAAAGTTGTATACAGTGGGAATGAGGGATTCTTCTTTACACCAAGTATTGGTAAGCAAAAGGTGGCTTTCAGTTCAGGATGTGTTACATGGGCTTTCTTGAAATGCAAGCCCATTGGCCTGATGAGTCTTTCATATTTAGGTGGTTTTCTTATAAAGCCATCTCCAACAAAGCAGACTTTAGTAACCATCCTCTTCCATGCCTTCTTCTTTCTCTTTCCTGTTCGAATAACTTTTAATACTTTTGTTTCTCCTTGGGCACATACTTCAGGCAGAGGGACTTCCCATTTTCCCACCTTCTCTTTTCGTTTCTGTTTAATCATATTGGAAAGTACTGTAGCTCGAGATTGTGCCTCTCTGTCCAGCAGATAGGCAGGTACTGATCCCCGTGGAGTCTTTTCATTATTCTTGTGTTTGGTGTTTCTCTTTTCATGCATCTTGATAGTCTTTTTCATTTGTATTTTCTCAGCATGGCACGGTTTATGGTAAAGCTTAGCCTTCAGACCATCATTTTCTTTGCCTTCTTTGAACGTTCGTAGCCTCTCGACTTTCCTTCTTTCTCTTTTTCTCATGGTAATCCAAACGATATCCATAGCGTTTACAGTGTAATTCAATATATTCGTTCTGTGGCATGGTGAAGGCCGCAGAGTTGCCAGTAGCAGCCTCTGGGGTGCGAAAATGCTCTCAATTTTCAGGTCTCAGAGACCCACGAGCCGAGGCCGCACAGTCCTCTCTGAAATCTTTTTTTTTTTTTTTTTAAGACGGAATTTTGCTCTTGTTGCCCAGGCTGGAGTGCAGTGGCATGATCTTGGCTCACCGCAACCTCCACCTCCCGGGTTCAAGTGATTCTCCTGCCCTAGCCTCCCAAGTAGCTGGGATTACAGGCATATGCCACCATGCCTGGCTAATTTTGTATTTTTAGTAGAGACGGGGTTTCTCCATGTTGGTCAGGCTGGTCTTGAACTCCCGACCTCAGGTGATCCACCTGCCTCGGCCTCCCAAAGTGTTGAGATTACAGGCATGAGCCACCACCCCTGGCCTACTCTCTTAAATCTTAAAGCAACATAGGGTACATGTGTAGGGACAAGTCTTGCTGAGTGGAGAGGAGGCAGAGACAGGGCCAGAAAATGGTTTCTGGAAAAGGCAGACATAACTATGAAGTTTGGGGAAAAGAAGTAGGCCATTGTAACAACAGCTATTCTCATATTATTGGAAATTTGGTAGGCTAAGTATGGGCAAATTTGCATGTTAGGAAAAGAAATAAACTAATAGTTTTCAATTTCATTTGCTCCACAAGAACTTCAAAGACTATGGGCATAGGACTGTGAGGCACTGTGGGAGAACTAAATAATAGCTTATATTTATGAGCACCTACTATATTCCTGGCACGGTACTAGGTGTTTTATATGCTTTTTTTTTTTTTTTTTTTTTTTTTTTTTTTGAGATGGAGTCTCGCTCTGTCACCCAGGCTGGAGTGCAGTGGTGCGATTTCGGCTCACTGCAACATCCGCCTTGTGGGTTCAAGTGATTCTCCCGCCTCAGCCTCCCAAGTAGCTGGAATTACAGGCACCCGCCATCATGCCCAGCTGATTTTTGTATTTTTGTAGAGATGGGGTTTCACCATGTTGGCCAGGCTGGTCTTGAACTCCTGACCTCAGGTGATCCACTTGCCTTGGCCTCCCAAAGTGTTGGGATCACAGGCGTGAGCCACTGTGCCAGGCCTATATGCATTATTTCATTCGATCCTCACAACAACCCTTATGAGGTAGGTATTGTTATCTCCCATTTTACAGATGATTCTAAGGCATAAGAAGGTTAAGAGGCCTGTCCAAGGTCACAGCTAGTGTCAGAGACAGGATTCAGTCCTATGCCCTTAGGCTCCAGAGCTTATGCTCTTAATCATGGTACAAGCCTCTAAGTCCTCTTAGGTCCTTATGAAAGCATTTTAATGTGTTAGTGGTTTCAGCAGTATTTTCTGAGCTATGGTTGGGTTCATCCCAAACATTTTTTCCCCTTAAACACTCCTTATCAGGAGGCACCACTGAATTCTCTCTAGAGAGAAGTCCTAAAACGCCTGGGATGAAAGCTGAGCATATGCTCACATGTACTTATAGATTCGTACTGGGATAGTGAGGAGAAGGATGGTAGAGGGGCCCATTTCCTTTCTAATTTCAGGACATTAACTCCTGTATGCTCTTCCTTACACACCTTTCAAACCGTGGTTGTGGGAAGAAAACTGGAGAGGGCAGTTCCTGCTAAGGGTTGTATGAACTCTGACTCCAGGAACAACCAATCAGGCCAGTGCTGAAGCCCATTCCCTTCCACTTCATCTTGCCAGCACTGCTCTTACTCCTGCTAGGAAGCTGACTTCTAGTTCTAGAGCAGGCCAAGGGAAGTGGACAGTAGAGAATAGTGCCCCTCCCTAGAGCCTAGGTCAACCTTCAGTGCCCTTTCAGCTAGCCCCTTCATGCCTGCATCTCATATGGTCATGGTCCTTAACATTACAGAGTTTATTGTCATGTTCCAGGGTGGGGGTGGGGCAGGCATCTGTGGGGTAGGGTACTCACCAGGACTTTCCATCTAAGCCCATGGGGCTTTATATCTAGGAAATTCTTTAGTACATAATCAGCTGACTCTGCCCTGTGAAATACTTACCTACTTAAGAGTGGGAACCCTTGTTCTCTGAAGCCTTTGCTATTGGGCTGTCTTACTATCTTCAGAGGACACATATGTCCATAATCTTACCATGTCTTTCCTCCTGAAGGATTGGCACAATCAGTCACACACTTTAGACCTTAGAGCCTCTGGGGTACATAGCGGAAATATGTTGAGTCTTGGCAAAAGAACGTACACTGTGTGAAACTGGCAAGTAGTGAGGCCAACCTGTGTGAGATATGTGAACTAAGTATGAAAAGAACACACATTCTGGCCGGGCGCAGTGGCTCACACCTGTAATCTCAGCACTTTGGGAGGCCAGTGCAGGTGGATCACCTGAGCTCAGGAGTTCGAGACCATCCTGGGCAACATGGTGAAACCCTGTCTCTACTAAAATACAAAAAATTAGCCAGGCGTGGTGGCACGCACCTGTACTCACAGCTACTTGGGAGGCTGAGGCATGAGAATCGCTTGAGCCCAGGAGGTTGCAGTGAGCCGAGATCATGCCACTGCACTCCAGCTTGGGCTACAGAGTGAGACTCCGTTTCAAACACACACACACACACACACACACACACACACTCCATGCATGAAAATAATATCTGAATAGCACTTTATAATATGAAAAGCACATTTACATACATTATCTGTTACCAATGCATCATTGTTAGGATAAGCCCTCTGAGTTATACATATGGATTTGCATTGTTTTAACATTCAATTCACCAAGGATTAAGCTTTTATTTTTTGCCAAGAAAACCTATATGGATATCTCAAAATGCTGTGTAGATCCTGAAAGATTTAAAAATGAATTCCATATAACTAGTGTAAGAGATGTGGGAGATAAACAGTTACTCTCACACATTATTGGTATGAGTGTAAGATATTGATGTACATTTTGAAAGGTGATTTGTTAATATTTGTGAAAATTAAATTGACATGCATTGTGTCTCAGAATTTTAACCACCAGAAAATTTTCCTATGGAAACATAGTCACAATTACACGAAGAGTTATGCATAGGGGTGTTCATTGCCCCTCTATTTATCATGGTGAAAAACTGGTAACTTAAATTTTCATCTATGGGGAAATGACTAAACTGTAACAGTTCCATAATTGGAATACTATCTACCCATTAAGAGGAATGGGGTAGCTGCATACAGCATGTGCTGAATGAAAAGATAAGGGACAGGTCAGATGTGGTGGCTCACGCCTGTAATCCCAGCACTTTGGGAGGCCAAGGCAGGAGGATTGCTTGAACTTAGGAATCTGAGATCAGCCTGGGCAACAGAGTGAGACCGCAACTCTACTAAAAAGAAAAAGAAAAATCAGTCAGGCATGGTGGTGTGTACCTGTCGTCCCAGCTACTTGGGAGGCTGAGGTGGGAGGATCACTTGAGATCAGAAGATTGAGGCTGCAGTGAGCCATGATCGCACCACTGCACCCCAGACTGGGTGACACAGCAAGACCCTGTCTCAAAAACTAAAAAAAAAATTTTTTAAGTGACAAAAGCAAGTTGAAGAATAAAATGTCTAAGATGAGGCTATAAAAAATCATTCAAAATTTGGAAGCAAGAGTAAGACGGGAAGAATAATGACTACCCCTACTTAAGATCTCCATGTCCTGCTCCTCAGAACCTGTGAATATGTTATGTTACATAGCTGGGGGAATTAAGGTTGCAAATCAGTTTACCTTGAAATAGGGGAGTTACCTTGAATTATCCAGGTGTGCCTGGTGTAATCCCAAGGATCCTTATAAGAGAAAAGGTGATGCGAAGATGGAGGCAGAGAGATTTGAGGATGCTATGCTGTTGGTTTTAAAGATGGAGGAAGAGGCCACGAACCAAGGAATGCGAGAAAGCAGCTTCAGAAGCTGGAAAAAGCATGGAAATATTCTCTCATAGAACCTCCAAAAGGAACATGGCCCTTCTGACATGGCTGTTTCAGCCCTTGTGAAACAGATTTCTAACTTCTGATCTCCAGAACTGTTAAGAGAATAAATGTGTGTTGTTTTAAGCCACCTAGTTTTTGGTAATTTGTTACAGCAGCACTAGGAAACAAATACAAAAGGAAAGATGACTACTTGATGCTTTAATGTCATGTTAAGATAATTTTTTTAACAGGCCTCTCTGAGGGTCATCTGACTCTCTAGGTCTAGATAATTGCAATTTAACACAATTGATGAGATTCCAGTGATTTTACAATTCTGTAAAACTGGCAAGATGCAGTGACATTGTTTTCTGTCCACCTAAAGAAGACACCACAGGGAGAAGGGGAGGGATGAATAAGTGGAGCACAGAGGATTTTTCAGGGCAGTGAAATTACTCTGTAGGATACTACATTGGTGGGTACATATCATTACATATTTGTCCAAACCCATAGAATGTACAACATCAAGAGTGAACCTTAATGTAAACTATGAACTTTGGGTGATTATGATGTGTCAATGTATCTTCATCAATTGTAACAAATGCACTACTCTGATGAGGGATGTTGATGAAGAGGGAGGCTATGCACTTGTGGGGGGAGGGGATATATGGAAAATCTTCCTACCTTCCTTTCAGTTTTGCTGTGAACCTAAAACTGCTCTTAAAAGTAGTCTTTTTTAAAAGAAAAACCTGGAATATAACATTATTGGATGAAACAATCAATTATGTTAATATTGACAATTGATTTAATAGAACTGTCTTGGCTCTAAAATTGTAATTTTAAATGCATCTTTGTAGAAATGAAACTATATCTTAAACTATATGTTCATTAAATTATTTTTTAAAAGACACCACTATTTTGGTTCTTATTGCCCTGTAGAACATTAACCAGCTTTGATTCTAATTTAGCAATCTTATTTTAGCATTCCTTTGGTGTTTTTACTGACTATATATAAAATACCTGTTTTCATATCCTCTTTTGAGTTGGCTGCCACCTTACTGGTTTCCTCCTCAATGAGTTAAATAAATCTTTGATACATATGAATTCTCTATTTGTATGAAACTTATGTTTATTTGTTTTAGATTTATTTTGAGAATCATATGTTAACAATGATCCCATTTTTGTAAAATACAAAACCAACAATATGGGGGGGTAGAGGAAAATGTTTCAAGCTTTTTTCAGCAGTTCTGTTTGGGAAGGTGGGAGAGAATACTAGAGATTTCTCCTGTGTTTAGTGTTTTGCAACATTTAGATTTTGTATAAATTTACACGATATTTGTAATCAGAAAAATACATTGCTTTAAAAAGTAAATATGTATGAAAATGATTCACACACAGTGTGTGCCCTCAACAAGTTTAAGATCTGGCTAAAGATAGAGACATGCTTCATTCAACTAAATAGAAATACAAGGCCAGTTATGATAGATGCCTTTGAAGGAAGAGGGCTATCATCTGTTGAGTGCTTATGAGATACCAAGGGCCATCTTGGATCATTAATATAGATTCATTTTATCATCACAATGACTCTGTGAGGTAGATTCTGTCTCTCTTTTTCATATAAAAAAGCTGAAGCTGAGAGTAACTTGCCCACGGTCACACAGCTACTAAGACAAAGAGCCAGAATTTAAGCCCTGGTCTTATTCCAAAGCTCATATTCTTTCCATTTTACTATACTACCTCCCATAGATGTTGGGACCCATGGTCTGGACTGGGTAGGACTGAAGTCAGTGAGCATTTTATACTCATTGTTGGTTCTTTAAATTGGGGCAGATCTATTCATACATCACACAGAAAACAGGCAAAAGGCGTCTGTTTCCAATATTTATCCAAACCAGCTCATGGTTTAGCCTTCTCTATATGGTTCCCTGCCCTCCATGTGCTTATATTCTTGGCTTTGGGCTCCAGCCCTTCTTCCTTTCCTGACCCGTTTGGCTCTGCTTCTCTGGTTTACCAACTTCTACCTGCCTCACTTGATTTTCCAACTTGCTCTTCTCCATCGGATTGGCTCACTTACCCATAAGACCTTCCTTCTGCCAGCCTCAACCCCCAGGTATCAACACCTGCTGGACAAGCTTCCTTGTCTCCCAGCCAGGAGAGTAGGATTAAACAGGCATAGCCAGGTCAGAAAACTTGAACTTCCCTGGGAGTGGCATGGAAGAATCATGTGCTTAGGGCGCCAAGCCAGGAATTCAGCACCAGAGCAGGAAAGCAGGAACTTATTTAATTAAGAATGAAGTTGAAAGCTTTTTAATTTTAATGAAGTCCAGCTTATCAATTATTCCATGGATCATACCTTTGGTATTGTATCTAAAAGGTCATCATCATATCCAATGTCATCTAGATTTTCTCCTATGTTATCTTCTAGGAGTTTTATCATTTTGTGTTTTACATTTAAGTCTCTGATCCATTTCGAGTTAATTTTTTGAAGGGTGTAAGGTCTGGGTGTTTTTTTTGTTTTTTGTTTGTTTGTTTGTTTGTTTCTGCATGTGTATGTCTGGTTATTCCAGTATTATTTGTTGAAAAGACCATCTTTGCTCCATGGTATTGCATTTGCTCCTTTACCAAACATCAGTTGACTATTTATGTGAGTCTATTTCTGGGCTATCTCTACTGTCCCATTGATCTATTTGTCTACCCTTTCACCAATACCACACAGTCTTGATTACTGTAGCTTTATAGTAAGTCTTGAAATTTGGTAGCGTCAACCTCTTTGTTCTTCCTTTCCAATACCAAGTTGGCTATTCTGGGCCTTTTGCTTCTCCATAAATACTTTAGAATCAGTTTATTGATATCCACAAAATAATTTGCTGGGATTTTGATTGGGATTGTATTCAAGCTATAGAAGAATTTGGGAAGAACTGACAGCTTGACAATATTGATTCTTCTTATCCATGAACATGGACTATTTCTTCATTTATTTAGTTATTATTTGATATCTTCCATCAAAGTTTTGTAGTTTTCTTTATATAGAACTTGTACTTATCTTGTTAAATTTATACTTAAGTATTTTATTTTGGGGGGTGCTAATGTAAATGTGCATATGAAAAGATATTTGACATCATATGTCATTAAGGAATTGCAAATTAAAACAACAACAAGATACTACTACACACCTGTTAGAATGTCCAAAATCCAAAACACTGATAATACCAAATGCTGTAGAGCAACAGGAACTCCATTTCATTGAAGGTGGGAATAAAAATGGTACAGTCAGTTTGGAAGACAATTTGGTAGTTTCTTACAAAACTAAATATACTCTTACCATACAATCCAGCAATCATGCTCCTTGATCTGTTATAAATTTCAAATTCTACTTGTTCATTGCTGGTATATAGGAAAGCAATTAATTTTTGTATATTAATTTTGTATCCTGCAACCCTGCTATAATTGTTTATTAGTTCCAGTTCCAGCAGTTTTTTGTCAATTATTTCAGATTTTCTGCATAGAAAATTATGTTAACTACAAAGACACTTTTATTTCTTTCTTCCCAATCCATATACAGTTTATTTCCTTTTCTTGCTTTATTGCATTATCTAGGACTTCCAATATGTTGGAATGCAGTGCTGAGATGAAACGTTCTTGCCTTTTTTTGTTGTTATTTGTCTTTTTGTTTTTTTCCTTGTTTCTGATCTTAGCAGAAAGCTCCAAGTTTCTCACCATGAAGTATGATGTTAGTTGTAGGTTTTTTGTTTTTTTTTTTAAATAGATGTTCTTGGCCAGGTGCGGTGGCTCACGACTGTAATCCCAGCACTCTGGGAGGCCGAGGTGGGTGGATCATGAGGTCAGGAGATCGAGACCATCCTGGCTAACACAGTGAAACCCCATCTCTACTAAAAATGTAAAAAAATAGCCGGGCATGGTGGCGGGCACCTGTAGTCCAGGTACTCGGGAGGCTGAGGCAGGAGAATGGCGTGAACCCTGGAGGCGGAGCTTGCAGTGAGACGAGATCACGCCACTGCACTCCAGCCTGGGTGACAGAGCGAGACTCCATCTAAAAAAAAAAAATAGATGTTCTTTATCAAATTGAGGAAATTCCCCTCCATTCCTAGTTTGTCAAACATTTTTATCATGCATGGATGTTAGATTTTGTCAGCTTTTTTCTGTATGTATTAATAGGATCATATGGTTGCTATTTAGTCTGTTAATATGATGAATTACATTAATTGATTTATAAATGATAGAACAGACTTTCATTCTTGGGATGAATCCCACTTGTTCTTGATATATTATTATTTTTTATATTGTTGGATTAAATTTGCTAATACTTTGTTAAGAATTTTTGCACCTATGTTCATGAGAGGTATTTGTCATTTTCTTGTAATGTTTTGTCTGGACTTGGTATTACGGTAATGCTGGCCTCATAAAATAAGTTGGGAATTGTTTCATTCTTTTCCACTTTCTGGGAAAGGTTATAGGCAGTTGGTATCATTTTATATCTTTCATTTCTAATATATGCATATAATGCCATAATTTTCCCCCTCAGCACTGCTTTCACTGCATTCCACAAATTTTGATAAGATGTATTTTAATTTTCATTTAGTTCAAAATATGTTTTAATTTCTAGACTTATTCTTTGACCTGTGAGTTATTTAGAACTGTATTGTTTAATTTCCAAATATCTGGGAACTTTTCAGCTATCTTTCTGTTACTGATTTCTAGCTTAATTTTTTTTTTGTCTGAGAATGCATTTTGTATGATTTCTATTCTTTTAAATGTGTTGAGTGTATTTTATCATCTAAAATGTGATATCTTTTTTTTTTTTTCAGATGGAGTTTCGCTGTTGTTGCCCAGGCTGGAGTGCAATGGCACAATCTCAGCTCACTGCAACCTCCACCTCCTGGGTTCAAGCAATTCTCCTGCCTCAGCCTCCCAAGTAGCTGGGATTACAGGCATGTGCCACCATGCCTGGCTAATTTTGTATTTTTGGTAGAGACAGGGTTTCACCATGTTGGTCCGGCTAGTCTTGAACTCCTGACCTCAGGTGATCCACTCGCCTCAGCCTCCCAAAGCATTGGAATTACAGGTGTGAGCCGTCATGCCCAGCCTCAAAATGTGATATCTTGATGAATGTTCCATGTGCACTTAGGCAGAATGTATTCTGCTGCTGTTGGGTGAAGTGTTTTGTAAATGTCCATTAGGTCAAATTGGTTGATAGTACTGTTAAGGTCATCTGTATCTTACTAATTTTCTGTCTGATCTTTAAATTACTGAAAGAAGGGTATTGAAATCTCTCACTTGTGGATTTTTCTGTGTCTCCTATCAGTTTTACTAGTTTTCTTTCATGGATTTTTAGGCTCTGTTGTTGCATGCATGTTTAGGATGGTATGTCTTCCTGGAGAATTGACCATTTTATTATTATGTAATGCCTCTTTTGTTCAAAGACTTTTTTTCTGAAATTAATATAGCTACTCCAGTTTTATTTTGCTTAGTGTTTGCATGGTATATCTTCATTCTTTAATTTTTAACCTAATTCTTTAAATGTAAAGTGAATTTCTTATAGACTGCTTACATTTGGGGCTTTTTCTCCCATTATTCTTTCTTTATTATTTACACTTATGACACATGATATATACACACATATGTATATAGATAGATACATACACACAAACCAATGGCACCAACTTTGGTGTACATCAGAGTTACTTAAGGAGCTCGTTAAAAATGGAGATTGTGGGCCAGGTGCGGTGGCTCACGCCTGTAATCCCAGCACTTTGGGAGGCCAAGGCGGGCAGATCACGAGGTCAGGAGATCGAGACCATCCTGGCTAACACGGTAAAACCCCGTCTCTACTAAAAATACAAAAAAATTAGCCAGGCGTGGTGGTGGGCTCCTGTAGTCCCAGCTACTCGGGAGGCTGAGGCAGGAGAATGGCGTGAACCCGGGAGGCAGAGCTTGCAGTGAGCCGAGATCGTGACACTGCACTCCAGCCTAGGCGACAGAACAAGACTCTGTCTCAAAAAAAAAAAAAAAAAAAGGAGATTGTGAAGCTGGGTCTCGAGGATAGGGGCCAGAGGTCCTACATTCTCAAACCCCCCTTCCCCTTAAGGTGTTTTTATATATATGATAGATTCAGTCTTTGAAAACCAGTAGGACATACATTCTTTTTTTTCTTTTTTTTAATTTTACAGAAGCGAGGTCTCGGTATCTTGCCCAGGCTGGTCTCGAACTCCTTAGCTCAAATGATTCTCCCACCTCGGCTCTGCAAAGTGCTGGGATTTTAGGTGTGAGCCACCATGCCCTGCCAGGACATACATTCTTAAAATGATATCAAATATTAAATTATGGATATGATCATTCTTTATTACTTGAGGACAAGAAAAAGTAATTGTCAAAGACAACTGAGATTTTGAGTCCAGGTAGCTTGGAGAGGAAAGGTAATATTAGTGAAAAAATAAGGACTGGGGCTGGGTGTGATGGCTCACACCTGTAATCCCAGAACTTTGGGAGGCCAAGACAGGAGGATCACTTGAGCCTAGGAGTTCGAGACCAGCCTGGGCAACATAGTGAGACCCCCATCTCTACAAAAAATAAAAAATTATCCTGACTAATGGTGCACACCTGTAGTTCCAGCTACACCAGAGGCTGAGGTAGGAGGATCACTTGAGCACAGGAGGTTGAGGCTGCAGTGAGCTGAGATTGTGCCTCCCAAAGTGCTGGGATTACAAGCATGAGCCACTGCACCCGGCCAAGTCTTTCAGTTTTGTTTTTCTTTTCCAAGATTATTTTGGCTATTTGGGGTCTTTTGCAATTCCATTTAAAATTTACATTCATGTTTTCCATTTCTGCAAAAATGATGGCTGAGATTTTGATAGGGATTGCATTGAATCTATAGATCACTTTGAGTAGTATTGTCATGTTAATATTAAATCTTCCAATCATAAACATGGGATATTTTTCAATTTATTTAGGTCTTCTTTAATTTCTTTCAACAACGTTTTATAATTTTCATTGTACAAGTCTTGCCCTTCCTTGGTTTAATTCACTCCTATGTATTATTTTTTATGCTATTGGAAATGAAATTGTTTCCTTAATTTCACTTTTACATTGCTTCTAGTGCATAGAAACACAACTGAATTTTTGTGCTGATCTTACACAGCACAACAGGTTACAACCTGTAACTTTGTTAGTTCGAATTGCTTTTGTGGATTCTTTAGAAGTTTCCATATATAAGATCAAGTCATCTGTGAATAATTTTACTTCTTCCTTTTCCATTTGAATGGGCTTTCTCAATTTCTCTCTCTCTTTTTTGAGACAGGGTCCCACTCTGTCACCCAGGCTGGAGTGCAGTGGCATGATCTCGGCTCACTGTATCCTTTGCCTCTCAGGCGCCAGTGATCCTCCCCCCTCAACCTCTCAAGAGGCTGGGACTACAGGCCAGTGCCATGACACCCAGCTAGCTTTTGTATTTTTAGTAGAGATGGAGTTTCACCATGTTGGCCAGGCTGGTCTGGAACTCCTGACCTCAAGTGATCCGCCTGCCTTGGCCTCCCAGAGTGCTGGGATTACAGGCATGAGCCACCACGCCCGGCCTGTTCTTAGTATTCTCTTAAGACAGTTTATTTAAAATCTTTCGCTAGTGATTCCACTACCTGGGTTTCCTCAGGAGCAGTTTCATTCATTTCTTTACTCTTGTATACATATGGGCCATGCTTTCTTGTTTCTTTGCATGTTTCATTATTTTTTTGTAGAAGACTGGATACTTTGAGTATTAAAAGTTGGAACTCTGGAACTCGGATTCTTCTCTATTGCAGGATTTTTGTTTCTGCTTGTTGTGGATTGTTGTTTGTTTAGTGACTTTTCTAAACTACTTGTTAAAGTCTGATTTCTTTGCTACATGTGGCCATGAAGTCTGTGTTCCATTAGCTTAGTGGTCAGCAAGTGTTTTGATGAAGTTTTCTTCTTAATGCCAGGAGTCAAAAAATAAAGAAAGAAAGAAAAGAGAAAAAGAAACTAATGCTCTTCCAAGCCTTGTAGATTGGCTCTTTTTTGGGGGGTAGTCCTTCAATGCTTAGCCAACACATTTGCAACTATGCCTCAGACTTCATGTCCTGCTTATGTGGAGTCTGATGGTCACCCACCCATGAAAGCTTAAGGTTCTCTCAAACCTTTACAGAGCATGTGTTCAACCCTGGGCATGTGCATGGCCTTCTTGTTTTTTTTTTTTTGTTGTTGTTGTTTAGGTGGGAGCTTTTGAAATCCATTATTCCCCTCGGTATCTCCTTTCCTAGCCTCCTCCTTCCCATTCTTTTCAGTCTGTCTATTGCTTGTCCTAAGTGCTATCTCTTGCCAAGGCTGCTGTGAAATGCTTTTGGCAAATCTTCCCAGTAAGCTGCCCCAGACCTTGGAACATTTCAAGTCAGTTGAAAAAAAAAAAGGCAAGCCCTTGCACCCTTCCTTCAGGGAGTCACCAGACAGATCAAAATACACATCCACAATGAGAAGAGGTCTGTATTGTTTCCTCTGGCAAAAGCAACTTGCACCAAGAATGTAGGCTGCCATTTTCATAGGTGCCACTGATCTGGTGAGTGAGGACAGCAGACAGGCAATTTTAAATGCCAGAGTCTTCAGTTATTACAATGTAGCAGCTTCTTTATTCATTAAGCTTTCCCTTGGTTAGTGTAAATTGTTGACTAGATTCCAAAGTATTGTGAAAGTTGCTTCTGACAGTTTGACAGCTTATTAGTTACCTTTATGGAGGACAGAACCCTGGAATTATCTACTCCACCATTTTTAGTGACCTCGGCTTTTAATTTTTGTGTAAGGACAGCACTGCCACTCGTAACATGCCTGAGCCAAAACCAGATGTCCCTTCATTATTTTTATGCACAAATTGTCTTATCATTGGCCAGTAGAATCCCCTCCAAAGTGGTTCCTTGTTTTTTTGACAGAATCCCAGTAATCTTTGATAGCTTCCTTGCTTTCTGCTGCAAGATGTCCTAGGCTCATCTCATACATTTACTGACCCCGACCTGGATAGCAATTTCTCCAAAGGATTCTGACTCCTTCAGTGGGAAATGGTATTGAAAGACCAAAGGCTGGGTGCTAAAGGTCTTTTTTTTTTTTTTTTTTTTTGCTGTTGAGTTGTCATTGCTTCTGGGCTTTTCGGTAGAAAGAACTAGGAAACACACACACACACACACACACACACACACACACACACACACACACATATATATATTTGTGGGATTTTTTTTTTTTTGCCCAGGCTGGAGTGCAGTAATGTGATTTCAGCTCACTGCAACCTCCACCTCCCCGGTTCAAGCGATTCTCTTGCCTCAGCCTCCCGAGTAGCCAGGACTACAGGCATATGCTACTATACCCAGCTAATTTTTGTATTTTTTGGTAGAGACAGGTTTCACTATGTTGGCCAGGCTAGTCTTGAACTCCTGACCTCATGTGGTCCACCTGCCTTGGCCTCTCAAAGTGCTGGGATTACAGGTGTGAGCCACCGCATTTGGCCGAAAAAGATATTTTTAAATGTGAAAAATATAATGAGTTTATAAAGCTATTTCCAATTCAAATTTAATGGTACAGGGTTTTACCCAATTTCTTTATCTTGTACTTGTGTCTTTTTTCTCTTACCCTGACAATCTTTGTTTCTAAGTATATTAACTTCATACTTATTTGCTTAATTCTAAACAAACCAATAATAATTTAAAAATAACAATACCAATATTACTATTAACATTAAGACTATGGAAAGCAGTTTAAGATTTCTTTGTGCTTCATTTTGTCCTTAGATCATATATCATTAGGGATGTACGGTCAAAATATTGTTTTAAAGTAATTTGAAGGTATTCTATTTGTATGATTATGCCACCAACTTGATAAACAGTGAAGTTCATTTGTTTCAGTTTGTTTTTAGTTTTTTGGGATTGATTCTTATTTTCCCTTTGAGTTAATATTATTAAAAATTTTTTCTAATAATTTTTTTACATAGGGTGTCACTCTGTCTCCCAGGCTGGAGTACAGTGGCACAATCACGGCTCACTGCAGCCTCAAACTCCCGGGCTCAAACAATCCTCCTGCCACAGTCTCCTAAAATGCTGGTATTACAGGCGTGAGCCGCTGTGCCTGGTCACTTAATTTTATTTTTAATTATGCTTCCAAAGATGAAACTAGTTAACAAGATACATCCAGAGAAATTTAGCTTCCGTTCCTATTACTTCATCCTGTTCCCTCCTTCCCCCAGTTTTGTAAGATTGTGGTTCATACTTTTAATGTTTCTTATTTAAAAATATAAGCAAATATATGTATAACCACACATGTATGTGTGTATTTCCCTTTTTGTACACAAAGATGATACATGATAAAAACTGTTCTTTACCTTGATTTTTTTCACTTCATACATCCAGAGATCATTCCATGTGAATATATGAGAATTATTTTCCTTTTTACAACTGTGTATTACTCCATTATGTGGTTATATTGGGTTTTTTCAGTCTTTTAATATTATAAATAATGCCAATAAATAGCACTGGGCATATGTCATTCTGCATTTTTTTCCAGTATGTCTTTGGAATAGATTCCAGGAAGTGAGATTGCTCTATGTATTAACAAGTTCCCCTCCAAATGGGCTATACAATTTTGCATTCCCAGCAGCAATGTGTGAGGGAATCCAGGTCTTTTTATATCTTTCCACAGAGCCAGTGTGGACCAAATTGGTAACTCTGAGTTTTATGGCCTGGGAGAGACTTCACCTCCCTCACCACTCATCCCACAGAAATACACCACAGCTCACATCCTATTATTTTTCCTATTACATACCCTGTGCTTAAAACAAATGGGTTGCCTAGCAGGAATGAGCAACCCTTTGTGGCAAGCCTTGTCTTGTTATGAGCCACTTCTCAAGTTTGCCTGGCTGCCTGTGGCTGAGGAAGGTTCTGAAACATGTTAAACAGCCCTGACAGCCTGATTGCTAATGAGTCTACATTGTCAGCTGTCTACACTAACCAAGTGATCTCGCCCATGAACCTGTGTCTGGAGGGTATACCCCAGTATACACAAGGCAGAATGGAACATCAGATGTTCATCTTTCTGCTTCTCTGAAGTGCTTGCTTTCTATTCATTATTACCAACATTGAAATAGACCCAATGGAGGCCCCGCAAGACAGACCCATCATTGTTTTTGTTGTTGATCTTTCACCTGTGGTGCTGGCCTTCACTTCCATTTGCTGCCTCTCCCTGTGTCTCCTTGGAGCTCTCGCCATCTTGTGGCAGGTCAGCAGGCTTCAGAACGGAAATGTCGACTTTACCTAAGTGTGAAGAAAATCAAATCCAAACTCCTTACCATGCTATACTGTATATGTGCAATGTATACTGTTCATAATTTGCTTCAAAATGCTTCAGTACCAGCTGTGTGATATACCTTATTTCATCTATTCTAAAATGCATATCTTTTTCACTTTTAATCACCTCTGAAATTAGGATGAATTTTACCATTAATAATATGTCATAATTTAATTAACAGCAAATTTTCTTTCTGGGTGCAGAAAAGAATGATGAGTCTTACAACCTATGACATTTTGGATTCATGAATTAATTATTTAACAAAATATTGTGTCTGTCTATGAAATGATCTTTTGAAATACCAGCCTAGGCTGGGGACAGTGGAGGTAGGAAGAAGGGGTGGATTTAGTATATACTTTGAAGTGGAGGAGAAACCGGTAATGTTTATTCATACTGATAAACAATTTTTACAATTCATTGTTAATTAGTTTTAATCCACACTCTGGGGGTGGTTAGTTAACATCCGAATTATTCTAATCAGGAATACATACTCAGGAGTGATTAGTTATTATTTGAAAGATCCTACTCAGGTGTTTACATCCCAGAAGTAATTATACCCCAGGATATTCACTTTTTCCTGTCTGAACTTGCACTAACTCAGAAATTCTTATACTTTATTTTTGCCATGGTCCCCTTTGGCCAACTGGTGAACCCATTTCAGAGTCATGCTTTTAATACCCAAAATAAAATACATAGGATTACAATCAAAACCAATTGTGTAAGCCTGTAGTTACAGCACTTTGGGAGGCTGAGGTGGCAGGATTGCTTGAGGCTAGGAGTTTGAGCCAGTCTGAAGAACATTGGAAGACCAGCCCCCCATCCCATCCCACTCCTCCCCACTGCCTCTACAAAACATTTAAAAATTAGCTGGTCATGTTGCTGTGCACCTGTGGTCCCATCTACTTGGGAGGCTGATTACTCCCCTGCCATCGCTTGAGCCCCGGGAGTGGAGGCTGCAATGAGCTATGGTTACACCACAGGCTGAAAAAAACATAAATGCATTCAAATGCAGATATCAAAATATTAAAGATGCAATTTATGACATTAACATGTGCTTCTTCACCCTCAGGTTTATTAAGGTATGATTGACAAAATTGTATATATTTATGGTGTACAGCATGATGTTTTGATATCTGTATGTATTGTGAAATGACCAAGTCAAGCTAATTTAAATATAATTATCTCACGTACTTATTATTATTATTTTGAGACAGAGTCTCGCTCTGTTGCCCAGACTGGAGTGCAGTGCCGCAATCTTGGCTCACTACAACCTCCCCCTGCCGGGTTCAAGCAATTCTCCTGCCACAGCCTCCTGAGTAGCTGGGATTACAGGCATGCGCCACCATGCTAGGCTAATTTTTGTATTTTTAATAGAGATGGGGTTTCACCATGTTGGTCAGGCTGGTCTCAAACTCCTGACCTTGTGATCCGCCTGCCTCGGCCTCCCAAAGGGCTGGGATTACAGGCATGAGCCACCGCACCCGGCCTACTTTTTAAAAAATTTTTATTTTAGATTCAAGTAGTACATGTGTATGTTTGTTACATGGGAATTAAATGTGTAATGGTGAGGACTGGGCTTCTAGTGTACACATCACCAAAATATTGAACATTGTACCCAGTAGGTAATTTTTCACCCCTTCCTCCTCTCCCACTCTCCCTCCTTTGGAGTCCCCAGAGTCTATTTGCCCCATCTTTATGTCCATGTGTGCCATTTGTTTAGCTTCCCCTTGTAAGTGAGAACATGCACTATTTGATATTCTGCTTCTGTGTTGGTTCACTTAGGATAATGGCCTTCAGCTGCATCCATGTTGCTGCAAATGACATTATTTTGTTCTTTATTGTGACTGTGTAGTATTCCATGGTGTATCGCCACCACATTTTCTTTATCCAATCAACTGTTGGTGGACACTTAGGTTGGTTCCATGTCTTTGCTATTGCACATAATGCTGTGACAAACATATGTGTGCAGGTGTCTTTTTTATACAATGATTTCTTTTCCTTTGGATAGATATACAGTAGTGGGATAGCTAGATTGAATGGTAGTTCCCTTCTTAGTTCTTGGAGATATCTCCATACTGTTTTTTTGTAGAGGTTGTACTAATTTACATCCTCACCAACAGTGATATACTTACCATTTTTGTGTGGTGAGAACATTTAAGATCTACTCTCTTAGCAATTTTCAAGTATATAATACATTATTATTTACTATAGTCACCATGCTGTACAATAGATCTCCAGAACTGATTCATCCTCACCGAAACTTTGTACATGTTGACCAACATCTTTCTATTTCTCCCACCCCAGTCCCTAGTAGTCACTATTCTACTCTCTGCTTCTACCAGCTCAAATTTTCAAGATTCTACACATAAGTGAGATCATGCAGTATTTATCTTTCTGTGCCTGGCTTATTTCACTTAGTGTAATATCCTCTAGGTTTGTCCATGTTGTCACAAATGAAAGGATTTCCTTCTTTTTTTAAAGCTGAATAGTATTCTGTTGTGCATACATACCACATTTTCTTTATCCATTCATCCACTGGTGGACACTTAGTTGATTCCATATCTTGGTTAATGTGAAGAATGCTGCAATGAATTTGAGAGCGAAGGTATGCCTTCAACGTATTGATTTCAGTTCCTTTGGATATATACCTGGAATAGGGATTGCTAGATCATATGGTAATTCTGTTTTTAACTTTTTTAGGAACCACTTACTGTTTTTCATAATGGCTGTACTAATTTACATTCCCACTAACAGTATGCAAGGGTTTCCTTTTCTCTATACCCTCACCAACACTTGTTATCTTTCCTGTTTTTGAAAGTAGCCATCCTAACAAGTACGAGGTGATACCTCATTGTGGTTTTGATTTGCCTTTCTGTGATGATTAGCGATGGTGGACATTATTTTTTTATATCCCTGTTGGCCACTTGTTTGTTGTCTTTTGAAAATATTTATTCAGATCCTTTGCTCATTTTTAATTGTTTTTTTTACATTTATTTTAATTTTTTTTAGCTTTAATTTTCATGGGTACATAGTAGGTATATATATTTGTGGGGCACATGGGATGTTTTGATACAGGCATGCAATGTGTAATAATCACATCATGGAGAATGGGGTATCCATCCCCTCAAGCATTAAACCTTTGTGTTACAAATATTCCCATTATACTCTTTTAGTTATTTTTACTTATACAATTAAATTATTATTAACTATAGTCAGCATGTTTTGCTATCAAATACTAGGTCTTATTCATTCATTCAAGCTATTTTAATTGAGTTATTTGTTTTCTTTCTAGTGAGTTGTTTGAGTTCCTTACATATTTTGGATATTAACCCCTTATCAGATATACTGTTTGCAAATATTTTCTCCCATTCTGTAGATTGTCTCTCTTTGTTGATTATTTCCTTTGCTGTGCAGAAGCTTTTTAGTTTAGTGCAATTCTATTTGTCTAGTTTTGCTTATGCTTTTGGGGTCATATCCAAAAATTTATTGTCTAGACCAATGTCAAGAAGCTTTTAAATTATGTTTTCTTCTAGTAGTTTTGCAGTTTCAGGCCTTATGTTTAAGTATTTAATCCATTTTGAGTTTTTTTTAATATAGTATAAGATAAGGGTCCAGTTTCATTCTTCTGCATGTGGATATCCAGTTTTCCCAACACCATTAATTTTTTTAACTTACTTTCTTTCTTTCTTTCTTTCTTTCTTTCTTTCTTTTCTTCTTTCTTCTTTCCTTCTTTCCCTTTTTTATGAATAGAGATGGGGTCTCACTATATTGCCAAGGCTGGTCTCAAACTCCTGGGCTCAAGTAATCCACCTGCCTCGGGCTCCCAAAGTGCTGGGATTACAGGCATGAGCACCATGCCTGGCCCCCAAAATCATTTATTGAAGAGACTGCTGTTTCCCCATTGGTACCTTTGTTAAATATCAATTGACCATAAATGTGTAGATTTATTTCTGGACTCTTATTCTGTTTCCTTAGTCTATATGTCTTTTTTATGCCATTACCATGCTGTTTTGGTTACTATCTCTCTGCAGTATAATTTGAAATCGGGTAACATAATTCCTCCAGTTTTGTTCTTTTTGTTCAGGATGGCTTTGGCTATTCTGTGCCTTTTGTGGTTCCATGTGTATGTTAGTATTTTTTATTATTATTGCTGTGAAAAATGTCCTTGGAATTTTGATAGGGATTGTATTGGCTCTATAGATCACTTTGGGTAGCATGGACATTTTAACAATATTGTGTGTTCTTTTTTATTAACCTAGCAAATAGCACGATCTAGAGCAGGTCTATAATCATCACAATTTTTAAATAGTGATGAGCATAACTGATCTTATGAGATATTTGCAACAGCTATAATGTGATATGAAAATATTTTTGATATATGTTGGTGAGAAAGTTGCAGACACTGATAATAAGACTATAATTTGTTGACTACATTCAATTAGAAATGAATAAAAATAAAGGTTTAATTTTTCCCATCAAAGTCCAAAGAGCACCCCTAAATTCTATTCACAGAACCTCAGGGGAGGAAATCTTGTACCAGAGAGTCCATTAATTAGTATAAAGGATGTAAGAAATAATATTTCATTGGTGAAATGAATTCTGTTAAAAATATGTGCAATGGCTAGAAATTTTGTCCATGTATGAAGGTACATGCTTGCATGAATAAAAGATAAAAATCTGGCAAGCCAGCCCAACAGTTCAGCATGTTCTGGAATGGCATCTAGGCCTCAGACTTTGTGTGATCCTATAAAGAGCCAGCTTGCCAGATGTCCCTAGTGATAATAAATGTTATTTTCAGCCACTACATGTTGGGGGTAATTTGTAACACAGCAATAAATAAATAAAATAAATAAATAGTATCACGTAATAGAAGATTTTCCTGTTCCAACCAGAAGATAGGTTGATCCTGTTACCATAATATTAGGCCAACTATTTCATGTGGATTTTTTATGTAAAGGACTTGCTGGAGTTCCTAAAGATCAGAGCATGTATTAGGTTGGTGCAAAAGTAACTGCAGTTTTCGTCATTGCTTTTAATGGCAAAAACCGCAATTACTTTTGCACCAACCTATACTTGACCCACTTTACAAGGAAAGACTGTGTGACTGTTTTGGTCCCTGATTGCTAATAACTGTATGTGTCATAGAATTCAGTCTGACAATTACTTTCATTTTAATATTCTACCTAGTAAGGAGGTTGTAGGAGAGGTGACTTATGGCCCTCGCCTACCTCTAATATTCAGACGCTTCTTAAATCTACCAAAAACAACGAGTTTAGGTCCATTTGCAAAGCCCTAGGTAATCTGACTTTTATCTACCTCTCTGAACTTACCTCTCCCCACCTACCCTCACTTCTGTCCAGCAACTCTGGTTGTATTCATTTGCTGGGATGCCATAGCAAAGTATCACAAATTGAGTGGTTTAAATACCAGAAATGTGTTGCCTCATACTTCTGGAGGCAGGGTTTGTTCCTTATCAGGGTCTCACTCTGTCGCCCAAGCTGGAGTGCAGTGGCACAATCATGGCTCACTGCAGTCTCGACCTCCTGGGGTCAGGTGATCCTCCCACCTCAGCCTCCCAGGTAGCTGGGACCACAGGCATGCATCACCACGCCCAGCTAATTTTTGTATTTTTTGTAGAGATGGGGTTTCACCATGTTGCCCAGGCTGGTCCCAAACTCCTGGGCTCAAGCTATCCACTCACGTCAGCCTCTCACATTGCCGGGATTATAGGTGTGAGCCACCACATCTGCCTGGGTTTGTTCCTTTTGGGGGCTGTGAGGAAGAATCTGTTCCATGCCTGTCTCCTATCTTCTGGTGGTTTGCTGGCTATCTTTGGCATTCCTTGGCTTATAGAAGCATCACCCTGATCTCTACCTTCATCTTTATATGGTGTTCTCCCCATGTGCATGTTTGCATTCAAACATTCCCCCTGTTTTTAGCCAGGCACAGTGCCTCACATCTGTAATCATGGCTACTCGCAAGGCTGACGCAGGAAGATTGCTTGAGGCTAGGAGTTCGAGACCAGTCTGGATGATCTAGGAAGACCCTGTCTCTGAAAAAATTTAAAAAAATAAATAAATAAATAAGTAAAAAAAACTTGCCCCCTTTTTATAAGGACACAGTCATATTGGATTAGGAGCCTACCCTACTCCAGTATGACCTCATCTTAACTAATTACATCTATAAGGTACCTATTTTCTTTTTTCTTTTTCTTTTTCTTTTTTTTTTTTTTTTGAGATAGAGTCTTGCTCTGTCACCCAGGCTGTAGTGCAGTGGTGCGATCTCAGCTCACTGCAGCCTCCACCTCCCGGGTTCAAGCAATTCCTGTGTCTCAGCCTTCCTAGTAGCTGGGACTACAGGCACGCACCACCATGCCCGGCTAATTTTTGTATTTTTAGTAGAGATGGGGTTTCACCATGTTGGCCATGACTGGTCTCGAACTCCTGACCTCACTTGATCAGCCCACCTCAACCTCCCATAGTGCTAGGATCACAGGCATGAGCCACTGCACCCAGCCAGTTCCCTATTTTCAAATAAGGTCATATTCTAGGGCACTAGAGGTTATGTCTTCAACATATGAATTTTTGGGGAGACACAATTCAACATATAACTCTTGCCTTCTTGCTGTTCCTCTAGCACACTAAGCTGATTTTCATTTCAGGTCCTTTGTACATGGCAAGTCTTTCTGTCTAGAACCCTAAAGAAGCCTGGCTGTTCCCGTCTCAGCATACACATGTTATCTCATATGCCACCTTCTCAAAAAGGACTTCCCTGATCACTCTATTTAAAATAGCCTCTCCAGATACGTTTGTCAGCTTGCTCCTTTCTGCCTGTGGATGCCAACAAAGAAGCATCATTAAAGTCTCTCTTCTCCCTTCCGTCGTGTCTAAGTCAGAGTCTCCTAAAGAGCCCGAATAGCTGAGGAAGCTCTTCATTGGAGAGTTGAGGTTTGAAACAACCGACGAGAGCCTGAGGAGCCATTTTGAGCGATGGGGAATGCTCACAGACTGTGCGGTAATGAGAGATCCAAACACCAAGCGCTCCAGGGGCTTTGGGTTTGTTACATACGCCACTGTGGAGGAGGTGGATGCAGCCACGAATGCAAGGCCACACAAGGTGGATGGAAAAGTTGTGGAACCAAGGAGAACTGTCTCAAGAGAAGATTATCAAAGATCAGGTGCCCACTTAACTGTGAAAAAGATATTTGTTGGTGGCATTAAAGAAAACACTGAAAAACATCAGCTAAGAGATTATTTTGAACAGCATGGAAAAATGGAAGTGATTGAAATCATGACTGAGGCAGTGGCAAGAAAAGGGGCTTTGCCTTTGTAACCTTTGACGACCATGACTCCATGGATAAGATTGTCATTCCGAAATACCATACTGTGAATGGCCACAACTGTGAAGTTAGGAAAGCCCTGTCAAAGCAAGAGATGGCTAGTGCTTCTTCCAGCCAAAGAGGTCAAAGTGGTTCTGGAAACTTTGGTGGTGGTTGTGGAGGTGGTTTCTGTGGGAATGACAACTTTGGTCATGGAGGAAACGTCAGTGGTCGTGGTGGCTTTGGTGGCAGCCATGGTGGTGGTGGATATGGTGGCAGTGGGGATGGCTATAATGGATTTGGTAATGATGGAAGCAATTTGGAGGTGGTGGAAGCTACAATGATTTTGGCAATTACAACAGTCAGTCTTCAAATTTTGGACCCGTGAAGGGAGGAAACTTTGGGGCAGAAGCTCTGGCCCCTATGGTGGCGGAGGCCAATACTTTGCCAAACCACCAAACCACAGTGGCTATGGTGGTTCCAGTAGCAGCAGTAGCTATGGCAGTGGCAGAAGATGTTAATTAGGAAACAGAGCTTAGCAGGAGAGGAGAGCCAGAGAAGTGACAGGGAAGCTGCAGTTTACAACAGATTCGTGAACTCAGCCAAGCACAGTGGTGACAGGGCCTAGCTGCTACAAAGAAGACATATTTTAGACAAATATTCATGTGTATGGGCAAAAAACTTGAGGACTGTATTTGTGACTAATTGTATAACAGGTTATTTTAGTTTCTGTTCTGTGGAAAGTGTAAAGCATTTCAACAAAGGGTTTTAATGTAGATTTTTTTCCTTGCACCCATGTTGTTGATTGCTAAATGTAATAGTCTGATCGTGACGCTGAATAAATGTCTTTTTTTTTTTAATGTGCTGTGTAAAGTTAGTCTACTCTGAAGCCATCTTGGTAAATTTCCCCAGCAGTGTGAAGTTGGAATTCCTTCAGGGTGATGCCAGGTTCTATTTGGAATTTACATACAACCTGCTTGGGTGGAGAAGCCATTGTCTTCAGAAACCTTGGTGTAATTGAATTGATAGTTACTGTTGTGACCTGAAGTTCACCATTAAAAGGGACTACCCAAGCAAAATCATGGAATTATTGGTTATAAAAATGATTGTTGGCACATCCTATGCAATATATCTAAATTGAATAATGGTACCAGATAAAATTATAGATGGGAATGAAGCTTGTGTATCATCCATTATCATGTGTAATCAATAAACAATTTAATTCTCTTGAATGAAATGACAACTCTATGGATTTGGGAATGGCAGAGATTTGGACTTTCCTTACCCACTACCCCTGATTATGTTGAATGCTTCTATCACAATTCAAGTTCAAAGCTCTGCCAGGAATAGAAACTAGCTGCTGGCTAATGCTGCTCCATAAACCCACAGATTTGAAGTGTTTGGGCGGCCTTTTAAAAATGACCATATCAGAAAGCATTTTAATGAGCATAAAGATAGGCTTCCATTAAAGGAGAAAAATAAAATAGCCTCTCTACCTCACACACATCATTCCCTACTCCCTTTCCTGTTTCAGTTTTCTTCATAGCACTCATTACTACCTGAAATACTTTTATTTTCAGTTGTTTTTATCTGTCCCTCCCACCAGAATATAAGTTCCTTGAGGACAAGAAACTTGTTTGTCTTACTTACTTCTGTATCATTAGCTCCTAACATAATGCCTGTTCAAAATTAAATATTTAATAAATGTTGAATGAACATTGAATGAACACTCACTTTGTTCTCCAATTGAGTCTCTAAAAAATCCAGTAGAATCAAGTTTCCACTGAGAAAATACAGCTTATTTCAAACTCCTAAAGACATTCATTTTCCCCCTTTGAAATAAACTACACCTATCTAAGAGACCAATTATAAAACAATAAAATACTCCTCTCTCCCACAGTTGCCTTTTTTCTCTCTTCTTGTACTACCAGGAAACTACTTAATGGTAGCAAAAATCAGAGTGAAGAGAGGTTAGTTCCAAGACAGAAACACATTGTCAATCTTTACTCAAAGATTGTCCATCACCTGCTCTCTCTCCAGCCTAGCTAGCTCTTTTCAGGCCCGATAGGCACACATTAATGGGCCTGGCTGGACCACCTATGAGACAGAAAAGGGTGATCCCTTCCATTAGATTAACAGGCTCAGAAAAGACTAGGGAACTAAGCTGACTCCTTTTTTTTTTTTTTTTTTTTTTTTGAGGCGGAGTCTGGCTCTGTCACCCAGGCCTAAGTGCAGTGGTGCGATCTCAGCTCATTGCAACTTCCACCTCCCAGGTTCAAGCAATTCTCGAGCCTCAGCCTCCCGAGTAGCTGGGACTACAGGGACTACAGGTATTAACCACGTCTGGCTAATTTTTGTATTTTTAGTAGAGACAGGGTTTCACCATGTTAGCCAGGCTGATCATGAACTCCTGACCTCAGGTCAGCCACCCGCCTTGACCTCCCCAAAGTGCTGGAATTATAGGCGTGAGCCACTGCACACAGCCTAAGCTGATTTCCTCTTCTTCTTTTTTTTTTTTTTTTGAGACGGAGTCTTGTTCTGTCACGCAGGCTGGAGTGCAATGGCATAATCTCGGCTTACTGCAACCTCCACCCCCTGGGTTCAAGCGATTCTCCTGCCTCAGCCTCCTGAGTAGCTGAGATCACAGGCGTGCCACCACCATGCCCAGCTAATTTTTATATTTTTAGTAGAGGCGGGGTTTCACCATGTTGGCCAGGCAGGTCTTGAACTCCTGACCTCGTGATCCGCCCACCTCGGCCTCCCAAAGTGCTGGGATTACAGGTGTGAGCCACCCCACCCAGCCCTAAACTGACTTCTAGCTGAGATTTCTGAATGTAAGAGCTTTAAGTCAGAGCAATGGCTGTTTTGTTCCTCAGAGGTTTTTCAAAAGAGAATTGTCCACTTCGAGTTCTGACCTGCCTGAAAATTGAGTGGTGAACCTAATGACCTCCTGCCTGCTGCCTCCCAGCTCTTATATGACTTATGACAATTACTAAGACAAATTGATATCTAAACAAAGTCTCTTGGGGATTTTTTGATTATTGTTTGCTTTCATATCTTCTGAATGATCAAAAGAGGACTCTAACAGGAACCTTTGATGTTTATCCAAGTAAATTCAGGTTTTTCCTGCAATAACGAAAGTAAGCTTGTTTGTGGTTTGTGAAGATTTAAGCAAAGGAGGAGAGAAAAGTTGATTTTTAAAAACTGTTTCTTAAAAGACAAATCTTTAAATGAACACAAGAAAGAATTTAATTTAACAATTTTCTGAGATCAGGTTCCAACTTTTTTCTATTTAATCTTTTTCCAAACCTGCTTAAGTCAGTAGTTTTTAAGCCCTTGTGAGTTGCAGACACCTTAGGACAAAGCATCTCAAATTTAATATGGGTATGAACCACCTGGTGGTCCTACTAAAATGAAAATTCTGATTCAGTAGGTCAGGGGAGGGCATTGTTGGATGGATCAAATGCATCTCCAAGCTTCCCCACTTGGGCACCCACTTTGGCTTCAGCCCACCTCCAAATGCCCAATGCACTCCTGTTTTTCAAAGTCCACTGCTGCAGTATCCCATTCTAACTATTAATTCTTGTCAGATGCCCCTGCTACAAATCTTTCTGTTTTTACCTCACCTTCAAGTTTACCTCTCTTAGGTGTGTTTCTCTCTGGACCCTACTCTCAGTGAAAATATAATGAGCAACAGGTGATCGTGGGTTGATGAGTTATTTCTCTTTCTCCCTTGGACAGAAGACCAAGTCCACTCATCCCTCCACCACCACAAGGTAACAATGGAATTTAACTATAGCTTTCAGGAACAAAGCTTTTCTCAAAGGAAAAATTCCAAATGGTAAAATTTTTCTGCCTTATAACACACTAATGGAAAGGCTATTTTTTAGTGGTTTGGAGAGGAGGAATAGAATTTCTAATTTCTCAGAAAAAAAAATCCATACAACCTACTTAGATAACTGCCAATCTGACCTGCTTACACTCTGCTCTGCCTCTCATCTGCTCTGGTCCCATTAAAAGCAACATTGTCTTATTTTAGAAATGGAACCATGAAACTGTTAAACGACCAGTTATTTCATGGTTATGTCCAAAGTGGTTGAAATTCCAAAGTAAGGGAAGCAACCAATTTATCTTTTTATTTTCTTTTTTCTTTTTTTTTTTTTTTTACTGAGAGACCTTGATGACCCATGGTTAAGAGCTTCAAAGCAGCGTCCAAAGTCTTAACCATGAAAATATTTTTCTTAACTGCAAAGAGGGCTCAGTCTTCACAATTCAAATTGTCTCATCTTGTACTCTCCGGAAGGGAGGGCAAATATTTGCATTCTGTTCTGGGAGAGGTCCCTTCCGCTAAGAATGTGTTAAGTGCTCCTAATACAACAAAGGAAAAGGATTTTTTTTTAAAGCAGTTGCATTTCCTTATTTAAAAGGCCAATCATTTACACACTGCTTTACTTGCAACCGAAATAGTTCCAATGCATTTATCCACAGCACATTATGCTGATGGTAGGGACTGTACATTGTCAACCTTTAGCTCTGAAAACTTGTGACTTTATCTTCTTCTTCTTTTTTTTTTTTCTCGAGACGGAGTCTCGCTTTGTCACCCAGGCTGGAGTGCAGTGGCGTGATCTCAGCTCACTGCAACCTCCGCCTCCAGGGCTCAAGCAATTCTCCTGCCTCAGTCTCCCAGGTAGTTAGCTGGGATTACAGGTGCCCGCCACCATGCCTGGCTAATTTTTTGTGTTTTTAGTAGAGATGGGGTTTCACCACGTTGGCCAGGCTGGTCTCAAACTCCTGAGCTCAAGTGACTCGCCCGCCTCGGCCTCCCAAAATGCTGGGATTACAGGTGTGAGCCACTGCACCCGGCTTATCTTCTTTCCCAGGCAGAGTAGTCAGTTCAGAGCCAGTAAATATGGTTGCAGGAAAGTCTTTTCTTTACCATCTGTATTACTTTCCTATTGCTGCTATAACAAATTACTATAAACTTGGTGGCTTAAAGCAACACACACTTATTATCTTATGGTTCTGGTTGTCATAATTCTGCATTGGGTCTCACTGGGTTAAAATCAAGGTGCTGACAGGGCTGCATTCCTTTCTGGAGGCTCTGGGGGAGAAGTTCCAGCCCACATTCCTTGGCTCCTGGCTTCCTTTCTCTATCTTCAAAGTCAGTAAGAGTGGGTCATGTTCTCATATCTCATCACTCTGACTTCTGTGTCCCTCTTCCATTTTTAAGGATCCTTGTGATTACATTAGGCCACCCATAGAATCCATAATAATCTCCCTGCTTTGGGGTCAGCTGATTAGCAACCTTAATTCCACCTTCATTCCCCTTTGCCATGCAAGGTAACGTATTCACAGGCTTAGGATGTGGACATCTTTAGGGGGCTATTATTCTGCCTACCACACCATCACATGACAAATGTTTATTGAACATCTACTGTGCATAGAGAGCTTTGTGCTCTGCCTTAAGGAGCAATCTGGATAAGATAGGACTTGCTCAGAAAAGGGTAAATAACAATGGGAGGTTTCACAGGCTATGAGAGAGGTAAGAAGATGAGGAACTCATGCTATGTCATGCTATAAAAATTGGAAGACAGTGTGGTATGATGACTGAGGTGGTCAGAGAAGACTTCCTGGAAGAGGCAGAGCTTAATCGGTCTTCAAGAAAAGGCAAGAGTTGAATATTGTTTCTGAGCTGAATAAGTCTCACATATACACTTTTGAGGGCAGATTTCCAAAGTAGCAGATGTAACATGAAAGTACTCATTGCTATTCTAGTGATGTCTCCATGATACTTACTGGCCTAAAAATCACTGTTATACATACCAGCTCATTTGATGCTCACCACAGCCCTGTGATGGAAGTAGGGAGAACAGGGAACTACATAAACCTTTCCATCATTGAGTCCCCAGGCCCCTTTCCAGGCCTAGGGCCACCCCCAGTGTTCTTTCTTCCTTATGGCCATGGGGATACCACCTGTTTTCTTCTTTGGTAATTACTCCCCAAGCCTAGCTGCAGAATGAGACACAAACTCTGCACCTTCCCAGTTTCTTGCTACTATTGAAGCCAAGCACACAGGCTCATTTAAAATTTGCTAAACTCTGGAGAAAACAGGGTAAAACCGACGGACATAAGGTAGTGACAAAAGTTTCATAATCTTACAAAGTTTGTATAATAATGGTCTCTGATCTATAGTTTCTGCTCCCCTTTTCAATAGCAAAAGAAAGTACCATTGAGTTTAGGTCCTCTGCTTATATTTTCTTAGGGCTCATCATCATCATCATTATTATAGCAAGCAACTATGGAGTGCTTTTTATATGTCAGGCAGTGTTCTCATTGCTTTCCATACTTTAACTCATTTAATTCTTATAACAACCCATTTTATGGATAATGAGGCAGGCTTCAAACCTAGGTAGACTGGCTCTGGAATCTATATCTAACCAGTACACCATACTGCTCTACCATCTCTTCCGTACCACCACTTTGCCTTCTGCCTATCAATATAGGCTACAATTTGAACACTTTCTCCATGAGGGATCAGTACGCTAGGTTACAGATGAAGAAACTGAGGCTGAGCAAAGTTAGACTTTTCCAAGGGAGCATTAATAGTGAGTGGGGAGCTGGAGGTCAAATCCAGCTCCATCATACCATATTGCCTTTACAAGGTGCTACTTTGGTGAGGTCTGGTTCTGCTCCAACATAGTAAAAAGAATTGATTTCAAATAATTCCACATGTATCAGTCCCTCTTATCATTATGGGATGTTTCATTTTTGGACGCTGTAATCAAGACCAAATTAATACCTTTAAAGGCTCTAAGATTTAAAAGAAACAAATGGGCCAGGCGCGGTGGCTTACGCCTGTAATCCCAGCACTTTGGGAGGCCGAGGCGGGTGGATCACGAGGTCAGGAGATCGACACCACAGTGAAACCCCGTCTCCACTAAAAATGCAAAAAAAATTAGCCGGGCGCGGTGGCGGGCGCCTGTAGTCCCAGCTACTGGGGAGGCTGAGGCAGCAGAATGGCGTGAACCCGGGAAGCGGAGCTTGCAGTGAGCCGAGATCGCGCCACTGCACTCCAGCCTGGGCAACAGAGCAAGACTCCGTCTTAAAAAAAATAAAATTAAAATAAGTAAATAAATAAATAAATAAACGAATGTCCTCCCAACACCATCCTCTATGGATTCAAATTAAACGTAATTATAAACAATAAAATAAGTAAAACAAACTATCATTTTCCCCATGACTACTTAAATTTTTGTTTTTGAAAACCAACCATCAAATTCTTTTATAAATTCTTAAAATAATTCTCAAAACAATTTTTTCTGATGTCCTAAGCACATGTTTAAACTGTTAAGTAATTCAACACTCTCTGTTATATATTAATTCCTGGAAGAGGTGTACAAGAGTTGTAACTGTAAAGGCAAATTTGGGACAAATGAGGACAGACACAAGTGATCAGGGAGAAGACACAACATGCAGGTCAGGTAAGGGCTTTGTGTTTACAGTTTGCAAGAATCCACCTACCATGGGTGGGATCAACCGTCTACAGGAAATCTTTCCAAAAGACTGCAGTCTATGGTAAAACTGTGAATAAGTTACTGATGACATTTAAGTACTCCCTAGAGATCTCCAGGAAGCAACCTCAAATTTAGTCAATGCCGCATAATCCATAAACCTGGGAAATGCAAACATTAAGACAGGTGAAGCAATACAGGGTGGAGGGGACTATTATAATGTCTAGAGCCAACAGAAGGAAAGCAATTCTGGGAGAATTTACAAAAAAGGGAGGTTGATGGTGAGAAGTTTTGTTTATTTATTTTAACTTATTTTTATTTTACTTTAAGTTCTGGGATACATGTGCTGAACGTGCAGGTTTGTTACATAGGTATACATGTGCCATGGTGGTTTGCTGCACCTATCAACCCATAATCTAGTTTTTAAGCCCTGCATGCATTAGGTATTTGTCCTCATGCTCTCCCTCCCCTTGCCTGCCACCCCCCAACAGGCCCCAGTGTGTGATGTTCCCCTCCCTGTGCCCATGTGTTCTCATTGTTCAACTCCCACTTATGAGTGAGAACATGCAGTGTTTGGTTTTCTGTTCCTGTGTTAGTTTGCTGAGGATGATGGTTTCCAGCTTCATCCATGTCCCTGCAAAGGACATGAACTCATTCTTTTTTATGACTGCATACTATTCCATGGTATATATGTGCCACATTTTCTTTATCCAGTCTATTATTAATGGGCATTTGGGTTGGTTCCAAGTCTTTGCTATTGTAAATAGTGCTGCAGTAAACACACACGTGCATGTGTCTTTATAGTAGAATGATTTCTAATCCTTTGGGTATATACCCAGTAATGGGATTGCTGGGTCAAATGGTATTTCTGGTTCTAGATCCTTGAGGAATCACCGCACTGTCTTTCACAATGGTTGAACTAATTTACACTCCCACCAACAGTGTAAAAGCATTCCTATTTCTCCACATCCTCGCCAGCATCTGTTGTTTCCAGACTTTTTAATGATCACCATTGTAACTGGCGTGAGATGGCATCTCATTGTGGTTTTGATTTGCATTTCTCTAATGACCAGTGATGATGAGCTTTTTTTCGTATGTTTGTTGGCCACATAAATGTCTTGATGGTGAGAAGTTTTTAGTGTGTCCGGCATTGCCCAAGAGAGGGAGGTTTCAGATTTGGGGCATGGATATTTTAGTTGAATTTGCTGGTGTAATCTTACCTTGAAAAGGGCCAAGTGAGTTTGCTGCTGCAGCTTAATAGTAATATTCCGTTAAGATCATCTGACTATCTTAGCTCAGATTCTGTGATCACCAGCTTATCAAAAGACTTCCTAGTACTCTGATATTGGGAATGGGGGTCCTACCTCACAGACATAAGGGTCCAATCAGCATGGCATATATAATTCTTTAGATAATACATAAATTGTCATCCAGATTATAGATCATTCTTTTATGAATCACAGGATCTCAATGTTGGAGTATATTTAAGGGACATTTAGTTAACCATCTACCTGGTGCTGATATTCCCCTTATAAAAAGCTGACAAGGGGTTGTCCATTTTTCCTTGAGAGTCTCAAGTAATAGGAAACTCATTACCTCTTTACTTCTCTGAATACCCGTGTTGGAAAATTCTGCTTTATATTGAAAAAAAATTGTGTTACTTTATTTATTTTTATTTTTATTTTTTGACACAGAATCTTATTCTTTCGCCCAGTCTGGAGTGCAGTGGCGTGACCTTGGCTCACCACAACCCTCGCCTCCTGGATTCAAGCGATTCAAGTGCCTCAGCCTCCCGAGTAGCTGGGACTACAGGCATGCACCACCATGCCAGGCTAATTTTTGTATTTTTGGTAGAGATGGGGGTTTGCCATGTTGGCCAGCCAGGCTTGTCTCAAACTCCTGACCCCAGGTGATCTGCCCGCCTCAGCCTCCCAAAGTGCTGGGATTATAGGCGTGAGCCACCATGCCCAACCTAAAGTGTGTTACTTTAGAGCCTCTATTCCTTGGTTGACTCCTTGGGTCACATACAAAACAATCTAAATCTTCTTAAAAAAAATGTAGATAAACTCATGTCCCCGATAAACCTCTTTCCAGGCCAAATTCCCTACACTCTTTAAATCCTCCTAATATAGGATGCTTTCAACTCATTACATCATCTTGGTCACCCTTCCATGGACAGGCTTTAGTTTCTCTTTTAATGTGTGGTCTTGGGCACGGGCAAGTGTTTTTGTAAAATTTACAAATGTAAAATATTTTCATTGCTAGTGATTGACTGTCTCTTACCACTCCAACTTCCCTCTGTCACACTTCCCCTCAGGTCAAGTGATGCTGGAGTGGCCATGAGCATTTCTGGAATACAGATAAGAGGTTGTTGTGTTGGTGGTATATTTAGTTTGGATTTAGGAGAATATATATTATGTGGTTCACTGACACTTCTATATCTAGTTAACTGATTGATAGCTGCCTTAGTGTAGAAATGGCTTCCAGGAAAACTCCTACCACCCACTGTGCCAATTTCACCTGGCATTATGATACTAAATTGCAGGTGTGTTCAGCAGCTAATGAAAATGTTGTTTTTATGGGTTTTGTGATGTTGAAGAGATTTTTCAGCTTTTTACAATAAATATAAAATGTGCTGTGCATTGCGCTATACTCCTTATAATGGGAACATTTCATGGCATATAAATTATACCTCAATAAATCTGTTAATTGTGCTGTGCTTTCTTTTCTGTTTTAAATAAATATTTGCTTTTGTGCCTAAAGTAAAGTAAAATAAAAATATGTAGCAGTATATCTACAAAACCTATACAAAACATTCTACTTAAGGGTGAAATGGAAGAATCCCCTTTGAGATTGGGAATTAGGCAAGGGGATCACTACTTCTACCTTTGTGCAGCATTGTACTAGAAGTTCTAGTGAGTGCAGTAAGCGAAGAAAAAGAAATAAAAGTTATAAGAATTAGAAAAAAGAAGGCTGGGCACGGTGGCTCACGCCTGTAATCCCAGCATTTTGGGAGGCCGAGGCAGGCGTATCACCTGAGGTCAGGTGTTTCAGACCTACCTGGCCAACATGGTAAAACCCAGTCTCTACTAAAAATAGAAAAATTAGCCGAGCATGGTGGTGGGCGCCTGTAGTCCCAGCTACTCGGGAGGCTGAGGCAGGAGAATCGCTTGAACCCGGGAGGCAGACGTTGCAGTAAGCCATTGCACTCCAGCCTGGGCAACAAGAGGGAAACTCCGTCTCAAAAAAAAAAAAAAGAATTAGAAAAAAGAAATAAAACTGTGTTTAGAGCGAAAAATGTGACTGTGTTTATAGACAATGTAAGACAAAATACAGAAATATTATTACAATTAATAAGTGAGTTTAGCAATGTTGCTGGGCATAAAAATCAATATGTAAAAACAAATTGTATCTTTAACAGCCATCATTAAAAATTAAAATTAAAATATATAATTTACAACCTCATGAAAACATATAAAGTTCTTAGAAGTGGATATAACAGGCTGGGCACGGTGGCTCATGCCTGTAATCCCAGCACTTTGGGAGGCCGAGGCAGGCGGATCACGAGGTGAGGAGGTCGAGACCATCCTGGCTAGCACAGTGAAACCCCGTCTCTACTAAAAAATAGAAAAAATTAGCCAGGCGTGGTGGCGGGCGCCTGTGGTCCCAGCTACTCGGGAGGCTGAGGCAGGAGAATGGCGTGAACCCGGGAGGTGGAGCTTGCAGTGAGCCGAGATTGCACCACTGCACTCCAGCCTGGGCGACAGAGCGAGACTCCGTCTCAAAGAAAAAAAAAAAAGAAGAAGAAGTGAATATAACAAAGGAGACGCAAGAATTTGATTATAAAATTTACATGAAAATGAAAAAGGCCAAGAATAAAAACAAAACACAGAACCCCCCCTCCCCCCAAAACAAAGAAACAAACAAACAAAAAGTCAAGAATAGCCAAAGCACTCTTGAAGAACAAGGTGGGGAAACTTGTCTTATCAGATGTCAAGACTTAGTAATTAAGGCAGTGGCATGGAAGAACTGAATGGAGAGCTCCGGAAGAAACTCGTGTATATAGACATTTCATATATAATAGAACTGACATTTTAGATCAGCGAAGAAAGTATATTTTTGAAAGTACTTTTCAAAAATGGCTGAGCGCAGTGGCTCATGCCTGTAATCCCAGCACTTTGAGAGGCCCACGTGGGTGGATCACATGAGGCCAGGAGGTCAAGACCAGACTGGCCAGCACAGCAAAACCCTGTCTCTACTAAAAATACAAAAATTAGCCAGGCATGATGGCGCTTGCCTGTAATCCCAGCTACTCGGGTGGCTAAGGCATGAGAATCACTTGAACCCAGGAGGTGAAGGTTGCAGTGAAGGGAGATCACACCACTGTACTCCAACCTGGGTGACAGAGTGAGACCCTGTCTCAAAAAAATAAAAATAAAAATAAAAAGTACTTTTCAAAAATGATGCTGGGGCAATTCGTTTTCCATATTTAAAAGTAGTAAATTGGATACCATACATGAAAATCAGCTCCAGGTGGATTCAAAACATAAATGTAAAATGCAAAAATATAAAATTTCTAGAAGAAAATATAAAAGAGTATCTTGATATCTGGGTAGTGATGGATTTCTAAAACAAGACATAAAATGCATAAATCATAAAAGAAATGACTGGTAATCAGAGTGCATTAAAATTAAGAACTTCCATTTATCAGAAAACACTATTAAGAGACTGAAAAGACAAGCCATAAACATAAGCAATAAAAGATTAGTATAAGATTATAAACAGAACCCTAAGAATCTAAAAGCAAAAGAAAAACCAATAGAAAGATAGACCAAAAAGTAGAATAGGCTCAGAATAGGCTCTTTTAAAAAGAGAAAACTCAAATGGCCAGCAGTTGAATTAAAAGATGCTCAAACTCATTAGTAATCAGGGAAATGCAAATTAAAATCATAATACGATAGTTTTCCACACTTACTTGAATTATAAAAACAAAAAAGTCTGGAAAATACCAAGGGTTGGTAAGCATGTAGAGGAAGTAGAACTCTCATTCATAACTCTCTGTAGTATACATTTAGGTGGTCACTTCGGAACGGGTTTGGAATTACACAGCAAAGTAGAATATGTGCAAATCTCAGGACCCTGGAATTTTACTCCTGGGTATATACCTTAGAGAAACTGTAGCATATGTGTGACATTTGATCAACATTGTTCCATCATCATATCCATCAGTAGTAGGATGAATGAATACATTAATGTATATTCATTCATGCAATGGCATATTAGATAGCAGTGTAAGTGAACCGCAATTACATGTACATGTATGAATCTCAAAAACCCAATGTTGAAAGAAGCAAACCACAGAAGCATACATACACACTGCCAGGTTTCATTTACAAAAAGTTCAAAAACAGGAAAAACTAAACAATATATTGCTTAGGGATGCAATTATAGTTAGTAAAAATATAAAGAAAAATAACAGAATGATTACCCCAAATTTCAGGATAGTGATTACATCCGGTGGGGTAGAGGAGGGGAAGAAGATAGATGTGATCAGGGAGGGAAATACAAAGAGCTTTAAGATACTGGAGAAAAATAGTCTATTTTCTTTAATCTGAGTAGTGAACACATAGATACTTATTCCTTAAAATTATTCTTTAAGTTACATATGTATGTTTTATATACTCTTCTGTGTATATTTCACCATTTTAGAAAAGGGAAAAAAAATCAGTGCCCAGAGCTGAACACACAACTCTAGTAAATCTATCATACTAGAAGACAATCATCTCCATTCTTTTGAGTGCTCTGCCTCTGTTTATTTTGAACCAAAGTGCACTTTTATACTTGTTAAATTTTCTCTTGCTCTATTTGGCCCTTCTTTTCACTTGTCCTTCCAGCCAGTCAAGTTCTCCCCAAAGCCATCATCATATATGTCAACCACAGATCATCCTCCAGGGGAACTGGTATGCTAAAGTTTCTGAGCTAGCCAGGCTGAAATCCAAATGGCAGCCGGCAGATGTGGCAACAGTTTGAAAAGTGCACTTTGAAACAGCTTCCTTACCACACACGCTTCCCTCCCTACTTCTCCTGAAGTAATCTGTTTACAGA
Source organism: Homo sapiens (assembly GCF_000001405.40). NCBI lineage: Eukaryota > Metazoa > Chordata > Mammalia > Primates > Hominidae > Homo > Homo sapiens. Next base: position 100,874,539 of record NC_000023.11, on the reverse strand, counting down.
CCCAGACTAATAATCTTTTTTATGAGAAACTTTAGCAAATCTTTTATCTAGGAAGGCAATGCTTCACATTAGGTCATGTTGATAAGATGATGAGAGAGAATATTTTCATCCAAGAATGTTGCTATTTCCTGAAGCAGTAAAATCCCCACAGGTAAAACCCTTGTGGTTCTCATAGATAGGGCTGGTCTATCTAAGCTGATAGCACAGTTCTGTCCAGAGAAGGAAGGCAGAATAAACTTATTCATTCCCAGGAACTCTTGGGGTAGGTGTGTGTTTTTCACATCTTAAAGGCTCACAGACCCTGCGCTGGACAAATGTTCCATTCCTGAAGGACCTCTCCAGAATCCGGATTGCTGAATCTTCCCTGTTGCCTAGAAGGGCTCCAAACCACCTCTTGACAATGGGAAACTGGGTGGTTAACCACTGGTTTTCAGTTTTGTTTCTGGTAAGTGATGTTTGACTTCCTATTAATTAGGAAGGATTAAGGAGAAATCATGTTTTTTAATATTTGTAAAGCAATTTGAAAGAGAAAGATGATTCCATGCCGATTATTGGGCTCATCAAGACCAGTTAGTTAAAAAATACAACTGTGGGTCAGATGAGAGGACAGAGGCAAATAACATGCAATTGTTCATGTTGTCAAATCACAAGTATTTGGAATTTCAATCTGTTTTCATTTTCTGTCATCTCCCTTTCTCTTCCATCTCACTTCTAACTACTACCATGAGTGCTGATTTCTCTCTATCTTTCCTATACTGGTCCCATCAAGATTTCAAAAAGTCACTGAATGTTTGAGATGAAAGTGATCTTAGAGATCATCTGGCCCAGTACTGACCACTAGAAATATAGCAAACCACATAATGTAATTCCTAAATTTTCTAATACCTACACCGAAAAGGTAAAAATAAACAGGTGAAGTTAATATTTAACAATATAATTCATTTAACCCAACATATCAACAAATCCTTTCAGTATGTATTCAATATTGAAAATATTAAGAAGCTAATTTACATATTTTTATTTTTACTGAGTCTTTCAAATCTGATGTGTATATATACCCACAGCACATCTCAGTGAGGACTAGCCACATTTCAAGTGCTCAGCAGCCCCATGTGGGTAGTGGCTGTGGCATTGCATAGTGCAGATGTAAACCAACTTATTGATTGTACAAAGGAAAATAAGACCTAGATGTCACACAATGAATTGACTGAATTGGCATCACTCGAACCCAGCTCCCCAATGACGTTCAGGCCAGAACCCCTTTATCACCCTTTGTATGCACAATCCCTTTCTCCTAACACTCTAACACCTCTCTCCACTCTCATTCTTCCATTTCTGAGCCACAGTTGAGCCTGGGGCTCCCTGTGTCCTTTCTCACTTTCCTAGATCTTCATTCATTACTCTTTCTCTTTTCTCCTGTTTTGCTTTTGGGTCCCACAGGCAAAACAGAAGAGAGAAGGTGTGATGCTTCTTTTTATTCCTGTCTACCCCCCCGCCCCCCGACCAGGTGCTCCAGGGAAAAATATGTGGAGTTTCCCTGGAGGGTTGTTTGTTTTACATTTAACAAAAGTGCTTATTTTGTCAGGTTATCCCATGACATATTTTAAATGCTCAATGCCTTATATTGAGTTCCTTTTGCACTATAATGGAAAGAACACTAGTTTAGGAGAAAGGGAACCTGGCAAGTACTTTGAATTCTGCTACTAACTGGGTGATCTCGATCAAATTATTTATCCTCTCTAGACTTCAGGTCCTGTGGGTGTGTAGGTGGGGGGAATTGGGCAGGGGAGGGGAGCAGGGGATTAATAAAGTGACTAGATTAGATACAAATATAAGGGTGTTTCTAGCTCTAAAATCCACATTTACCTGCATTTTTTCCCCCTCTCTTATTTTTTGCTGGGAGAGTTTACCAGCTATGATGGTGACTCACATTTAACTCTCTAGCTTTGAATTTTCATCCCCCACCAAACCAGCTGGCAAGCTTAGACTTCTCATTATCTCTGACATATACTCCTATGCACTGATTTTTAAATAAAAAATAAATTACTTAAAAATAGTTTTATTCCTCCTTCCTCCCAGGTCTTGTAGTTTACCTTCTTTGACGTTCATAGTGGAGGAAATGACAGCTAAGATGGGGAATGGAATGCCTTACTCCTAGATATCACTGTATTTCATCATTTGCCTTGCCTACAATTGATGATGGGCTGACACAGTTATTTGCCCCTGTGTCTCTTTGCGATCCAGAAATATTTCTGCTCCCTCTAAATAAACTTCTCTCCTCTGTCTTCCAAATTCTTGAGGTGTCTGTGACTGTTGACTTTCTTTTCTTTCAAAGACGTTTCTCTGGAAGACACTCAGCTCTGGAAAAGGGTAACTGAGCAAAGGAGGCAGGAAGAAATTGATTGGTAAAGCAGGTTCGGTGGTGACACAACTCTGTAGCTAGCACTTATTGATCTCTTACTAAGCCCCAAGCATTGCATTAATCACTTTACACGCATTATCTGACGTAAGCCTCATAGCATTACTATAAAGTAGGTCCTGTTATTATCCTCATTTTGCAGGTGAAGAAATTGAGGTTTAGAAAATTTAAATCATATGTCTGTCTGAGATTATAGAGCTATTAATTGGTGATGCTACAACTTGACTCCAATATCACACTTTAAATCACTATATTATAGTACTAAAGGTGTGTGAGTGGTCTAGATCTAGGGAGTCTGAATAGGCCATGTCCTAGGCTAAAGGCCCTTTGCCTGTTGTGCTGAGATGGTTCTGACTCATACTGTGGGGCGAGGGATATATACTAGCGCCCTGGAGACCTGTCGAATTACAGACTAGCACCTCCACACTTGGGCTAGAGACCAGTTGGTTGGTCCTCAAGGCAATGGGCAGTGAGTTCCAAATTTCACCTTTAGCCAGTGCAGAGACAGAACTTGGAACAGGCAAAAGCAGTCTTAAGAGCTCAAAAAAGTCCAAAGGAAAAATAGATTAATTTGAAAAAAGACTCACAATCTGAAAACAGAAAAATGTGTGTCAGGGTGTAATTAAAAAGGCAGGCCCATCTGGAATGGTTTAGTTCTTTTCAGTTAGGTATTGTTATAGGTGCTAAATTTGTTCTTTGTTTCTTCAGATATCCATTTATTCACTTATTGCCATCTTTTAGGTGCAACAGTTTGAATGCTCTAGTCCAAGAAATGGCAAATGTTTCTGTAAAAATCTAGATAGTACATATTTTAGGCTTTGCAAGCCATATGGTCTCTGTCCCAACTACTCTACTCCGTCATTGTATCACAAAAACAGCCATAAACAATACAAAAATGAGTAGCAGTGGCTAAGTTCCAATACCACTTTATTTATGGTCACTGAAATTTGAATTTCATATAACTTTCACATGCCACAAAATATTCTTCTTTCGATTTTCTCAACCATTAGCAAATTTGAAAATATAAAATATAAAAAACAATTCTGAGCTTGCAGGCTGTGGCAAAACAGGTAATGGGCCATGGGCCTCAGTTTGCTGACCCTGCTCTAGTCTAATGCATGTCTCAAAGTGCTAACTCACTCTGAAAGCCAGTTAGATACTAGCAGGATTGCACTCATTTAAAATGAAAACAGGTAAACACAAAATAGCCAAAACGGCGACACTATTGCTATCCCTATCCCTTATTTACTCCTTCCCATACTCAAATTTCACTTTATTCTTTGCATGTTTTTTTTTCTTTCTCTAGGTTGTTTGGTTAGGGCTGAATGTTTTCCTGTTTGTGGATGCCTTCCTGAAATATGAGAAGGCCGACAAATACTACTACACAAGAAAAATCCTTGGGGTGAGTATCACGGTTGTCACGGATAGAATCTCTATTGTTTTCCTTATCTCTGATTCCAGCTTCTTTGTGACCCAATGCCCTGATATTCTCTAGGGCTAGGGTTGCCAGAAAAAGTACAGAATGCCCAACTGACTTTGAGTTTCAGATAAATGACAAATTATTTTTTTATGTAAGTATGCTCCAAATACTGTATGAAACACAGGTATACTAAAATATTTATTTTAAAAAGTCTGAAGTTAAAATTTAGCTTAGCATCCTGTATTTTTATTAAATAAATCTGATAACCCCATCTAGGGCACACTACCCAGACCCAATAAAGGAAACATGCAATAAAGAAAACTATTAGGCAGTTGTTTTCAAACTGGTTTCCAGAAACTCAGGTGTTCCTACAGGGTATGAGGGGAAGGCTAACTGGGCAGTGCTCCTGCTCCTGCTCCTGCCCCTATTTCTTTTTTTTTTTTTTTTACAAGGAGGAACTGGTACCATTCTTCTGAAACTATTTCAATCAATAGAAAAAGAGGGAATCCTCCCTAACTCATTTTATGAGGCCAGCATCATTCTGATACCAAAGCCTGGCAGAGACACAACCAAAAAAGAGAATTTTAGACCAATATCCTTGATGAACATTGATGCAAAAATCCTCAATAAAATACTGGCAAACCGAATCCAGCAGCACATCAAAAAGCTTATCCACCATGATCAAGTGGGCTTCATCCCTGGGATGCAAGGCTGGTTCAATATACACAAATCAATAAATGTAATCCAGCATATAAACAGAGCCAAAGACAAAAACCACATGATTATCTCAATAGATGCAGAAAAGGCCTTTGACAAAATTCAACAACCTTTCATGCTAAAAACTCTCAATAAATTAGGTATTGATGGGACATATTTCAAAATAATAAGAGCTATCTATGACAAACCCACAGCCAATATCATACTGAATGGGCAAAAACTGGAAGCATTCCCTTTGAAAACTGGCACAAGACAGGGATGCCCTCTCTCACCGCTCCTATTCAACATAGTGTTGGAAGTTCTGGCCAGGGCAATTAGGCAGGAGAAGGAAATAAAGGGTATTCAATTAGGAAAAGAGGAAGTCAAATTGTCCCTGTTTGCAGATGACATGATTGTATATCTAGAAAACCCCATCGTCTCAGCCCAAAATCTCCTTAAGCTAATAAGCAACTTCAGCAAAGTCTCAGGATACAAAATCAATGTACAGAAATCACAAGCATTCTTATACACCAACAACAGACAAACAGAGAGCCAAATCATGAGTGAACTCCCATTCACAATTGCTTCAAAGAGAATAAAATACCTAGGAATCCAACTTACAAGGGATGTGAAGGACCTCTTCAAGGAGAACTACAAACCGCTGCTCAAGGAAATAAAAGAGGATACAAACAAATGGAAGAACATTCCATACTCATGGATAGGAAGAATCAATATCGTGAAAATGGCCATACTGCCCAAGGTAATTTACAGATTCAATGCCATCCCCATCAAGCTACCAATGCCTTTCTTCACAGAATTGGAAAAAACTACTTCAAAGTTCATATGGAACCAAAAAAGAGCCCGCATCGCCAAGTCAATCCTAAGCCAAAAGAACAAAGCTGGAGGCATCACACTACCTCACTTCAAACTATACTACAAGGCTACAGTAACCAAAACAGCATGGTACTGGTACCAAAACAGAGATATATATCAATGGAACAGAACAGAGCCCTCAGAAATAATGCCGCATATCTACAACTATCTGATCTTTGACAAACCTGAGAAAAACAAGCAATGGGGAAAGGATTCCCTATTTAATAAATGGTGCTGGGAAAACTGGCTAGCCATATGTAGAAAGCTGCAACTGGATCCCTTCCTTACACCTTATACAAAAATCAATTCAAGATGGATTAATGCTCCTGCCCCTATTTCAACCAAAGCAGACTATATCTATCTATGAACACCTGCTTACAATTTTAAGAAAGAGTTTGGTTTTTTTTTAAAAAAAAGGAAAGTAAAAAAGAAAAAACAAACACAACTTGAAAACACTGCTGTCATGGAAACATACCTCTCTATCAAATAGGAGGGATACTTAGGGGAGTCTCATGGGTGCTACAGAATTCAAGGCCTGCAGAAAGGAGGGCTCAGGTCAAGGTTACAGAACCTGAGAAGCTTGGGGAAGTGGCAGATCAAAAACAGAAGAGGGAGGGAGGGAGTGGGTAGGGCACAGGGGTGTGGAGGTGACCAGGAGGAAGCACGGAGTTGAGGATGGTTCTCTCACAGGCTGATGAACCCGGATGCTGCCTGGTTAGAAGAGCATATTTGACTGCTACCTCTAGTCTATTATGCAATAACAGATAGAGGATTTTAAATCACTTTCATCTTGACAGTGTCATTTTTTCAGTAGCTTTTGGTATCTTCCCAATGTACATGTTTAAAGACAGCTTGTCCTTTTAAAAAATGCTTTTTTCTCTCTCCATAATCAAAGAATCCATGTTGAGATCACAACTAATTTGAACGTTCTGTTCATGGTTTATTTCACCCTGCTGTTTTCCATTTTAAATGTTCATCCTTGATCCTTCTTTAGAAACTATAACTCCAAAGGAGGTATTAATTTGCTTTAAAAATAGCTTTTTACTAAGAGAATGATGCAATAAATGTGACTAGTTATTAACAGCTTGATTACTACATGACCAAAATGTCAGCAGCACAAAAATAAATTATGCTGATGTCCCATGGACATTTTTTTTTCAAAATTATTTAAAAATTGTTTACATATGTAGGGGGTATAAGTGCAGGTCTCTTTCTTTCCTTCTTTCTTTTTTCTCTTTCTTCCTTTCTTTATTCTTCCTTCCTTTTCTTTCTCTTTCTTCTCTCTCTCTTTCTTTCCTTCCTTCCTTCCTTCTTTCCTTCTCTCTTTCTCTCTCTCTTTCTTCTTTTCTTTTCCTTCCTTCCTTCCTTCTTTCTTTCTTTGTTTTCATTCTTTTTATTTTGAGACAGGGTCTTTCTCTGTTACCCAGGCTGGCATGCAGTGGCATGATCATGGTTCACTGCAGCCTCGACTCTCCCAGGCTTCAGCTATCTTCCCACCTCAGCCTCCTGATTAGCTGGGACCACAGGTGTGCGCCACCAAGCCTGGCTAATTAATATGCCATAATTTATTTAAACATTCCACAGTCATTAAAACATTTACCATCACTGCATAACTGCATAGAGCTCTCAGCCTTTTAAGAGAATAACAATTCATTGCATTGATATGCCATAATTTATTTAAACATTCCACAGGTTATTTCTTAAATTCATGCTCACCTTGGGAAAATACAGGGAACAATTTGATTCACTATGAAGTAGAGCAGATAAGCAGCAGAGGAAGAAGTTTAAATCCATAATTTAAAAACATTTTTTTGCCAGGCGCTGTGGCTCACGCCTGTAATCCCAGCACTTTGGGAGGCCGAGGCGGGCGGATCACGAGGTCAGGAGATCGAGACCACGGTGAAACCCCATCTCTACTAAAAATACAAAAAATTAGCCAGGCGTGGTGGCGAGCGCCTGTAGTCCCAGCTACTCGGGAGACTGAGGCAGAAGAATGGCGTGAACCCAGAAGGCGGAGCTTGCAGTGAGCCGAGATCGCGCCACTGCACTCCAGCCTGGGCGACAGAGCCAGACTCTGTCTCAAAAATAAATACATAAATAAATAAATACTTTTTTTTTGTAGACATGAGGTCTCCGTGTTGCTCAGGCTAGTCTCAAAACTCCTGGGCTCAAGTAATATTCCCACCTCGGCCTCCCAAAGGCCGGGTATTACAGGTGTGAGCGACCATGCCCAGTCACAAGTGTAGGTTTCTTACATGCATATATTGCATAGTGATGAAGTCTGGGTTTTTAGTTACCTATCACCTGAATAGTGAACATTGTACCCAGTGGGTCATTTTTCAACCCTCACTCCCCTCCCACCCTCCCACATTTTGTAGTCTCCAATATCCATTATTCCACTCTGTAGGACATTTCATTTTTTAAATCCCTATTTTAAAACCTTAATTATCAATAATGCTGCTTCCAATGAGATCAAAGCACATATTAGTTTGGTGCAAAAATTATTGCTATTAAAACTGTTTGCAAAAACCGCAATTACTTTTGCACCAAGCGAATAGAAGTGTATAAGTAAAATGTGAAAATCTCCCTCCCATCCTACTCCCCAGAGATACACACACACACACACACACACACACACACACAGGGACACACACACTGACATAAGCTCACAAATGTATCAGACACGCAGGTTTTGTTTTTGAGGTGGGTACTATCGTTTATTCACTTTTTCATTTTCATATAGTAAAATTTGCTGTTTTTTGGTATACAGTTCTATGAGTTTGGGTAAACACATATAATAAGACACACAGCTTTTTGTTTTAACCAAAAAAGGGATCACTTTGTAGATATTGGCTGGAAATTGCTTATGTTAATATATCTCAGATATCTTTCTTTCTTTTTTTTTTTTTTGAGATGGAGTCTCACTCTGTCGCCCAGCCTGGAGTGCAGTGGCGCAATCTCTGCTCACTGCAACCTCCACCTCCTGGGATCAAGCGATTTTCCTGCCTCAGTCTCCCAAGTAGCAGGGGTTACATGTGCGAACTTTCATGGCTGGCTAATTTTTTGTATTTTTAGTAGAGACGGGGTTTCACCATGTTGGCCAGGCTGATCTCAAACTCCTGACCTCAAGTGATCCACCCGCTTTGGTCTCCCAAAGTGCTAGGATTACAGGCGTAAGCCACTGCTCCCAGCCTCAGATATCTTTCCATGTGAGTGCCTAACCAGTGGTGTGCTGAAACCAGCTCATACCAGGTTGCAATGCCAGTTGCGTGCATCTCTTCCCAACTCTGCATTCAGTGGTGTTCAATGACATCAAGTTAGTGTCTTGAAATCTGGCATGGTGGGAGTATTTACATCATCAAAATTGGCAAATGCTGGAAATCAGGAATCCCCTTCCTCCCAAAAAGCTAGTCATTAAAACATTTACCATCACTGCATCACTGCATAGAGCTCTCAGCCTTTTAAGAGAATAACAATTCATTGCATTGATATGCCATAATTTATTGAAACATTCCACAGGTTATTTCTTAAATTCATGCTCTGCTCACCTTGGGAAAATACAGATAACAATTTGATTCGCTATGAAGTAGAGCAGATAAGCAGCAGAGGAAGAAGTTTAAATCCATAGTCAATTATGCATTAATGACAGCAGGAGTTCAATTATAACACCAGTGAGTGGAGATCTAGAGAAATGAACATACATTGGCATATTTAAATGTGCTGCAACGAGGAAAAAATGTTTTCTCTAAAAAGAATTCATCCTATACAGATAGCCACCACAGAATATGGAACTGTGAAATTATAGTCCTATATTTTCAATTCACTTGCCAATTTTAGCTTTAAGAAATCTCTGTGATTCAAATAAGCAAGTAGTGGGAACCAATGTGGAAATGCAGGATCTCTGAGATGAGCAGAGGAAATTTACTCAGAAGTGGAACAGGCTGTCTGTACCAAAAACAGTCAGGGTGTGAGTCAGCAGAGGGAGAAAACACAGGTCATGTGGAAAAGCCAGAAATGGAAAACAGTAGGGCAGCTTTTGTTCACCACATTGCCTGACATTCTTAGCCATTATAGATACTAGGCAGATCTTGTCCTGGCTTATTAAACTAACATCACATGTTCCTGGGTTTACGATATAAGGAAAAATCAATTTTGTGCTTCATAGATAATTACAAAAAGGCCAAGAAATTGTTAACCTTAACCCATACCCCTCCTTTTAGAAAGTCTTTGACAGGCACACAATGTAAGGCTGGCCAGTCAGCAGAAGTGCAACAAAAATTGCCTGGCTGCTGCTGTCAGCTCCTCTGCTACAACATTGTCACACTCCATAGCAGTCCCAAGTTCATGAAGTAGACTCAGAGACCGGTTGTACAGAGTTGAGGAGAGAAGTCAGATTTAGCTGCCATGGAGTTAAGCATATTCTGTCCAGCTTATACCTAGTAAGGCCTGTTTTTTGGGGCTAAATGCTTCTTTGAAGCATTGATTCCTTGTCTCCTTTGCTAGCAGCTTCTACTGCTGGATCAGGTTGTTCTTGATTTATGCTGCCTGGCCACCCAAGGAAATCAGCTTAAAATTTTGCTCCTCTGAAGTTCTCCCTTCTCAAATATCTACCTGTTTAAAAATTTTGCTCCAAGAGGTTTGCTAGTCTTGACTAAATTTATTCAATTTTTAAAGACATCTTAAATAGAATTGGTTAAAAATTTTAAGTGTTTTTATTATACAACTCTTATGTGCTTATAACTGCAATATTAGAAAATACAGAAAAGAATAAAATACCATCTGTAATTGTACCTCTAAGTATGAGCTTTATTTAAAATGCAAATAAAGGTATATATGATCCTTGGCCAGGCATGGTGGCTCACATCTGTAATCCCAGCACTTTGGGAGGCCAAAGCAGGCAGATCTCTTGAGCTCAGGAGTTCCAGACCAGCCTGGGCAACATGGCAAAACCCTGTCTCTACCAAAAATACAAAAATTGGCTGGGTATGGTGGTGCACGCCTGTAGTCCCAGCTACTCAGGAGGCTGAGGTGGGAGGATGGCTTGAGCCCAGGAGGCAGAGGATGCAGTGAGCCGATATCTCGCCACTGCACTCCAGCCTGGGCAATAGTGCCAGACCTTGTCTCAAAAAGAAAAATCTATATCTATATCTATATCTATATCTATATCTGATCCTTAGGACTCTTTTACAAGTGACAAATAACAAAATTATAATAAAGAGTATTAAGTAAAATGTTACAGCCATAGAATGTTTTGCTAACATGTAATCATTAAATCCTATTCTCTTTCATGTTAATAAATGTAGTCAAACATTTCCAAACTACTGTCATGGGAATTTCTCAACTCAATATTAAATTCAGTATGTTTTATGTATTTTGCAAACAGAGCCTGGCCTGATGGTGTTAGCTACTGAGAGAGAGGAGAGGCAGCTGTAGCCCTGTTCATTTGCAGGCCTCAGATGAGTGGGCTGGGTCAGTTGCTCACGTGCTAGATGGTGAAATGAAGCAGCTGATGGTCTCTTTTTCTCCTCTGCTGTAGTCAACATTGGCCTGTGCCCGAGCGTCTGCTCTCTGCTTGAATTTTAACAGCACGCTGATCCTGCTTCCTGTGTGTCGCAATCTGCTGTCCTTCCTGAGGGGCACCTGCTCAGTGAGTCCCAACCACTCCTAAGTCAACTTTCACATTAAAGAAGGAGACCCCAGACTCCTCAGTAGGACAGTCCAACACCATGCTCCTAGGAATGGAAGCTAGAAGTCTCCTTTGGTAGCTAAGGGGGTGGGTTAGTGCGGGTGAGTATTGGCATGCTATATGCAAGACATATTGGTTATGGGTTAGTGAATTTAATAAAGCTGGCTGGCGACATCTGACCATGATCATTCTACATTTGTAGTTTTGCAGCCGCACACTGAGAAAGCAATTGGATCACAACCTCACCTTCCACAAGCTGGTGGCCTATATGATCTGCCTACATACAGGTAACTCAGGCAATCCATGAATCTGCAGACTCCAGGGCATTCAGAATCTTGCTTCATTCATCCATCCATATGCACATTCAAAAAATATTTATCGAGCACTGGGCACTATTTGTCAGGCACTGTTCTTGGCCTGTTTTCATGGAGCTTAAGTTCTATTCCTTTGGGAACAGAGTAAATATAAAAAAGATCTCTCCGCAATCGAGGGTTTATTGGGCACCTTCTGTGCACTCAGCATTCTGCTAAGCACTATAATGTAGGATTCTTCTAGTCTAGTGGGGCACACCTGCCATGATGTTGCTGAGATGCCTCTTAACATTTCTTTTCATCTTTCCATTTAGCTATTCACATCATTGCACACCTGTTTAACTTTGACTGCTATAGCAGAAGCCGACAGGCCACAGATGGCTCCCTTGCCTCCATTCTCTCCAGCCTATCTCATGATGAGAAAAAGGGGGGTTCTTGGCTAAATCCCATCCAGTCCCGAAACACGGTGAGTTGACTTTCTAGCAAAGCATCTGAGATCTGGTCATGAGCAGGAAGTGCACAGGTGGACATTGTGTCAGGCTGACATTTCTCCTTTCACAGACAGTGGAGTATGTGACATTCACCAGCATTGCTGGTCTCACTGGAGTGATCATGACAATAGCCTTGATTCTCATGGTAACTTCAGCTACTGAGTTCATCCGGAGGAGTTATTTTGAAGTCTTCTGGTATACTCACCACCTTTTTATCTTCTATATCCTTGGCTTAGGGATTCACGGCATTGGGTAAGATCCTCGAACCCTCATTCTCATGCCCCAGCCCCTGACCTTGCATAATTCTTTGTCCCAAACCATCCTTCTTTGTCTATTTCAGTGGAATTGTCCGGGGTCAAACAGAGGAGAGCATGAATGAGAGTCATCCTCGCAAGTGTGCAGAGTCTTTTGAGATGTGGGATGATCGTGACTCCCACTGTAGGCGCCCTAAGTTTGAAGGGCATCCCCCTGAGGTAAGAGCCCTACGGGCAAGGACAGACTCTTGTTAGGAGCTGTTACTGTTATTATTCTTATTATTACTCTTATTGTTATTATCATCATTATTATTAGTTCAGTCCTGTGCTGGGTCTTATGAAGGATATCTATGGGGTTCCTACCTTTAAGAAACTTCCAGTATCACTGGCAACAGGCAATTACAAGGGGATCTTGAAGAGAAAAAACTAATAGTTCTTGCATGTTGTGAGACCCTCTGCAAAGGTAATAATGATAGCCCACATTATTAATTGTGTTTATCATCTGCCAGCCTTGCTGCATAATATGGATTATTTCATTTATATATAGCAATAGCCTATGAGATATTACTTCTTTTTTGTCTAAATTTTGAAACAAAAGGACAGGATTCCAAGAGATTAAGTAAACTGACAAGCTCTTACAGTAAGTAGTGGAGCTTGAATACAAACCCAGGCCTTTTGGATTCCAAAGGTTTGAACTCTTGACCACTATACTGTCCCAAAGCTCAGCCGTGATATTCCAGTCAAATTCTGGGGGGAAATAAAGCATTCTTGAAGTGGGCTTTCTTTGGTGTTCTAAGAATATGCTTGGAAATTTTTGTTAGATACTGGGTGATTATGAAACTGTGTTCTAGGGAACTCAAGGTGTGCCCCAGGGTAATTCTTGCGGATATTATTATTTACCTTTGCTTGCTCACAAAATAGGTTATATTGAGGAGTAAATGGAAGGGGAAGGTTGATTTGTGGTGCCTCAGAGTATTCTGAGAATGATTAAGGTCTTTAAATCAGATTCAGGATTAAGAGCAATAGCTTAGTTCTCATCTGGAACAGGAAAAATATATAAAACAAAAAGTCTTCTAAAGTTGGCATTTTAATTCAGCAGGAAAAGGATAAATGAATAATTTTTAGCACAATAAGATCATCATCTGGGAAAAAAGCTATATCTTCATTTCACGCCTTGCACTAAAATATGAATCGAGGATACATGAAGCAAAAAAACCATAAAAGCACCTTAAGACCACGTGGGAAGTTTTTTTCTAATACTGAAGTGGAGGAACATGTTTCTAAATAAGATAAACCACCCTGAAGCCATAAAAGAAGAGATAATTTTGCATGGCAAAAGAAATCCCCATCGGGCCGGGCACGGTGGCTCACACCTGTAATCCCAGCAATTTGGGAGGCTGAGGTGGGTGGATTGCTTGAGCCCAGGAGTTTGAGACCAGCCTGGGCAACATGGCAAAACCCCATCTCTACAAAAAATACAAAAATTAGTTGGGCATGGTGGTGTGGAGGGTGAGGTGAAAGGATTACTTGAGCCTGGGAGGCTGAGGCTGCAGTGAGCTGTAATCATGCCACTGCACTCCAGCCTGGGTGACAGTGAGATCCTGTGTCAAAATAAACAAACAAATAAACAAAAATTCCCATTGTAAATAAAGATAGACAAAAAATTACCAAGTAGGAAAAGTATTTACAACTCACAGGGCATGGACTAATTTTCTAATATATAAATAACTCCTAGAAATCAATAAGAAAAAGCCTAATAACATGATAAAAAGAGAAACAGAAGATGTGAACAGAATAATCTCAGAAATGGAGATATATCCTTATCTTAAATATATGAAATGATGCTTAATGTTATTCATAATGGAAAAAAATGCCAAATAAAACTACAAGAATCTGTTAACCTAACAGATTAGCAAAGATTAAAAAACCTGCTAATGTATGGTGCTGGCAAGTGTGGAAAAATGCTCTTATGCATTGCTGGTGAGAGTGTAAACCTATACAACTGCTTGTAGAGAGTGATTTGGCAGTAGCAATTAAGGTTTAAAACTCGACTTCCAATTTATTCCACAAATATACTTAAATATGTGTTAAATTACATGCATTAAGTTATTCATTACAGCATTGTTGAATAGAAAAAAAGACTGGAAACAAGTGTCCATCAGTGGGGAACTAGTTACATTTTGGGACTTTCATGCAGTGGAATAGTCTGCAACCAGTAAAACGAAAGAGACAGTACCATAGACACTAATAGGGACCAGTCTCTAAGATGTTAAATGCAAAAGGCAGGGCAGTGTGTAGAGTCTCCTATCATTTGCATTGAAAAGATCATTTAAATGCATGTTCTCCAGAAGAATTCACAAAATAATAACATTACCTCTGGGGATCTGGAGGGGCAGGAGGATTTGCTTTTTACTATTGTACTGTTGTACTTTCAGATTTTGTACCATATACATATATTACCTATTTAGAAAGTAATTTTCTAATAAGATAGATAGAATGCTAGCTACACAAATAAAGAATAGACCACTAGCTACACTAATAAAGAAAAAAGAGAGACAATCCAAAAAACACAATCAGAAATGGCAAAGAGGACATTATGACTGACCGCACAGAAATTAAAAAAAAAAAAACCCTCAGAGACTACTATGAACATCTCTATGCACACAAACTAAAAAAAAAAACAACCTAGAAGAAATGGATAAATTCCTGGACACATACAACCTCGCAAGACCAGACCACGAAGAAATTTAATCCCTGAGCAGACCAATATTGAGTTCCAAAACTGAATCAGTAATAAAAAAGCCTACAACTAAAAAATGCCCAGGACCAGATAGATTCACAGCCAAATTCTTCCAGATGTACAAAGAAGATCTGGTACCATTCCTACTGAAACTATTGCAAAAAAATTGAGGAGGAGGGTCTCCTTCCTAACTCACTCTATGAGGCCAGCATCATCCTGATACCAAAACGTGGCAGAGATACAACGAAAAAAGAAAACTTCAGGCCAATATCCCTGATGATCATTCATTGATGAAAAAATCCTCGACAAAATACTGGCAAACTGAATCCAGCAGCACATCAAAAAGCTAATCCACCACGATCAAGTAGGCTTTATCCCTGGGATGCAAGTTTGGTTCAACATATGCAAATCAATAAATGTGATTCATCACATAAAGAGAACTAAAGACAAAAATCATATGATCATCTCAGTAGATACACAAAAGGCTTTCAATAAAATTCAACATTCCTTCATATGAAAAACTCTCAGCAAACTAGGCATTGCTGGAACATATTTCAAAATAACAAGAGCCATCTATGACAAACCCACAGCCAACATCATACTGAATGGGCAAAAGCTGGAGGCATTCCCCTTGAAAACTGGAAAAAGACAAGGATGCATTCTCTTACCACTCCTATTTAACATCGTGCTGGAAGTCCTGTCCAGAGCAATCAGGCAGGAGAAAGAAATAAAAGGCATCCAAATAGGAAGACAAAAAGTCAAACTATCCCTGTTTGCAGACAATATGATTCTATACCTAGAAAACCCCATAGTCTATGTCCAAAAGCTCCTAGATCTGATAAACAGCTTCAGCAAAGTTTCAGGATACAAAATCAATATACAAAAATCAGTAGCATTGCTATACCCCAACAACACCCAAGCTGAGAGCCAAATCAAGAATGCAATCCCATTCACAATAGCCACAAAAAAAATAAAATACCTAGGAATACAGCCAACTAGGGAGGTGAAAGATCTCTACAATGAGAGTTACAAAACACTGCTCAAAGAAATTAGAGATGACACAAACAAATGGAAAAACATTCCATACTAATGGATAGGAAGAATCAATATCATTAAAATGGCCCTACTGCCCAAATCAATTTACAGATTCAACACTATTCCTACCAAACTACCAATGACATTCTTCACAGAATAAGAAAAAAAAACTATTTCAAAATTCATATGAAACCAAAAAAGAGCCCAAATAGCCAAGGCAATCCTAAGCAAAAAGAACAAAGCTGGAGGCATCATGTTACCCAACTTCAAACTATACAAGGCTACAGCAACCAAAACAGCATAGTACTGGTATAAAAACAGACACACAGACTGATGGAACAGAATAGAGAGCCCAGAAATAATGTTGCATATCCATGACCATGTGATCTTTAACAAAGTCAACAAAAATAAGCAATGGGGAAAGGACTCTGTTCAATAGGTGGTGCTGGGATAACCGGCTAGCCATATGAAGAAGATTGAAACTGGACTCTTTCCTTACACCATATACAAAAACCAACTCAAAATGGATTAAAGACTTAAATGTAAAACCCCAAACTATAAACACCGTAGAAGACAACCACCCTGGAAGACAACCTAGGCAATACCATTCAGGACATAGGCCCTGGCAAAGATTTCATGATGAAGATACCAAAAGCAAATGCAACAAAAATAAAAATTGATGAATGGGATCTAATTAAACTAAAGAGCTTCTGCACAGCAAAAGCAACTACCAAGAGAGTAAACAAACAACCTACAGAATGGGAGAAAATATTTGCAAACTACACATCCGACAAAGGTCTAATATCTAGCATCTATAAGGAACCTAAACAAATTAACAACAACAACAAAAAAACACAAATTATCCCATAACAAAGTGTGCAAAGTCTCAAAAAAAAAAAAAAAGTGGGCAAAGGACATAAAGAAACACTTTTCAAAAGAAGACACACACGCAGCCAACAAGCATATGAAAAAATGCTCAACATCGCCGATCATTAGAGAAATGCAAATCCAAACCACAATGACACACCATCTCACGCCAGTCAGAATGGCTATTATTAAAAAGTCAAAAAATAACAGATGTTGGTGAGGTTGCAAGGAAAAGGGAGCACTTATACAGTGCTGGTGGAAATGTAAATTAGTTCAGCCATTGTGGAAAGCAGTGTGGTAATTCCTCAAAGAATTGAAAACAGATTACCGTTTGACCTAGCAATCCCATTACTGAGTATATACCCAAAGGAATATAAATCATTCTATGACAAAGACACATGCACTTGTGTGTTCATTGCAGCACTATTCAAAACTGCAGACATGGAATCCACCTAAATGCCCATCAATGGTAGACTGGATAAAGAAAATGTGGTACATATATACCATGGAATACTACGCAGCCATAAAAAATAACAAGATCATGTCCTTTGCAGCAAGATGGATGGAGCTGGAGGCCATTATCCTAAGCAAACTAATGTAGAAACAGAAAACCAAATATCACATGTTCTCATTTATAAGTGATAGCTAAACATTGAGTACATATGCACACAAAGAAGGGAATAACACACTGGGGCCTACTTGAGAATGGAGAAAGGGTGGAGAGAGAGGATCAAAAAACTATCTAATGGGTAGTAGGCTTATTACCTAGGTGATGAAATAATCTGTACACCAAACCCCTGTGACATGTAGTTTACCTGCAAACTGCACATGTACCTCTGAACCTAAAATAGAAGTTAAAAAAAAAAGTAATTTTGGGTGGGGCACAGTGGCTCATGCCTGTAATCCCAGCACTTTGGGAGGCTGAGGCAGGAGGATTGCTTGAGCTCAAGAGTTCGAGACCAATCTGAGCAACATAGGAAGACCTTGTCTCTACAGAATATTAAAAAATTAGCCGGGCATGGTGGTGCACGACTCTGGTTCCAGCTACATGGGAGGCTGAGATGGGAGGATCACTTGAGCCCAGGAGATTGAGGCTGCAGTGAGCTGTGATGGCACCACCGCACTCCAGCCTGGTTGACAGAGAAAGACCCCATCTCAAAAAAAAAAAGTAATTTTGGAAGGACATACCTGGGATATGTTAATAGCACATTTCATTTCTAAAGTCAGAGGAAATTATAAGATCATAACCAGGGATCTGTATTAGCGGACTAGTAGACAAGAGGACCTTAAAGATAGGGAGCTATTGCCTTTCCGCCCGTGTACGCCACTGAAGAAGCATCGTTAAAGTCTCTCTTCTCCCTTCCATCTTGTCTAAGTCAGAGTCTCCTAAAGAGCTCAAACAGCTGAGGAAGCTCTTCATTGGAGATTTGAGCTTTGAAACAACTGACGAGAGCCTGAGGAGCCATTATGAGTGATGGGGAATGCTCACAGACTGTGTGGTAATGAGAGATCCAAACACCAAGCGCTCCAGGGGCTGTGGGTTTGTCACATACGCCACTGTGGAGGAGGTGGATGCAGCCACGAACGCAAGGCCACACAAGGTGGATGGAAAAGTTGTGGAACCAAAGAGAACTGTCTCAAGAGAAGATTCTCAAAGACCAGGTGCCCACTTAACTGTGAAAAAGATATTTGTTGGTGGCATTAAAGAAGACACGGAAGAACATCACCTAAGAGATTACTTTGAACAGTTTGGAAAAATGGAAGTGATTGAAATCATGACTGAGGCAGTGGCAAGAAAAGGGGCTTTGCCTTTGTAACTTTTGACGACCATGACTCCGTGGATAAGATTGTCATTCCGAAATACCATACTGTGAATGGCCACAACTGTGAAGTTAGGAAAGCCCTGTCAAAGCAAGAGATGGCTAGTGCTTCATCCAGCCAAAGAGGTCGAAGTGGTCGTGGAGGTGGTTTTGGTGGGAATGAAAACTTTGGTTGTGGAGGAAACTTCAGTGGTCATGGTGGCTTTGGTGGCAGCCATGATGGTGGTGGATATGGTGGCAGTGGGGATGGCTATAATGGATTTGGTAATGATGGTGGTTATCCAGGAGGCGGCCCTGGTTACTCTGGAGGAAGCAGAGGCTATGGAAGTGGTGGACAGGGTTGTGGAAATCAGGACAGTGGCTATGGCAGGAGTGGCAGCTATGACAGCTGTAACAAGGGAGGCAGAGGCGGCTTTGGCAGTGGTAGTGGAAGCAATTTTGGAGGTGGTGGAAGCTACAATGATTTTGGCAATTACAACAATCAGTATTCAAATTTTGGACCCATGAAGGGAGGAAACTTTGGGGCAGACGCTCTGGCCCCTAGGGTGATGGAGGCCAATACTTTGCCAAACCACCAAACCACAGTGGCTATGGCGGTTCCAGTAGCAGCAGTAGCTATGGCAGTGGCAGAAGATGTTAATTGGGAATCAAAGCTTAGCAGGAGAGGAGAGCCAGAGAAGTGACAGAGAAGCTACAGGTTACAACAGATTCATGAACTCAGCCAAACACAGTGGTGGCAGGGCCTAGCTGCCACAAAGAAGACATGTTTTATACAAATACTCATGTTTATGGGCAAAAAAGTCAAGGACTGTATTTGTGACTAATTGTATAACAGGTTATTTTAGTTTCTGTTCTATGGAAAGTGTAAAGCATTCCAACAAAGGGTTTTAATGTAGATTTTTTTTGCACCCATGCAAAAAATTGCTATATGTGATAGTCTGATCATGACACTGAATAAATGTCTTTTTTTTTTAATGTGCTGTGTAAAGTTAGTCTACACTGAAGCCATCTTGGTAAATTTCCCCAACAGTGTGAAGTTAGCATTCCTTCAGGGTGATGCCAGGTTCTATTTGGAATTTATATACAACCTGCTTGGGTGGAGAAGCCATTGTCTTCAGAAACCTTGGTGTAATTGAATTGATAGTTACTGTTGTGACCTGAAGTTCACCATTAAAAGGGACTACCCAAGCAAAATCATGGAATTATTGGTTATAAAAATAATTGTTGGCACATCCTATGCAATATATCTACGTTGAATAATGGTACCAGATAAAATTATAGATGGGAATGAAGCTTGTGTATCATCCATTATCATGTGTAATCAATAAACAATTTAATTCTCTTGAAAAAAAAGATAGGGAGCTATTTAAAGATTATTAGGAAAGCTTACTAGCTAAGATGGTTAATACCTTGTCTTATCTTGCACATCAGCTTCTGTCTTTTTCTCATCTATTACCTGAGTTAAGTTATAGTTGGTCTATTTGGTATCCTTAAAACTTAGGGGTTGCTTTGGTTGGTCGTGTAATACTCTAAGAGAGAGAATACCAGTTTTGCCACCTGAATGTATTGCTTTGTTTCTTCCATAAACATTTAAAAAATACTCTCTCCATATTCACCCCATTTAAAAATTAGAAAAATAATATACATTTATTGTAGAAAGTTTGGAAAATACAAAAAATACTAGAAGTAAATAAAAAATTTCATAGAGTTCTACCACCTAGAGGAAATAATGTTTTTCCTTGATTGATATAATGGATGCTTTCCTTTGAAACATTTTTTTTTGTTTTGAGACAGTCTCCCTCTGTTACTCAGGCTAGAGTGCAGTGGTGTGATCTTGTCTCACTGCAACCTCTGCCTCCTGGGTTCAAGTGATTCTCCTGCCTCAGCTTCCCAAGTAGCTGGGACTACAGGCGCGCACCACCACGCCCTGCTAATTTTTGTATATTTAGTAGAGACGGGGTTTTGCCACGTTGACCAGACTGGTCTCGAACTCCTGACCTCAGGTGATCCACCTGCCTTGGCTTCCCAAAGTGTTGGGATTACAGGCGTGAGCCACCGCACCCGGCCTTGAAACATTTGTTTTAAAATAGTTGGCCAGGAGTGGTGGCTCATGCCTGTAATCCCAGCACTTTGGGAGGCTGAGGCAGGTGGATCATTCGAGGCCAGCAGTTCCAGACCAGCCTGGCCAGCATGGTGAATCTCCATCTCTACTGAAAATGCAAAAATTCGCCAGGTGTGGTGGTGCATGCCTGTAGTTTTAGCTAATTGGGAGGCTGAGGCAGGTGGATCATTCGAGGCCAGCAGTTCCAGACCAGCCTGGCCAGCATGGTGAATCCCCATCTCTACTGAAAATGCAAAAATTCGCCAGGTGTGGTGGTGCATGCCTGTAGTTTTAGCTACTTGGGAGGCTGAAGCAGGAGAGTTGCTTGAACCCGGGAGGCGGGGGTTGCAGTGAGCCGAGACTGTGTGACTGCACGGAGTGAGACTCTGTCAAAAAAAAAAAAGAAAGAAAGAAAGGAAGGACGCAAGGAAGAAAGCAAGGAAGGAAGGAAGGAAGAAAAGAAAGAAAGAAAGAAAGAAAGAAAGAAAGAAAGAGAAAGAGAGAGAAAGAAAGAAAGAAAGAAAGAAAGAAAGAAAGAAAGAAAGAAAGAAAGAAAGAAAGAAAGGAAGGAAGGAAGGAAGGAAAGAAAGAAAAAGAAAGAAAGAGAAAGAGAAGGAAAATATGTGTATGGTATATATACCATTTTAATCATTTCTTAAAGTAAACATTGTGGCCATTACTTTACTCGTGCATAATACTTTTTCACACCTTAATTATTTATCTTCATTTCCCAGAAGTGAAGTTCCAGGGTAAAAGAGAAGGAATGCTTTTGAGGCTATTGAGACATACTGCTCAACTGCTCTCTGGGAAGATGTTGCCAATTTGCATTTTCACCCCTGTGAAATGCATGTTCAATTTGCATGCCCACGTGAACACTCCCATTTCCCTGAATCCCAGTTAATGCTGGGCATTATTAATTAAAATTGTTTTTCAATTTGAGAGACTAAAATGGTATCTTGTTTTAATATTTATTACTCTGACTATTTCTGAGGCCAATATTTTTTTCACATTGTTATTATCCATTTCTTAAATATGTTTTTCCTCAAATTGAGCTGGGGAATTTTCTTCAAATAAGAAATAGCACTGAATTGCATAATGTTCACTCTGTTTGATTTGTCCCATCTCTGCCTCTTCCTTCCCTAGAGATACTCAAGGAAGTTATTTGCTTGCACCAGCTTAAGAAACCTCACTTCACACAGTCCCAATGTATCACACTTGAGCAACTGTGCAAGAAAGGACATAATTTAGTATTGCTAGGAAGTATATTTTTAGTAGTTCCTGTGCAGGTAGAAGCAAACTGCTGCTTTGCAAAGATCTCAGGGATAGAAAAGCTGCTTTATTTATTTATTTATTTTATTTATTTTGAGACGGAGTCTCACTCTGTCACCCAGGCTGGAATGCAGTGGCGCGACCTGGGCTCACTGCGACCTCCTGGGTTCGAGTGATTCTCCTTCCTCAGTCTCCCGAGTGTCTGGGATTACAGGCACCCACCACCACACTCGGCTAATTTTTGTATTTTTAGCAGAGATGGGGTTTCACCATGTTGGCCAGGCTGGTCTTGAACTCCTGATCTCAAGTGATCCACCCGCCTTGGCTTCCCAAGGTGCTGGGATTACAGGCGTGAGCCACTGCGCCTGGCCAAAAAGCTGCCTTTAAAAAAAATGTAGACAAGGTAAAAAAGATATTACTATGTTAAATGTTTAAGCACTTGAGAAAGGAGGTGATGGATAAGTACTGAGTTTTATGTACCAGTAGCATCAGTCACATACTTTCCCTTTTTTGTGTTTGTTTTGTTTTTAATCATCTGCCTCTATTTCACATCTACTTTCTCTGTTGGTTTTTTAGATTGGACAAGCTGTCCTCGAAGACAGTCTTAGATTCTTAAAATTAAATCTTATTTTATTTTTTTGGAGACAGTGTCTTGCTCTGTTGCCCAGGCTGGAGTGCAGTGGTGTGATCTCAGCTCACTGCAACCTCTGCTGCCTCCTGGGTTCAAGCGATTCTTATGCCTCAGCATCCCATGTGGCTGGAATTACAAGCATGCACCACCACGCGCAGCTAATTTTTTGTATTTTTAGTAGAGACAGGGTTTCGCTATGTTGCCCAGGCTAGGTCTCCAACTCCTGAGATCAGGCAGTCTGCCCGCCTCGGCCTCCTAAAGTGCTAGGATGAGCCACTGTGCCAGGCCTTAAAATTAAATTTTATATGTAATTTAAGAATAAGAATATTTACCATGTGTTCCATTTCTGTGCTTTTCTCCTGCTTCTTGGTCAGACTTGTAAATTTTCAGGAAATGGTCTGTTTTATGAATAACAGATTAGCAAACGAAACCATTGTCCTTTATTTTTTCTATTTCCATCTTCCAGATTTGGTGAAATTAGTAGCTTAAAAATGATACACATTGGAGAACTCAGTAAAGAATGAAGGATGAACTGCTACACAAATAAGTCCTAAACAAGAAATTAGTGTGTAATCTCATTCTTAACCCTGTCTCTGTGCAGTCTTGGAAGTGGATCCTTGCACCGGTCATTCTTTATATCTGTGAAAGGATCCTCCGGTTTTACCGCTCCCAGCAGAAGGTTGTGATTACCAAGGTAAAGAATATGCACTTTCCTCTTGCTGTGATAAGAGTTATCTTCTACCGGACTACAGAACTAAATTTTTATGTTGTCACCCTGAAAGAGGAACTTGGAAACTGGGCACAGTGGGTGGTAGTCCCAGCACTTTGGGAGGCCAAGGAGGGCAGATCTGTTGAGGTCAGGAGTTCGAGACCAGCCCGGCCAACATGGCGAAACCCCATCTCTAATAAAAAAAAAAAAATTAGCTGAGCGTGGTGGTGCCCACCTGTAATTCCAGCTACTTGGGAGGCTGAGGCGGGAGAATCGCTTGAACCCGGGAGGCAGAGGTTGCAGTGAGTTGAAATAGCGCCACTGCACTCCAGCCTGGGTGACAGAGAGAGGCTCTGTCTCAAAAAAAAAAGAAGAAGAACTTGGGTTTGGCATACCTCAGTTCCTCCAGCACTGGACAGAACTGGGAAAGAGGGGCTTGGCCGAAATCATCAGGATGAGTCTATATCAGAGGTTGCAAACAGGCAGCCTGGGCCAGAGCTAGTTCACAGCTATATTTTGTTTGGTGCACACAATGTTTGTTTATAAAGTTGAATTGGTTGCCAACATTTAAAAATCTGGATGGAAGCTTTCGTTTGATTTTTTAAAAGCTATTTCTTGCTTCTCTTGAAGAATCAGGAAACCTGATAACACTGTCATGGTTCCATATCGCAACCACTGTCTGGAGCTAAGTAGCTGCTGCCCTCTTTAGAGAGGACTTGTGTTTGTAGTTCACCACTGTCACCAGCCCTCCAGCTTCACTCATTTGCTTTATCTGCCTGTCCCTGTCGTCATTAGAGTTTGCTTTCTTTGGTCTATGTGCTTCATTCACAGGTTGTTATGCACCCATCCAAAGTTTTGGAATTGCAGATGAACAAGCGTGGCTTCAGCATGGAAGTGGGGCAGTATATCTTTGTTAATTGCCCCTCAATCTCTCTCCTGGAATGGCATCCTTTTACTTTGACCTCTGCTCCAGAGGAAGATTTCTTCTCCATTCATATCCGAGCAGCAGGGGACTGGACAGAAAATCTCATAAGGGCTTTCGAACAACAATATTCACCAATTCCCAGGTAGGTCCTTGAGACCAGGAGAGTCCCAGACCAGGATGCAGACTGGCAGAAAAGAGAAAGCAATTCTTCGTTGAATCTTAAGTTTGGTACAATAGAATAGGATTATAATAAATATGCAGAAGTCAGCCATGAGAACAACTATATTTCTGGGAGGATGTTTGAGGTTGGAGGTGGAGGGGAGTCTTCAGTTGCCCGTTATCTTCTGTCTTCTGCCAGGATTGAAGTGGATGGTCCCTTTGGCACAGCCAGTGAGGATGTTTTCCAGTATGAAGTGGCTGTGCTGGTTGGAGCAGGAATTGGGGTCACCCCCTTTGCTTCTATCTTGAAATCCATCTGGTACAAATTCCAGTGTGCAGACCACAACCTCAAAACAAAAAAGGTATAATCCCGTATATCACTTTTCTTCTGGCCTGAGTCTGACAAGTCTATTGCCTTCTTGGGCTAAGCTCTTTACAATTGATAAGGGAGCAACCTATCCCTGGAGTTATGAGAATAAGTGATCACTTCTCTTGGCCAGGACATCCACTTCTACAGATTTATCATAAGAACAGGGTCTTCTTTTCAATTTGGAGTTTAAGATCACCCTGACCAAAGATGTTGGAAGGCTCGTTCCTAAGGAAAATTGTCAGAACTCTGAACATTCCTGCTGCCTAAAGTTTGCGGCTCTATAAATGTGACTTTTAAGGTCACCTAATAAGGCTATGTTCTCTCTTGCTGATTTCAGATCTATTTCTACTGGATCTGCAGGGAGACAGGTGCCTTTTCCTGGTTCAACAACCTGTTGACTTCCCTGGAACAGGAGATGGAGGAATTAGGCAAAGTGGGTTTTCTAAACTACCGTCTCTTCCTCACCGGATGGGACAGCAATATTGTGAGTCCAAATAACACACTAATTCCCCTACTAAACATAAGACGAATGTCAGACAAAGGATAGTGCATATGGATTAGAAGTTATTTCTTATGATTTCCTACCTGCCCTCACACTCACACACAAGTTTAAAAGTGGTGGAAAGAAGAGGCAGCTATCAGGACTTGGTTTTTCTTTTCTTTCTTTCTTCTTTTTTTTTTCTTTTTGAGACAGAGTTTCACTCTTGTTGCACAGGCTGGAGTGCAATGGTGCGATCTTGGCTCACCACAACCTCTGCCTCCTGGGTTTAAGCAATTCTCCTGCCTTAGCCTCCCGAGTAACTGGGATTACAGGCATGCGCCACCATGCCCAGCTAATTTTGAATTTTTAGTAGAGATGGGGGTCTCACCATGTTGGTCAGGCTAGTCTCGAACTCCTGACCTCAGGTGATCCACCCACCTCGGCCTCCCAAAGTATTGGGATTACAGGCGTGAGCCACGCACCCAGCCTAGGACTTGGTTTTTCTAACTTTTATTCCTCTGAATCCAGGTTGGTCATGCAGCATTAAACTTTGACAAGGCCACTGACATCGTGACAGGTCTGAAACAGAAAACCTCCTTTGGGAGACCAATGTGGGACAATGAGTTTTCTACAATAGCTACCTCCCACCCCAAGTAAGTATATTTTCCTCTAGTAAGATGAGTTTACAGGGGCCGTGCGTGGTGGCTTACTGCCTGTAATCTCAGCACTTTGGGAGGCCGAAGTGGGTGGATCACCTGAGGTCAGGAGTTCGAGACCAGTCTGGCCAACTTGGCAAAACCCCGTCACTACTAAAAATACAAAAATTAGCTAGGCGTGGTGGCACATGCCTGTAATCCCAGCTACTTGGGAGGCTGAGGCAAGGAGAATTGCTTGAACCTGGGAGGCAGAGGTTGCAATGAGCTGAGATAGCGCCATTGCACTCCAGCCTGGGCAACAAGAGAGAAACTCTGTCTCAAAAGAAAAAAAAAAAGATGAGTGCGGAGTTAGGATTTAGGAAAGGTATTACAACATGTTGAACACTCTTAAGAAAAGATCTCTGGGGCAGAAATCTTTTGTGCCATTCTTAGATTCTTGGTGAAGACCGAGGAAATTTCATCTGGGGTTTTAGAAAAATAGGGTCATGATCTTGAAAATGATGAAAAGAGGTTTTTTTGCCCCAGCAAACTCCATTCAAACAGTGAGGCAAGTGGACCCACTTCTGATCTATACTACCAAACAAACTAGAGAACTGGAGCAATTCAAATGCATTTTTGCGGGGAGGGGACTCAATAATCTCTACTTAAAGTAACAAAGGTATTATCTAGTTTACTGGCCACCTGAGCTCAATCTTTCTGGAGGGTTTTGAGACATGTTACAGCACAAAAAATCCTGGTGCTATGAAATCAGCCATTCCAATGGGAAGGAGATGAAGCTGAGATTCCCTGAACAAGTAGGGAGGTGATGATCAATTCAATGCTACAAATATTCTTGATTACCTTTTTTTTTTTTTTTTTTTGAGATGGAGTTTCGCTCTTGTCGCCCAGGCTGGAGTGCAGTGGTGCGATCTCTGCTTGCTGCAATCTCCGAATCCCGGGTTCAAGCGATTCTCCTGCCTCAGCCTCCCATGTAGCTGGGATTACAGGTGCCCACCACCATGCCCAGCTAATTTGTTGTATTTTTAGTAGAGATGGTGTTTCACCACGTTGGTCAGGCTAATCTCGAACTCCTGACCTCAGGTGATCCACCTGCCTCAGCCCCCAAAAGTGCTGAGATTACAGGCATGATCCACCAAGCCCCGCCTTGGTTACCTTTTATAAGCTCAGCTCTCACCATTCTAGAAGCTTTGGAGGTTGAAAGAGAAATAGGATATGGTTCTTGCCCACAAGGAACATACATTTGAATAAGAGATGCACACAATCACCTCAAAGCAGAATAATGCACTCCGTGAAAGAGGTTCACGGATGCTGGAGGGAAGAAAAGTCTACGGCCACATGGGGTGATTAGGAAAGGCTTCAGGAAGGCAGTGGCTAGAGCACTTAGTGACTTGGATTCAGATGATCCTGGGTCCTCATGCTGGTTCTCTCTTTTTTTCTCGAGACACAGTCTTGCTTTGTCACCCAGGCTGGAGTGCAATGGTGCCATCTCGGCTCACTGCAACCTCCGCCTCCTGGGTTCAAGCAGTTCTCCTGCCTCAGCCTCCCGAGTAGCTGGGATTACAGGCATCCACCACCACATCCAGCTAATTTTTTGTATTTTTAGTAGAGATGGGGTTTCGCCATATTGGCCAGGCTGGTCTCGAACTCCTGACCTCAGGTGATTCACTCACCTCAGCCTCCCAAAGTGCTGGGATTACAGCATGAGCCACCATGCCCGGCCCTTATTCTGGTTCTGACACTTTCTAGTTATGAGACCTTGAACTTCTGAACTCTCTGATCTTGATTCCTCATCTGTAAGACAAGGGTCATATTAGTGAATGCCTGCTCTACTCACTTGCAGGGTTGTTATGACAATTAAGTGAGACAATATATGAAAAAATGCTTTGTAAATTTTAAAGCAGCATATAAGCATAAAAGATGCTAATTATCATGTTGAATGTAACTGAAGTTTTGAGAGAGTATGAGGTTGTCAGGAGAGAGAGAGAGAGGGAGGGAGAGAGAGAGACTAGCGAGGGACAGAGTACCAAGGAATGCTGCCTAGGTTATATGGGAAGGGAAAAAGACAAACCAGGGAAGAAATAGGAGTACACAGAGAAGTGGTGTCACAGAACCCAAGGGAGCAAATATTAGAGAAGCGTGGTCAATAGTGTTGGAAGAGTAGCAGGGTCAGGAAATGTTCATTTAGCTTAAGCATATTTATAGACAGAACAAGGACCAGTACATAAAATAAAATAAATACATGAAAGAGGGGAGAGGACTAAGATGGCCATAATAAAAGATGGACAATAGTATTGGCAAGGAAGTGGAGAAGTTGCAATCCTAGTACATTGCTTGTGGAAATGTGAAATGATACCACACTCGGGGAAAACTCTTTGGCAGTTCCTCAAAGTGTTAAACACAGTTTCCAGCTGGGCATGGTGGCTCGCGCCTGTAATCCCAGCACTTTGGGAGGCCAAGGCAGATGGATCACGAGGTCAGGAGTTCAAGACCAGCCTGGCCAACATAGTGAAACCTTGTCTCTACTAAAAATACAAAAAATTAGGCCGGGCGTGGTGGCTCATGCCTGTAATCCCAGCACTTTGGGAGGCCGAGGTGGGTGGATCACGAGGTCAGGAGATCGAGACCATCCTGGCTAACACGGTGAAACCCTGTCTTTACTAAACATACAAAAAAAAATTAGCCGGGTGCGGTGGCGGGCGCCTGTAGTCCCAGCTACTTGGGAAGCTGAGGCAGGAGAGTGGCGTGAACCCAGGAGGCAGAGCTTGCAGTGAGCCAAGATCGTGCCACTGCGCTCCAGCCTGGGCGACAGCGAGATTCCATTAAAAAAAAAAAAGGTGAAAAGAATTAGCTGGGCATGGTGGCGGGCACCTGTAATCCCAGCTACTAGGGAGGCTGAGGCAGGAGAATCGCTTGAACCCGGGAGGTGGAGGTTGCAGTGACCCCAGATCATACCATTGTACTCCAGCCCGGGTGACAGTGCAAGACTCTGTCTCAAAAAAAAAAAAAAAAAAAAAACACATAGTTTCCATATGACCCAGCAATCCCACTCCTTGTTATACACCCAAGAGAAATGAAAATATATGTCTACACAAAAACTTGTACATGATGTACATAGCAGCATTACTCATAATAGCCCCGAAGTGAAAACAAGCCAAGCATCCATCAATAGATGAATGGATGAAGCAAATGTAGTATATTCACATACTGGAATATTATTTAGCTATTAAAAAAAAAACAAAGTACTGAATCATGCTACAACATGGACAAATCTTGAAAACATCATGCTGAAAAACACCAGACACCAAAGGCCATGTATTGTATGATTCCACTTATGTGAAACATTCAGGATAGGCATACCCACAGAGACAGAAAGTAAAGTGATTGTCTTGGGTAGGACAGGGTAGTTGGGAGGAAATGAGGACTGCTAATGTGGATGGGGTTTCTTTGCGGATGATGAAAATGTTCTGGAATTAGATAGTGGTGATGGTTGCATAACTTTGTGGCTGTGCTAAAAAGCACAAATTGCACACTTCAAAGGGGCGAATTTTATGGTATAGAAACTATACCATAATTATATTTTTAAAAAAGAGGGGGAGAGAAAGGTATGAGAGAAGGAAGAAGACGGTGAGACCCAGAGCATAGTTGGAAAGATTAGCTTTGGCAAGAAAGAACACTACCTCTCCACTAGGAGAAATTTTGAGGTAGGGATAAGCTCACAGTGGATGGGTTTAATGGGAGCTAATACATATGTACTTGCTATGTGCCAGGCATTTTTCTAATTTATTTACATGTTCTTATTTAATCCTTAAAACAACCCTATGTGGTAAGTACTATTTTTATCCCCATTTTACAGGTGGGAAAGCTGAAACAGAGAGAGGTTAAGAAATTTTCCCTTGTCGGACATTGTGGCTCACGCCTGTAATCCCAGCACTTAGGGAGGCTGAGGCAGGCGGATCACTTGAGGTCAGGAGTTTGAGACCAGCCTGGCCAACATGGTGAAACCCCATCTCTAATAAAAATACAAAATTTAGCTGGGCATGCTGGTGCGTGCCTGTAGTCCCAGCTACTCAGGAGGCTGAGGCAGGAAAATTGCTTGAACCTGGGAGGTGGAGGTTGCAGTGAACCGAGATTGTGCCACTGCACTCCAGCTGGGGGACAGAGCAAGACTCCATCTCAAAAAAAGAAAAGAAAAAAGAAAAAAAGAAATGTGCCCAAAGTCCCACAGGTGGGATAAATGTCAGAGCTGAGATTTGAGCCCAGACAACCCAGACAGACTGGCTGCACAGTCTGGCACTTAGCCACTGCACTGTCTTATGTCTGTCATCTGTGTTCTCAAAACAGGGAAGGCTGAGTGCTGAGAGTGTTAAGGGCTGAGAGCATATTTGGGGTTTGTGCGCAGAAAAGGTTAAAAAACTACCATGAAGAACGTGGGAGTAAACAACCGAATTTTTATTCAAGGTTCTTGGAAGTAGTAGAGGCCTAACAGAGGCAGTTTCTCCATTCTGTCATTGCTGCATTCTAGCCCTTACTATTGTTCTGTTCCTACAGGTCTGTAGTGGGAGTTTTCTTATGTGGCCCTCGGACTTTGGCAAAGAGCCTGCGCAAATGCTGTCACCGATATTCCAGTCTGGATCCTAGAAAGGTTCAATTCTACTTCAACAAAGAAAATTTTTGAGTTATAGGAATAAGGACGGTAATCTGCATTTTGTCTCTTTGTATCTTCAGTAATTTACTTGGTCTCGTCAGGTTTGAGCAGTCACTTTAGGATAAGAATGTGCCTCTCAAGCCTTGACTCCCTGGTATTCTTTTTTTGATTGCATTCAACTTCGTTACTTGAGCTTCAGCAACTTAAGAACTTCTGAAGTTCTTAAAGTTCTGAAGTTCTTAAAGCCCATGGATCCTTTCTCAGAAAAATAACTGTAAATCTTTCTGGACAGCCATGACTGTAGCAAGGCTTGATAGCAGAGGTTTGGTGGTTCAGAGTTATACAACTAATCCCAGGTGATTTTATCAATTCCAGTGTTACCATCTCCTGAGTTTTGGTTTGTAATCTTTTGTCCCTCCCACCCCCACAGAAGATTTCTAAGTAGGGTGACTTTTTAAATAAAAATTTATTGAATAATTAATGATAAAACATAATAATAAACATAAATAATAAACAAAATTACCGAGAACCCCATCCCCATATAACACCAACAGTGTACATGTTTACTGTCACTTTTGATATGGTCTTATCCAGTGTGAACAGCAATTTATTCTTATTTTTGCTCATCAAAAAATAAAGGATTTTCTTCTTCACTTGATGAATGAGTCTTTTGTTACTTCTTTTTGGGCTCTCCATTTGGGAAAGAAAATCTAGAAAGTATGCTCATTGTAATTGAAATTGTATTATAATTGCAAGTCAGCTATACTGTCATCTTGTATTATTCTGTTAAAAGCGATTGTGAAAACTTGAACTCCATGTTAGGATGACTTATTTAGTCAAGAGGAGCTCTTTATCACTATTAAGGGAGTTTATTAATGTCTAGTTTAAAAAATAACAATTTATAATTTTCATAGATTTTTGTGGACTCCTACCTATATCGCTAAGGAATCATTCAGCTAATAACATAAGCAAAATGCCTTCATTCTCTATCAGAATGCTTTTTATTTCTGCCATCTACCCAACCTCGGCCTACAAGGACCACACTGGCTCTGGGATGTTAGTCGTCACAGTGAATCCCTAGAAGGAGAGAAGCCCAGGGCTCTTAAGAGAGAAACCTCACACTTCATTGTGCCCAGACAATTCAACTCATTATAGATTAGAAGAATGGTTGTACTGAATTAGCATTATATTATCTATTTTTTCTACCATTAAGTGACCACGAATGAACAAATGGTTGTTTCTAATAGTTTAGGAACCTCTACGGCTTGAGGGATAAAACTGTTTTTGGTTTTTTTTTGTCACTAGTCTGAGCACAATAAAGGTAGGTCATGAACTCATGGTGGCTAATCATGTTTCATTTATTACAACAGTAAAACAATACTGATGGTTGTTTACATAGGGAGGGATACCACTGCTGTTGCCAATTTGTTCACCCGGATTTCAGCTAATTCAGGTTTAATAAGGCTTTGGGAAAATGCACAATGAAACCTTGAAGACATGATTCTTATTAGACAACTACTGACCAAATGACAACTTCATCTTCAATGACCTTGATTTGGAATCTTGAAACTTACAACGAGTTCCTAATGAGAAAGGCATCACTCTTGGTCTCCATGTCTAAATATATTGACACACTCACTTCAAGATATGATGGCTGCCAAAATCAATATCCCAAGGCTTGAATATTTATGGGAGTAGGCATAAATTCGTGATTATATTCATGGTAATGAATATAATAAATCCTATGCATAGCCAACATCCAAGTTGAACTGGGGATGAGCAGGATACACAGAAAGCTCCTCACCTGCTTTGAGCAAGTTTTTCTTGCAAAGTTGTAATATGAAATACCTTAATCAACAAATTTCTTATAAATGTTTATATGAGTAGAAAATCCCTCAATTTCATTGTCACTCAAAAAGTTGATTATCTTTGCATTCTTTTGCTTGACATGTAAGCAATATGCTATTACATTCTCTAAGCCTATGCCAGGCTTTTAATTCACCTGACCATAATCCTAACCCAGGGGATAGAATTCCAAGAATATAAATTGGCTCAAAAGTAGTTCCAGTAGAACTTTACTGATTATTAAGGCAACTCTTAACCTCTTGAGGTTGGCCTGATAGAGAGAAACCATGTTCCTCCTTAATGCCACTACGAGAGAGATGGGGTTGGGGTGGGGGGAGAGGAGGAGGCGGCGGCGCGGCGAGAGAGAGAAATACTAGGCAATAAGACCCATAGATTAGAGCTAATGGCACTAATTATGTTCATACCTATCCGCAAGGAAGCAGGCAGGAGCAGACCTAATGAGCAATCTGACTGTGCTCTACATTTGGTCCACTTAAAATGAGAAGAATGTACAAGTTTTAGGGTTTTCTGTGTTGTAAGTTCCCAGAATAAACGTAGTTACAGGGTAGGGCTGCAGGTTAGGGACTGCCTGGAAGATAGGATGAAATGTATTTTGTTCATTTGATTTCTGTTTTTATTTCATCTTGAGCATGTGAAAAATCAGTGGCTTTTTAAACTTTCAAAGTTGACTGCCTAGACTGATAAGTTTAAGAACACACAAGTAAATGTCAACAGTCTCTTGTGTTGCTGACACACTCAAACCAGTGCTAAAACAATTTTTGTCTTAACTCTGAATTATACATGTTCAGACCTGCTATTGAAACAAATGCATTTTGATATTTGGATTTTTCTAAACTAAACACACAGCTGTGCTAGGCTCTTTGCTCTGTTAGCCTTCTGACCATTTTATAGCTCTAAGCATGTGATATTTTCTCCTAGAAGACTCCGAAGTGCTAGAATATTTTCAGAGGGCAAAGCCTTATAATAATTCTTACTGGAAGCAAACTAAACAAAAACCAAGTTCCAGAAAACATTGCTTCTGAGAAATTCTCAAATATCATCAAGAAGAATAAGTGGTTAACTTAAAAACAAAACTATGGCAATATGTTAAAGTACAATACTGCAGTAAGGGTAGAAAACACATCTAAGGTTTCACCCTTAGTGTTAAGCTTTTTAAAAGCAAAAAGGTCATGTGTATCAATTTGCAGTGTACTAAAATTGTGTTCAAAGTTTATTTCAAGTCACAGAAAATATACAAACTAAGACAATAAAATGAAGTGATTTTGTTCTGAGAGAAGGTGATGGGAGTCCTCCACCTGGCACTGATTTGAGTCATTCAAGGGTTAGGATGCAGGTCATCTTTTTTCAATATTTCAACAAAATTATAGAATTTCCAGATTTCTTGCCAGGTATTTTTGAAAACCTGTAAGAAGAAGTTAGGACAAAGCCATTAGAAGTGAAGACAAAGCTCTCTTCCGGAAAAACTTCAGGAAAAAAAATAAAAAGGCTAGGGGAGGGAGGACAGGCATATAATCAAATCACCAGGACAGATTTGCAAAGTATCTGTCTCCTGCCTCCTGACTCCTCAAAGCAATCAGCCCTTGCAGCAGGGTTTCTCAACCTCAGCACTACTGACATTTTGGGCTGGAGTACTAGTTGCTATTGGGAAGTGGGTGAGGGGGACCATCCTGTGCATTATGGGATGTTTAGCAGTATCTCTGGCCTCTACCCACTGAATGCCAGTAGCATGCCATACTCCCTAAAGTTGTGATGACCAAAAACGTCTCAAGACAATGTCACCTAGGGGGCAAAACTGCCCTTGTTTGAGAACCATTCATCTCTAATGACAACAGTATAGAAGCCTGTCCATGATGGCAGAGATGGATCACAACTAGCTAGGTATAGGATGGAGGAAAACCCAACACTTTAGCCATGGTATGCACAAACACCAGTAGACACACAATAAAATCTTGCCCACATAAAATTGCATAGAACCACACATACATATACACAAATCATGATAGTTTTTTTAAAATGGTGAAAACTGAGTTTGCAGTCAAGTTAACAGTAATGTGCCAATGTCAATTTCTTGGTTTTGCACTACACTGGGTGAAGGGTACATGAGACTCCTTGTACTATTTTTCCAACTTTCCTTGAGTCTATGATTATTTAAAAATAAAAGGTAAAAAAATAGACAAAAACTTTGCCTTGTGGTTAATATGCAAGGCCTTAAATTAAACATCCTATAAGCAAAACTATAATGAAAGAAATTTCAGAAACATTTCTACCTCTACTATCCAGAAACAGTAAGGAGTAATTTTCTCACATTGTAGGGAATGCCTTCTCTGGCTTAAGTAAATTAGTAAAAGAAATAATTTTTATTTATTCCTCTGAATGTAATAGGTAGTCTATACTTTTACTAAAAAAAAAGAATATGTGGGGTTTGTGGAATAAAACGTTAAGGTACCAAAAGTCTACTGAGCCTTCTATCTATGATAGCTTCTCATTAATTCATTTAAGGTCTAAATACATATATGATGCATAGTCGCAGTTTAAATGTTTAAAGACATCACAAGTATGGATTAAAATGATATATTTTGTAAGAGTGGTAATTATTAATAGTTAAATGAGTTCACTATTATATAACATAAGAATAGGAATTATAATATGGATGGGGTAAAAAGTAGAAATTTAAATTGTGCTGTCCTACCTGATAGTGGGGCAACATGAATTTTAAACTGTTTTTAGAAAAAAGAACTGTTTATAAAATACAAAATGCTGGGGAAATTTTTTTTAAAAAAGAAACACTGATACATGTATGTGTAATCAAGTTGTCACATGATTATTTATGAAGCAGGTTACCTGGATCCTTTTTTTTTTTTTTTTTTGACACAGAGTCTCACTCTGTGACCCAGGCTAGAGTGCAGTGGCATAATCATGGCTTACTGCAGCCCTGACCTCCTGGACTCAACCAGTCCTCCCACCTCGGCCTCACAAGTAGCTGGAACTATAGGCGCATCTCACCATGCCTGGCTAATTTTTTAAAAAATTTTTGTAAAGATGGGGTCTCACTATGTTGCTTAGGCTGGTCTTGAACTCCTGGTCTCAAGTAATCCTTCCACCTCAGCCTGCCAAAGCTGAGATTACAGGGCTCAGCCACTGTGCTTGGCCCCTGGATTCTTTCTGCCTAAATGATGAGCAAGAAAAATAAGGGTAGCAGGGTACAGCGATCTCCAAAATATATAGAAACTGATGGTGATGACGGACATTTACTACCTTAAATTATGTGCTACTATAGTTCAACATCAAAATATTCCCTATAAAATAAATACAAGAAACAAAATATTTACACATTTTATTGAAATGCTTTGTATTTTTCCATTTTGACAGGACAGTTTGGAATAAAATAATACAATTGATTGTAGAAGGATACACACCAAACTATATTTAGAGGTTTTGTCTGGGGAATGAGATTGAGGAAACAGGGCTTTTTACCTTTCACCTTCTACATTTCTGTATATGATTACTTTTGTTAAACTGATCATACATTACCTTTGTCATTAGGAAAGATTATAAGCAATTCAACAACTGAACAAACATTGTATAGCCTTACTCTATCCCTACAGGAGCTGACCTACTGAAGGGTAAAGAAGAGTCTAGCTGAGTGGATTGAGGGCCGCTGAGAGAACAATCTTGTTGGTTAAGGTTAAAAGTATATACCCAGAATAGACAAGGAGCTAGTCCTACTCAGATGGGGATTAAGTTTGCTCACCTATCAAGGTGCTCCAGTGGATTTCTGTATTTGTTCCTTTAAAATCAGGATACTCTGCCTTTGCTCAGGAGGCAACATGGCAATCTGGTCTGCAGTCAGTTGTAGAACCTGCATAATCAAAGCAGCCTGTGCAGAGGAAAAAAAAAAGGTAGTGAGTTTTAATGATGGCAGCTAAAAAATACAAAACAAAACAAAAAACCCACCACCAGCTTCTGTCCAAAAAGCTACTGTAGTGGGATATGAAGCAAAATGGAAAAAGGAAGAACATTTCACACAGAAAAAAACCAACAGCCCCCCTCCAAAAAAAATAAAAAATAAAAAAAAACTGGTG
The DNA here is from genome assembly GCF_000001405.40 of Homo sapiens. Classification (NCBI taxonomy): domain Eukaryota; kingdom Metazoa; phylum Chordata; class Mammalia; order Primates; family Hominidae; genus Homo; species Homo sapiens. The sequence goes on along the minus strand of NC_000023.11, from coordinate 100,838,033 downwards.
AGAAAAGGTACAATGAAAAGAACAAGTATAAATTAAAATACCTAAGATTAGACGATTCAAAACAGACAACTTCATGAACTCAAAGTTCCTGGAGACTAAGATGGTATCTGTGAGCCCTGGAAATCCTTCAAGTTTTAATCCTGTTTTGAAAGTCTCTCTTTTTCACAAATTTTAGCCTTTCCATCAGACATAAGCTCCCCACAATGGTCAAATATAAAAACAGAAAGATATAATCATGGGGAATCTACTATTGTTTTTAGGGATAAAGTAGAAAGGGAAGGAAAAAGGGTGTGGATTTTCAGGTCAATCTGGCCTGAACAAGAAAAACCTGCTATTGGCAGATGAGTGTGAAATATAAAATAAGCTGCCATTTACATCCACTTAAGAACTTCACATCCATTAGGAACTTCAGGACCAGACTCACAAATTTTCAGGTAACAAGATCATAAAAGAGTTCTAAGTTAGAATAAACATCACCTCCAAAGGGACTTTGAAGACCCAGGATCGTCACATGGTAACTGTGAAAAGAGGAATCAAAAAGGCTAGAATTGTGCATAAGGAGGCAGTCAGACAGTGTTGCTTACCTTCTCATGATCCTGTGGAGTGACTTGGTTCTGCCCGGGACTAAAGCCGCCAGGCTGGCTTCCACCCTGTATACTTGCTCCTTGCATTCCTGTTCCCTGCATGACTGGGACCTATGTGTACAAAGAGAAAAGAGAGATTTTTGGCATTTTTAATGTATAGGTAACCTGAATTCAGTAATAATGTGACAAATTATGATCTCTATACAGATATGAGTAAAAAAAGCAAATCAATGACTCTGAAGATCATTTTCTACTGTTAGCAATAGCAGAAGGCAGGGTTTAGCCAGAGATCAACTAGCAAGTTCGACATACTTGCTTACAACACCTCCAGCATCATCAACAAATATTACACAGCACAACTGGATACCACTGAATTAATCAAAATTCAGCCAAATAAGCACAGTGAAAACTGAGAACACCCTGGAAACTAGTGCTCACTGGAAATACAAATGAAAGCCAACAGAGTCTAGAGAAAATGTATGCTGGTCCACTGGGGAAGTTACATTCACAGGGCCACCCCCTACCCTAGTTCAATCAGATACAGGTAGTTTGTCCCAAAGGGCCCTATCCCACAAGTGAGGCAGAGATGTTCATAATGTCAGAGAGGCAGAAAGGCAATGGGAAGGCCTCCAGGAAAAAGACTGCTATTAGCCCAACATTTGCTGTTTATAGCTTTCCATAGAGAACATATGGCAGATGCTTTCTGCTAAATGTAGACCAAAAAATATGACTGACTGGAGTGAAAAAACCAAGTACAGTGATATCATACTTACTGGTACTTAAGATCTTCAATGAGTTCAACCCTTTGCAAGACTACCAGAACCCAAGGAAAAGACCTCTTGAGTACCAAATCTAACTGTTAGAATGTCCCTATACAAGCATTATGTTCACACTCAGGCATTCACCCAGAGCTTAGGTACTCTCTTAATAAACACATATTGTTAACAAACTTGTTACCTGCTTACCCAGCAGATTAGAAGCAGCAAAACATAAAAGAAATACGGATAAATAACTGTTAGGAGCAGATACCACTTCAGTAATATGAAGAGCCAGGTGACGGCCTGACAGTGAAGGAGACCAGAAACCAAACAGGAGATAACTATGTTTTATATTACGGTATAGACAATAATGAATCTATTCAATGATGACCTTGAGTAGTCAAAACTGATTAAACTATTTTTTTGTATCCTGTTCAAGAAAGGAAATATCAAATACTTTTTATAATTTTTTATTAAAAAAGTTAAAAAACTTGGTAGAATAGTTCTATTATCTGGAACATTCACTTACATGCATTAACTCATTTCCCAAAGACAATGGATAGATGAAACATTAGTACAGATTTGTATAGACTGCTAGAATATTATCACTGTTCTGTTCATTATCAATACTGAAACCAGAGACAAGTTTCCAGAGACCAGTCTGAACATTAACGAGCTATTATGGGTCTGAAACACCTATGAGTATAATCTTTTTTTTTAAAATTTTTTATTTCCATAGGTTATTGGGGAACAGGTGGTGTTTGGTCACATGAGTTTATAGCAGCACAATTCGGAATTGAGTATAATCTTTTTGAAGCTTTAATCTGAGGTACTGTAATTGTGATCTAACCACTCAATAACGGCCATTTTAAGTTTCTAGGTGTGCTTGTTCTAGGCAGACAAGTACTAGCAAAAGTGACCATACATCTTGGTTTCCCTAAGATAGTCCCAGTTTATGTTTTTGCCTCCAAGTAAAGTAACAGCACTTTCTTTCATGTTCTCCTTTAGATGATAAATTATATAATCACCCTAGTAATAATAAGCCTTTTGCCCACAAGTTTCTAACTAAGTGGACTAGAGTTAATTTTAAAATCTAATTTAAAAGTATGAATTAAGGACATGTTGTTAAGTTAAAAAAAAAAAAGGTATAGAACAGTGAAAGGGGAAAAATAATATATATTCATGTTTTCCAGAAAGTAACATGAAAAATCTAATAAAAGTGATTATCTACAGGACCTAGAGGGCCACAGGGGAGACAAGCATAGGAGAGGAAGCAAGGTTCCTTTTAGTTTAAGATGTGGTCTCACTATCTTGTGTAGGCGGGCCTCCAACTCCTGGGCTCTACTGATCCTCCTGCCTTAGCCTCCAGAGTAGCTGGGACTACAGGATTCTACCCTGGCTTTTTTTTTTTTTTTAAAGATGGGAGTCTAATATGCTGCCCAGGCTGGAGTGCAGTGGCTAGTCACAGGTGCGATCAGAATGCACCACAGCCTCAAGTTCCTAGACTTAAATGGTCTTCCTGCCCCAGCCTCCAGAGTGCTGGCACTACAGGTGCATGTCACCATGCCTGGCTTGAAGTTCTTAATACATATATCTTTTATAGATGAACGAATATATATATTTATAAGTTAATATATTAATTTAAAATTTTTTTAAAGGTTTGAAGATAAAATTTGTATTTTCTCTTGCCTCAGATCTAATTGGCTTTATCGAATCTACTAATAAAAATGGTATAAACCTAGTATTAGGGTAATAAGTTCAAGTACCAGCAGAGAGAAAGGAGCAAAATATTATCCAGAAATGTTCTTCCAACCCTTACTTGCAATGTCTTGCATCATAGAACTACCAGTAAAATTATGTAAGCGCATTATGTAGTTATTTGTTTGTTATCTGTCTTCCCAACTAGAATGTAAGCCCATGGGGGAAGGGGCTTTGTTCTGTTCACACTGCAGTATCCCCCGTACCTAGATCTATGTTTGGTACATAGTAGGTGCTCAATAAATATTTGCTGAGTGACAGAATGAATGCATAAAAACCATTTCTGTTACTAGGCTACTGACCATAGAGAGTACAATAAAAATCAAGGCCCACAAACACTTCAAACACAATAGAGAACAGTTTTATTCTACACATAGCAAAAAAACCCTCTATTTGTATTTCATATTACAGAGGAGGGGGTAGACACATATCCACACATATACACACACACAAATGTGCAGATAACAGGACAGAGTAGTAAAGTGGAAAAAGTAGTGGCTTCTGTTCCTTGCTCTGCCACTTTTTAGTCATGTGAATTTGGTCAAGTCACCTGAATTCTTGGGCCTTAATTTCCAAATCTATAAACTGAGGGAATTAGATGATTGATGTATTCCATTCCAGCTCTGCCATTATCTTTCTCTCTCTCATACACACAGACATGGGGAGGAAGACACATAAAAAAAGAAGAGAGAAGTACGCAGAGGAAGGGGGGAAAAGGAAGGTGGAGCAGTTAGAGGGAAATGAAGGTGCCAGCATATAAAAACTCACGGAAGAAACACACATACCACCTCTCCACAACCAAGTCGAGATGAAGAGGGAGCATGTACACACAGGCAGAGAGATCCAAATAAAAGAGAGGAGACAAGACTTCGGTTCCACACCTTTTAAGGTGATTATTAATAAACTGCCTTTCACATTCCACTGTTCACTTAGGCTATGTGATGACAATAAATTAACACAGGTCTCTCTAAACCTAAGATTATCTAAATGGCCACTAACAGCTCTTCATATACTCTAACCCAGTGGTTCCCAGTCAGGGTTCACATTAGAATCATTTGGGGGAAGTTTTTCAAACTATCCATGCTCAGATCCTACTAATAAGAGATTCTGAGTTATACCTCGGATGAGATCCGGGCAAGTATATCTTGGAAAAAACCGTGTACATGATGTTGGTTTGTACCCCAATCAAGACTACTTTCTAACCCCTAAATTTTCAGGGGCTCTGCTCCAAATGAATAGCTATTTATTGTGGGATAAGGTTGTTTTTTTTTGAACTACAATCCTGATAGCCAGAAAATCACCACCCTAAGGGACAGAGAAGCTACAGGGAGATCCAAGTCTTCCCTTTCTAACAAGCTAAGAAACAGCCCAAGTCAGAAGGCAGTAATAATTAGGCTCAATAATCAATTCCTGAATAGATCAAGATTTCACTTGGATGCCAGAAGTCAGTGTTACACATACCTGTCTGGATCCCTGGGGGACAACCGCCCCCATGTTAATTGGACTGGGACCCTGCATTCCACTAGGTATAGGTCCTCTGGGGCCAGGCACTGGGCCTCTGGTATCCATGCCTCTGGCCTCCATCCCTCGGACTTCCATTGCACGGGCCTCCATCGCTCGGGCCTCCATTGCACGAGCTTCCATCGCACGGGCCTCCATTGCACGGGCCTCTAATCCTCTGGCATCTAACCCTCTTGCCTCCATGGCTCGGGCCTCCATCCCTCGTGCATCTATTCCTCGGGGATCCCTTCCACCTATAAAGAAAAATGTAACAAAACCATTATGTAGCTACTTGCATGTACTGCAAGAATGATGAACAATCCAAGAAAGATAGAAATCTCTTCTAGTCACATTTGTCCCCTCAGCTATTAACATATGAGACTATTGTCTCCTCCCCAGTTTCTCAGATTTGTGGATAAACCTTAAAGATGCTTGCAAACCTACTGTTCCAGCATTCTTTATCCCAGATTAGAGCCTAAGACAGTTGAGTTCATTATGGCATTTGCAATGTGATCTCCCCTTACCTCTGCCATCCAAGGGTGGACCCCTCTGATCTAGCATGGGTCCTCTTGGTTCTGCCATTAGAGGTCTGGGCTCGGGTAATGGCCCTCCCCTCAGTTCATGTGGGGGTGGTCCTCGGCTCTCATGGCCAGGGACATGGTGCATGGGTGGACCCTGATGAGGTGGTCCCAAGTAACCTCTGGAGATGGAGAAAAACGTTGTATTTTAAAATAGAACAAAACAACAACAAAGTACCAACCAGATCAGTAAGTAAACATCCAACAAAGAGCTGATGTAGTCTATGAATACTAACAAGAAAATAACACCAAATAGATGGAAGAAAAGCTACAGAGATATAAATCCATGTATTCTAGAATTTCGTTATTTGGTTCATAATTAGGGAGGAATCAACGAATATTCATTATATGTATGAGTTTGCAGAACAATGCATAAGAACATGAGCTCTGGATTCAGACTGTATGGGTTCAAATCTAGGCTCTATCACTTATTAGCTGTGTGATATTGGACACATTATTTAACTTTTCCACACATCAGTTTCACGTGTAAAATGGGACTAATAATGGTATCCATCTCACAGGATCTTGTGGATTTAATAAGATGATCTAAGTAAAGTACTCAGAGCAGAGTCAGAGGCATGATCCCCATTAATGTCAATTATTATTACTATCATTATTTTATTTATTTATTTACTTTTGAAATGGAGTTTCACTCTTGTTGCCCAGGCTGGAGTGCAGTGGCATGACCTCGGCTCACTGCAACCTCCACCTCCTGGGTTCAAGCGATTCTCCTGCCTCAGCCTCCCCAGTAGCTGTAATTATAGGCGCCCGCCACCACGCCCGGCTAATTTTTCTATTTTTAGTAGAGATGGGATTTCACCATGTAGGCCAGGCAGGTCTCGAACTCCTGACCTCAAGTGATCCACCCACCTTGGCCTCCCAAAGTACTGGGATTATAGGCGTCAGCCACTGCACCCGGCCTATTATTGCTATTATTAATATTTCCACTACTATAAATTTCCCTGTTCAAGTATGTATACTAAAATTTCCAATTTCTAAAAATATAATAGCTCAAAATGACATACTCAAGTACATAGTTCTGCCTTAGGAGAAGTGCTTACCCTTGGACAGTGGCCATGAATATTGATCTACCTTTTGAAGTAGGCAAACAGGTACAACTGGTACAGAAAGATTTTGTTCTCAGGGAAGAAGGGACAATTCTGATTTCTTCAACTGTTTCCTTCTATGTTAGTGCTTACCTAGGCTCTACCTCTCCAGTTACAGAAAGTAAAGTGCCTCCCCGTGGATCATTCGGAGCATCTCCTAACAAGCCTCGAGGGGTTGGGACATTCGCAGGCAAGGATCCCCGCTGCATAGCTGCTCTGGGGTCTTGCATCGGCACTGACAGGGAAACAAACGGGGAGTTACTGCTGTGAAAGACACATAAGCAAACAAGAAATGACTCTATATACCACTGACAACATAATTCAGACACCTTAGAGTGGGTGAAACCTCACCACAGCAGAATCCTCTTGCAGCTCAAGAACAGAAGCAGGGTGTAGGCAGAATCTGTGCCATGTCAGAGGTATGGATGGAATTATATAAAGAGCAAACTGGGGAGCAACCTGCCAAGGACTAGCACTGCGACCTGGAGAAACTTATGCTCCTGGTTTTCCTTCTAATCAATCTTAGTTCAAGGACCAGAGTCACAAAACAGAGGTAGAGTCTTGGCATATGTGAACACTGCCATGGCTCTGCAAGAACCCGCTGTCTCCTTACAGACTGCTATTCCATCCAAGCCTCCTGACACCAGTAGGGAGGGAGTACAGCCTCGGACAGATGCCCATATCATCCATGTTCTCTGCCCTGTGTGAAGAGGTCAATCTTAGGCTTGTGGCCTCAACAGGAAAAAATTAAAAAAACAAAAACCCAAAAACACTACCCTTTTGGGTTCTGAACGCGAGGATGACTGCCACGCAGCTCTTTTCCTCTCAACGTCCCACCCTGAACACCACAAGCAAAAGGAAACCCACAGATACAATGGGTACCTTGAACTCGCTCAATTGATGCAGGCCCGGCGGGTCCCACGGGCGAGTGCTGTAGGGTTCCTAGGTAAGCAGTAAGTTCAAAAGGAGAAAGAGCAGACACTTAAAATAGCTTGCATACACACGCAGAAACACACACACATGGAGATTGAGATTTACATATATAAGTTAAAAAGCCAAGAGTTCATCGGCTTGCTCCAGGCTACAAAATCTCCCTAAACTACACTAGCTCCTTTGGGTCTCTGAAATAGTTCCATTTTGACCAGATAGCTTTTGAAAGGGAATCCCATGGGGGCACTGGTTTGATCTAGGTGGGAATAACCTGACATTTTCGATTTTCACCTCTGCTACTAGTTTTCCGTTAGGTCTCCTTATGAAATCATTAGGAAAAAAATATATAAAAAGGATAGTTTTGAATCTTCTAGTTATGCAAAGAACATAAATGTAGTTTCAGAAGCAAAACATAAAAGAAACTGCACTGAATCTGGAAGGCAAGATTCATTCTGAAACGGCCATAACTGAAGTACGGCAATTCTATTTTTGTCACATTTTAAAGCACAAAAATTTCTGCTGTCAAAAATGTATCAGATGGGGAAATGCAGTGAATGAACTTTACATGATGAAAGAGAATATCACTCCACAAGAAATACTCTGCCACAGCAAGTCTTTGATAATAAACATCATGACAACAGCAAACAAAGACTAATGAGATGACATGGGAACCGACACTAAACAAACATGGCAGGGAAGCAAGAAGTATCTTCTCAAACATCTCCATCTCCTTTCAGCATTAAAAGCAGCATGGATTTCAGGAAAAGTAAGACAAACTAGGCACACACGAAAAGACTCTTGCTTCCTCTGCTGGGTACTGAAGGAAACTATAAAAGAAAGCTCATCTCACTTAGTCTCTGCATGAAGACATCCTGGAAATACCCTCAAAACATGAGTCACTTCCCTTTGCCAATTTCTGACAAAAAGGTGAAGATAACTATAATAGGAAGATGTCTTGTGCAAGTATGCGTTAAACAGCTAAAACCTGATGGATTGAGGGCTGGCCCCATGACAGGCAGAAGTATGACTGAAACCCTAATACCTTCTCATTACTGCAGAAATACTCTGGGGAACATATATGATCTATTGACAGTGGTGCGGTGGGGATAGAGGGATGTACAATAGCACAAAAGCATTGGATGCTTAGAGAAAATATGAGATATTTGGCCAGGGAGTTTGTCCTGCTGTCAGACTTCTAACAAGAAAAAGTTAATTCTGTCACTTCAGCAACCAACCCCAGTGTAAAAACCACAGGCTTGTATATTAATGTTTATGTATGTATGTGTGTATATATATGTGTGTGTGTGTGTATATATATATATTCTTTGAGACAGGGTCTTGCTCTGTTGCCCAGGCTGGAGTGCAGTGGTGCCCGATTATGGCTCACTGCAGTCTCAACCTGTTGGGCTCAAGTGATCCTTCCACTTCGGCCTCCCAAGTAGCTGGGACCACAAGTGCACACCACCATTGCCCAACTAGTTTTTGTATTTTTTATAGAGACGGGGTTTTGCCATGTTGTCTAGGCTAGTTTCAAACCTCTGAGCTCAAGCAATCCACCCACCTCAGCCTCCCAAAGTGCTGGGATTACAGGCATGAGCCACTGCGCCTGGCCAATATTTTGCTTTTTAAATGGGTTCCACTTATAAACCATATGCTACAAAAGAAAAAACCTTAAGCTTCTCTATGCTTGTCCAAAGCAGTCTTTCCCATCATTTTATTCCCAAGGAATAAGAGTAGAAGACACTGAAGAATATGCTTGGAAGTTAACAGAGGCAGTGTGGAGTGACAGAAAGAGGACAGATTCTGGAGTCAAAGACTTCTGAATCTTAGCTCTGCCACTTACTAGTTGGAAGAGAAAATAAGAGCACCAAATCCAGTCCACATTACTCATACATTAATATTTACTTACCTTGTCCCCTTGAGAAAGTAACTTATTCTGAGCTTCCAACTCTTTGCCTGTAAAACTGAGGTGCTGCCACCTAACTCACAAGATTATTTATGAAAATTAAAGTGCCTGGCATATAGTATGCACTCAGTTCCTTCTCTTTTCTTACGATCTCTCCTCCTAACATTGTTTCCAACTGAACCACTGCACTTTCTTGTCCTTCAAACTCCAGTAACATGAAGAAACAACATGGAGATTTTGGAGCAGCAGCTACTGTTGTATATAGCAGTACAGCCACGGTACAACATATGTTCATTAAGTAGGCGTTACAGACCTATGATTCCCTCCCAGTTTTCTCTGGGGTTTAAATCTAGTCTTCTACATACCCAGCCACATATTTACATGCTCATTATTAAAATTCCTTACTCAGTCAACAGATATCCATACAGGGAGAGAGAACATGTCAGTGGAATTATTAGACTAGGAATCAGGAAACAAACGATCCACTTGCTTCATTATCAATTCTTGTAGAGCTGGACTCTGAATCACCAGGTGGAAAGTCTAGACCAGCACTGTCCAATAGATCTTTTTACGATGATAGAAATGTTCTATATCTGTAATGTCCTGTATGGTATCCACTAGTCACCTGTGGCCACTGAGCACTTGGAATGTGGCTATTGTGACTGAGGAACTGAGTTTTAAATTTTACTTAATTTTAATTAACTTAATATTGAAATAGCCATGGGTGGTTAGTGGCTGCCATATTAGATACTGTGGATGTGGAACACTTCCATGACCAATTAACATTAGTCAGACATTAATATTTATTTACCTTGCCCCCGTTCCATGGACACTGGTCCACTTCCTGGCATTCCAACCTGAGCCTGCATTCCTCCTAGAAGATAAAGGGCAGACAAGAAAAAACACCAATTAGAACAGCGGAAAAGAAAAATTAGAACAGTGGCTGAGTTTACAAATTTCCTCATTCTGCTCCACAAGCAGAAACCTACAAAGGAAGATATTCAACAATGCAATGAGAGAGAAGATGGGGTTTGTTAGTATATTTACAATTTGTACTTTATGTTTCAGTGACAGAATAGTGAGTTCAATAAGAATAATTCATTTCATTGGTTACCAAACTCTTGGCAGGAAGCTCTTCTATAATACAGGAAAACAATGTCACTTACCCATGGACCTCCTGTCATGAAAGATAATTTAAATACAAGTATAACTCTATTAGGATAAAGTAGATACATAACAATCCTAAAGTAGATACAAAAAATTCCTGAGTTTGCAGAAATTTCTTCAAAAAATCTCTTCTTCCATTCCTCATCAACTTAGCTCTGCAGACTGGATTCTCTACAGAACAGAACAATTTAGAATTAAATCATTCTCCATGAGTAGTGTTGTACTCAACCTACCCTAGATTAGATAAATTAACAAAAACCAAGTTTGTTACATAAAAAAACTTTAAATATTGGTAATACATCATGTGTTCATACAGATGTTTCATATGGGGAATCATTATTTCACTCAATCTTCTTAGTTACAATTGTTGAACAAGGAACAGTTACAAGTATATGAGCAATACTCTTATTAATTGCCGATCTATACATTTTCAATAAATGTACATAGCTTTTAAATTTCTCTTTTTCCCTTTTGTTGTTTGTTCTGATTATGTTTGTTAAAATACAATTTTATGTCAGTTTAATATGCTATAACAAATGTGACCTTGTATTTTTTTGTCTGTTTTCTTCATGAGCTTTTGAACCTAATCTGACAGTTCATTCATATTTAGCAGAGTAACAACTACATTAGTTTTTATTCCTTCCATCTTACTCTACATTTATTATTACTTATTTTACACTGTCTCTTACTTTTTTCCTCTTCTCTATTTTTGCTGGCTTGATTTTGTTTCCACTCATTCCATTTTCCCCCTTGTTAACTTGGAAGTTTTACTATGCTCTTTCACTTTACTGTCCCTTTCCCTGTTCTTATAATTAGACATACAGGATTTAACGTAAGAAATCTACTATTTCCTCCACCTAAGATATATACTTTCTAGCTGTGTATTAATTTTACCTAAGGATCCCATTATCATATTTGGCTGCACTGCAACAGTGGCTATGACAAAACTTTAGCAAGTACTGAAATGGTGAAGACTAAATGAAACTTACCTCCAGGAGCTAAGGAACCAGGGCCAGGTCCTGTGACAGCAGCTGGCATTTGCCCTGGTGCTGGAACTCCACCCTGCATAGAAGCTTGCATCAGAGGAGGTGCGCCATTGACATGCATTCCACCCTGACCAAGCAAAAAAAACAGAGTATGTATATGCCTCTGTGGATACTCAATATACTAAGTCTACGACCTTAAAAGTCCTCTTCAAATGAACAGCCCCAAATACACTACTAAACATCCTTTTTGTATGGCATGTCTTATGCAGCATTAGATTTGTCACACACTTTAAACTCCACAGAAGCAATATACGTCATGAGCCTGGTTATATGGAACACGGTTAAGATGGAACATATTCTCAATGTAGAGATTGACAAGTCTTATCTGTGTGGCAAGGCAGCACATAACACCTACTGTTAACTTCATGATTGGGGCTGCCAATAAGAGTAAAAAAAAAAAAAAAAAAAAGCCCTAAACCCAAGAAACATAAAAGGAGACTGGGACTCTTTTAAAAAAAACAACTGCTGGTAGTCCACATTTTTAAAATTAAATTTTTTTTTTAATTTAACCAATCTTTTCTCACTCCTGTCCTTAGATATAATTCTGGTTTTGGGGGAATGTGAAATATATTTTTTTAAATGCTACATTAAAACTCGTTGAGAAAAAGAGAATGTCATCTTTTCATCTGTGCATTCCCCAAAAAACTGAGTAGTCCCTTGAATTAGAAACAGCTCAATAAATAAAGAATAAAAGCCAAGTTATATAAAAAAAATCACATATACGTTTAAGGAACACAAAACTCTACAAAAGAAAAGGAAGAGCTGTATAGGAAAGTAGTTAAGAGAAAACTGGCTGTGAGGTCAGATAAAACCAGGTTCAGAAATAGATCTGCCACTTATAATTGTGTCAATTTTTGGACCAGCTAACCTCTCTGGGCCTTAGCTTTTTTTTTCTATCTCTGAAAATGTATTTATTTATTTAGAGCAGGGGTTGGCAAACTATGACCCATGGGCCAAATCGGGCTCACTGCCTGGTTTTATAAACAAACTTTTAACGGAACACAACCACACACACTTGTTCACTTATTGCCTATGGCTGATTTCATACTACCATGGCAGAGTAGCTGTGGCAGATCCTGTGACTTGCAAAGCCAAAAATATTTACTGTCTGATCATTTACAGAAAAATGTTTGCTGGTCCCTGCCCTGTACCTCTGCCAACCTGAGAGATGAAAAATGGTAGCTTATTGTAGTTTCTATTTACATTATCTTATAACATTACATATATAAATGATAATTTATTACATTATCTTATTTTGAAGTTGAATAAATTTTTATATATTTATATTTCTCCTTTTGTGAAATATTTATGTCTATTTCCCATTTTTCTACTGGGTTATTGGAAATTTTCTTACTAATTTATAGGAGGCCTTTTAAAATTTATTATGAAAAATTACAGATATACAAATCATATAGAAAATAAAATAGCCACCCAGCTTAGGAAATAAATAAGTAAATAAAATAAACCAATGGCCTGTACGGTCTTCCCCAATTGCATCCTGTGCTCTCTTCTCCTTTGATGACCACTAAGACGTCTTCTTAATGTTTCAAAATTTTATATGAATCATTACATACTCAATATATTATTTTGCAACTCATTCCACATATTTTGGGGATTTATGCAGAAACATATATCCTACATTTCGGGAATGCATCCATATTCACTTAGTTTCATGTCCGTATGTCACTGTTTTGGAGTTGTGTTGATATTATGTATCCTAGTTCATCTTAACTGCTGTATGGAATTATGTTTTTCAAAGTCATTCATGTTGATACGTGTAGTTTATTTAACTGTTGTACAGTATTTCACTGGATGAATGTACCACACATTTTCTCCATTCTTCCACTGACGTACATTTAGGACATTTCCAATTTTTCACTCTAAGGCAATAAACATTCTTGTGAATGACTATGGGCTCTTTATTAGTCTGTTTTCCATCACATGTGTGGTAAATACTTTTTCTCAATTTGTCATGTCTTTGATACTTATTTTTTTCTTTATATAGAAATTTTTTAGTTTTCAAATGTATCAATTTTTTATGGCTTTAAGGTTTTGTGTCATGCTTTGAAAGCAAGCTTTACTTTTTTCATCAGTAAGAATGGAGATAATAAGAGTGCCAACCTCATACAATTGCTTTGAGGATTAAATGAGATAATGCATATGGAATAACGAAGTGCCAACCACAGTGCCAGGCATGCACATACACACAAAGTTAGCTTATAAGAAAAGGGCATACGGGAAGGATCTCTTTGTTTTACAAACTTGGAATCGAATCTATATTCATTCAGATGTCATGTGCTCTGCAACCTGGAAATTGCTTTTATGCCTGGAAATTGAAATTATCATCTCTGGTTCCTGACCATTCTTCTTTCAATATATTCTCCTAAAAAGAAAATGACATTCTAAGACAGATACAAAAAAATGTTAAGGGATAAAGCCCTACCAAAGACTGGGCCTGAGGGGCCTGAGGATTCTGCTGGTTCATTGACACATTGGATCCTGAGCCAGGCCCAGCACCATGGACTGGCTGAGGGTTGCCTGCAATCAGCGTTGGGATATTTGTCTGGCGATGCAGAATTTTCTAAAAAGTGAAAAGACAAACCTATGAGCTGTCTGTTTAACAAAGCAATCAGGTAGTTCCTATCCCATTCAAGGTTTACCCGACCATTTCCATAAAAGAACCAGAAGCACTCACCAGGGCAATTTCCGGATCCACAATTCTCATCACTACCTGTGCTTGCAGCAAAGCATAAGCCAGTTGAGGGTTCTGAAGTAACATGTTCCGTGCCTCCTGGGGACTATTCTGGACACAGAGCTGAGAAGATAAGCAGATTCAGGTTTAATACTTATGACTTAGAAACTGATAGTGATTTAGAGCCATTCCCCTCTGAGAAATGTAATATTCAAGAGGCTCTTTATCATTAGTTTTTGCATGGCACAAAAAAACCTTGGTCATGGCAGGCAAGAGAAGAAAGAGGCATTTCAAATACTGTGATATTATCATTTAGGAAAAAAGCCAAATTTTAATATCTACATCTGACATCTATGGGCCACAAAACTCCAGCTGGATTGTTTGGATAGCTGTGTTTGTGTACAAAAATAGAAAGCTCTTTGTACAAAATGTAAAATATACTGTGTACATACAGAATATTGAAGGTGCAAGAAATGGTGGTCTACAGACAATTTCTATTTGAGCTCAGGGAACTAATTCAAGTAACTCCTTGAAAACCTGATGTGATTTGCTTTATTCATAACCTAATGCCTCCTCCCACCTTCATTTGTTTCATCAGCTCAAACATCTGCTCTGGTGGAAGGCTGGCAACTGCTTTGCTAATGGACTCAGGGGCATCCTCAGGACTGATGGTCTCTCCATAAGGTGACTCAATGACAGGGGCACCAGTGCCAAGGCCTAATCAAGAAGAAAGTACAAGAAAGTTAGGGAGGCAAAACAAAAAGCTAAATCATTTCAAATATCTACTTTTCAGGGCTGCTGTAAGAACCAGCTGATAATTTTAGATTCTCCAGAGCTGAGAAATAAATGATGTGAAAGCCTCTTGTTTCTGTGGAGGAAAGTGAGAGTGTATTTTCTGTTCTCAGAGGAAAGCTGGGGATCATGATCACATGGAAGGACAATGTTAACCTAAGTTAGAGAACTAGGCACATTGACTTCTTTTAACAAGTCATTTCAGAAACAAAAGGTTAAAAGAGAAAAATACGCTAACTTCAAAAATTCCTGAAAAGAGTGACAGGAATGACTAATGCCACAGTTAGTACTACTAATGGCTTGATGAATTTGAATTCATCTTTAACTGGAAATAACTCCTTAGCAATGGAAATTCTTTTTTTTTTTTTTTTTTTTGAGACAGAGTCTCACTCTGTCGCCCAGGCTGGAGCAACTGAAGAATTTCTAATGTCAACTTTATCTGTTTCTTAAAGATATACACTTACTAGCAAGCCTCCAGCATGCTTAGGTCTGCAGTGACCCTATGCATCCCTACAGTGCTTGCCAGAACAGTTTTGAAACGGTTTGAGGCCTTGCCCTGCTCCATCCAGAGCAAGGGTATAGAAATTTCAGACAATTACTTGAAAAAAAATTTATAAAAAGTTTTTAAAAAGATATATATAATACTTGCCTAACTCAGGCACATCAGGTCAGTCAAGTAATAAACAAGCTGCGTGGCTAACCATTTCAGCATATTCTAAAACATATCAGAAATGGAAAATCTTCATTGTTACATCTTTACTAACTCATACTGCATCCAAGTTGGATTTGTACTCACTCTTCAGCTCTTCTTTGTTCTTTTCACTGGCAGCATTGTCCACTCGAAGTGCTCTCCCACTGAATTCGCGCCCATTCAGGTTCCGCATGGCACTAAGTGCTGTCTCTTGGTCTTGGTATTCACAGAAGCCATAACCCTTTGGCTTTCCTGTCTCTCTATCGTATACCAATCTGGAGAGCAGAACCAAGTGTCAGGAACAAATGTTACACACATACAGGGTTCCTGCTAACATTGCCATGCTTTAATTGGGCCCACTGTAACATAAATAACCTTATATCTCTGACAGCCTCACAGAAATATTTTTTAAAACTTTTTTTTTTTTTTTCCTGAGATGGAGTCTTGCTCTGTTGCCCAGGCTGGAGTGCAGTGGCATGATCTTGGCTCACTGCTATCTCTGCCTCCCGGGTTCAAGCAATTCTCCTGTCTCAGCCTCCTGAGTAGCTGGGACTACAGGCATGGGCCACCACGGCGGCTAATTTTTGTATTTTTAGTAGAGACAAGGTTTCACCACATTGGTCAGGCTGGTCTCGAACTCCTGACCCCAGGTGATCCGCCTGCCTCGGCCTCCCAAAGTGCTGGGATTACAGGCTTGAGTCACTATGCCCTGCCTAAAAAACATTTTTAACGAAAAAAACATATTTTAGGTAAGAATAAATGTCAATTGTATAGTGTATCAATTATATCTCAATAAAGCTGTTACAAGAACAAAATGTATGTGAAAAGTCACCAGTAAAGAAAACCTGCCATTATTACTAAGAGCCAAATCTGTGGTGATTTTTAAGAAGCTCCCACCATGAAGGAAAAGGGGATCTCACCTGAAACTAACAACAGGTCCAACCTCAGAAAAGATGTCCTTCAACTGCTCTTCAGTAGCTTCATAAGGAATGTTCCCCACTAAGGAAGAAAATAGGTAACATTAAAATTCTGAGTTTATAACATAGATCTTTAGTGAGAAAGTAAACTTATATCATCAAATATAAGACTCAAAATAGTGTTCTCCAATCCCAATTCCATTGTATTTCTTCAGACCTCTTAACAAAGGAAATATACCACTGAAACTAAATACAAAATGTGTAGGTACTCTCAAATGTTAGTTCTCAGACTGATCTGACACGTGTTAGATTTTCCTTAACTTTGGTGCAAATAAATACTTTGGCACTGGTATTTACCTAAAGATCTGCAAGTCTCATCAGTGACTACAAAAAATATCAATGTTATTTAATATAATTTTTAAAACAGGTTCCTATGTATTTCCACACATACAACATTTAAGGGAGAATGACGATGAATGTAGTGAAAGATGTTTAAAAAGTATTCTGAACTACTTTGTCATGTCCCTTTCAAATGGTACTCTAAAATAATCACACGTATTTTTAAAAACAACTTATTTCAGCCAAAAAGATAATTCAGAATCGTTTCGATCCTTTTTAAAATTCCTCTGAGGAGATCTTAATAGTTCATTCATTCATTCACTTACAAGCCATCTCAGGACACCAGGTGGCCGCTACCACTATTGATGCACTAAAATGTTACAGATAAAAAGCAAAGGATGAAAGTCCTTAGGAGAGGACAGTAAGTGGACACTAGGATCTATACCCTCAGCATATAGTCTGTATTCTGGGGCAGAGGATGAGAAGTAGTACGGGACAGTGAGGAGCTGTTACCGTGAGCCTTCTCCTCTAGAGAATAATTGAAGCTCATGAAAGGAGAAACGCACAGAAGCTGAACGCTAGTCTAACTTCCCCACTGATATTGCGGAAAGCCTACGAGACCTCGGCAGAATGGGAATATCTCTTTGCTCATGAGTCCACCAGGTTGGACGCCCTACAGGATAAGCAGGGAGAACTGCACGTCCGAACCGTCAGCGGCTCCGGTAGCGATTCATGAGATAGAAGGTGCAGAGGGGAGTCCCTCCCCGAAGCTTGACTACAACGAATTCCTCTCACCGAACACAGAACGTAGAGAACGATCCACCGCTGGGTCTCTCACAGTCAAACCCGCCATAGCTCTGTTGAGTCGGCTTCCGGTGCGCCAAAGCACACTTCCGTACGGAGCACAAGCCCAGCGCTGAGCACGCTTCCGTACGGCGCGTGAGCCGGAAGGGCCTGGGCGGAACGGACGCAGAGCCCCTCCCCTGGAGACATTCTGTTAGCCGCAGGCGCGAGTTGCGTCCACCGGAGGGCTATATTCTCACTCCTGAGATTAACTCTGTTCCGAGCCAGATGCAGGCGAGTCCAGGCTAATTTGAAGGGTTTCAGCCTGCAGACTTCCTTCTTATTAATTTTCTCTTAGGTTGATGCAAGTACTCCTCAACCACAATAAAGGCGCAGCGGCTTTACCATGGTAACAGGGAAGTCCTTTGCTGACAACTGTGGGGCTTGCATTTTAGTTCCGCCCTATCAAGGGAGGGAAATGCTTGGGCCCGTCCCAGCAGCGTGCATATTATTTGCTAAACCTGTTCGTGTGTGGAGTGAGATGAGGAAAGGGCATGCCAGCCGAGAGAAGCATAGTTAAAGAAATGGGAGAGGTAAAGGGAGAACAGACCTCTGTCCTCGTGTAGTCCGTGGGTTCCATGTGCTTCGTGGTGGGGCGGTGCGGCAGGGGATTCTGGCAGGCAGAGTATCGGAAACAGAAAACGTCATTCATCGGTTTTTCCACACTTTGGTGCCCACGCGCCTGGGATATGGCATGCAGGGCAGGTCGTTGTATCATCCCGGAAAGGCAGACCCTGCCGGGGTTGGAGGAAATCCAGGGGGCACCTCAGGAGGACAGGGTTAGGGGATAAGCAAAGGAAGGAGCCAAGAGCGCTACCTTTGAGGGACTTGTCCGAAAAAGGAAGACGGTAAAATAGCCACGGAATTGGAGGCATGGACGTTTTTATTAATTCCACATGTATTAAAAGTATATGGGCCGGGCGCGGTGGCTCATGCCTGTAATGCCAACACTTTGGGAGGCCGAGGCGGGCGCATCACCTGAGGTCGGGAGTTGGAGACCAGCCTGGCCAACATGGAGAACCCCTTTTCTACTAAAAATACAAAATTAGCCGGGCGTGGTGGCGCATGCCTGTAATCCCAGCTGCTCAGGAGGCTGAGGCCAGAGAATCGCTTGAACCCGGGAGATGGATGTTGCGGTGATCCGAGATCTGCCATTGCGCTCCAGCCTGGGCAACAAGAGCGAAACTCCATCTCCAAAATAAAAGTATATGAAATATGATAAATATTTAGAAAAAATTAATAAGTGCTAGTTTACACCATGAAGCATATCACTTTAAGAAGTAATTCTGGTAAAGATGGAAAGTTTGAGAAGAGTATACCCATTTCCATGACTCTAGAGTCCCATTTGCAATCACTGTGTGACCAAGAGGACACCTTGTGTAATGGAATGGTCCAAAAGGAGATTTACAGCTCTGTAGAAGGCACAGTTTCAAAGAGTTTTGGTGTGTCATTGTTCCGTTGTGGTGAACTTTTGCTAAATGCATGTACGGCTGAGTATATTTCTAACTCAGTGTTTGGCAAACTTACATAAACAAAAGATTAACCTGGGGTCTTTGAGTAAGAGTATAGATTCCTGGGGCTCCACCCCAGCCCTATGGAATGGGACTCCAGGGAAAGAACTTGGGAATCGTTATATTTAAACAAGTGCCACTGGCGATTCTTAGGGTCAGGTAATTTGAGTAGCATTGTAGTTATTGAGGTAGCTTTATGGCAGCATTTAAGACACGCATGCTTTCTTATGAAATTTCCCTTAAAGTAGTTCTCAAAGTTCTCAACCCTTGTGGAGGAGCATTTTTGGAAATGTACAGTGGCATTTTCAGTTGTTGCAATGACTACTGCTAGGGGAAGAGAAGCCAGAGATGATAAATGGACTGCCATGTCCAAGGCAGTTCTACAGGATGAACCCCTCCCCCCACTGAATGCCAATAATGTCTCTCCCCTTGAGAAACACTTAATATCAGCCATATTAGACCAAATGGACCCTGGATCTGAATGCTATGTTGCACTGCCAGCCTTGCATAAATAATTTTTACTTTAGCCTTCTTACAACTGTGTAGCTGATCCCAATGAGTTAGTAATAATAAAAGCTAACATTTATTAAGCACTTGCTGTGTCCTCATTGTATTAGTTTTCTATTGCTGTGTAACAAATTTCCACAAACTTAGTGGCTTACAACACTCATTTGTTAGCTCACAGTTCTGTAGGTCAGAAGTTTGGGTGGACATGAGTGGGTTCTTTGCTTAGGATCTCACAAGGCTGAAATCAAGGTGTTGTACTCTTATCTGGAATCTTTGGGAGAAGAATCAGCTTCCAAGCTCATTTTTCTTGTTGGCAGAATTTGGTTGGCTGTGGTTGTAGGACCGAGGTCCTTGTTTCTTTGCTGGCTATTGGCTGGAGGGCTGTAGCTCTTAGCTCCTAAGGGCTTCTTTTTGGTCCTTACATGTGGGTTTCTACATCTCAGAGCCAGTGATGGCACATTGAAACCTTCTTATGCTGTGAATCTCTGACCAGAGATTCTCTCTTTTGACCAGCTGGGGAGAACTCTGCTTTTAAATGGCTCTTGTGTTTAGGCAAGGCCTACCCAGATAATCTCCCTGTATTAAAGTCAACTGTGCTATGTGAAAACCTAATCATAAGAGTAAAATCCATTATAATCACAGTCTTAGGAATTATGCAGGGCAAATACATCAAGAGGTCAAGAAATCTTGGAGCCAGTCAACTGTACCCATTTTATTGATAAACATGTCTAAAGAAGTTTCAGTAACTTTGCCTAGGTCCCACAACAAGCAAGCTAAGGCATGGTTTGAGCTCAGGTTGCTCTGGCTCCAGAGACTGCTTAATTGTTATATCTCCTGCCTCTCAATGTAACTGAGGAAATATGGATGGCTCAGCATATTTTGTCACTGTTTTTAGGAAAGAGTACAGAACATGTGACCTGGTGATGGTGGGTCCGTGGCTCATAACAATGAGCTACTCAAGAAAAGGGTGGGGGACTTAGCCAGGGCTTGTTCTGCTATCATCAGCCGTCTGTGGGAAATAGACTATTGATTCTGTGACTTCAGCAACCAACTTCACTCTACTGGTTATAAAAGAGGAGGTGTGTGCAAGGGATGTATCCCAAGTGCTTGCTTTTTTATATTTAGATTTCACTTATACACTGTGTGCTAGTGACTCCTGCCTCAGTGCCTGTCTTGTGAGAGTCTTTCCCTTCATTGATATACTCCCTGAGTGACAGCATTTCCTTTGCCTCCAGTTTATAGCAAAATGAAGACAGAAGGTGGGATGTTTCATGCTGTTGTTGATGTTATGACTGAGCCTCAGTTAACGATGTAGGTATGATATGAAAAGGTAGGGGGAACACAAGCAAAGAAGCATTTCTACAAAAAACGGGACTAAATATATAGGGTAAATGTTATTTGGGGCTTTGAATGGAGGAGAAAGGGAACCTAGTGGAGAATCAAAGAATTTGGGAGACCACAGTCATGATTTGTGGGGCACTGGCAGAAAACTTTGTTGAAAAGTCCTGAGTTCTTAACCAGTCATGTCGATGACACTAAGAATCTTGAGTGAGGTAAACGTAAGTGAAACAAGCAGAGATATTCAAGACTGTGAAGGCACAGAGACTTGGGTTCTTTCTCCCAGTCATAAAAGATTAAATTTCTAAGGCTGGGGTACATACTACTTCATGTTTGATCCATGTTTGAACCTCTTCAAAGAGTCATGGAATAAAATCCCTCATTGGTCTCGCAGGGGATATCTGGAAAGGCAGCAACTCCTGGATAGTTGTCATTGCATGAAAAAGGTGCCAGATGAGACTGGTAGCATTACCTGTGTTAAGAGAAATCTTCAATGAGCAGCGCCTGCAAGAGCTAAGGAAACTTGTAGCCAGAGAGCACCTGAATGCTGACGTGGATTCTGATCAATAACAGGATGAAGATATCAATTGGTCTGCTTTCTAGAAAGAAATATCATTCTTAAGTTCTGCACTGCTGCATTATCAGGCTGGTTCTACAGCAATGTCTATACTTTCTGGGAATATTTGAGGGTTCAGCCCTGTGGCTACTCTACAGAGAGTTGTCTAGTCCATCAAAACTGATCATGTTGTAGCATTTTCATTTTTTATTTCTTAGCTAATAGATTTTATTCTCAATACACACTGCATGCATTTCTTTTATTCCTTTCCCAGAATCCTGTTCCTTCAAAGAAGGTTCAGAGTTGTTCACCTGCTCAAAGGATGTGTTATGAGATATGTTGTTTGCTAGACGGCCAGGGAGTTCAACTGAATTGGAGGAAGATTTGCCCTATTCTTGGCCATGGCATGGTGACCTCTTATTACTGAATAAGGACTGCTTCAAAGCCAATCATTGGGTAAAACTAGGTAAGAGGAAGAAGTCTTTGAGATTTTGTTTTGTTTAAGAACCAGAACAATAGGATATTGTTGGCTAGCACATGGCATCCAGGGTTTAGCAAAATGAAGATGAGTATTCACCAGATAGCACTCAAACTCAAACAGTGTGCTGTTGGGTAAGTGTGGCTGGGTAAAGTGTGTGGATAATGGTATCAGATTGGGGAAAATGGAGTGATAATGACTAAGAAGAGCTAACATTTGCGAAGGGCTATATAGACTACAAGGCTTCTCTACATGGATCTCATTTGATTCTCACAAAACCCATGAGATCATTTTAGTATGTTACCTTTTTTTTGTAGTAAAATATAAATAACTTAAAATTTACCATTTTAGCCATTTTTAAGTGTACAGTTCAGGGTCATTAAGTACATTCATATTGTTGTGCGCCAGTCTCCACCATTCATCTCCAGAATTTTTTTATTTTCCCAAAATGAAACTTCATACCCATTAAATGCTAACTGCCCATCCCCTCCTCGTAGCCCCTAACAACCACTGTTCTACTTTCTGTCTCTATGAATTTGACTACTCTAGGTACATCATGTAAGTAGAATCATACAATATTTGTCCCTCTGTGGTTGACTTATTTCACTTAGCATAATGTCTTTAAGGTTCATCTATGTTATCCATGTGTCAGAATTTCTTTAGTTTTTAAGACTGAATATTTTATTGTATATATATTATATATAAATACACATTTTGTTTATTCATCTGTTAATGGACACTTGGGTTGCTTTCACCTTTTGGCCATTGTGAATCATACTGCTATGAACATGGGTATACAAGTATCTCTTTGAGTCCCGGCTTTCAGTTCTTTT
Organism: Homo sapiens; assembly: GCF_000001405.40. NCBI lineage: Eukaryota > Metazoa > Chordata > Mammalia > Primates > Hominidae > Homo > Homo sapiens. The sequence goes on along the minus strand of NC_000023.11, from coordinate 100,815,203 downwards.
GTGCCCAGAAGTGGAATTGCTAGGTCCCATGGTGTGATGATTAGTTTTAGGTGTCAACTTGTCTGGATTAAGGAATAACTAGAGAACAGGTGAAGCATTATTTTTTGGTGTTTCTGTGAGTGTGTTTACAGAGGATATTGGCATGTGAGTGTGAGTGGACTAAGTGGGGAAGATTTGCCCTCAATGTGGGCAGGCACCATCTAATCAGCTGGAGCCAGGATAGAACAAAAATAGCAGAGAGATTTTTCTCGCTCTTGCAGGTGGGATACACTCTTCTCCTGCCCTTAGACATCAGCACTCCAGGCTCTTTATCCTTTGGACTCTAGCAGCCCCCTGGGTTCTCATGCCTTCAGACTTGAATGGGGCCATGCTACTGGCATTCTAAGGTCTCCAATTTGCAGAAAGCCTGTTGTGGGACTTATCAGCCTCCATAATCACATGAGCCAATTCCCCTAATAAATCCCCTCTTGTATCTTTCTCTCTATATATAGCCTATTGGTTTTGTCTCTGTGGAGAACCTTGACTAATATACATGGTAATTTTATGTTTGATCTGTTGAGAAACTGTCATACTCTTTTTGACAGTGGTTGCACCATTTTACATTCCTACAGCAATGCACAAGAGTTCCAATTTCTCCATATCCTTGCCAACATTTGTTATTTTCTGTTTTTTATAATAGCCATCCTAGGGGGTGTGAAATGGTATTTCATTATGGTTTTGATTTGTATTTCTCTAGTGGTTAGTGATGTTGAACATCTTTTCATATGTTTACTGGTCATTTGTATAACTTCTTTGAAGTTCAGGTTCTTTGCCCATTTTTAAATCAGGTTGTTTGTTTTTTTTGTTGTTGAGTCATAGGAGTTCTTTATATATTCTGGATATTAGTCCCTTATCACATATATGATATGCAAATATTTTCTCCTATTCTGTGGGTTGCCTTTTCACTCTGCTGATAGTGTCCTTTGATATACAAAAGTTTTTAATTTTGATGGAGTCCAACTCATATAATTTTAAATTGTTGCCTGTACTTTTGGTATCAGATACAAGAAATCTTTGCTAAATCTTGTTACGAAAATTTCCCCCTATGTTTTCTTCTAAGAGTTTTATAGTTTTAGCTCTTACATTTAGGTCTTTAATCTAATTTGAATTTGAATTAATTTTTGCATGGTGCAAGGTAAGGGTCCAACTTCATTTTTTTCTATGTGGACATACAGTTTTCCCAGCACCATTTGTTGAAAAGACTTTCTTTTCCCCATTGGATGGTCTTGGCACCCTTGTTGAGAATTATTTGACCATATATGCAAGGGTTTATTTCTGGGCTCTTTATTATTCCATTAGTCTGTATGTCTGTCTTTATGCCACATGGTTTTGATTACTGTAGCTTGTAGTTTTGAAATCAGGAAGTGAGAGACCACCAAGTTAAAAAAAATTTTTTTTTTTCGAAATTGTTTTGGTTCTTTGCGATTCCTTGAATTTCCATATGAATTTTAGGGTTGATTTTTCTATTTCTGCAAAAACATAATTAGGATTTTATTTAATAATAGGGATTGCATTGAATTTGTAGATCACTTTGGGTAGTATTGACATCTTAACAATTTTAAGTCTTCCAACTCATTAATATGGGATGTATTTCCATCTATTTGTGTCTTCTTTAGCTTCTTTCAGCAACATTTTGTAGTTTTCTGTGTACAAGTCTTTCACCTCTTTGGTTAAGTTTATTTCTAAGAATATTATTATTTTCAATGCTACTGTAAATGGAATTGTTTTCTTAATTTCCTCTTCAGATTGTTTAATGCCAATATAGATACATAACTCATTTTTGTGTGTTGATTTTGTATTCTGCATTTTTGCTGAATTCATTTACTAGTTCTAACAGTGATTTTGGGGAAATATTTACAGTGTTCTACCTGTAAGATCATATCCTCTGCAAACAGAGATAATATTACTTCTTCCTTTCCAATTTGGATGCCTTTTGTTTCTGTCTTGCCTAATTGTTCTGGCCAAAAATTCCCATGCAATGTTGACTATTATTTATCTTGGAATGTCTTAATTTGTCCCTCATTTCTGAAGGGCAGTTTTCCAAGATGTAGAATTATCTGTTGACATTAAAAAAAAAAAATTCCTGTGAGTTTCCCAACTGCGGAAGTGGGAAAGGTAGACCCTCCTCTCCTGAAGACACACCCCCACTGGAGAGGCTGAAGGTCTGTTTGCAGGTGAAGTTTCCAGCTTTACCTGGAGCTGAGTCAAGTTAGAGAGCCGAGTGAAATACAGAGGTAGAGGACCCAGGAACTTGCTGGGACCCAAGCAGCCCATTCCTGCCTGGCACCACAGGGATCCATCGGCCAGAGGAGCAGGGGGTGAAACTCCACAGGGAGAAGGAATTCTCTAGCTGAACTTTGTAACAATTTGAATGTGGCGAGAAGCCTCCTGGCCAGAACTCAGCGGAGGGCGTGAATTGGGCATGCATACTTCACAGGCAGGGAGAAGAATTAAAGCCCTTTTCTCTCACAGCTGGGAGGCAGATAGCCTTGAGCAAGTTTTCAAGCCCTTCTCACTCTCCGCATGGAAACAGACTTGGGGCTGTTGGTCAGGGCACGGTGGGAATGAGACCTGCCCTTCAGTTTGTGTGGGAGCTGGGTGAGGCCTGTGACTGCCGGCTTTCCCCCACTTCCCTGACAACCTGCATGACTCAGCAGAGACAGCCATAATCCTCCTAGGTGCACAACTCCAGTGACCTGGGAATCTCACCCCCATCCTCCACAGCAGCCTTAGCAAGACCCACCCAAGGAGAGTCTGAGTTCAGACACGCCTAGCCCTTCCCCCATCTGATGGTCCTTCCTTATCCACCCTCGTAGTGGAAAACAAAGGGCATATAATCTTGGGAGTTCTAGGGCCCTGCACACCACCAGTCCCTCTCCACGCTACTACAGCTGATGCTTTCTGGAAAGCACCACTTCCTGGCAGGAGACCAACCAGCACAAAAATAGAGCATTAAATCACCAAAACTAAAGACCCTCACGGAGTCCATTGCACCCTCCGCCACCTCCATTGGAACAGGTGCTGGTATCCACGGCTGAGATACCCAGTAATATGACAATACAAGGCTCTTCCACACCCCCCAAAAATTACAGTACTTCACCAGCAATGGATCCAAACCAAGAAGAAATACCTGGTTTACCTGAAAAAGAATTCAGGAGGTTAGTTATTAAGCTAATCAGGGAGGGACCAGAGAAAGGCGAAGCCCAATACAAGGAAGTTCAAAAAATGATACAAGAAGTGAAGGGAGAAATATTCATGGAAATAGATAGCTTAAAGAAACCACAGTCAAAAACTCAGGAAACTTTGGACACACTTTCAGAAATGTGAAATTCTCTGGAAAGTCTCAGCAATAGAACTGAACAAGTAGAATAAAGAAATTCAGAGCTTTAAGGTCTATGAATTACCCCATCCAGCAAAGACAAAGAAAAAAGAATAAGGAAATATGAACAAAGCCTCCAAGAAATCTGGAATTATGTTAAATGACCAAACTTAAGAATAATCAGTGTACCTGAGAAAGAAGAGAATTCTAAAAGCCTGGAAAACATGTTTAAGGGAATAATCGAGGAAACCTTTCCTGGCCTTGCGAGAGACCTAGATGTCCAAATACAAGAAGCACAAAGAACACCTGGGAAATTCATCGCAAAAAGATATTCACCTAGGCACTTTGTCATCAGGTTATCCAAACTTAAGACCAAGGAAAGAATCTTAAGAGCTGTGAGACAGAAGCACCAGGTTACCTATAAAGGAAAGCCTATCAGATTAGCAGCAGATTTCTCAACAGAAACCCTACAAGCAAGAAGGGACCGGGGACCTATCTTCAGCCTCCTCAAACAAAATAATTATCAGCCAAGAATTTTGTATCCAGAGAAACTAAGTATCATATATGAAGGAAAGATACAGTCATTTTCAGACAAACAAATGCTGAGAGAATTTGCCATTAGGAAACCACCATTACAAGAACTGCTAAAAGGATCTCTAAATCTTGAAACAAATCCTGGAAACACATAAAAACAGAACTTCTTTAAAGCATAAATCATAGAGGACCTATGAAACAAAAATATAAGTTAAAAAGCAAAAACAACAAAAACCAAAGTACACAAGCAACAAAGAGCATGATGAAAGCAACAGTACCTCACATTTCAATATTAACATTGAATATAAATGGTCTAAATGCTCCGCTTAAAAGATACAGAACTGCAGAATGAATAAGAACTCACCAACCAACTATCTGCTGCCTTCAGGAGACTCACCTAACACATAAGGACTCACATAAACTTAAAATAAAGGGGTGGAAAAAGGCATTTCATGCAAATGGACACCAAAAACGAGCAGGGGTAGCTATTCTTAGACAAAACAAACTTTGAAGCAATAGCAGTTACAAAAGACAAAGAGGGACAGTATATAATGGTAAAAGGCCTTTCCAACAGGAAAATATCACAATCCTAAACATATAGGCACCTAACACTGGAACTCCAAAATTAATAAAACAGTTACTAATACACCTAAGAAATGAGATAGATAGCAACACAATAATCATGGAGGACTTCATTACTCCACTGACAGCCATAGACAGTTCATCAAGGCAGAAAGTCAACAAAGAAACAATGGATTTAAACTATACGTTGGAACAATTGGACTTAACAGATATATACAGAACATTTCATCCAACAACTGCAGAATAAAACATTCTATTCAACAATACATGGAACTTTCTCCAAGATAGACTATATGATAGGCCATAAAATGAGCTTCAATACATTTAAGAAAATTGAAATTATATCAAACACTCTCTCAGACCACAGTGGAATAAAACTGGAAATCAACTTCAAAGGGAACCTTCAAAACCATGCAAATACATGGAAGTTAAATAACCTGGTCCAGAATGAGCATTGGGTCAAAAATGAAATCAAGATGGAAATTTAAAAACTCTTCAAACTGAATGACAATAATGCCACAACTATCAAAACCTCTGGGATTCAGCAAAGGCAGTGCTAAGAGGAAAGTTCATAGCCCTAAACGCCTACATCAAAAAGTCTGAAAGAGCACAAACAGACAATCTAAGGTCACACCTCAAGGAACTAGAGAAACAAGAACAAACCAAACCCAAACCCAGCAGAAGAAAGGAAATCACCAAGATCAGAGCAGAACTAAGTGAAATTGAAATGAACAAAAATACAGAAGGTAAATGAAATGAAAAGCTGGTTCTTTGAAAGACAAATAAAATTGATAGACCATTAGCAAGATTAACCAAGTAAAGAAGAGAGAAAATCCAAATAAGCTCAGTAAGAAATGAGACGGGAGAGGGCCGGGTGCGGTGGCTCACACCTGTAATCCCAGCACTTTGGGAGGCTGAGGTGGGCGGATCATGGGGTCAGGAGATCGAGACCATCCTGGCTAACACAGTGAAACCCTGTCTCTACTAAAAACAGAAAAAAAATTAGCTGGGCGTGGTGGTGGGTGCCCGTAGTCCCAGCTACTCGGGAGGCTGAGGCAGGAGAATGGCGTGAACCCAGGAGTGGAGGTTGCAGTGAGCTGAGATGGCACCACTGCACTCCAGCCTGGGGGACAGAGTGAGACTCCATCTCAAAAAAAAAAAAAAGGAAAGAAATGAAATGGGAGATATTACAACTGACACCACAGAAACAGAAGATCATTCAAGGCTGCTATGAATACCTTTATGCACATAAACTAGAAAACCCAGAAGAGATGGATAAATTCGTGGAAAAATACAACCCTCCTAGTTTAAATCAGGAAGGATAAGATACCCTGAACAGACCAACAACAAGCAGTGAGATTGAAATGGTAATTAAGAAAATTACCAACAAAAAAAAGTCCAGGACCAGACGGATTCACAGCAGACTTCTAGCAGACATTCAAAGAATTGGTATCAATCCTTTTGACACTATTTTACAAGACAGAGAAAGAAGGAACCCTCCCTAATTCATTCTATGAAGCCAGCATCATCCTAATACCAAAACCAGCAAAGAACATAACCAAAAAAGACAATTACAGACCAATATTTTTGATGAACACAGATGCTAAAATCCTCAACAAAATACTAGCTAACCAGTTCTAACAACATATCAAAAAGATAATCCACCATGATCAAGTAAGTTTTGTACCAGGGACGCAGGGATGGTTTTACCTACACAAGTCAATAAATGTTATACACCACATAAACAGAATTAAAAACAAAAATCACATGATCATCACAATACATGCAGAAAAAGCATTTGACGAAACCCAGCATTCCTATATGATTAAAACTCTGAGTAAAATCGGCATACAAGGGACATACCTTAATGTAATAAAATCCATCTATGACAAACCCACAGCCAACATAATACTGATTGAGGAAAAGTTGAAACCATTCCCTCTGAGAACTGGAACAAGACAAGCATGCCCACTCTCACCACTCCTCTTCAACATAGTACTGGAAGTCCTAGCCAAAGCAGTCAGACAAGAGAAAGAAATAAAGGGCATCCAATTGGTAAAGAGGAAGTCAAACTGTCACTGTTTGCTGATGATATGATCATGTTAGATATGAGTTCTAAATTTCTTTTCGAAGAATTAATATGTCAGTATGTTCAATTCTTTGCCTTCTACTTTTAAACTTAACTTCCTCGTAAAGCAACCTTTTTCGGTTACCTACTCCACCCTGACTCATTCTGATCACCTGCTCCACCCTACATTCCAATCACCTGCTCCACCCTAACTCATTCCATTTACCTGCTACCTGCTCTGCCCTGACTCCCTCCAAAGCACTCACCCCGTCATTCTCTTTAAATTAGCTGGTCGGAATTAGTTTAGTCTGTTCGGTCTGACCCTAGCCAATAGGGGAACAACAGCAGCAGGGGCCATGTGTGTCAGGGATAAGAATCCCTTCCCCTCGTCCAAGTGTGCGCTCACCATTGTTCCATCTGTAAGGGCACACCCTTCTATAGAGAAGTAACTAGCCTTGCTGAGAATTAAAAAGAAAATTTTATATTTGAGTGCTATTTCTTTTGTGCCACTGAAACTTTATATATAGCAGTCATTTACCTTGAAACCCCTAAAGACTCCTCCAGAAAGCTCCTAGAACTGATAAAAGAATTCAGCAAAATTTCTGCATACAAGATTAATGTACACAAATAAGTAGCTCTTCTATACACCAACAGCAACCAAGCAGAGAATCAAATCAAGAACTCAACCCCTTTTGCAATAGTTGCAAAAAAAAAAAAAAAACACTTAAGAATATACCTAACCAATGAGTTAAAAGACCTTTACAAGGAAAACTACAAACACTGCTGTAAGAAATCATATATGACACAAACAAATGGAAACATCTCCCATGCTCATGGATGGGTAGAATTAATATTGTGAAAATGACCATACTGCCAAAAGCCATCTACAAATTCAATGCAATCTCTATCAGAATACCACCATCATTCTTCACAGAATTAGAAAAAACAATTCCCAAAATCATATGGAACCAAAAAAGAGCCCGCATAGCCAAAGGAAGACTAAGCAAAAAGGACAAATGTGGAGGCATCACACTAGCTGATTTCAAACTATACTATAAGGCCATAGTCACCAAAACAATGTGGTACTGGTATAAAAATAGGCACGTAGACCAATGGAACAGAATAGAGAACCCAGAAATAAACCCAAATACTTAGAGCCAACTGATCTTCAACAAAGCAAACAAAAACAAAGTGGGAAAAGGGCACCTTTTTCAACAAATGGTGCTGGGGTAATTGGCTAGCCACATGTAGGAGAATGACAATGGATCCTCATCTCTCACCTTATACAAAAATCAACTCAAGATGGATTAAGGACTTAAACCTAAGACCTGAAACTATAAAAATTCTAGAAGATAACATTGGAAAAACCCTTCTAGACATTGGCTTCAGCAAGGATTTCATGACCAAGAACCCAAAAGCAAATGCAATAAAAAGATAAATAGCTGGGATCTAATTAAACTAAAGAGCTTTTGCACAGAAAAGGAACAGTCAGCAGAGTAAACAGACAACCCACAGAGTGGGAGAAAAGCTTCAGAATCTATACATCTGACAAAGGACTAATATCCAGAATCTACAACGAACTCAAACAAATCAATAAGAAAGAAAAACCCACAATCCCATCAAAAAGTGGACTAAGGAGATGAATAGACAATTCTCAAAAGATACACAAATGGCGAAAAAATGCTCAACATCACTAATGATCAGGGAAATGCAAATCAAAACCACAATGCAATACCTCCTTACTCCTGCAAGAATGGCCATAATAAAAAAAACAGTAGACGTTGGTGTGGATGTGGTAAACAGGGAACACTTCCACACTGCTGGTGGAAAGTAAACTACTACAGCCACTATGGAAAATAGTGTGGAGATTCCTTAAAGAACTAAAAGTGAACTACCATTTGATCCAGCAATCCCACTACTGGGTGTCTACCCAGAGGAAAAGAAGTCATTATTCAAAAAAGATAACTTGCATATGTATGTTTATAGCGGCACAATTCACAATTGCAAAATCATGGAACCAACCCAAATGCCCAGCAATCAACAAGTGGATAAAGAAACTGTGGTATATATATATGATGGAATACTGTGCAGCCATAAAAAGGAATGAATTAGCAGCATTTGCAGTGACCTGGATGAGATTGGAGACTATTATTCTAAGTGAAGTAACTCAGGAATGGAAAACCAAGCATCACGTGTTCTCACTGATATGCGGGAGCTAAGCTATGAGGACACAAAAGCATAAGAATGATACAATGGACTTTGGGGACTTGGAGGGAAGAGTGGGAGGTGGGTGAGGGATGAAAGACTACAAATACAGTGCAGTGTATACTGCTTCGGTGACAGGTCACCAAAATCTCACAAATCACCATTAAATAACTTACTCGTAACCAAATACCACCTGAACTCCAATAACTTATGGAAAAATAACAATTAAAAAATTTCCTTTAAATATGGTATTCAATTCCTTGTGTCCTTCAAGGTTTTTGCTGAGAAATCCACTGATAATGTTATTGAAGATCCATTGTGCATGATGAGTTACTTTTCTCTTGCTTCTTTCAAGATTCTTGAGGGGGCCTTAGACTTTGTATTGTATTCCTTTACCTCTGATCTCTTGCCCCCGGTTTCTGTGAGTCTGTAGTCCCCCTGCAGTGTTCCATGTCTTTGGCTTTTGTTAGAATATAATGTGTCTTGGTATGTACTGCTTTGGGTTTATCCTACCTGGAGATCAGCAAGATTTTTGGATTTGTGAATCAATGCCTTTCCTCAAATTTGGGAAGTTTTCAGCCATTATTTTTTCAAATAGTTCCTCTGCTCCTTTCTTTATCCCGTCACCATCTGAGATTTCTGTAATGCATATATTGGTTAGCTTGATGGTATCCCATAGGTCTCTTAGTCTCTGTCCACTTTTCTTAATTATTATTATTATTATTTGGTCTTCAGATTCAATAATTTCAAAGGACTTATCTTCAAGTTCACTGATTCTTTTTTCTTCCTGTTTGAATCTACTGTTGAATCCCTCTAGGCGTTTTTCAATTCAGATACTGTATTTTCAGCTCCAGAATTTCTGTTTGGTTCCTTTTTATAGTTTCTCTTTGTTAATATTCTCTTTTGTTTATGTGTCATTTTTCTCATTTCCTTTAGTTCTTTGAGTTTTCATTTAGCTCTTTGAGCATATTTAAGACATTTTGTCTTTGTCTAGTACTTCTGATGCTTGTGTTTCTTCAGGGACAGTTTCTGACAGTTTATTATCTTCCTTTGAATGGGCCATATTTTCCTGTTTCTTTGCATGGTTTGTTATTTTTTTGTTCATTTTTAAAATTGATCATTCAAAAAAACAGCCACCTCTGCTAGTCATTACAAGTAGGTTCTGTGCCAGGGAAGACCTTCACTAATTAGCAGGGCATGCTGTCAGCTTTGGGATCAGCCCCATGTGAGGTCTTAAGGTCTTCTTAGACCTCTTTTGGCTATGCATTTTGCCTTGGCCTGGGTATCTGTTGTTGTTGTTGTTGTTGTTGTTTTCCAGTTCCCTTGAATGCATGACTGCTTAAAATGTCTCAATTTCCTAAAGAGTCTCACCTCTGCTTCTCAGAAGGTGGGCTTAGATGTTCTATTGTATTCTTCTACTTCTGATCTCTTGCTCCAGGTATCTGTGAGTTTGTAGGCCCCCTGCAGTGTTCATGAGTAGTGCCCATCATTTCCTGTGGCTTTTCCTGAGCCTGAGTATCCAGCCATGTTGCTTTTCCCTGTCTGACCTCCGAATTAGGTAAAACAGAGACCAGTACCTCAGGCAGCCCCTTGACAGGTTAGAATGTTGCAAATAAAGTCCACTTTCCTCTCTCTGGGGTTCCAGGGAGGGAATTGGGAGCAGGGCTGCTGCTTCCCCAGGTGTGCCAGGAGGGAAGGATGGGGTACAGGCAAGTAAAAATGTCACAAAATTTCTAACCATTTTGACTGTATCGTTTTCTTGACTAGGTGTTTGCTTGGTTGCTATAGAACTTTGAGTATTTTTCAGACTTCCTATAAAGTTATTGTAGCCAGTCTGTAATACTATAATTTGTTTCAACTTATAACACAACTTTTATTAGAAGAGTTATACATAACATAGCATCAACTATTTTCAAGAACAATATTAAACCCAATAAGCAAAAAAAACAGACTAACAAAATGTGTAACAAGAAACCAATGACCTTTCTAAAATCAAACATTCAATTATCTACAATGTCTTTTTACAAACAGGGAAAACTCCATGGTTTACAGGCACAGCATATTGAAAATAAATCTGCAATAGCAATTTTTTATGGTTAAACTCTCAAGAAACGGAATCATTAAAACAGTAATGAGTTCACAAATTTAAAACATTTCACATAATTTTAAATTATTGAGTATACACTGAAGTCTGTTTCAAAAGTGATTTTTTTCCCCACGAAAGTGTCAACACTTAAGCTAGAACTTTCAGTGTTAATTTTGCCCTAAAAAGTTAAGACATATTCTGATAATCATAATAGTCACATGATTTCTGATGCTATCTGGTCTGTTAATATAGACCTTTATTTGGATGTGTTTTTCTTCAGTTAAATTATAGGAAACCGGATATAGGATTTCGTTGCAAAGCTATTAAAGTTCCAAACACAGGAGTGTGCAGCACTGGAAAAGGAGATCAGTACTAAAACTTACAATAAATATCAGAGAAGCCATTAGTTTTTACAGCATTGTCTGCTTAAAGGTTAAGTTGACCTGGTGTATAATTTCCCATCAGTCTGTCCTTGTAGTAGGCAGGGTAATTTCTGTTTTCATGATCTGAATAGTCAAATATATCCAAACATCTTTTTAAAACTTCTATTTATAGGTCCTAGAAAGTCTGCTATTTGATAGTCACTCTACTCTAATCAGGCCTATTTCTGCTCATTTTGGAGCCTCACTAAAATGACAGATTTCGAGATAGCGAAGTTCATCAGAAAGACTCAAATGGAATGATTTACAAAATAGAACACTTTAAACCAAGTCAGTCCTATCTGTAGCTGAAGGGTATCAGTCACAACACAATTTCACGTACACGTTTGCTCATTAGGGAATTACACTTAAAACGAATCTCAAGAGGGTGACCTTTGTTATTTCAGGTACCATCCCTAAGGAGAGTGGTTAACAAGAAGATTGCCAGTGTTACTACTGATGGAAAGGCTTTTTTTTTTTCTTTTCAAAGACTCATACCATAGTTTTAAATTAAACTGTCAGGCATTTTCCCAGACAGGTTTTCCTTTTCAATGCAGTAATGAAGAACTAAGATAAAAATCATGACTTTCAACTGCCACTCAACATCATTGCATGCACCAATATTGCACACATCTGTTCTGAACTGTTAATCTTCTGAGTCCTTAGGGTGCTGTTTTCTCCATCAGAACACAAACACATCCATCTAATCAGTTTCCCTCAAAGATGAAACTGACAAATTTAATATACTGGGAAAAAATGAGAAAGAAAAAGGCAAAGACTTTGTACAGACAAAAATCTAAGTTTTCTCAAAGGGTTCTGTGTCTCCTACACATGGGGGCAATTTGTAAGCACTAGTGAAATGAACACTAGCTATAATGCTTCTAGCTCCTCATAAAATATGGAACTTTGGCCCGGGTGTTGCGATGATGTTACTGTACAGTTCTTCCTGTGTCAGCTCAATAGCTTGCTGCTTTTTAAGAACCAAGAAGCTGTAGAACTTTGCAACAGTTTGTTTTCTGTTTGTGTTTTGATATAACTCAAGCAAACTGATAGATTCAGCTCCAGTTTTAGCAAGAGCTCACTGAAGACCGTGAAGCATCTGCTGAGTCCTTTTCTTCCATCTTCTTTCTTCCTGATCTTGATCACCCCCTGAAACATCTTCATCCTTTTCCCCTTCATCATCTTTTTTTCCCCTTTTCTTTCTCATTCTCTTTTTCTGGCAGAAGTTCTAACTCTGGTATTAGCTGACAGATATTTGGAGGTTCTTCTTGGGGAAGCTCTACAGGCAGTATTTCCATCTGCTCAACCTGCTGAGGAGGCATCACAGGCTCTGGGTTAATTTGTCCAGCTTTTCACTTAACTCCCTGAGGTGGTGGTGGAGGCATAGCTGACTCATCCAGATTTGTTCTGCTGGCCTCATCACTGACTTCTGGAGATGGCTTGGCTCTTCCAAAATGGGCTTATCAATAACATCATGCTGCTGGTGTAGCTGTTGCTAGTTCTCTCTAGGAACCTCTGGATTTTCAAGTTCTTTGAGGAACTCATCCAAATTATCTGTCCCTCCTTTCCCCCTTTTTCTAAGGTCTTCTGGTACAAGTGGTGTAAGACAGCATGTAAAGAGCGTCAGTAGTCTGTTATTCCACAAAGGCTGAGCAGGTAAAGAAAACAGTTTTTCTACTACTCCTGTCTCTTTCCACATCACCTATTTCTTGGTGGGTGGTGCCAGATCCAAAGTAGTAACAATATCAGAATAATCATTAAGCTGGGCTCTAATTGTCTTGCTATCCAAGTTTTTGACACTGTCAACAATTAGCTTCCTCTTCCTCTTGGCGTTTGTTTCTTTAACAGTTATATCAATAGGTTCCAATGCAAATGCTTCTTCCTCATTTGGAACAAGTGTTGTTTGATCAGTCATAGTTGGCTGGTTCAACAGGATTCACTGAATCAGGACTATCAGGCCCACCCATTGATGTATTATCATCCTCACCCGTATATCATCATGTGCAGGCTGCTCTGGCAACATTACCTCTGCCTCAGAGAGGGCAGGGGGATCATCAAAGATACTACCATCATTATTACTAATAAGTTTGTCTTCTAATATTCCACCATCATTTCCTTCTCCAAAATTATTATCTTTATATTGGTCTTCATATTCTAAATGGTTAATTTTCTCATTCAGATTGCTGGTGCTCTGTTCAGACTCTAATAGGAGATTAGAAGCAGTAGTGCCTACTAACATGTCATCATCCTCAAAAGCACTGCTTTCTCTGATCTCAATGATCATCCATTCCAAAATCGCCAAAACCATTTTCTTGTAAAATACTGATATTCCCAACTTCTTCTCTCACGGTTATTTCTTCCACTCTACTCTGACCCAGGCTGAACTTCTGGGCCACATCGATGTCATCTAAGTCAGGCAGTGGCTGATCAAAGTCATGAAATTATTCAAGTAAAGTAATGGTGTTATAAGCTGCTTCCTGATTTTCCTCAGGCAGGTCAACACCTGATCAAAAAGCCATCTTTATCTTAATGAATGCTTCATTACAGTCTGCAAGAAGATATTTGGCTTTCCTGTGATAGATTCAAACTACTCCCAGTAAGAGATGTCCTGATGTCCGTAATGCTATCTTCACCTTTGGTGAGATGATACTCTCCATGCTGCTCTCTAAATTACACTGTAACACAGGGGCTTTGGTTAGCTTCTTATCCCAATGGGCCGCTAGCCAAATTTTGGCCAGAGGCCCTCTTACTGAGGACAAAATGTGCATAGAACATTGTTCTGGTTGCCTATGAAAATAGAAGGAAACCTTGCTCTCCACTGGGAGTTGGGCAGGCTGGGTCCAGTCTGTATTATTTTTTAAATGTTTTGTCAATTGAGAAAAATGATGAAATAAGTCCCAATGATTTTAGATTTATTTGCCAAAGTTAAGGACGTGCCCAGGAGACAGGTCTATGCCTTTCTCCGAAGGTGATTTTGAGGGCTTCAAATTTAAAGGGGAAAGGGTAGGATATTGAGAAGTAAACAATTTTCATGTAAGAGGGGGTAGGGAAAAATAGTCATTCATGCCTTTGTCTGGTTCAGCAAATCTGCATTTTTTAAATATAAGATAACATAGAATGGCCACTTCACAGATGCTGCTGCTGCCAGGAGCCCCGTACTATCAGCCATGGTCAACCCCACCTTGTTCTTCAACATCACCATAGATGGTGGGCTCTTGGGCCACATCTCCTTCAAGCTGTTTGCAGACAAGTTTCCAAGACACCAGAAAAATTTCATGCTGTGCACACTGGAGAGAAAGGATTTGGTTATAAGGGTTCCTGCGTTCACAGACTTATTCCAGGGTTTATGTGTCAGGGTGGTGACTTCACATTGCCATAATGGCACTGGTGGCAAGTCCATCTACAGGGAGAAATTTGATGACAAGAACTTCATCCTAAAGCATACAGGTCCTGGCATCTTGTCCATGGCAAATGCTGGACACAAACAGTTCCCAGTTTTTCATCTGCACTGCCAAGACTGAGTGGATGACAAACATGTGGTCTTTGGCAAGGTAAAAGAAGGCATAAATATTGTGGGGGCCATGGAATGCTTTGGGTCCAGGAATGGCAAGACCAGCAAGAAGATCACCATTGCTGACTATGGACAACTTATTAAAGTTTGACTTGTGTTTTATCTTAACCACCAGACCATTCCTTCTGTAGCTCAGGAGAGCACCCCTCCACCCCATTTGCTGGCAATAGCCTATAATCTTTGTGCTCTCATTGCAGTTCCCTTTGGGTTCCATGTTTTCCTTGTTCCTTTCCATGTCTAGCTGGATTGCAGAGTTAAGTTTATGATATGAAATAAAACTAAATAACAACAAAAAGGCCAGGCGTGGTGGCTCACGCCTGTAATCCCAGCACTTTGGGAGGCCGAGGCGGGTGGATCACCTGAGGTCTGGAGTTCGAGACCAGCCTGACCAACATGGAGAAACCCCATCTCTACTAAAAATACAAAAATTAGCTGGGATTGGTGGTGCATGCCTGTAATCCCAGCTACTCTGGAGGCTGAGGCAGGAGAATTGCTTGAACCCAGGAGGCGGAGGTTGCTGTGAGCCGAGATCGTGCCATTGCACTCCAGCCTGGGCAACAAGAGCGAAACTCCATCTCAAAATAAATAAGTAAATAAATAAATAAATAAATAAATAAATAAAAGATGACATAAAAGGGGCAGAGGAAAAATCTGGGGAATCTGCATTTTACATAAGATAACATAGACAAAATTGGGCAGGGGAACACTCAGATATGCATTTATGTCTGGTGGGCCAGGGGCGACTGCACCTGTAAAGATAAGCTATCGATTTGCATTGCCATGGTGAAATTTTAACAACTCACTAGAAATTTCTCTGTGGGCAAAATATGGAGGAGACATGTAGCTTTTCATCTTGTAACAATTTTATTGAGGAACCAAAAGGGGGAGGCAGGTTTGGATGACCCAGTTCCCATTTTGACTTTTGCCTTTTGCTAAATGAGTTTGGGGGGTCCCAAAATTTAATTTCCTTTCAGGTTTCCCCTCTTTTTTTATTTAAAATCTTTTGAAGGAAGCATTTTAAAAGGAATATGGGTTCTTGGCTACAGGTTGATTTTTCCTCCCTTTTCTGAACTGGTTTCCTGTTGCTAGGATAGTTTATTTCTAGAAGTTTAGGTCCCACATCACCAGGAAGGCTCATTCCTAGGAAGTCACGCCCATTGTCGCTAGGAAGGCTCATTCCTAGGAAATTGTGTCCCACGAATATTTAAAAAAAAAAGGGAGAGGAAAAAAGGAAAAAGGAAAGGAAAAAAGAAAAAGAAAAAAATATATATATAGGGACCTAGGTCATATTTATAGCAACAAAAGGAAAGCAAACCTTGAAGCTGGGTCAAGCTATATTACTGCTTCCTCAATTAAAGCAATTCTCTGGGCAATTATTACCCCAGCCCTTTCAGTTGTGCATTAACTTATTTGCAAGCACATACCGTAACAACATTGTAGCAGAAACAGGACAGAACACAAATTATTATTATTCCTATTATAAGCAGTAGCTTCTGCCACCAAGTTCCCCAGGATCCAAACCAACTACTCAACCAATTGATTAGTGAGGGTTTTAGATCTGACAGGTTGGTTATCTGGGTTTTCATATCAGTCATAAATCGAGTTATGTTCTTCAATTCATCTGAATATACACACAACATTCAGTTTTTATGACGGCACAGGTCCCCCCTTGTGCTGCAATGAGTATATCTAAAGCCATATGGTTGTATAGCACAACTTTCCTCATAAGCATGACCTCATTGCTTAGCAAGGCAATACTCATGTGGCTATCATTCAGGGCCTTTTGGATGTAATTGGGTAAGGCCTCTATATGCCATATAACATCTTCAATACCTGTCTGTGGTACAAAGATTAAAGCTAAGTGATCATACCATTGGAATACCTAACATGTCCAATGAAATTGTAAATGAAAAAGGTTTGCTGGTTTTGGCAGGGTCTGGATTACGTGTCTTGTGCCCAAGCATAACCTAGGGAACATCATCCTAACTACCCTAGAGGTAACCACGGCCATAAGTTAGTGCCACATAGCCAATATGTCCCATTTGGAGCTATCCAATAAATACCTGATTGCTGCACCCAATCGGTGGCATTCCAGTCAGCGTCTTGTAATATGATAATGTGGTCACAGCATTCTCCAGGTGTCCACCCCGTATCTCTCGTACTGTTTGGCCATAGGTCCTTGATATGGTTTCTTTCTCCCAGCACAGAGGAGAATTTTGGCTGAGTTGGCCAGACGAACGGGTGAGCCAGATAAATCCAGCCCAAATTTGCATTATTCCATTTTGAAAATGAGCTGTTGTTTGGGGTGTGGTTACCACCTTCTGTTTTAGCTGGGGGGATGCTAAAGTGAGAGCTAATGACCTGGTCCTTTCCATTCAAAATCTTTTCCCATGTCCCTTGTTCTTAAGAGTGTTTTTAATGGGCCAATTGTATGTATTGTCTTTTGTTATCCCAGCACTAAGAATACCAGACCATTTCTGTGATGTGATAAATTTTTGGTATTCTATCCAGTCCTGACCTTGGAAGGGGGATATCCACCATGGCAGGCTGGAGCCACTGGAAAGAGGCATGAGTCTGCATATCCAGCAGGTGTTCTTTGTAATTTGTCTGCATAATGCTGAGCCCATTGTAGAAACAGGTTTGTTTCATGGGCATCAGTGGGTGGCAGTGGCAAGAAAGTGTAGGGATATAGGATTAATAATAGCAAGGTTGCGAAATTCATTTTAGTTACTAAATGGTGTTAAATCAGACAAGGCAAGTGCCCTGTCATTTATAAGACAGCAGTTGCCGGTATATCTAGGACAATAATTGTAATGGTTACTGTACAATAAACAGAGGCGTTCCCTTTGTATACAGGCCTGGTTCTGTGTCTTGGGTTTAAGCAGTCCACAACAGCTGTTGTCTGCTTCTAATCCTGGGTTGCAGGTTGATGTTTAGTGAACCGGAGGTGAAGGTCTTTGGTGGGAGTTACAGTCCACTCAGGAGGTTGTGCCTTTTTAAGATGAGAGATGTGAATCCATGAATCTATACTCTTTAATTTTGCAGTACATGGATTAGTCAGTAGTGCCTGGTACGGGCCCTTCCATCAGGGTTGAAGGGAATCCTTTATTAGATGTCTTTTCCAATAGATGAAATCTCCAGGTTGCAGATGACCAGGCACCTTATCTTCGGGGAGCGCACCGTGAAAGGAATTTTTTAACAAATTTTGGTTTTTTCTAAGATGATAAATGAGTCCCTCACAATATTGCAATATATCTCCCTGGAGAAAAGTTGGATTGGTTATGTTCGTTCCCATACACATGGGCCTTCCTGTTATAATTTCATAAGGAGACAGTTGATGTTTTCCAAAAGGAGTGGATCGTAGTATAAGCAGCACTAGGGGTAGTGCTTTGGGCCAGGGGAGGTGAAATGCCTCTGTGAACTTAGCCAATTGTGTTTTAATTATTCCATTGGTCCTCTCCACCAGGCCTGAAGACTGGGGATGGTGGCACAATGGAAATGTTGAAATATGGGCCAAATTTTACAAATATTTTGAGTAACCTGGCCAGTAAAGTATGATCCCCCATCACTGTGAAGTTCACAGGGGACTCCCCACAGTGGGACAATTTTTTCTAGTAGGATTTTTCCAACTGTCGTGGCTGTTGCTTGCCTGCAGGGAAAAGCTTCAACCCAATGATAAAACATGCAGACCATTACTAAAACATACTTGTAACATTGAGATGATGGCAGCTGGATAAAATCAAGCTGTCATACCTCAAAAGGTCAGCCGGAAGGGGAAAATGACCCTGGGCCCCATGGAGGGGTTTTCCTGGGTTATGTTTGGGACAGATAACACATTGAGAGTAAACTTTTTTGTTTGGTTTTTTGAGATGGAGTTTCGCTCTTGTCGCCCAGGCTAGAGTGCAATGGCGTGATCTCAGCTCACTGCAACCTCTGCCTCCTGGGTTCAGGCGATTCTTCTGCCTCAGCCTCCCAAGAAGCAGGATTACAGGCACGCACCACCATGCCTGGCTAATTTTTGTATTTTTAGTAGATACAGGGTTTTGCCATGTTAGCCAGGCTGGTCTTGAACTCCTGACCTCAGGTGATCTACCTGCCTGGGCCTCCCAAAGTGCTGGGATTACAGGTGTGAGCCATGGTGCCCGGCTGAGAGTAAACTTTTTGTGCCACTGTGAAGGATGGTTTCCAGTAATATTGTTTACACCAGGATATTATTTTATCTGGATTCCAATGGGTTAGATTATGAACATATTTCATAAGGGACACCTGACATTCCATTGGAATAATGGGTTTCTTGGAATGGAATAATTAGGTCCACACCATATTTCAGTTTTGGGAGACAAGTATCCCCCTGCCTGTTTCCAAGTAGATTTCTCTTTTGTAGGAGCTATGCTCTGGGTTTCTTTCAACATGTATTTAAGTGTTTTGGGTTTTATGGCCATTTTCCAACTTGGGGCTGATGGCTTGAATGCTGCTCTTTTAGCTGTGGCTTCAGCAAATTGGTTACCCTGACTTACTGTGGTGTCTAATTTTGAGTGACCTGGGATTTTTTTTTAATTTTATTTATTTATTTTTGAGACGGAGTCTCTCTCTGTTGCCCAGGCTGGAGTGCAGTGGCGCCATCTCGGCTCACTGCAAGCTCTGCCTCCCAGGTTCATGCCATTCTCCTGCCTCAGCCTCCCGAGTAGCTGGGACTACAAGCGCCCACCACCACGCCCGGCTAACTTTTTGTATTTTTAGTAGAGACGGGGTTTGTATTTTTAGTAGAGACGGGGTTTCGCCATGTTAGCCAGGATGGTCTCGATCTCCTGACCTCGTGATCCTCCTGCCTCGGCCTCCCAAAGTGCTGGGATTACAGGCGTGAGCCACTGCGCCTGGCCAACCTGGGATTTTTATAATTGCCAAGCGTTTTGGTGTTAGAACAGCTTCTAACAACTCTGATACTTGTCCATTTTTTATGGGTTGCCCTGAGGGGGTTAAATATCCTCTCTCTTTCCATAACATCCCAGTCATGAGCAACCCCAAAAGCATAGTGGCTGTCAGTGTAAATGTTTGCAGCCTTGTCTTTTGCCAATTGACAAGCTTCGGTCAGGGCAACCAATTTGGTCACTTGAGCTGATCTGGCTTGGGGGAGAGGATTGGCTTCAATTACCTCTAGTAAGGAAACCACAGCATATCCTGCTATAAAATTTCCATCCTCTCCTCTTAAATAAGATCCATCTGTATACCATTCTATCTCAGCATTATCCAGTGGCATCTCTTGTAGGTCTGTCCTGGGGGTGAGAAGTCAGTCATCAAAACACAGTCATGAGGGGGTTTTGTCAGAAGGGCCTGGCAAGAGAGTGGCCAGATTAAGATTATTACAGCAGGAACTAGTAATATTGGGAGATGATAAAAGCAAAATTTCATAAGAGGCTAACCAGTTGACAGACAGGTGTTGTGTATGATGAGAGTTTAGAAGGGTCTCAAGAGAATGTGGCACAAAAATGTTAAGGGGGGAACCTATAATTATTTCTTCAACAGACTTATACGGAAGGGCCGTGGCTGCTATTGCTCTCACATAGGGAGGCAGCCCTTGAGCCACAGGGTCCAGCTGTTGGCTATAATAGCCTATAGGTCTCTGATGATCACCATGTTTCTGGGTCAGTACTCCGGATGCAGTACCTCCAACTTCGTGTATGAAAAGGGAGAAAGGCAATTTGTAGTTCGGGTGCCCTAAGGCTGGGGCATTAGTCAGAATTTCCTTTATTTGTTGTACAGCTGATTGTCCCTCCGGAGTCCACATGATGGGATCAGGTTGTTCATTTTTTAGGTATGTACACTGAAGTTGAGCCATAAGGGAGAAATTTGGTATCCAGTTTCTACAATAGCCTGCCAGGCCCCAAAATACTCTAAGTTGTTTCTTAGTGACGGGCATTGGGAAAGCTAAAATTCCTCACTCTATCAGGGTTAATACTCAGTCCTTTGGCTGAGATAATATGTCCCAAATACTTAACTTCAGGTAAGCATAGCTGAAGTTTGTCTTTAGACATTTGTGTCCCTTGGTGGCTGTTTGAGTAAATATAGACTATCTTCCTGAGAGGAAGAGAGTGTGTCTGAACAAAGGAGAGTAGATGAATGTTGAGCCCTGGGAAAATATTTAATTCTCCAAATCAGCTTCTAATATTTGGGAACACTAAGTGGGACTTTCTGTATACCTTTGGGGCATTATAGTCCACGTATATTGCCATTCTTTCCAAATAAAGACAAACAAATATTGGCTGTCTGGTTCTACAGGAATACTAAAGAAGGCACTGCAGAGATCCACAACTGAGAAATACTGGCTGGTAGTGGATATAGGTGATAGAAGGGTTTGTGGGTTGGGGACTACTGTGTGCCTGAGAATTATGATATTGTTTATTGCCCTCAATTCCTGCACAAATTTCCATCCTCTCCCGCTTAGTTTCTTTACAGGGAATATAGGGCTGTTTCAGGGGATTGTGCAGGGAATAATGAGCCCGTTTCTCAGATAATCTTGTATGACAGGAGCAATTCCATCTATGGCTTCCTTTTGCAGAGGATAGTGTTTAAGGTTGGATAGGGGTTTCTTTGGATTTATCTCTACCTTTATTGGAATGGCTGAGAATACTTTCTCTGTATCTGTATTTGACTGAGACTATAAGTGGGAGGACACATCCTTGAGCAAGTGCTCTGCTTCTGGTGTTAACAGGAAGACTGGGGAAACTAAAAGGAGTTTTACTGTTTCCTGCTCTGTATTCCAATGTTCTCTCTTCTTCCCTAATATTTCCTTCTCTGTCTCTATTTTATTTTCCTGGTCACAAGATGACATTTTAACATTACTAGTACTAAATTGTACGTTGTCAGGACATTTTTAAATATGGTATTTTTGGTCTCCTGGCTCCAATTCTAAAAAAGTTTCACCTTTTGATGAAAAAGAGATATGGGCATTATGGATGTTGAGATCACAGCCCAAAAGTTTGACAGGGGCCCCAGTGCATATTAGAAACATATGGGACCTACTGAGTGTGTCACACTTAGAGCCTGCGACAGGGTAGTGGAACCTGATGAACCCTAAGGTACGGGTTTGGACTTAAAACATGAGATCATTTTATTAGACATACCCACCATGTTCATTCTTTCATTACTCTGAGGAATGGGGTTTCTAAATAAGGTGGGATTTTTCAGAGATAGTCACACCTATGTCAGTTAAGGCAGTTGTAAACTCATGGTTTATTATTATATTAATCTCCCCCAATTGGTTTGTCAGGGTAGAATATTTGGAGAGGTGAAACCCCTGTATTTCCTTGGAGCACCCCTTGTCTTCCTGAGTTGCATTCTGCCTTTTCTTTTGTTTCAGCCTAAGGCAATCCATCATAAGGTGTCTCGGTCATTTACAGTTGTAACAGACTGGGAGGGAAGAGTCCTCAGACCGAGGGAGCTTAAAATCTTTCTGGGGCCGAGAGGCTTGAGAAGTTAATTGCTTTAGCTGTAAATGCATAACTTGGGCAATCTTCTGTTTTTCCTTGTTTTATCATAGTGCGGGATAATTGGTCAGCTAAGTTAACTAGTTCATTAGTTCTGGCTGTGGTCCAATTTGTGTTTTACAAGGGTGGCTAAATCATCATCTAGTCCGTTTAAGAAATTTGCATTTAATAATGTATCATTTTTATTGTTTTCAAAGCAATCAGCTGACATCCCACAATGTTGTTTTAAAGTTTTATCAAAATGTGTTAAATAATCTAAAACTAATTTATTTGGGTTCTGGTGACATTGTTGGATTTTATTCCAATCCACAACCCTTTGGAACACTGAAGGAATGATATTTAATAGAGTGGTTGCTCATTCCTGCACATCTTTGTGCCTGTCTTCTGGATTTGTGGGGGCTGGTTGTTGTGGCTCCATTGGGCCTTCAGGGGTCAAATCTGCTATAGAGTCTGACCATTGTGCTTTTCCCAGCCATTCCTTAGCTTTAGCTTCTGAGACCAACATGTGGACTAGCTGATAAAAGTCTGAATGACCTGGGTCATAGGTTCTGACAATGAGCTCAAATACTCAAACCCAATTGGATCTTTATGGGGGTCAGGAAATTCTTTATGCCTTGGAATTCAGCCTTTGACCAGGGTGTTGGTAGACAATTACCAGGGTTCCCCTACCTGTTAGCAGTTGTTCCCAAAATAGGGTGATCATGAGAGATATCCCTGCACGGTCCCCCTTTTCCACATCTTCCAGATGAGATGTTGCCATTGGAGCTGTCAGGGAATCATGAGGGGGTGGGGTCTTTGCAGTCAGACTCTGAACTGCCTTCTGTTGAGCAAGTGTTAGACATGCAGTAGAGGCGGCGGACAGATCTGGTCCAGGAAGTTCAGATTGGTCAGGGTAGAGTAGGGGTGTAGGGGGAGGTACCAAGGGGGAAGTAAGGAATTCTGAGGATTTCTTTAAGAGAGATACAAGATTACAGAGTTCTTGGTTAGCATTTCTAAGTTGTTTGTTGGCCTCCTGTAGGGAGATGAGGTGGTTGTCAGGCCTCTGAGCCCAAGCCTGCACGTATATATCCAGATGGCCTGAAGCAACTGAAGAATCACAAAAGAAGTGAAAATGGCCTGTTCCTGCCTTAACTGATTACATTACCTTGTGAAATGTCCTAGCTCAGAAGCTCCCCCACCGAGCACCTTGTGACCCCAGCCCCTGCCCGCAAGAGAACAACCCCCTTTGACTGTAATTTTCCACTACCTACCTAAATCCTATAAAACTGCCCCACCCCTAACTCCCTTTGCTGACTCCTTTTTCGGACTCAGCCCAACTGCGCCCAGGTGAAATAAACAGCCTTGTTGCTCACACAAAGCCTGTTTGGTGGTCTCTTCACACGGACGAGTGTGACATTTGGTGCCGAAGACCCGGGACAGGAGGACTCCTTTGGGAGACCAGTCCCCTGTCCTCGCCCTCACTCCATGAGGAGATCCACCTATGACCTCGGGTCCTCAGACCAACCAGCCCAAGGAACATCTCACCAATTTCAAATCGGGTAAGTGGTCTTTTTACTCTCTTCTCCAGCCTCTCTTGCCACCCTTCAGTCTCCCTCTCTCGCTACCCTTCAATCTCTCTGTCCTTCCAATTCTAGTTCTTTTTCCTCTCTAGTAGAGACAAAGGAGACACATTTTATCCATGGACCCAGAACTCCGGCGCCAGTCATGAACTCAGGAAGACAGTCTTCCCTTGGTGTTTAATCACTGCGGGGACACCTGCCTGATTATTCACCCACACTCCATTGGTGTCTGATCACCGCAGGGATGCCTACCTTGGTCATTCACCCACATTCCCTTGGTGGCAAGTCAATTGCAGGGACGCCTGCTTTGGCTGTGGCTGCTCGCCCACATTGCAGCCCAGGGCTGCTCACCACCCCCCTTCTCCATGTCTCTACCCTCTATTTTCTCGGGGCTTGCCTTCTTCACTATGGGCAACCTTCCACCCTCCATTCCCTCTTCTTATCCCTTAGCCTGTGTTCTCAAAAACTTAAAACCTCTTCAACTCTCGCCTGACCTAAAACCTAAGCGTCTTATTTTCTTCTGCAACACTGCTTGGCCCCAATACAAACTCAATAATGGTTCTAAATAGCCAGAAAACGGCACTTTTGATTTCTCCATTTTACAAGACCTGGATGATTTTGGTCAAAAAATGGGCAAATGGGTCTGAGGTGCCTGACGTCCAGGCATTCTTTTACACATTGATCCCTCCTTAGTCTCTGCTCCCAGTGCGACTTGTCCCAAATCTTTCTTCTTTCTCTCCTGTTCCTTCAGTCTCCATCCCAAGCTCTGAGTCCTTTGAATCCTCCTTTTCTACGGACCTATCTGACCTCTCCCCTCCTCCCCAGGCTGCTCCTTGCCACGCCGAGCCAGGTCCCAATTCTTCCTCAGCCTCTGCTCTCCCACCCTATAATCCTTTTATCACCTCCCCTCCTCACACCTGGTCCAGCTTATAGTTTTGTTCTGTGACTAGCCCTCCCCGACCTGCCCAACAATTTCCTCTTAAAGAGGTGGCTGGAGCTGAAGGCATAGCCAAGGTTAATTCTCCTTTTTCTTTATCTGACCTCTCCCAAATCAGTTAGTGGTTAGGCTCTTTTTCATCAAATATAAAAATCCAGCCTAGTTCATGTCCCGTTTGGCAACAACCCTTAGATGCTTTACTGCCCTAGACCCAGAAGGGCCAGAAAGCCATCTTATTCTCAATATGCATTTTATTACCCAACCTGCTCCTGACATTAGAAAAAGCTCCAAAAATTAGATTCCGGCCCTCAAACCCCACAACAGGACTTAATTAACCTCTCCTTCAATGTGGACAATAATGGAGTAGAGGCAGCCAAGTAGCAACGTATTTCTGAGTTGCAATTACTTGCCTCCACTGTGAGAGAAACCCCAGCCACATCTCCAGCACACAAGAACTTCAAAACACCTGAACTGCAGCAGCCAGGCGTTCCTCCAGGACTGCCACCCCCAGGATCTTGCTTCAAGTGCCGGAAATCTGGCCACTGGGCCAAGGAATGCCCGCAGCCCGGGATTCCTCCTAAGCCATGTCCCATCTGTGCGGGACCCCACTGGAAATTGGACTGTCCAACTCGCCTGGCAGCCACTCCCAGATCCCCTGGAACTCTGGCCCAAGGCTCTCTGACTGACTCCTTCCCAGATATTCGTGGCTTAGCAGTTGAAGACTGACATTGCCTAATCGCCTCGGAAACCTCCTGGACCATCACAGACACTTTGGGTAACTCTTACAGTGGAGGGTAAGTCCGTCCCCTTCTTAATCAATATGGAGGCTACCCACTCCACATTACCTTCTTTTTAAGGGACTGTTTCCCTTGCCTCCATAACTGTTGTGGGTATTGACAGCAAGGCTTCTAAACCCCTTAAAACTCCCCAACTCTGGTGCCAACTTGGACAACATTCTTTTATGCACTCTTTTTTAGTTATCCCCACCTGCCCAGCTCCCTTATTAGATTGAGACATTTTAACTAAATTATCCGCTTCCCTGACTATTCCTAGGCTACAGCCACACCTCATTGCTGCCGCTTTAATACTTTTAGAGGCCCTAAAAATCACAAGCTATGCTCCACTAACCCTCTACAGTTCCCATAACTTTCAAAATCTATTTTCCTCCTCACACTTCCTGCCCCCTGGCTCCTTCAGCTGTACTTACTCTTTCTTGAGTCTCCCACAGTTACCGTTGTTCCTGGCCTGGACTTCAATCCGGCCTCCCACATTATTCCTGATACCACATCTGACCCCCATGACTGTATCTCTCTGATCCACCTGGCATTCACTCCATTTCCCCATATTTCCTTCTTTCCTGTTCTTCACCCTGATCACACTTGATGGCAGTTCCACCAGGCCTAATCGCCAATCACTGGCAAAGGCAGGCTAAGCTATAGTGTCTTCCACATCTATCCTTGAGGCTACTGCTCTGCCCCCCTCCACTACCTCTCAGCAAGCCAAACTCATTGCCTTAACTCAGGCCCTCACTCTTGCAAAGGGACTATGTGTTAATATTTATACTGACTTTAAATATGCCTTCCATATCCTGCACTACCATGCTGTTATATGAGCAGAAAAAAGTTTCCCCACTACACAAAGGTCCTCCATAATTAATGCCTCCTTAATAAAAACTCTTCTTAAAGCTGCTCTACTTCCAAAAAAGCTAGTCATTCACTGCAAGGGCCATCAAAAGGCATCAGATCCCATCGCTCAAGGCAACACTTATGCTAATAAGATAACTAAAAAAGCAGCTAGCATTCCAACTTCTGTCCCTCACTGCCAGTTTTTCTCCTTTTCATTGGTCACTCCCACCTACTCCCCCGCTGAAACTTCCACCTATCAATCTCTTCCCACACAAGGCAAATGGTTCTTGGACCAAGGAAAATATTTGCTTCCAGCCTTACAGGCCCATTCTATTCTGTCATCATTTCATAACTTCTTCCATGTAGGTTACAAGCTGCTAGCCCGCCTCTTAGAACCTCTCATTTCCTTTCTATCGTGGAACTCTATCCTCAAGGAAATCACTTCTCAGTGTTCCATCTGCTATTCTACTACTTCTCAGGGATTGTTCAGGCCCCCTCCCTTCCCTACACATCAAGCTCAGGGATTTGCCCCTGCCCAGGACTGGCAAATTGACTTTACTCACATGCCCTGAGTCAGGAAACTAAAATACCTCTTGGTCTGGGTAGACACTTTCACTGGATGGGTAGAGACATTTCCCACAGGGTCTGAGAAGTCCACTGTGGTCATTTCTTCCCTTCTGTCAGACACAATTCCTCGGTTTGGCCTTCCCACCTCTATACAGTCTGATAACGGACCGGCCTTTATTAGTCAAATCACCCAAGCAGTTTCTCAGGCTCCTGGTATTCAGTGGAACCTTCATACCCCTTCCCATCCTCAATCTTCAGGAAAGGTAAAATGGACTAATGGTCTTTTAAAAACACACCTCACCAAGCTCAGCCTCCAACTTAAAAAGGACTGGACAATACTTTTACCACTTGCCCTTCTCAGAATTTGGGCCTGTCCTCGGGATGCTACAGGGTACAGCCCATTTGAGCTCCTGTATGGACACTCCTTTTTATTAGGCCCCAGTCTCATTCCAGACACCAGCCCAACTTGGACTGCACCCCAAAAACTTGTCATCCCTACTATCTTCTGTCTAGTCATACTCCTATTCACCATTCTCAACTACTCATAAATGCCCTGCCCTTGTTTACACTCCCAGTTTACACTTTTCCTCCAAACCATCATAACTGGTATCTCCTGGTTTTATCTCAAACCACCACCCTTAAATCTCTCTTGAAGTGGATAAAAGATCTTCAGTGGCAAGGCACAGTCCGGTACTTTCACCCTGATGAAGTCCTATTCTTTACTTTTTTACTCACTCTTATTCTCGTTCCCATTCTTATGCCACCCTCTACCTCTCCCCAGCTATCTCCACCACACTATCAATCTCACTCTCTCCTAGCCGTTTCTAATCCTTCTTTAACAAACAATTGCTGGCTTTGCATTTCTATTTCCTCCAAAATCACCGAGACTTCCGCTTACTCACTGCTTAAAAAAAGGGGACTCTATATTTTTAAATGAAGAGTGTTGTTTTCACCTAAATCAATCTGGCCTGGTATGTGACAACATAAAAAAACTCAAGGATAGAGCCCCAAAACTGACCAACCAAGCAATAATCACGCTGAACCCCCTTAGGCACTCTAATTAGATGTCCTGGGTCCTCCCAATTCTTAGTCCTTTAATACCTGTTTTTCTCCTTCTCTTATTCGGACCTTGTGTCTTCTGTTTAGTTTCTCAATTCATACAAAACTGTATCCAGGCCATCACCAATCATTCTGTACAACAAATATTGCTTCTAACAACCCCACAATATCACCCCTTACCACAAAATCTTCCTTCAGCTTAATCTCTCCCACTCTAGGTTCCCACGCTGCCCCTAATCCTGCTCGAAGCAGCCCTGAGAAACATTGCCCATTATCTCTCTATACCACCCCCCAAAATTTTTGCCACCCCAACACTTCGCCACTATCTTGTTTTGTTTTTCTTATTAATATAAGAAGACAGGAGTGTCGGGCCTCCTGACACTACCTACTCAAATCCTATAAAACTGCCCCACCCCTAACTCCCTTTGCTGACATCTTTTTCGGACTCAGCCCACCTGCACCCAGGTGAAATAAACAGCCTTGTTGCACACACAAAGCCTGTTTGGTGGTCACTTCACCCAGACACGCGTGACAGTGGTCTTCCCCACTTTTGCTACTTTGCAGCTACCACTGAAAATAGCTGTCCCATTCTGGTTGTTTGGTTTTTGTGTCTGCATTCTCCATCCTGGTTCACAGGTACACTAATTTGGGCATCTCAAAAGATCCCCATTTAGGCCATTGTAACTTAGAATCTGCTTTAGTTATAGTGGTCCGCTTGGTTAAATATTTGCATGATGATTCACCATAAGTATTTTGCATATACCCTGCTGGAGTTTCTAAGAGGGGAACTTTATATTCTGCAACTGCTGGGGTCTTAGAGGCCTTGTTCTCTATAATTTAGAGTTCCCCTTTGGATTTGACCAAGTTGGGATGTGTGTTGGACCCAAAATGTGCTGCTTGCAAACCTAGCTTTTCACAGGGCCATTACACCCTGAACCAGTTTGGTCCACCAGCGTTGTGGCCACCTGGCACAGTGTGTCAGGGGCTCAAAGTTTGGGAGGGGTCAGTTCCTTATATGCATCTGCTGGCTGAGATTAGACCCTAAGTATGTTCTTTTGAGGGGGAAACCTATTTAGAGCTGCTGCATGTCTTAGGGAGCATTTCTCCCAGAAACCCTCATGTGATTCTCAGTCGCCTGAGAATGCCCCAAAGGGCTGAGGGGAGCAATGTGTTCTGTTTCTTCAGAGTGGAAAATTTCACACTCATGAGCTTGAAGGTTCAGAATTGGTCAAATCCGATAGGGGAAAGGACCAAAACACACACACACACACATACACACACACACACACACACACACACACACACACACAGATATATATACACACACACACACACACACACAAACCCAGAAACAAAACAATTAAACAAAACTAACAATGATCACGCAAATTATATGATTTCTGAGCGCTCTAAGGGTAAGCAGGAAATTAACACCAGCTGGTTGTTAGTGCTAATTCTAGTCGTTTAAAAGAATTTGCAAGACAGAATTCCAAACCAGTTTCTTACCTAGTGATGGGGGCCCAAGCTGAAGATTGCTCTCTGCATATGCAGAAGCAGACAGGCTCGCCTTCCTTGATGGAAGTGAGTGGAAACGCCTACAAAAAAAGGAATTTTTGTTGTTTTTGTTGTTTTGTTTTGTTTTTAACAGCAAATAAACTTCAGACCCCCAACTGGAAAATGTTGGAAGATCAGAGATCCCTGGAAAGAGGTCCTCGACTTTGGCAAATTGTCCTCTCAGTTTGGGCTATAAGGTGACCAAGCCGGTGCCAAGCACTGAGAGGTGAGCTACTGCAGGCTGGGTCACTTTCACTCAGGATCCCTTCGTGGTTACCAGATGTCAATTGAGAAAAATGACAAGTCTCAATCATTTTAGGGGATTTATTTGCCAAAGTTAAGGATGCACTCAGGAGACAGGTCTATGCCTGTCTCCGAAGATGATTTTGAGGGCTCAAAATTTAAAGGGGAAAGGGTGCGATACTGAGAAGTACACAATTTTCATGTAAGAGGAGGGTAGGGAAAAATAGTCATTCATGCCTTTGTCTGGCTCAGGGAATCTGCATTAATAAGATGACATAAAAGAGGCAGAGGAAAAATGTGGGGAATATGCATTTTACATAAGATAACATGGACAAAATGGGGCAGGGGAACACTCAGATGTGCATTTATGTCTAGTGCGCCGGGGGCGACTGCACCTGTAAAGATAAGCTATCAATTTGCATTGCTACGGTGAAATTTTAACAACTCACTAGGAATTTCCTTGTGGGCAAAATATGGCGGAGGCATGTAGCTTTTCATCTTGTAGCCATCTTATTGAGGACCCAAAAGTGGGAGGCAGGTTTGCATGACCCAGTTCCCACTTTGACTTTTCCCTTTCGCTAAATGAGTTTGGCGTCCCGAAATTGAATTTCCTTTCACAGATTACATGGGGAAAGGAGGGCCTGGAGCTTCCTACTCTGCTATCTTTCAGATGTCACTCAAAAATGTATTCTATCACTTTTATAAACAGGGACACCAAAGCTCAGAGAGTGACTTGTACAATATTACATAATTAATAAAAATACAGCTGGGATTTGACTCTTTTTAATTTTTAAATTTTTATTTCTTTAAAATTTTTCAGGTTTTGTGATTTTTTTTAAAAAAGAAGCTTAGTATCTTGGAGTAATTTTAGATTTGCCAAAAAGTTGCTAAGATAGTGCGGAGAGTTCCCGTATCAGCCCACTTCCCTCCCTTTGGCCCTACACAGAGTTATTGTTTTTATTATCATCTTAGATTAGTATGGTACATTTGCTACAAGTAATAAACCAATATTGATACATTATTATCACTAAAGTCCATACTTTATTCAGATTTTCTTAGTTTTTATATACTGACTTTTTCTGTTCTAGGAGCCAGTCCATGATACCACATTGCATTTAGTTGTCATTTTTCCTTAGTTTCTTCTTGACTGTGACAGTTTCTAAGACTTGTTTTGATGACCTATTGAGGAGTACTCCTCAGGTATTTTGTAGAATGTCCCTCAATTGGGATTTGTCTTACGCTTTCCTCATGATTAGAATGGGATTATAAGTGTTTGAGAGAAAGATCACAAAGGTAATATTCCATTCTCATCACACCATATCAAGGCTTTGCTCAGCTAACCAAGGTAGTGTTTGCCAGGTTTTTCCACTATGAAGTTACTTCACCCCTTTTCCATACTCTATTTTTTGGAAGGAAGTTACCAAGTCCAGCCCACACTTATGAGGGTTTGATGGGGATTAAGTGCCACTTCCTGGAAGGCAAGTATCTATATAAATTATTTAGAATTCCTCTATAAGGAAGAATAACTTATTTTGTTGCTCAAATTGTTCCAACTTTGTCCATTGCAAGCTCTTTCAGGCTGGCTCCTGTGTCCATTTAGCATGCTCCCATAATTTTGTTTTTTGAGTACTTTCTTAAGTTGCCTCTAAATTTCATTCTAAACACCTATCTACCTCAGTTCAGTTCCCTTTACCCAGTACATCATGCCTTGCTTTGAACAGAAAAATTATAAGATATGCTAAAAAGAGAAAAAAAACCACAGTCTTGAAGAAACAAAGCAAGCACTAGAACCAGACTCAGATGTGGCAGATATTTTGGAATTATGGGACCAGAGATTTAAAGTAA
This sequence comes from Homo sapiens, assembly GCF_000001405.40. Taxonomy (NCBI): domain Eukaryota; kingdom Metazoa; phylum Chordata; class Mammalia; order Primates; family Hominidae; genus Homo; species Homo sapiens. Next base: position 100,783,507 of record NC_000023.11, on the reverse strand, counting down.
CTATGATTAATATGCTAAGGGTTCTGTCTTAGTCTGCTTGGGCTGCTATAACTTATACTGTAGGTTGCATGGCTTAAACAGCAGAAATTTATTTCTCACAGTTTTGGAAGCTGGGAAGTTTAAGATCAAGGTGCCAGTAATTTGGTTTCTGGTGATGGCCCACTTCTTGACTTGTAGATGGCCACTTTCTTGCTGTGTCTTCGTATGGTAGAGAGAGAGAAAACTGGCGTCTCTTCCTCTTATAAGGGCACTAGCCTTATTCAACTAAGGCCCTATCCTTATTACCTCATGTAACCTCTGTCACCTTCTCACAGCCCCTATAAATGTAAAACAGAAAACTACAAAGCTTCTAGAAGATAACATAGGAGAACATAGAGGTGACCTTGTGTTTGGCAATGAGTTTTTAGATACAACACACAAAGCACAATCCATGAAAGAAAAAATTGGCAAGTTAGACTTCATCAAAGTTAAAACCTTCTGTTTTATGAAAGACACTGTTAAGTAAATGAAAAGACACGACAAAGACTGGGAGAAAATATTTGCAGAAGACATATCTGATAAAGGACTGTTATCAAAAATATATGAAGAACTCTTAAAACTCAATAAGAAAATGAGCAACCCAATGAAAAGATGTGCAAAAGATCTGAATGGACATATGCCCAAAGAAGATATACAGATGGTAAATATGCATATGAAAAGATGCTCAACATATATGTCATTAGGGAATTGCAAAATTAAAACAACAATGAGATACCACTCCACACCAATTAGAATGGCTAAAATCCAAAACACTGATAACACCAATGTTTGTGAAGATGTAGAACAGAAACTCTTTCATAGCTGGTGGGAATGCAAAATGGTACAGATACTTTGGAAGATAGTTTAGCAGTTTCTTACAAAACTAAATATGCCTTAGGCATTTACCTCAATGAGTTGAAAACATATGTCCACACAAAATCCTACACAAAAGTTTTTGTATCAACTTTATTCATTATTGCCAGAAATTAGAAGTAATCAAGATGTCCTTTAATGATGAGTAAATTTAAAAAAAACTGTGGTATATCTATACAATGCAATATTATTCAGTGATAAAAAGAAATGAGCTGTCAAGCCACAAAAGACCCGGAAGACCCTTAACTGCATGTTGCTGAGTGAAAGAAACCAGTCTGAAAAGCCACATATTATTGTGATTCTAATGATATGATGTTCTGCAAAAGGCAAAACTATGGATATATTAAAAAGATAAGTGGTTGTGAGGGCTTTGGTGTGGTGATAGCAAGTGGGGAAAAGATGAATAAGTGGAGCACAGGGCATTTTCAGGACAGTGAAATTATGCTGGATGATACTGTAATGATGGATACATGACATATTAATACATTTGGCAAAACCCATAGAACTGTATAACACACAGAGTGAACACTAACATATGGACTTTAATTTATCAATATTGATTCACTGATTGTAACAAATATGCCACATTAACACAAATGTTAATAACAGGGAAAACTGGGGGCAGGGAGTAGGGGGTATATAGAGACTGTACTTTCTGCTCAGTTTTTCTGTAAACCTCAAACTGCTTTTAAAAATAAAGTCTTTTAATTTAAAAATTAATATCAGGGCTCGGGTGCGGGGGCTCACGCCTGTAATCCTAGCACTTTGGGAGGCCGAGGCAGGTGGATCACCTGAGGTCAGGAGTTTGAGACCAGGCTGGCCAACATGGCAAAACCCTGTCTCTACTAAAAATACAAAAAAAAAAAATTAGCTGGGTGTGGTGGCAGGAGCCTGTAATCCCAGCTCCTTGGGAGGCTGAGGCAGGAGAATTGCTTGAACCTGGGAGGCAGAGGTTGCAGTGAGCCAAAATTGCGCCACTGCACTCCAGCCTGGGCGATGGATACAAAAAGATATTCACCTAGGCACATTGTCGTCAGGTTATACAAAGTTAAGACCAAGGAAAGAATCTTAAGAGCTGTGAGACAGAAGCACCAGGTAACCTATAAGGAAAACCTATCAGATTAATAGCAGATTTCTCAGCAGAGACCCTACAAGCTAGAAGGGGTTGGGGCCCTATCTTCAGCCTCCTCAAACAAAACAATTATCAGTCAAGAATTTTGCATCCAGTGAAACTAAGCATCACATATGAAGGAAAGATACAGTCGTTTTCAGACAAACAAATACTGAGAGAATTTGCCATTACCAAGGCACTGCTACAAGAACTGTTTAAAGGAGCTCTAAATCTTGAAAGAAATCCTGGAAACACATCAAAACAGAATCTCTTTAAAGCATAAATCACACAGGACCTATAAAACAAAAATACAAGTTAAAGAGCAAAATCAAAAAACAAACCAAAGTACGCAGGCAACAAAGAGCATGATGAATGCAATGGTACCTCAAATTTCAATACTAACATTGAATGTAAATGGCCTAAATGCTCCACTTTTCTACAGAATTGCAGAATAGATAAGAACTCACAAACCATCTGCTGCTTTTCTGCATCCCTGGTACGAAACTTACTTGATCATGGTGGATTATCTTTTTGGTATGTTGTTGCAACTGGTTAGCTAGTATTTTGTTGAGGATTTTAGCATCTGTGTTCATCAAAAATATTGGTCTGTAATGTTCTTTTTTGGTATGTCCTTTGCTGGTTTTGATATTAGGGTGATGCTGGCCTAACAACACATAAGGACTCACATAAAGTAAAGGGGTGGAGAAAGGCATTTCATGCACATAGACACCAAAAGTGAGCAGAGGTAGCTATTCTTATATCAGACAAAACAAATTTTAAAGCAACAGCAGCTAAAAGAGACAAAAGAGGGCATTATATAATGGTAAAAGGCCTTGTCCAACAGGGAAATATCACAATTCTAAACATATATGTACTAAACACTGGAGCTCCCAAATTTATAAAACAGTTACTATGGGCCGGGCACGGTGGCTCATGCCTGTAATCCCAGCGCTTTGGGAGGCTGAGGTGGGAAGATCACCAGAGGTCGGGAGTTCAAGACCAGCCTGACCAACATGGAGAACCCTTGTCTCTACTAAAAATACAAAATTAGCCAGGTGTGGTGGTGCATGCCTGTAGTCCCAGCTGCTCGGGAGGCTGAGGCAGGAGAATCGCTTGAACCCAGGAGGCGGAGGTTGCAGTGAGCTGAGATCATGCCATTGCACTCCAGCCTGGGCAACAAGAGCAAAACTCCATCTCAAAAAAACAAAACAAAACAAAACAAAACAAAAAAACCTGTTATTAATAGACCTAAGAAATGAGATAGACAGTAACACAATAATCGTGGGGGACTTCAATACTCCACTGACAGCCCTAGACAGATCATCAAGACAGAAAGTCAACAAAGAAAAAATGGATTTAAACTATACTTTGGAAGAAATAGACTTAACAGATATATATAGAACATTTCATCCCAAAACTGCAGAATACACATTTTATTCAACAGCACATGGAACGTCCTCCAAAATAGACCATACAATAGGCCATAAAACGAGCCTCAATAAATTTAAGAAAATTGAAATTATATCAAGCACTCTCCCAGACCACAGTGGAATAAAACGAAATCAACTCTAAAAGGAACCTTCAAAATGATGTACATACATGGAAATTAAATAACTTGGTCCTGAATGAGCATTGGGTCAAAAACAAAATCAAGATGGAAATTAAAAAATTATTCGAACTGAATGACAATATTGACACAAGCTACCAAAACCTCTGGGATACAGCAAAGACAGTGCCAAGAGGAAAGTTCATAACCCTAAATGCCTACATAAAAAAGACTGAAAGAGCACAAATTGACATTCTAAGGTCACAACTCAAGGAACTAGAGAAACAAGAACAAACCAAACCCAAACCCAGCAGAAGAAGGAAATAACCAAGATCAGAGCAGAACTAAATGAAATCGAAACAAACAAACAAAGATACGAAGGATAAACGAAACAAAAAGCTGGTTCTTTGAAAAGATAAATATAATTGAAAGACCATTAGCAAGGTTAAACAAGAAAAGGAGAGAAAATCCAAATAACCTCACTAACAAATGAAACAGAAGATATTACAACAGACACCACAGAAATACAAAAGATCATTCAAGGTTACTATGAATACCTTTATGCACATAAACTAGAAAACCTAGAAGAGATGGATAAATTCGTGGAAAAATACAACCCTCCTAGCTTAAATCAGGAATAATTAGATATCCTGAACAGACCAGTAACAAGCAGTGAGATTGAAATGGTAATTTTAAAATTACCAACAAAAAAATCCAAGACCAGATGGATTCACAGCAGAATTATATCAGACATTCAAAGAAGAATTGGTACCTATCCTTTTGATGCTATTCCACAAGATAGAGTAAGAAGGAACCCTCCCAAATTCATTCTGTGAGGCCAGCATCACCCTAATATCAAAACCAGCAAAGGACATAACCAAAAAAGAACATTACGGACCAATATTTTTGATGAACACAGATGCTAAAATCCTCAACAAAATACTAGCTAACCAGTTCCAACAGCATATCAAAAAGATGATCCACCATGATCAAGTAAGTTTCATACCAGGGATGCAGGGATGGTTTAACATATGCAAGTCAATAAATGTGATACACCACATAAACAGAATTAAAAACAAAAATCACATGATCATCTCAATAGACACAGAAAAAGCATTTGACAAAATCTAGCATCGCTTTATGATTAAAACTCTCAGCAAAATCAGCATACATGGGACATGCCTTAATGTAATAAAAGCCATCTATGACAAACCCACAGCCAACATAATACTAAATGGGGAAAAGTTGAAAGCATTCCCTCTGAGAACTGGAACAAGACAAGGATGCCCGCTCTTACCACTCCTCTTCAACATAGTACTGGAAGTCCTAGCCAGAGCAATCAGACAAGAGAAAGAAATAAAGGGCATCCAAATTGGTAAAGAGGAAGTCAAACTGTCACTGTTTGCTGATGATATGATCATCTACCTTGAAAACCCTAAGGACTCCTCTGGAAAGCTCCTAGAACTGATAAAAGAATTCAGCAAAGTTTCCGGATACAAGATTAATGTACTCAAATCAGTAGCTCTTCTATACACCAACAGCAACCAAGCAGAGAATCAAATCAAGAACTCAACCCCTTTTACAATAGCTGCAAAAAAACCCAAACAACAACAACAACAAAAAACCACTTAGGAATATACCTAACCAAGGAGTTGAAAGACCTCTACAAGGAAAACTACAAAACACTACTGAAAGAAATCATAGATGACACAAACAAATGGAAACACATCCAATGCTCATGGATGGGTAAAATCAATATTGTGAAAATGACCATACTGCCAAAAGCAATCTACAAACTCAATGCAATTCCCATGAAAATACCACCATCATTCTTCACAGAATTGGAAAAAACAATTCCCAAAATCATATGGAACCAAAAAAGAGCCTGTATAGCCAAAGCAAGACTAAACAAAAAGCACAAATCTGGAGGCATCACACTACCTGATTTCAAACTATACTATAAGGCCATAGTCATCAAAACAGCATGGTACTGGTATAAAAATCGGCACATAGACCAATGGATCAGAATAGAGAACCCAGAAATAAACCCAAATACTTATGGCCAACTGATCTTCCACAAAGCTAACAAAAACGTAAAGTGGGGGAAAGGACACCCTTTTCAACAAATCGTGCTGGGATAATTGGCTAGCCACATGTAGGAGAATGAAACTGGATCCTTATCTCTCATCTTATACAAAAATCAACTCAAGATGGATTAAGGACTTAAACCTAAGACCTGAAACTATAAAAATTCTAGAAGGTAACATTGGAAAAACCCTTCTATACATTGGCTTAGGCGAGGACTTCATGACCAAGAACCCAAAAGCAAGTGCAACAACAAAAATTAATAGCTGGGACCTAATTAAACTAAAGAGCTTTTACACAACAAAAGGAACAGTCAGCAGAGTAAAAAGACAACCCACAGAGTGGGAGAAAAGCTTTACAATCTATACATCTGACAAAGGACTAATATCCAGAATCTACAACCAACTCAAACAAATCAATAAGAAAAAAATAACGATCCCATCAAAAAGTGGACTAAAGAGATGAATAGACAAGCCTCAAAAGAAGATATACAAATGGCCAACAAACATATGAAAAAATGCTCAACATCACTAATAATCAGGGAAATGTAAATCAAAACCACAATGTGATACCACCTTAGTCCTTCAAGAATGGCCATAATCAAAACATCAATAAACAGTAGATGTTCGCATGGATGCGGTGATCAGGGAATGCTTCTACACTGCTGGTGGGAATGTAAACTAGTACAGCTGCTATGGAAAACAGTGTGGAGATTCCTTAAAGAACTAAAAGTAGAACTACCATTTGATCCAGCAATCCCACTACTAGCCCAATACCCCAACCTTACCAGCTATATTTAAAGAACCTTGCTGGTCTCAAGGTACTGACAAGATGTGACACATTCTAAGCTCCTGAAATCCATCCAAAACAGAGATGGCAGTCTGGACAAACACAAAGATTAGAGAGGCAGCTTAAAACCTCTGGCCACATGGATTGGTGAAAACCTTCTTCTATACAAGGCTAGTCAAACAAGATGGAGAGAAGTAGATATTTTATCTAATGTGCAGAAACCAACACAAAGAATCAAGAAAAATGAAGAAACAGGATTATATTCCAAATAAAAGAACAAGATAAATCTCCAGAAACTGACCCAAAGGTAGTGGAGTTTCATAATTTACCCAACAGGGAATTCAGAATAGTGGTCATAAAGATGCTAACAGGGGTCAGGGCAGCAATGGAAGAACAAGATGATAACTTAAAGAGATAGAAAGTATTACAAAGAACCAAATGGAAATCATAGATCAGAAGAATATTATAACTGAACTGAAAAATTCAGTAGTGGGATTCAACAACAGAATAGATCAAGCAGTCAAAAGAATCAGTGAACTTGGAGACGGAACACTGGAAATCATTCAATCTGAGGAACAAAAAGAAAAAAATGACAAAGAGTGAAGATAACTTAAGTGACGTATGGGATACCATCAAGCAAAATAACTTACACATAATTGATAGCCAGAGTCAGAGCCAGAAGTAGAAAAAAGAGAGAAAGGGAGAGAAAACATATACAAAGAAATAATGGTAGAAAACTTCCCAAGTCCAGGAAGAAATTGGAAAGCCAGATCCAGGAAGTCCATAGCACACCAAATAAGATGAACCTAAGGAGATCCACACCAGGACACATCATAGTCAAATTGTTAAAAGTTAAAAGACTGAGAGAGTATTGAAAGCAGCAAGGGAAAAGCAAATTATCATAGGGGAACCTCCATAAGAATATAAATAGACTTCTCAGCAGAAACCTTGCAAGCTATAAGAGAGTGGGATGATATAGACAAAACCCTGAAAGAAAAAGACCACCAATCAAGAAAACTATACGCAGCAACACTGTCTTTCAAAAAATGAAGGGGTGATTAAGACTTTCTCAGAAAAACAAAAGTTGGGAGACTTTATTACCATTAGACCTGCATTACAAAAACTAAATGAACTTCTTCACCTGAAGGAAGAGGATGCTAATTAGTAACTAAATCATATGAAAGTATAAAACTCACTGGTAAAAGTAAGTACATTGACAAATACAAAACCCTCTAATACTGTAACAGCAGTAGGTAAATCAATTATATTTCTAGTATAAAGTTCAAAAGGGAAAACCATTAAAAACAACTAAAGCTACAATAATTTGCTAAGGGATACATGTTATAAGATGATATAAAAGTGTAACATCAAAAACAAAACATGGGAGGAGGTGGAGTAAAAGTGGAGGTATTGTGTATGCAATCAAAATTAAGTTATTATTGGATAAATTAATCTGTTATGAGTATAAGATGTTTTTATTTTTTAAATTTTAATTTAATTTAATTTTTGAGACTGGGTCTTGCTTTATCACCCAGGCTGGAGTGCAGCGGCATGATCATGGCTCACTGCTGGCTTGAACTCCTGGGCTCAAGTGATCCTCCCACTTCAGCCTTTCAAGTAGCTGGGACCACAGGTGTGTGCCATCATGCCCAGCTAATTTTTATTTTATTTATTTATTTTTAACTTTAAAAATTTTATATTTTTCATTTCCATAGGTTTTTGGGGAACAGGTGCTATTTGGTTACATGAGTAAGTTCTTTAGTGGTGATTTGTGAGATTTTGGTGTACCCATTTTACCTGAGCAGTATACACTGAACCCAATTGTAGCCTTTTATCCCTCACCCCCTTCTCACCCTTTTCCCCTGAGTCCCCAAAGTCCATTGTATCATTCTTCTGCCTTTGCATCCTCATAGCTTAGCTCCCACTTATAAGTAAGAACATATGATGTTTGGTTTTCCATTGTTGAGTTGCTTCACTTAGAATAATAGTCTGCAATCCCATCCAGGTTGCTGTGAATGCTATTAGTTCATTCCTTTTTATGGCTGAGTAGTATTCCATCATATACATGTATATATATGTGTATATATATATTGTGTATACATATATATATATACACACACACCACAATTTCTTTATCCACTTGTTGATTGATGGGCATTTGATGGCCAGCTAATTAAAAAAAAATTTTTAAGAGATGGGGTCTTACTATGTTGCCCAGGCTGGAGTGCAGTGGCTATTCAGAGGCATGATCATGGTGTACTATAGCCTTGAACTCCTGGGGTCAAGTGATCCTCCTGTCTCAGCCTCCCAAGTAGCTAGAATTACAGGCATGCACCACTGTGCCTGGCTGTATAAGATGTTTTGTGTAAACCTCAGGGTAACCACAAAGCAAAAGCCTACAATACAAATACAAAAGAGAAAAAGAAAAGACCCAAGGTATACCACTACAGAAAGCCATCAAACAACTAAGAAAGAAAGCAAGGGAAAAGGAAGGGAGCAAAAGATCTATAAAACAACTAGAAATATCCAGAATCTATAGGGAACTTAAATCAACAAGCAAAAAGCAAATAACCTCATTGAAAAGTGGGCAAAGGACATGAACAGACACTTCTCAAAAGAAGACATACAAGTGACCCACAAACATGAAAAATGCTCATAATCTCTAATCATCAGAGAAATGCAAGTCAAAACCACAAGGAAATACCATCTCACACCAGTAAGAATGGCTTTTGTTAAAAAGTAGAAGACAAAAACAGATATTGGTGAGGCTGCAGCAAAAAGGGGACACCTGTATATGGCTGGTGGAAATGTAAAAATTAGTCCAGACACTGTGGAGAGCAGTTTGGAGATTTCTCAAAGAACTAAGAGTTGAACTACCATTCGACCCAGCAATCCCATTACTCGGTATACACCCAAACAAAAATAAATTGTTCTACCAAGATGACACGTGCATCCATATGTTCATCACAGTGCTATTCATAATAGCAAAAACATGGAATCAACCCAGGTACCCATCAACAGTGGACTGGATAAAGAAAATGTGGTATGCAGACACCATGGAATACTATGCAGCCATAAGGAAAAATGAAATCATGTCCTTTGCAGCAACGTGGATGCAGCTGGAGGCCATTATCCTAAGGGAACTAATGCAGAAACAGAAAACCGTACACTGCATGTTCTCACTTACAAGCGGGAGCTAAACATCAGTTACTCATGGTCATAAAGATGGCAACAAAACTAGTGACTACTAGCAGGTGGAGGAGGGGAAAGGGCTGAAAAACTACCTATTGGGTACTATGCTCACTACCTGGGTGATAGGTTCAGTCATACCCCAAACCTCAGCATCATGCAATATACATTTGTAACAAATATGTACATGTACCCCGACTCTAAAAAGTTGAAAAAAAAAACCTCTAGAAAACAATGAACAAAATGGCAAGAGTAAGTTCATACCTATCAATAATAATCTTGAATGTATACGAATTAAATTCTTCAATTAAAAGACATACAATGACTGGATGATAAAAAAACAAGACCTGTATATATGTGTCCAACAAGAGGCTCACCTCATATGTAAGGACACACATAGACTGAAAGTGAAGGGATGAAAAGAGGATACTTCCTGCAAATGTAAATTAAAAGAGAGCAGGAGTAGCTATATTTATATCAGATAAAACAGACTTTAAGTCAAAAACAGCAAAAAGAGACAAAGTCATCGTATGAAGATAAATAGGTCAATTCAGCAAGAGTATATAACAATTGTAAATATATATGCACCTAACACCTGAACACCCAAATATGTATAGCAAATATTGATGGATCTAAAGGTAGAGATAGACTACAATATAATAATACTAGCGGACTTTTAACAGACCACTTTCAGCAATGGACAGATTGTCCAGACAGAAACATCAGCAAAAAAATCAGAGCTAAACTACACTCTAGACCAGGTGGACCTAACTGACATTTACAGAGCATTTCATCAAACAATTTCAAAATACACATTCTTGTCATCAGCACATAGAATATTCTTCAGGTTGGACCATATGGGCTAGGTCATAAAACAAGTCTCAAAAAATTTAAAACATTGAAATCATATCAATTATCCTTTCTGACCATAGTAGAATAAAACTAGGAATCAATAACAAGAGGAACTTTGGAAACTGTACAAATACATGGAAATTAAACATGCCTTTGGACAACCAATGGCTAAAGGGAGAAATTAAGAAGAAAATTTTTAAAATTTCTTGAAAGAAATGAAAATGGAAACCCACCATACCAAACCTATGGGATACAGAAAAAGCAGTACTAAGAAGGAAGTTTGTAGTAATAAATGCCTATGTCAAAGAAGTAGAAGATTTCAAATAAACAACCTAATGATGCACTTCAGGGAACTAGAAAAACAAGAACAAGCCAAACCCAAAATTAGTAGAAGGAAATGAATAAGAAATGTCAGAGCAGAAATAAACAAAATAGAGACTAGAAAAACAATACAAAAGATCAAGAAAACAAAAGGTTGGTTTTATGAAAAGATAAAATTAAAAAAAAAACTACTAGTTAAACTAAGAAAGAAAAAGAGAAGACCCAAAGAAATAAAATCAGAAATAAAAAAGAAGACATTACAAGTGATAAAACAGAAATATGAATTATCATTAGAGAATATTATGAACAACAATACACTAACAAATTGGAAAACCTAGAGAAAATGGATTAATTCCTGGTCACATATAACCCACCAAGATTGAAAAAAATAGAAAACATGAACAGGCTGATAACAAGTAATTAGACTGAATCAGTAATACAAAGTCTCCCAATAAAGAAAAGTCTAGGACTGGATGGCTTCACTGCTGAGTTATACCAAAGTTTTAAAGAAGAACAAACATAATTTATCCTCAAACTATTCCAAACAATGGAAGAGGAAGGAATTCTTTCTACTCATTCTACAGAGCCAGCATTACTCTGATACCAAAACTAGACAAGGACACAACAACAAAAAAAGAAAACTACAGGCAAATAGCCCTGATGAACATAGATGAGAAATGCTCAACAAAATGTTAGTAAACCACATTCCACAGCACATCAAAAAGATTATACAACATGATCAAGCAGAATTTATCCCAGGAATGGAAGGCTGGTTGAACATATGCAAATCAATAAATGTGATATATCATATCAACAGAATGAAGGACAAAAACCATGTAATCATCTCAACACATGCAGAAAAACATTTAATAAAATTCAACATCTCTTCATGGTAAAAACTATCAACAAATTAGGTATAGAGAAAAACATACCTCAAAACAATAAAGACCATATATGATGAACCCACAGCTAACATCAAACTGAATAAGGAAAAGTTGAAAGCATTTTTTTTTAAGATCTGGACAAAGACAAGGAAGCCTAGTTTCACCACTTTTATTCAACATAGTGCTGGAAGTCTTAGCCAGAGCAATTAGGCAGGAGAAAGAAATAAAGGGCATCCAAATTGGAAAGGAGGAAGTCAAATTGTCCCTGTTTGCAGATAACATGATCTTATATTTTGAAAACCCCAAAGACTCGTCCAAAACACTCTTAGAACCGATAAATGAATTCAGTAGGATTCAAAATATCTCAAATAATATATAAAATATCTCAAAATAATAAGAGCTATTTATGACAAACCCATAGCCAATAACATACTGAATGGGCAACAGCTGGAAGCATTCCCTTTAAAAACCGGCAGAAGACAAGGATGCCCTCTCTCACCACTCCTATTCAACGTAGTATTTGACGTTCTGGCCAGGGCAATCAGGCAAGAGAGAGAAATAAAGGATATTCAAATAGGAAGAGAGGAAGTCAAATTGTCTCTATTTGCAGATGACATGGTTGTGTACTTAGAAAACCCCATAATCTCAGCCCCAAAACTCCTTAAGCTAATAAGCAACTTCAGCAAATTCTCAAGATACAAAATTGATGTGCAAAGATCACAAGCATTCCTAAACACCAATAATAGACAAGCAGAGAGCCAAATCATGAGTGAATTCCCATTCACAATTGCTACAAAGAGAATAAAATAGCTAGGAATACAACTTACAGGGGACATGAAGGACCTCTTCAAGGAGAACTACAAACCACTGCTCAAGGAAATAAGGGAGGACACAAACAAATGGAAAAACATTCCATGGTCATGGGTAGGAAGAATAAATATCGTAAAAATGGCCACACTGCCCAAAGTAATTTATACATTCAATGATATTCTCATCAAGCTACCATTGACTTTCTTCGCAGAATTAGAAAAAATTACTTTAAATTTCATATGGAACCAAAAAAGAGCCCGTATAGCAAAGACAAGCAAAAAGAACAAAGCTGGAGGCATCACACTGCCTGACTTCAAACTATAATACAAGGGTACAGTAACCAAAACAGCATGGTAGTGGTACCAAAATAGATATATAGACCAATGGAACAGAACAGAGGCCCCAGAAGTAACACCACACATCTACAACCATCTGATTTTGACAAACCTGACAAAAACAAGCAATGGGGAAATGATTCCCTATTTAATAAATGGTGCTGGGAAAACTGGCTAGCCATATGCTGAAAACAAACTGGACCCCTTCCTTACACCTTATACAAAAATTAACTCAAGGTGGATGAAAGACTTAAATTTAAAACCCAAAACCATAAAAACCCTAGAAGAAAACCTAGGCAATACCATTCAGGACATAGGCATGGGCAAAAACTTCATGACTAAAACACCAAAAGCAATGGCAACAAAAGCCAAAATTGACAAATGGAATCTAACTAAAGAGCTTCTGCACAGAAAAGAAACTATCATCAGAGTGAACAGGCAGCCTACAGAATGGGAGAAAATGTTTGCAATCTTTCTATCTGACAAAGGTCTAATATCCAGAATCTACAAGGAACTTAAACAAATTTACAAGAAAAAAACAACCCCATCAAAAAGTGGGCAAAGGATATGAACAGACACTTCTCAAAAGAAGACATTTATGTGACCAACAAACATATAAAAAATGCTCATCATCAGTGGCTATTAGAGAGATGCAAATGAAAACCACAATGAGATACCATCTCATGCCAGTTAGAAAGGCGATTATTAAAAAGTCAGGAAACAACAGATGCTAGAGAGGATGTGGAGAAATAAGAACGCTTTTACACTGTTGGCAGGAGTGTAAATTAGTTCAACAATTGTGGAAGACTGTGTGGTGATTCCTCAAGGATCTAGAACCAGAAATACCATTTGACCCAGCAATCCCATTACTGGGTATATACCCAAAGGATTAGAAATCATCCTACTATAAAGACACATGCACACGTATGTTTATTGCAGCACTATTTACAATAGCAAAGACTTGGAACCAACCCAAATGCCCATCAATGATAGACTGGATAAAGAAAATGTGGCACATATACACCATAGAATACTATGCAGCCATGAAAAAGAATGAGTTCATGTCCTTTGCAGGGACATGGATGAAGCTGGAAACCATCACTGTCAGCAAACTAACGCAGGAACAGAAAACCAAACACCGCACGCTCTCACTCATAAGTGGGAGTTGAACAACGAGAACACATGGACACAGGGAGGGGAACATCACACACTGGGGCCTGTCGGGGGATGGGGGTCAAGGGGAGGGAGAGCATTAGGACAAATACTTAATGCATGCCGGACTTAAAACCTAGATGACCGTTGATGGGTGCAGCAAGCCACTATGGCACATGTATGCCTATGTAACCTGCACGTTCTGCACATGTATCCCAGATCTTAAAATAATAAATAAATAAATAAATAAGTTTCTGCATCACAGGCTAGTGTGAAGCCAACCAAATTGAAGTGTGGTAACAAAGAAAACACGACATTCATTTGCCAGAGCCCTTTCTTCCAAAATAGCGGGCATGATTGGGAAAGAACTCCCAACTCCCTGAGTTGGGAAAGTCTCCCTGAGTAGGGAAAGAAGAATGGAAAATATATCCAACATTCTAACTTTTCTGGAGTGGGGGCGGTGGCTTCCCATGGGACTAGTGTCTGTCTTGCTAAAGCTAAGTACTGATAAGAATGGGGTGCCAGGTTGGGGGCTGCTGAGAAAAAGAGAGTTAAATGTGCACCAGAGTGCATTATCACAGATAGACACTAGGCGGCGCTCCAGTGCTATGTCTTATTAAACCACCAGCGAGGCTGCAGTACTACAGATAGACACCAGGTGGGGCTCCTGAGTAGAAGCCAGTAAAGTTCAACTGGGAGCTTAACATACAAAAGCCCAGACAGGAAGGATCCTTAGAAAGCTTTATATGTCTCCAGAACTCTAGTTGATCTAATTGGAGAAAGTCCTCCCTGTATGAAACCAGACTCCAAAGACTGCAATAGGTGGCTGTTTCGTGAATGAAGTCCCAACAGATGATAACAAGGCATACAAAGAAACAAGGAAACATGACCCAACAAAAGAACGTTAATATTCAGAAACTGTCCCTAAAGAAGTAAGATAAGTGAATTACCAGAGGAAGAATTTAAAAATAACCACCATAAGGATGCTCAATGTGAATTAAAAGAGAGTACAGACAGACAACTAAATAAAATCAGGAAAATGAACAAAATGAGAATATCAACAGATATAAAAACCATGAAGAAGAGCCAAACAGAAATTCTGAAACTGAAGAATACAATAACTGAATTGAAAACCTCACTATAGAAGTCCAACAGCAGATTTGACCAGATAGAACAAATCAGTGAACTTGAAGACAGGAAATTGAAATTATCTAGACAGAGGAGCCAAAAGAACAAAAGAATGAATAAAACTGAACAGAGCCTAAAGGACTTATGGGACACTCTCAAATGTAACAATATATGCATTATGGGAG
The DNA here is from genome assembly GCF_000001405.40 of Homo sapiens. Taxonomy (NCBI): domain Eukaryota; kingdom Metazoa; phylum Chordata; class Mammalia; order Primates; family Hominidae; genus Homo; species Homo sapiens. The sequence continues at coordinate 100,768,229 of NC_000023.11, read as the reverse complement.
TCCTTGAGGGGGAAAAAAAAGAGGAAGGAGCAGAGAATTTGAAGAACTGTTTGAAGAACTAATGGCTGAAAACTTCCCATATCAGAGGAGAGAAAGACATACATATTCAAGAAGCTCAAAGAAATTCAACTAGGATAAATATAGAGAGACCTATACTGAGGCACATTATAATCAAACTATAAAAAGTCACAGGCAAAGAGAGAATCTTGTAAGCAGCAAAAGAAAAACAACTTGTCATTTAAAAGTGCGCTTCTAATAGATCGTCAACAGATTTTTCAGCAGAAACCTTGCAGGATAGAACTGATGTATTCAAAATTCTGAAATAAAAAACTGCTACTCAATAATATTATATCTGGCAAAACTGTCCTTCAAAAATGGAGGCAAAATGAAGAGTTTCTGAGATAAACAAAAGCTGAGGGAGTTAATCACACTAGACCTGTCCTATAAGAAATGCTGAAGAAAGTCTGTCAAGTTGAAGAAAAAAGACAATAAACAGCAATGTGAAACCATACAAAAATATAAAATTCCTTGGTAAAGGTTAATATGTAGATAAATGTAGAATCCTGTAGGTAGTATTTTAATGTAGATACATAAATCACTTTAAAAATCTTATCTAGCATTTAAAAACAAGAGCAGAAAAGGTAATTTTAAATCTATGTTAATGGTATGCAATATTAAAGAGATATTTTGTGTCATGAAATTAAGTTGTTATAAGTTCAAAATAGATTGTTATAACTTTAAGCTGTTTTATGTAATTACAATGGCAACCACAAAGAAAATACCTATAGAGATCAGAGGAGGGAGGTGGAGCAAAATGGAAGAATAGAAGACTCCACCAATCATCCCCCCTGCAAGTACACCAGTTCAACAACTATCTACACAGAAAAAGCACCTTCATAAGAACCAAGTATCAGATGTGCACTCACAGCACCTGGTTTTAACTTCCTTTGCTGAAAGAGGCACTGAAGAGATAGGAGAAACAGTCTTGAATTGCCAATGCCACTCCTCCCCCAACCCCTGGCAGCAGCTGTGTGGTGCAGAGAGCATCTCTGGGTGCTGGGGGAGGAAGAACACAGCAATTGTGAGGTTTTGAACTCAGTGCTGTCCTTTTAGAGCAGAAAGGAAAACCAGACCAAACTCAGCTTGATGTGTGCCCACAGAGGGAGCATTTAAACCAGCCCTAGCCAGAGGGTAATTTCTGATCCCAGCAGTTGGAACTTTAGTCTCCACAAGCCTCACCACTGTGGGCTAAAGTGCTCTGGGTCTCTAAATAATCTTGAAAGGCAGTCTAGGCCTCAAGGACTATAACTCCTAGGAAAGCCCTAGTGCTTAACTGGGGCCACAGACAGTGGACTGCAGGGGAGCATGCAACCTGCTGAGACACCAGTCAGGGTGGCTGAAGGAGTACTGGTATCACTCCTCTCCTAACCTGAGGCTGCTCAGCTTGTGGCTCCAAAAGAGACCCCTTCCTTCCACTTGAGGAGAGGAAAGGGAAGAGTAGGGAAGACTTTGTCTTGCATCTTGGGTACCAGCTCAGCCACAGCAGGACAGGGCATGAGTCAGAGCCATGAGGCCCTCTTTTCAGATTCTAGTTCCTGGATAACATTTCTAGACATATGCTGGGCCAGAAGGGAACTCACTGCCTTAAAGGGAAGGACCCACTCCTGGCAGGCTTCATCACCTGCTAACTGAAGAGCTCTTGGGCCCTGAATGACCAGCAACAATACCCAGGTACTACATTGAGGGCCTTTGGTGAGACTCTGAGACCTGCTGGCTTCAGGTGAGACTCAGCACATTCCCAGCTGTGATGGCTATGGAATGGAGACTGCTCTTTGAGACTCCTTCTTGAGAAAAGCAGAGGAAAAGTAAAGGGGATTTTGTCTCACACCTTAGGTACCAGCTCAGCCACAGGGGAATAGAGCACCAAGTGGGCTCTTAGGGTCCCTGATCCCAGGACTTGGCTCTTGGATGGGATTTCTGGACCTGCCCTGGGCCACAGGGGAGCCCACTGCCCTGAAGGGTGAGTCCAAGGCCAAGCAGCATTCACCACAAGCTGACTGAAGAGCCCTTTGGCCTTAAGTGAACATCAGTGGTAGTCTGGCAATACTCCCCATGGTGGCCATGAGGTAGGAACCTCTGCCTTTGGAAAGGGGAGGGAAGAGTAGAAAGGATTGCATCTTGTGGTTTGAGTGCCAGCTTAGCCCAGTGTGGTAGAACACCAAATAGATGTCTATGGTTTTTCACTCTAGTCCCTGACTCCCAGACAGTACCTCTGGATGTGCCTGGGGCCTGGGGGAACTCATGGCCCTGAAAAGAAGGACACAGGCTTGGCTGGCTTTGCCACCTGCTGATTGTAGAGCCGTAGGGCCTTGAGCAAACATAGGTGGTAACCAGAGAGTGGATATAGCAGGCCTTGGGTGAGACCCAGTGGTGTGCTGGCTTCAGGTCTGACCCAATGCAATCATAGTGATAGTGGCCACAGGAGTGCTTGTGTCACTCAACCTCCAGCTTCAGGTGGCTCAGGACAGAGAGAGAGAGAGAGAGATTGTTTGTTTGGGAGAAAGTAAGGGAAGAGAACAAGAGTCTCTGCCTGGTAATCCAGAGAATTCTCCCAGATCTTGTCCAAGACCATCAAGGTGGTACCTCTGAGTCTGCAAGAACTACAGTGTTACTGAGCTTGGGGTGCCCCCTAAAGTAGATAAAGCTTAGATCACAACACCCAAGTCCTTTTGAATATCTGGAAATCTGTCCAAGAAGGATGGGTACAAACAAGCCTAAACTGTGAAGACTATAATAAATACCTAACTCTTTAATGCCCAAACCTAAAAGTACAAAATTCACTGATAACAGTAAGTACTCAGAAAAGCAGTAGAATATTACAACCCTGTAACTGTGATAACTGTGATGTGTAAACTACTCTTTTTTTTTTTTTTTTTGAAACGGAGTCTCACTCTTTCGCCCAGGCCAGAGTGCAGTGGCACAATCTCGGCTCACTGCAAGCTCCGCCCCCCAGGTTCACGCCATTCTCCTGCCTCAGCCTCCCAAGTAGCTGGGACTACAGGCGCCCGCCACCACGCCTGGCTAAATTTTTGTATTTTTTTTTTAGTAGAGACGGGGTTTCACCGTGTTAACCAGGATGGTCTCGATCTCCTGACCTCGTTATCCGCCCGCCTCAGCCTCCCAAAGTGCTGGGATTACAGGCGTGAGCCACCGCGCCCAGCCTTAAACTACTCTTATCTTTTTTATTTTTGTTTTTGAGATGGAGTCTTGCTCTGTCGCCCAAGCTGGAATGCAGTGGCATAATCTCAGCTCACTGCAACCTCCGCTGCAACACGCAAGCCCAAGCTGGCAGTTCTTGTTGCCTCTGACCTTAGTGGTATGGAGATCCTGCAGAAGCCAGGCCCTTCACCTCAGAGTTAAACACATACCTGGCTCAGGAGTCGAAGGAGTTGAAGGAGGACCTAGGGGAAGGTGGAGCAGTTGTAGGCCCAGATGTGCTCCATACAAAAAAGGTGAGCCAGCAGATAAGCAGCAAATGTGTGAGCTGCAAAACGGCTATTGCTTCACTTCCATCCTCCAAATCTCTCACAGGAATCTTTTGTGGCCCACCCTAACAAGAAGCATAGAGAAAAGGGAATTCTGGAAAATGCAGTTCAGCCTAACTTGTTGACAAATATTAAAGCCACCACAGATACATAACATGAATCTAATCATGAAGAAATATTAGAATAATCCAAATTCAGGGACAGTCTCCAAAATAACTGTAATCTTCACAAGTTTCAAGATTATAAAAGTTAAGGAAAGACTGAGGAAACATTCCAGACTAAAGGGGACTAAAGATACATTACAACTTAATGCAACCTATAATTCTGTCTTGAATCCTTTTACTCTGATGGGCAATTGTCACAACTTGAATGGGGTCTGAGGATTAGATGGTAATAATGTAGCAGTGTTAATTTCCTGATACTGATGGTTGGCTTGTGATTATATGGGAGAATGTCCTTGTTTGTCAGAAATACACACTTAAATATCTGAGGAAATACACACTTAAGTATTTAGGGGTGAATGAGCAGCAGGTTGGCAATTTATTCTAAAAAGATTTCAGAAAAAAATGTCATTTGTATTTACCACTTTTCCATAAGTTTTCTGTATACTTGTAATTGCTTCAAAATAAAAAAAATTAATAAAAATATGCATTGATAAGCAGAGCAACTGCATCCTTGATAAGCTCAGTGGTGGCTATATTCTAAAGGCCAGAAATAATGGTGAGGGATACTGCAATACAATTAGGTCCCCTGACCTCAAATAGAAACAATGGGATCCCAAAGTGGTAAAGGTCAGGTGGACAAGATAGGGACCATTATCACAGTAGCACACAGGAACAGAATGGTAATCTGAATGTTTTGACCCACAAGAATCTGTGGCAATGGCTAATTGATCACCGGGTAACTAGAAATAGAATAGATAGTCAGCTTACTAAAGTACTGTTTGACATATGGTGATGGTTAATTTTAGGTGTCAACTTGACTGGATTAAAGGATACCCAGATAGCTGGTAGAGCATTATTTCTGGATTTGTCTGTGAGGATGTTTCAGTAAGAGATTGACATTTGAATCAGTGGACTGAATAAGGAAGATCTGTCCTTACCCAATATGGGGAGGTATCATGCAATCATCTGAGGACCCAGATAGAACAACAACAACAACAAACAGAGAAAATGTGAACTTGCTCTCTCTCTCTCTTCCGGAACTGGGACGCCCATCTTCTTTTGCCCTTGAACATCAGAACTCCAGATTCTCTGGTCTTCGGACTCTTGGATTTGTAGCACTGGTTCCCTGTGTTCTTGGACATTTGGCCTCAGACTGAGAGTTACATTGGCTCCCCTGGTCCTCAAACCTTCAGACTTGGACTAAGCCAAACTGCCATCTTCCCTGGTTCTCCAGCTTACAGGCAGCATATTGTGGGACTTCTCAGCCTCTGTAATAATATGAGCCAATTCCCCTATTAAATCTCCTCTCCTATCTATCTATCTATCTACCTATCTATCTATCTATGTATCTATCTGTCTAGTCTATCCATCCGTTCTATTGGTTTGGTTTCTTTGGAGAACTCTGACTAATATAGATTTTGATACCAAGAGTGGTTGTAGAGGAAGAGAATTTTAAGGATGAGTCTCCTGAATTGGTTTTGGGAATTGGCTCTTTAATCCGATTAGACTTAAAAATGCTAAAAACTCTATTTCCAATAGTACAGAAAGCACTAATAGCCCATGGCATGAACTGTTTATAGAGATAAGCGAAATGTCTGCATTGTATACACCTAATTAACCACTTATAAGAGGGCAAATAACTTAGTGACCCTGTATACGATACTTTCAAACATTTGTAGAAAACTAAGGAATATAATGATATCGGTTGGTTGCTCCTAATGTCACTGGACAAAGTGATGAAAGAAAAGGATGAACTCAGAGATTCAAATTCTAGGCTCAAGCAATGCATACATGACCTTAGAGTTTCTAGGTATATCCTGAGGGAGAATCTTATGTCCTGTAGCCACAGGGATAAAACTGCTAAAAACCAAACACAAATTTTCATTATATAATTGGCTGAATTACAATAAAAGTTGAGCTCCCAGTCTTGCAGAGTATTTACTGTTAAAGTGAGAGCATTGATTGGGAAAGAATGGGATCCTGTAAGTTTGGATGTGGATGTGTGGAAAGACTCTGATGAAGTTGGGGACATTGAACTCCTAAATTTGGATGAGTCTTTTATGCCAGTGGAAGTTGCTTCTTCACCCCTAGCAGCAGTGTCATCCCAACCCCGACCCACAGCAGCATCTGCCTTTCCACCTCTGTCTGAGGGGATTAACTTTGCATTGCCTGAGAAAATGGTAATGGCATTTCCTAAGGCAGTTGTCAAGCAAGACAATTCAGATTTTTCTCAGCACCTATCCACCACCCCTCTTTGCTTCTAGACTTATAACTAGACTGAAGCCCCAGCAGGCCCCTAAAGGTGAGGTACAAAGTGTGACCCATGAGGAGGTGCACTGCATTCCAACAGAACCACTTGAAAATCTTCCAATTTATACAAGAAGAAATCTGGGGAACATGCGTTGGAATAGATATTGAAGGTTTGGTATAGTATTGGAAGGAATATAAAGTTGGATCAGGCTGAATTTATTGATATTGACCTACTAAGCAAACAGCCTTCATTTAATGTTGCAACTCAGGGAGTTAGGGCTCTAACAGTTTGGGTGTTTAGCTGAAAGATGGATCAAAAGATGGCTCATGGGTAAGTTGGAGATGCCTATTATCTCTTGATTTAACATACAGGAAGAACTTGAGAGGCTTAAGGAGATTGGAATGTAGTTAGGGAAGATTTGCCATTTAAGACCTAGTCACCCACTTTGGGAGAGTTCAGGAGACATAACCTTCGCCAATACTTTAAGAAATAGATTTCCAAGTGGAGCCCCAACATCCTTGAAAAGCTCTGTGATTGCTCTTCTCTGTAGGCCAGACCTTGCTGTAGGAACCACAGTCACTCAATTGGTAAAATTAAATTCCGTGGGAGTAACTGGATCCCAGGGTAGCATGGGTCAAGTGGCAGCACGGGTCAAGTGGCAGCACTCAACTGCCAAAGGCATGGTGAGCATAGTTATGATGAACAGCAGAGTCAGAGCAACCATCAGAATACTCTGACTTGTATAGACTACGGCATTGGCCAATTAATCATGGTGTTCTTAGAAGTGAAATAGATGGGAAGCCTACTACATTCTTTTTTAAAATTATTTTTATTATTATTACTATTTCAATAGTTTTTGGTGAACAGGTGGTGTTTGGTTACATGGGTAAGTTCTTTAGGTGAGATTTCTGAGATTTTGGTGCACCCATCACCTGAGCAGTGTACACTGACCCCAATGTGTAGTCTTGTATCCCTTACCTCCCACTTTCCCCCCCAAGTTTCCAGAGTCCATTATATCGTTTTATTTATTTATTTATTTATTTATTTTTGAGACAGAGTCTCGCTCTGTCACCCAGGCTGGATTGCAGTGGTACAATCTTGGCTCACTGCACCCTCCACCTCCTGGGTTCAAGCAATTCTCCTGCCTCAGCCTCCCAAGCAGCTGGGATTACAGGCATGTGCCACCACACCTGGCTAATTTTTCTATTTTTAGTAGACATGGTGTTTCACCATGTTGGCCAGGCTGATCTTGAACTCCTGACCTCAAGTCATCCACCTGCCTCACCCTCCCAAAGTGGTGGGATTACAGGTGTGAGCCACCATGCCTGGCCCATTATATCATTCTTATGCCTTTGCATTCCCATAGCTTAGCTCCCACTTGTGAGAACATATGATCTTCGATTTTGCATTCCTGAGTTACTTGACTTAGAATAATCCTCTCCAACTCCAACCGGGTTGCTGCGAATGCCATTATTTCATTCCTTTTTATGGCTGAGTAGTATTCCATGGTATATATACCACATTTTCTTTATTCACTGGTTGGTTGATGGGTATTTAGGCTGGTGCCATATTTTTGCAATTGTGAATTGTTCTGCTGTAAACATGCATGTCCAAGTGTTTTTTTTTTTTTTTTTGTATAATGACTTCTTTTCCTCTACCCAGAAGAAAAGTGAGATTGCTGGATCGAATGGTAGTTCTACTTTTACTTCTTTAAGTAATCTCCATACTGTTTTCCATAGTGGTTGTGCTAGTTTACATTCCCACCAGCAGTGTAAAACTGTTCCCTTTTTACCATATCTACATCAACATTTTTTTTTAAATTTTTTAATTATGGCCATTCTTGCAGGAGTAAAGTGGTATTGAATTGTGGTTTTGATTTGAATTTATCTGATAATTAGTGATATTGAGCATTTTTTTTCATATATTTGTTGGCCATTTGTATATCTTCTTTTGAGAATTGTCTATTCATGTCCTTAGCCCAGTTTTTGATGGGATTATTTGTTTTTTTCTTGCTGATTTGTTTGAGTTCCTTGTAGATTCTGGACATTAATCCTTTGTCTAATGGATGCATAGTTTGTGAATATTTTCTCCCACTCTGTGGGATGTCTGTTTACTTTGCTGATTATTTCTTTTGCTGTGAAGTAGCCTTTTTTAGTTTAACTAAGTCCCATCTATTTATCTTTGCTTTTGTTGTGTTTGCTTTAGGGTTCTTGGTCATGAAGTATTTGCCTAAGCCAATGTCTAGAAAGATTTTTTTCGATGTTATTTTCTAGAATTTGTATGGTTTCAGGTCTTAGATTTAAGTCTTTGATCCATCTTGAGTTGTTTTGTATAAGGTGATAGATGAGAATCCATTTTTATTCTTCTACATGTGGCTTGCCAATTATCTCAGAACCATTTGTTGAATGTGGGGGTGTCCTTTCCTCACTTTATGTTTTTGTTTGCTTTGTCGAAGATCAGTTGGCTGTTAAGTATTTGGCTTTATTTCTGGGTTCTCTATTCTGTTCCATTGGTATAAGTGCCTGTTTTTATACCAGTAGCATGCTGTTTTGGTAACTATAGCCTTATAGTATAGTTTTAAGTTGGGTAATGTGATCCCTCCAGATTTATTCTTTTTGTTTAGTCTTGCTTTGGCTATGCGGGCTCTTTTTTGTTCCATATGAATTTTATGATATTTTTTCTGGTTCTATGAAGAATGATGATGGTATTTTGATGGGAAGTCCAATGAATTTATAAATTGCTTTTGCAATGGGGAAAGGATTCCCTATTTAATAAATGGTGCTGGGAAAACTGGCTAGCCATATGTAGAAAGCTGAAACTGGATCCCTTCCTTACACCTTATTCAAAAATTAATTCAAGATGGATTAAGGACTTAAATGTTAGACCTAAAACCATAAAAACCCTAGAAGAAAACCTAGGCAATACCATTCAGGACATAGGCATGGGCAACGACTTCATGTCTAAAACACCAAAAGCAATGGCAACAAAAGCCAAAATAGACAAATGGGATCTGATTAAACTAAAGAGCTTCTGCACAGCAAAATAAACTACCATCAGAGTGAACAGGCAACCTACAAAATGGAAGAAAATTTTTGCAACCTACTCATCTGACAAAGGGCTAATATCCAGAATCTACAATGAACTCAAACAAATTTACAAGAAAAAAACAAACAACCCCATCAAAAAGTGGGCAAAGGATATGAACAGACACTTCTCAAAAGAAGACATTTATGCAGCCAAAAAACACATGATGAAATGCTCATTATCACTGGCCATCAGAGAAATGCAAATCAAAACCACAATGAGATACCATCTCACACCAGTTAGAATGGCAATCATTAAAAAGTCAGGAAACAACAGGTGCTGGAGAGGATGTGGAGAAATAGGAACACTTTTACACTGTTGGTGGGACTGTAAACTAGTTCAACCATTGTGGAAGTCAGTGTGGTGATTCCACAGGGATCTAGAACTAGAAATACCATTTGACCCAGCCATCCCATTACTGGGTATATACCCAAAGAATTATAAATCATGCTGCTATAAAGACACATGCACACGTGTGTTTATAGCGGCACTATTCACAATAGCAAAGACTTGGAACCAACCTAAATGTCCAACAGCGATAGACTGGATTAAGAAAATGTGGCACATATACACCATGGAATACTATTGCAGCCATAAAAAATGATGAGTTCATGTCCTTTGTAGGGACATGGATGAAGCTGGAAACCATCATTCTCAGCAAACTATCGCAAGGACAAAAAACCAAACACTGCATGTTCTCACTCTTAGGTGGGAGTTGAACAATGATAACACGTGGACACAGGAAGGGGAACATCACACACCGGGGACTGTTGTGGGGTGGGGGGAGGGGGGAGGGATAGCATTAGGAGATATACCTAATGCTAAATGACGAGTTAATGGGTGCAGCATACCAGCATGGCACATGTATACATATGTAACAAACCTGCACGTCGTGCACATGTACCCTAAAACTTAAAGTATAATAATAATAAAATTTAAGAAAAAAGAAAAAAAGATCTGTGCTCAAAAAAAAATTGCTTTTGGCAGTAAGGTCATTTTCACAATATTGATTCTACCCATCCATAAGCATGGGATGTGTTTCCATTCATTTGTGTCACCTGTGATTTCTTTCAGCAGTGTTTTCTTTTCTTTTTTCTTTTCTTTCTTTTTTTTTTTTTTTTTGAGACAGAGTCTCACTCTGTCACCCAGGCTGGAGTGCAGTGGCGCAATCTCGGCTCACTGCAAGCTGCACCTCCTGGGTTCACGCCATTTTCCTGCCTCAGCCTTCTGAGTAGCCGGGGCTACAGGCGCCCACCACCATGCCCGGCTAATTTTTTGTATTTTTAGTAGAGACGGGGTTTCACCATGTTAGCCAGGATGGTCTCAATCTCCTGACCTCGTGATCCACCCGCTTCGGCCTCCCAAAGTGCTGGGATTACAGGTGTAAGCCACCACACCTGGCCTAGTATTTTCTAGTTTTCCTTGTAGAGATCTTTAACCCCTTTGGTTAGGTATATTACTACATTTTGTTTTGTTTTGTTTTGTTTTGTTTTGTTTTTGTAGCTGTTGTAAAATGGGTTGAGTTCTTGATTTGATTCTCAGCTTGGTTGCTGTTGGTGTGTAGCAGTGCTACTGATGTGTGTACATTGATTTTATACCCTGAAACTTTACTGAATTTATTTATCAGATCTAGGAGTTTTTGGATGAGTCTTCAGGGTTTTCAAGATATACAATCAGCATCAGCAAACAGTGGCAGTTTGACTTCCTCTTTACCAATTTGGATGCCCTTTATTTCTTTCTCTTGTCTTATTGATCTGGCTAGGGCTTCCAGTAATATGTTGAATAGAAGTGCTGAAAGTGGCCATCCTTGTCTTGTTCCAGTTGTCGGGGAGAATGCTTTTAACTTTTCCCCGTTCAGTATAATGTTGGCTGTTAGTTTGTCATAGATGGTTTTTATTACCTTAAGGTATGTCCCTTCTATGCCAATTTTGCTGAGGGTTTTAGTCACAAAGGGATACTGGATTTTGTCAAATGCTTTTTCTGCATCTATTGAGATGATCATATGATTTTTGTTTTTACTTCTGTTTATGTGTTGTATCACATTTATTGACCTGTGTATGTTAAACCAACCCTGGTATGAAACCCACTTGATCATGGTGTACTATCTTTTTGATATGTTGTCAAATTCAGTTAGCTAATATTTTGTTGAGGATTTTTGCATTTGTGTTCATCAAGGATATTGGTATGGAATTTTCTTTTTTTTATTATGTCCTTTCCTGGTTTTGGTATTAGGGTAATACTGGGGTAGCCTACTAAATTTTTACTTAATCTGTGTGAGCAGAAAACTTCCAGGTCAAATCAATAAAAGTCTAACCCAAATCATAAAAACAGAGAATCATGGTCCCTCAATCAATTCTCAGACTTGAGCCAGTTTACAAACCCAGAATCCCTTGAATGAAGGGGAGGCTGGGTCTCCTCAAGGAAAAACCCTGGTACACTACTGAAAATATTTACGGTTAATCTTTGTCCCAGCCTTCTCCAAGGGGATCTGTGGCCTTTTACCGGGGTAGCTGTGCATTGAGGGGAAAAATCAGATATTTCAGGGAGTACTTGTTCTAAACTGACATTGATTCCAGGAGACCCGAAACATCACTGTGGCCCTACACTCAGAGTAGGGGCTTATGGAGGTCAGGTTACCAATGGAGTTTTAGCTTAAGTCCAACTCACAGTGGGTTCAGTGGGACCCCAAATGCATCCTGCAGTTACTTCCCCAGTTCCAAGGTGCATAATTGGAATTGACATACTTAGCAGCTGGCAGAATTCCCACAATGGTTCCCTTACTATGGAGAGTGGGCTATTATGGTGGGAAAGGCCAAATGGAAGCCATTAGAGCTATTCTACTCAGGAAAATAGTAAATCAAAAGCAATACTTCATTTCTGGAGGGATTGCAGAAATTAGTGCCACCATTAAGTACTTGAAAGAGGCAAAGATGGTGATTCCTACCACATCCCTACTCAACTCTCCTATTTGGCCTGTGTAGAAGACAGATAGATCTTGGAGAATGAAGTGGATTATTGTAAGCTTAATCAAGTGGTGACTCCAATTGCAGCTGCTGTACCAGATGTGGTTTCATTGCTTGAGCAAATTAACACAGCTCTTGGTACCCGATATGCAGCTATTGATCTGGCAAATGCCTTTTTCTGCATCCCTATCCATAAGGCCCATCAGAAGCAGTTTGCTTTCAGCTGAAAAGGCCAGTAATACACCTTCACTGTTCTGCCTGTGAAGGGGTATATCAGCCCTGTAGCCCTATGTCATAACTTAGTTTGCGGATATCTTGATCAGTTGACAGAGGAAGAGAACACTTGGGCCTGGTTTAGATAGTTCTTCATGATATGAAGGCACCACCAGAAAGTGGACAGCTACAGCACTACAGCCCCTTTCTGAGACGTCCCTAAAGAACGATGGTGAAGGGAAATCCTCCTCGTGCACAGAACACGAAGTAATACACCTGGCTTTTCACTTTGCTTGAAAGGAGAAAGAACCAGACATGTAATTATAGACCAATTCATGGAATGTGACCAGTGGATTGGCTACATGGTCAGGGACTTGCAAGGAACATGATTGGGAAATTGATGACAAAGAAATATGGGGAAGAGGTATGTGGATGGACATCTGAACTAGCAAAAACTGTGAAGATGTCTGTGCCTCCAGCTGCATCCATGTTGATGCAAACCATACAATTTTTTTCTTTTTAATGGCTGTGTAGTATGGAATGGCCTTTTGAAGACACAGTTACAGTAGCAGGTAGATGACAGTACTTTGCAGGGCCGGGCAAGGTTCTTTGGAAGGCTCTTTCTGCTCTTAATCAGTGTCTAATATATGGTACTGTATCTCCCATGGTTATGATGCACAGGTCCAGGAATCAAGAGGTGGACATGGGAATGACACCACTTACCATTACCTGTAGTGACCCACAAACAAGCAACATTTTTGCTTCTTGTTCCTATGACTTTATGCTCTGCTGACCTGGAGGTCTTAGTTCCAGAGGGAGAAATGCTTCCACCAGGAGACATAACAATGATTCCACTGAACTGGAAGTTAAAACTGCCACCTGACCACTTTGGGCTCCTCATAACTCTGAGTCAACAGGCTAAGAAGAGAGTTACAGTGTTAGCTGAGGTGACTGATCCAGACTACCAAGGGGAAATTGGATTAGTTCTCTACAAAGGAGGTAAGAAAGAGTATGTTTAGAATACAAGGGATCCCTTAGGGCATCTCTTAATATTAACATGCCTTCTGGCTAAGGTTAATGGGAAACTGCAACAACCCAACTCAGGCAGGAGTACAAATGACCCACACCCTTCAGAAATAAATGTTTGGGTCACCATGCCAATTAAAGAACCACAACCAGCTAAGGTGCTTTTTGAAGGAAAAAGGAATATAGAATGGGAGTAGAACATAGTTATAAATACCAGCTACAACCACAAGACCAGTTACAGAAACACGGATTATAATTGTCATGAGTATTTCCTCCCTATTTTGTTAAGAATACATTTGCGGCTATATATACACATGCAGATGGTCCCCAACTTATGATGTTTGACAGTGATGTGAAAGCAATATGCAGTTAGTAGAAACTGTACTTCAAATTTTGAATTTTAATCTTTTTCCAGGCTAGTGAAATGCAGTATAGTACTCTTCTGCAATGCTGGACTATGGCAGCTCCCAGTCAGCCATGAGATCACGAGGGTAAGCAACCAATATTTTACAGTGGACTACGTTGAAAACATTACATGAATATTGTGTTTTGTGTTTTCACATCTTATTGTCTATAAAATGCCCAATTGTGTACAATATTCAATGCTTTATTATAAAATAGGCTTTGTGTTACATGATTTTGCCCAACTATAGGCTAGTGTAAGTGTTCTGAGCACATTTAAAGTAGGCTAGGCTAAGCTATGATTTTGCTAGATTCAGTGTATTAAATGTATTTTTGACCCATGATATTTTCAGTGTACAATGGGTTTATCGGGGTGTAAACCCATGGGAAGTCTAGCAGTATCTGTACCAGTATGGACTCATAGTTCCTTATTTTATTCAATAACTTGTTACTATCATTAATCTGATCCTCAAATTGTCACTAATTTGGCCAAAGGGATTCACTTTAAGATGATTTATATGTTCTTTTGACATGCCTTCAGTCATTCTTGAGCACTTCCTTGCTTTCTAGCTCAAAAGGGTGTTCCAGGCTCATCTTATCAATTTCTGTCCCAGCTCTGTAATCAGTCATTTCTTCAAGGACCTCTGGCTTCTTTTAGCCAAGAATGGTATTTAGAAACTGAGATCTGGGTGCTAAGTGTGATTGTTGCTACTGGGATGTCATTAATCCCAGGCCATCTCAGCAGATAGAGCTAGGACATACATATATATATATGTGTGTGTGTGTGTGTGTGTGTGTGTGTGTATCTAGCTGTCTATCTAAATATGTATATATACATACAAACATTTACATCTATCTATCTATCTATCTATTTTTTTTTTGAGACAAAGTCTGGCTCTGTCACCCAGGCTGGAGTGCAGTGGCGCCATCTCAGCTCACTGCAAGCTCCACCTCCCTGGTTCACTCCATTCTCCTGCCTCAGCCTCCCGAGTAGTTGGGACTACAGGAGCTCACCACCACGCCTGGCTAATTTTTTGTATTTTTAGTAGAGATGGGGTTTCACCGTGTTAGCCAGGATGGTCTCGATCTCCTGACCTCATGATCTGCCTGCCTCGGCCTCCCAAAGTGCTGGGATTACAGGCGTGAGCCACCACGCCTGGCCTACATCTATATTTTTATATTTAAAATGACAAGTTCTAATTGGACCTCCAATTCCAATCGGATACCATAAGGTTTATTTTATTTTTTTCCCTTACCATATTGGTAACTCCCTTCTTTGACGATGAGAAACATGACTTCAGTTATCCTTAATGATTTTATTAGGCCCCTCCCCTTATGTAGTTAATCTATGTCTTTACCACCCCTTCACCTATGAAGATAACTCCTAACCCCACTTTGGCTTTGACACCCGATTGCCAGGCCACTTCTCAGCATGGATGCCTTCCTCACCCTTCTTGGCTACTGATGTGCCATACCAGGATACTGGTTTTGGTAAGGATTCTCGTTCTGTCCCACTCAGTCTGTGATGTTGTACACTGCCCATCCCCACCCCACCTCACCTCCACTGTGTGGATATCCTCTTGACTGCACTATGGGTTTTGATACCCCACGCCAGGCATCTCTCTCCAAGGATGCCCTCCTCACCCTGCTCTTCTCAGGCCCTGACCCTTCAATGCCAGGCTGCCCCTCTTCCCACATGGATGCTTTTCTTACACTGTTTGGGCTCTGATGCCCCACACCAGGGATCCTCTTCCTGGAGACACCCTTCTCACTCTGCTTGGATAAAACTCCCCACTCTAGACTTGTCCTTCACCTGCATGGAAGCCTTCCTCTCATCCCACCTGGGCTCTTAGACCCTGCACCAGGAAGTCTCTCCCCTTCATGGATACCCTTCTCACGCTCCTTGGACTCTGTCACCCCATTCTAGGTCTTACCCTTGCATGTATGCCTTCCTCACCCTGCTCAGGTTCTGACACCCTGCTTTAGGCTGCCACCTCATTTCATTGAGGTACTCTTCACCTGGCACAGGATCTGTTGCCCTGTATGAGTCTGCCTGCCTTCATAGACACCCTTCTCATTCCACTTGGGCTCAGATACTGCATGCCAGGTTGCATCTCTGTGTGAATGCCTTCCTCACTCTGCTCAGCACTGACTTTGCATGCTGGGTTGTGCTCCAGTATGGACACTCTTTTAACCTCACTTAGGCTTTGAAATACCCTGTTCCGGGCGGGGAACATCACACCCTGGGGCCTGTTGGGGGGTGGGGGGCAGGGGGAGGGATAGCATTAGGAGAAATACCTAATGTAAATGACGAGTTAATGGGTGCAGCAAACCAACATGGCACAGGTATACCTATGTAACAAACCTGCATGTTGTGCACATGTACCCTAGAACTTAAAGCATATTAAAAAAAACAGAGAGGAAAAAAAAAAGAAATACCCTGTTCCATTCTTGAAGGATGCCTTCCTCACTCTGCTTGGGCTCTGATTCCCCACACCAGGCATTCCCCTTTAATCCATGTGGATGCTTTCCTCACCATCTTCAGACTCTAAAGCCACCTCTTCTTAGGGATGTCCTTCTCCCTCTGCTCTGGCTGTGACTCCTCATGCTTGACTGTCCGGTAGTGTGGACACTCTCCTAATCCTTCTTGAGTGCTATACCCCCAAGCCAGGCGACCCCTCTTCACGAAATTCCTCCTTTCCCTGTTTGGGCTTCGCCACTCTATTCAGGCTGTTCCTATGTGTGATGCCCTCCATACGTGCATGGGTGTCCTCATACTCTGGTTAAGCTCCATCTCCGTAACCCTATACCACACCTTTCTACTCTACTCAGACTTAACATTCTGCCCTTCAGATGCCTCCATTGCTCTGCCTCCACCTAATGGCTTTCAGACTAAATTTCCCAGGAATGAGAGGAAAGAGGAAAGACATCGATGCCTTTTTCTAAATGCCTTGGTGAAGGAAGTGTCCTCTGTGTGTTTCCAGGAGGGATGCCTAGGGGCGTAGCTAAACAGTTTGTACATAGATCCATTTCATTATATCCATTACCCTGAATCTTTGGACTCCGTATTCCACAGGACATCAGAGAAGTTCAGGCATTTTAACTTCAATAACTGCAGGCCATCACTGGGTCCAGGTTTTAATTAGCCAATTTAACATACCATTACAACATACCCTAGTGCTTGAATTTTAAGTTTTGAATTCTGGATGAATACACCTGTGCTGAAGAATTCACCTCTATCAAGTCTTGTATTTTTTCCTCCTTGATCTCACTCATACCCCTAGAACTCACTTCTGAACATGCTTCCTGTGCTCCAGTCAATACAGACTGGTGAGGTCTTAGGTCTCTTTTGGGATAAAAGCTCTCTCTCTTGGGCCAGGCCTTGTTCTTTTGTAATTCATGCTATTGTTGGGTCTAACTCTCCACATGGACTTGAAGCAGATGAGAGTGTGGATCCAGAAAAAGCTCAACACTAGCTTGCCTGGTAACTGCCCTAGGGGTGTTTATTTAAGATTTTATGCTGAGGAGGGCTGATTCCCTGTGCGTAGGGGGAGGGAGATGAGGGAATTCATTCCTCATTTCAGCAACTGGGTACTGTAACAGCTATGCATATTTTATGTTAATCAACTATTTCTTTTTCTCACTCCCCTCTTCTTGCTTCCTTGATGAACAGTCTGATGGTGGCTAATATTATAATTTAGGTTCCAGATAGGAATGTAATTAAATCAACACCACCTCATGATGATACAGTAGCTCATAGAATTTTGTGTCTCCTCTGTATTGTAGATGAGAGTTCTTCCTTTGAACAAAGGACAAGAATGGCTCCTGAGTGACAAAAGGGGTACACAATCTCTATAATAAAGTGTTGGGAAAATAGGATACCCTCAAGCAAAAGAATGAAAATAGACCCTTATCTTACACTATGCACAAAAATCAACTCAAAATGGATTAAAGAATTAAACATAAAACCCAAAACTGTACAACTCCTAGAAGAAAATACAGAGAAAAAGGTTTTTTGACGTTCATCTTGGCAATGATTTCTTGACAAGACACCAAGGACACAGACAACAAAAGCAAAAGTAAACAAGTGGGACTACCTCAAACTAAAAAGCTTCTGCACAGCAAAGGAAACAAGCAGGAGTGAAAAGGCAACCTATGAAAAGGAGGAAAATATTTGCCAACAATACATCTGATAAAGGGTTAATATCTAAAATATATAAGGGACTCATACAACTCAATAGCAAAAACCACCTGATTAAAAAAATGGGTAAAGGAACTAAATAGACGTTTATTAAAGGAAGACATACAAATGGCCAACTGATATATGAAAAGGTGCTCAATATCACCAATCATCAGAGAAATGCAAATCAAAACCACAATGAGATATCACCTCACACCTGTTAGGATGGCTATTATAAAACAACAAAAGATAATGTATTGCTGGGTGCAGTGGCTCACACCTGTAATCCCAGCACTTTGGGAGGCTGAGGCGGACGAATCACTTGAGGTCAGGAGTTCGAGACCAGCCTGGCCAACATGGTGAAACCCCATCTCTACAAAAATACAAAAATTAGCTGGTCATGGTGACACATGCCTGTAGTCCCAGCTACTCATGAGGCTGAGGTGGGAGAATCTCTTGAACCTGGGAGGCAGAGGTTGCAGTGAGCTGAGATTGCGCCACTGCACTCCAGCCTGGGCAAGAGAGCAAGACTCTATCTCAAAACAAAACAAAACAAGAACAAACAAACAAAACAAAAACGAGTGTTGGTGAGGATGTAGAGAAAAGGGAACCCTTGAACACTGTTAATGGAAATGTAAATTGGTACAGATACTGTAGAAAATAGTATGAAATTTCCTTAAAAATTAAAAACAGAACTACCAGATGATCCAGAAATCCCACTTCTGGGTATATGGCCAAAAGAACTGAAATCAGGATCTGGAAGGGATCTGCACTCCCATGTTCATTGCATTGCAGCATTATTCACAATAGACAAGACATGGAAGCAACCTAAATGTCTGTGGATGGACAAATGAATAAAGAAAACGTGGTATAGTGGTCTCTCCCTCATCTTCAGGAGATAACTTTACAAGACCCCCAGTGGATCCCTGAAACTGTAGATAGTACCAAACCCTATATATGCTGTTTTTTCCTATACATACATACCCATGATAAAGTTTAACTTATAAATTAGGCACAATAAGAGATTAACAACAATAACTAATAATAAATATAAAATTATAATAATATACTGTGATAAAAGTTATGTGACTGTGGTCTCTCTCGCAAAATATCTTATTGTACTGTACTCATGTGGCAGCAGTTTCGTCATTGGCAGACACAGCCTCTCCAGTAATTTATATATTTTCAGTCCAAACCTATTCCTGAATCTGTATAACTATCCCTTACTTACAGTAAATGGCTTGCTCATTTCAGGGGATTTCTTGCTAAGTCTTTGTATAGACTCAATGCTTTCTGGAGCAATACATTGCTGCCAGTCAGAATATGTTTCTTTTTTCTTTTTCTTTTTCTTTTTTCTTTTTCTTTTTTTTTTGAGGCAGAGTCTCCCTTTGTCTCCCAGGCTGGAGTGCAGTGGTGTGATCTTGGCTCAGTGCAACCTCTGCCTCCTAGTTCAAGCGATTCTCCTGCCTCAGCCTCCTGAGTATCTGGGATTACAGATGCCCACCACTATGCCCAGCTAATTTTTGTATTTTTAGTAGAGTTTGGGTTTCACCATATTGCCCAGGCTGGTATCGAACTTCTGAGCTCAGGTGATCCGCCCGCCTAGGCCTCCCAAAGTGCTGGGATAACAGGCGTGAGCCACTGTGCCTGGCCAGAACATGTTTCTATTGATGTGTTCCACCCACAAATTTGATGCCTTTTCCACCTTAACTAAGCACTTAACATGCACTGTGGCCATCACTTTTATAGTCTGAGGTGCAACAGCAAAACTAGCACGAATTTCTTTTTCCTTCTTCACAGTTTTGTGGATAGAAGATTCGTTCTTACTATAGATGTTAGCAACCTCAGCATATGATTTTTTTTTCCTTATTAAGTCAGGAACTTTCACCTTTTCACTTAAAGCAAATACTTTACAACTTCTCTTTGGCATATCTGAATTGCCAGCATCCCTATTCTTGTGCTTTGGGGCCATTATTAAGCAAAACAAGGGTTCCTTTAACACAAGCACTGTGATACTGCCACTGTTGATCTGATAACCTAGATGGCTCCTAAGTGACTCATGGGCAGGGAGCATATACAGCGTGGATACACTGGACAAAGAGATGATTCATATCCAGGGTGGGACTGAGTGGGACAGCGTGAGATCTTATCATACTACTATGAATGACACAAAACATGAAACTTATGAATTGTTTATTTCTGAAATTTTCCATTTAATATTCTAGGACCACAGTTGACCAGGGATAACTGAAACTGTGGAAAGTAAAACCACAGATAAGGGGGGACTACTGCATATACATAAAATGGAATATTATTCAGCCTTTAAAAAGAGTGGGATTCTACCACTTGTAACACATGGATGAACCTGGAGGACATTATACTAAGTAAAATAGTCTAGACACAGAAAGACAAATACCACATGATACCACTAATGTGGAATCTAAAATGTCAAACTCATAGAGGCAGAGAGTAGAATAGTGGTTGTTGGGGGCTAGGGAGAGGAGGAAATGGGAAGGTATTAGGAAATGGGAAGGCTTTAGTTACGCAAGATGAATAAGTCCGAGACATTTCCTGTACAGCATGGTGCCTACAGTTAACAATACTGTATTATATACTTAAAAATTTGCTAAGAGAGTAGATTTTATGTTGTGTTCTTATAAAAAATAATAAATGAAGAGAGCAGGAGGGAACTTTTGGAGATGATGGATGTGTTTATGACATAGATTGTGGTTATTTTTTCAGGTGTGTATACTTTTCTCCAAACTCTTCAAGTTGTAGACATTAAATATGTATAATTTTTTATGTCAATTATTCCTCAATAAAGTGGTTTTTCAAATAAAAGGAGTAGACTGCTAGATGGTCTTTATCTCCTACCTTCATCCAGTTTTTACTCTTCCTAGTCCCTCCTTATGTCTTAGGAGGTTTACTCCTATGGACTGCATATTCTTGGTTCCCTTGCCTTGGCTTGCATTGGGTTTGGTAAAGGGTTAAAAATAATAGGAGATCAGAGAGTGAAGGAGCGAGGCGTCAGGGATATTTCTTCCCTACACTCTCTGCTGTGCACTGCATCCCTGGCAGTAGCTGCATTCTTAAACAACTAGAGCACCCACTGGCCAACTCCTCCTCCATAGACTCAGCACTTGCTGGCCTCTGGTAACTGTTTCTTCGCTTATCCCTTGGCTGTAGGGGTGGTAACAGTTTCCCACTCAAACCTCACTATCCCTTGTTTCTTCTGTAACAAGGTCTATAACCCTGACCACTTCCTATAAATGGTTTTTCACAAATTCTCTTCATTTGAGCCATTTGGAGTGAATTATTTTTCTGCTGAGGCCGCACTGATAACATGTGTTCATATCTTCATCCTTTGCCTTATCTCCATGATTTTAAAGAAAAATAATGCTGGAAGTGAAACTCCCCACTTGGGTGTTTTTCTGTACACTTTCAGGGCTGTTCTACAGTGCTTGGAGATAGAGCACTAGGGAAATACAAATGATTCATCTGCGAAGCTTACCTTTTTAAAAGAAGAAAATTGAAAAACCTACACAAATAATACATGATCAAAACAGAAAATTTAGGAAACCACAAAGAGGAAAACAAAAATTTTCAGTAATCCCACTCCACAGAAATAATCACTGTTAACATTTTGACGGACATCTTTTTTAAACTATGCATATTGAACTTGTATGCTTCTTTTAAAAACACACAGTTGCTGAGGCAGTGCCAGCTTGAATTCTTGGGCTTTTGGAATTACCATAACTGCCCCATCTGTGGTAGTGTGGACAAAGCAGGAGCAATTGAAGAAAAGAGAAACACCGTGGAGGAGGAAACAGACCTGGGGAGGTTTCACAGATCAGTCCCTTTCTGGACTGTCATAATTGATGCACTGGATGGACCTCACCCACACAAAGTCCTGCTACACTGGGTTGGGCTTGTGTGCTCTTTGGGAGGGGCGCCTTCTACAGTTCTCACACTCAGAGGAATCTATGCCAGAAGCATGAATAAATAAGTCACAGTTGCACAGCTGGCTGCCCTGCACAAATCTCCTTTAGAATACATGGAAACCTCTAGAGCCTGAGGCAGTCCAGAGAGAGAAGTAAAGAACTAATTAATTCTCCACCAGCCCTGAAAAGGTTAATCCCAAATTGACTGTGAAATACAAATGTGTCCCCACAGGGCAGAATCTAATCTTATTTTGGGTAATAACTTCAATCCTCTGAATTCGAGCTTATTTGCTAGATGCCAAGGTCATTTTGTTTTCCTTCAGAATCCGAAGAGCCAAAAATCCCTGTTATTTGATTCCTGTGTCTCCTCAAAAGAAATGACACTATTATGTACGCGTAGAACATCTTGTTCTCTGTATTTGCTTTTCCACTGCCCGGTGTTATGCTGACCCCAAATAACCAACTCTTTTGTCATGATGTTTATAAATTAGGCTGGGAAAATAGCCTCCAGAGAGAAGGAATTTGTACAGGCAGAGACATACAGAGTGGAGGCTACTCTATGCTGGCTGATTTGGTGTCAACACATAGTCTTTCTTCCTAGAGGCCTCCCGTATTATTATTTACTTCACTACTTCACAGCAACTGAAACATCAACTGTCTACCATTTCCCCTTTCTGGACAGTTAGCAGTAGCAACAGAAGGATGGAATTTGGACACTATTCTTCTTGCTCGTTCTTTCTATTATTTTTCAAGCCCATGGTTTTCACTTTTAAAACATCCTGTTTGGGAGTCTGCTTTTTTGAAGATCTAACAAAAGAGATAACAATGTGAAAAATTTGTCAAAGAACAATCATAGGACTTGGAGCACAGAGGAACCCAATCTTCTTATTTTTTTAAAGAAAATACTAATTTTCACTTTAACTCTGCTTGTCAAATACTTTTCTTTTGGAAATCTTGTTGTACCTTTTCAGTTCATGCTGAGGTGAGGTAGTTGTACATTTACTGAGCTTCAAATAGAAAGGTATCTGGGCAGGGTGAACTCTCAATAAACTTGTTTGTTTGCTTAAAATGAGTGCCAGGACTCGACAAATTTGCAGAAGCTCCCTAGTAACTGCCTTCACATCTTACTGCAGTTTATTTGTGTCAAGCCTCATTCTTACATACCTTTGGATACACAGTAAGAACAATTTTAAGATTGTCAAGTAAGAGTGCAAGAAGAATAATAAAGAAAATTTTAGGAAAAGGAAGCAGGGATTAAACCCAGATGAAGCGATTTGCAGATAGCTCCTCCTTGTAAGTCTGAAGAGAGAAATTTTGAGCTGCATTATGAAAAATGGAATGGCAACAGCAAGGTAGTGGAGATGTGACTTCAAGATCCTTGAAGATGAAGCTTGTGATATTAGAGTAGATACAAGCATAGTGGGTGGAAAGGCTATTAATGCAAATTATAGCGTGCAATGTTCTGCTTATACGCTGCCTCAGCCCAAACTGCCCTTTGCATTGAGGCAGCTGTTGACAATTGTGTAATTGAGGCATTATAAGATATGTACACTCCTATTACAATGACCACCATTCCTGTGAAGCATTATGAATGGTGCTAGAGCAGTGTTTGATGGTATTCCTAATAACAACAGAAAAGTTGCACAGTCCATGTTTTTCTCTGAATCTGGCTAATGCAATAGTTACTCCTTGTAAGGGAAAAATAGTTTAGTAGTGCTGTAACTGGTTACAGTAGAAGAATTCCTGTGATTGTCTTCTGGAGCATTGAGACCATGTCCCACTTCACAGAATGGGGGAAAAGGATTATTGAGAAGCAGCCCAAAAGGATAGAGGGGGTGGCAGTACTTTCGGAAAGAGAAAAGAAGACTGAATCCTAGGGACCTTTGGCTAGGGAGTCTTGGCCTGAAAAGGGACCCTGAAGTTGCATATTAGAAAGGCCTATATGTGGCTGGGCGCGGTGGTTCACGCCTGTAATCCCAGCACTTTGGGAGGCCGAGGCAGGTGGATCACGAGGTCAGGAATTCGAGACCAGCCTGGCCAACATGGTGAAACCCCATCTCTATGAAAAATACAAAAATTAGCCGGGCTTGGTGGCTAGCGCCTGTAATCTCAGCTATTCGGGAGGCTGAGGCAGGTGAATTGCTTGAACCCGGGAGGAGGAGTTTTCAGTGAGCCGAGATCGCGCCACTGCACTCTAGCTTGGGTGACAGAGTGAGACTCCATCTCAAAAAAAAAAAGGCCTATATGTTGGATATATCATATTTATCATAGTATATTATTATCATAATGAAATATAATTTTGCAAATGAGAAACCAAGGAATAGTGAGATAACTGCCACAGTCATTTAAAAAAAAAAATTGAACAAGTTCACATCTTCTGATTCCCAGCCCAGGCAAGATCCTATTGAACTACAGTGCCCCTAGATGGAAATATACCAAAGGCAGATGCGTCCTACTCAAGTGAGGAGACTCAAACAGAGGGTTAACTGGACTTGGAGTGAATGCCAAACTGCTTTTTTTTTTTTAAGTTTGACAGCACAAACAAAATGTTGCAAGCATTAGAAAACATTTTAATTTTTTTGTGCCTTGAACACTGAATCATCCTTGTGTGGTATAATAGGAAGACATTGGATTTAAGCCCCTGTTTCTTCATTTAACATTAATGTGTTACCTAACTTATCTGAGCCACAGTTTTCTCATCTGTAAAGTGGAGATAATAATAGTGCCTAATTTATAGTGCTAATGTGATGATTAAAAGAGATGATACATTATAGAAATAGCTCAACAAATAATTATTTTCCTCTCTTTTTCCACTTGTATAGGAGTTTGTCTAATGTGCTTAGCTTGAGTCAAAAAAGTGGCTTTAAAGTGTTCTCTGAATTTAAAGCCCCATCTTACAAATGGCCCATCTCTCTGTAAGTGAATGTTTTCCCAAATATGGGTTTTAGCATGTGTGCAAATGTGTTTTGCTCATCAGCAAGACCAAATGAAACCCCAGCCCACAAGAATTTTATCTTTATGACTCCTTTTTCCTCTTGTCATTATCTTGGACTCCAGAATGCAGGACTGAATTTCACAGAAAACGCTGTAATTCAGCACAAGAGAAACAAGGCTGAAAAGTGCACCACAGCTAAGGGGCAAGGTTTCTTAGCCTCAGAACTACTGAGCTTGGGGCTGGACACTTCTTTGTTGTGGGAAGCTGTCCTGTGCATTATAAGATGTTTAATAGCATCCTGGGCCTCCACCCACTAGATGCCAGTAGCACTTCTCTTTTTGGTTGTGACAACCAAAAATGTCCCCTGGGCAGGGGGAAGCAATATTGTTTTTGGTTGAGAATAAACCCTAGGAGAAATAAATCCGCTAGTTGTTTGGCATACAAACACCCTATGGGGTAGATAAATTGAATCTGTAGGAGTGACTAGGAATTCAAAGTGCAAGGGGGAGTGAAGGAAAGAAGAGTCTGGGCAGAAGAACAGTTTGGATTTTAAAAGGGAACCTATTTCATATGCAGGCCTTATGAATACAGAGGTTAATAAGACATAGATCTTGATCTCGAAGAGCTCATGTTTTAGTGGTAAAGGCAACCACTTGAAAAGACAATGCAAATACTGTGTAGTGAGTACTATGTCAGAAATTTTTATAAAGAGTGTTATGGAACAATGGGAGCATAGGGGAGGTACACCCACACTAGCAAGGTACAGGAGAGGCTTTCCAGAAGAGATCATATCTGAGTCAAAGGATAAGTAAGGCTTAGCCTGGAGAAGATAAAAGGAGGATGGAAGAGCCATGAGAGAACTTGGTGTTTGGAGGAAAATAAAAATCATTTAGGTTGCCTAGAAACAGAATGGTCAAGACAAAGAATGGTAAAATAGAAGCTTGTAAGGCAGACAGGGAGCAGATCATGAAAGTCTTTCAAAGCCATGTATAAGACTCAGTTTTGAGAACCACCGAGAGCCATTGAGTTTCTCCATGATCCTATTTATTTGGATTTGGGGAAGACTACTTTGGCAGTGGTGTGGAAAATAGACTGGAATTAGGGTAACAAGTCAGGAGGCTGTTTGTGTAGTTCAGGAGAGAGATGATTATGGCCTGAGTTAAGGCAGTGACGGTAGGAAGGAATTTAAAATCTACTTAGGTGATGAGAACAACAGGATCTAGGGACTAGTTAGGTGTGGGGACGGTTTCTGTTTTGTGCTACTAAGTAGATGGTAGTGCTATTCACTGGGATAGAAAACACTGGGGACAGAAAAGATTTGTAAGGAAGATGAAGTTTAAGTTTGGAAAAGTTGAATTTGAGGTGGTTGTGATCATTAAGGTGGGGATGGCTGGTAGCCATTAAACATACGAGTCTGAAAATCAGGAGAAAATGTAGGGTAGAGATACAAGATTGAGAGTCAACAGGGGGAAATTGAAGTCATTGGGATAGTTACCCTACTTCCAATCTATTTTCCATACCACTGCCAAAGTAGTCTTCCCCAAATCCAAATCGGATCACGGAGAAACTCAGTGGCTCTCGGTGGTTCTCAAAATTGAGTCTTATACATACATGACTTAGAAAGACTTTCATGATCTGCTCCCTGTCTATCTTACAAGCTTCTATTCTAAGATCATCCAAGGAGAATGAATATACTGAAGAGAGATGAGGACCAAAGACATTCCCATGGCTTGCTTCTGTACTTTGTTAGTGTCACCTCTTTTGAGAGGCTTTGCTTGACTAACATATATAAAATATTACTCTATTCCTTTGATTTTTTGGGTAACGTTTCACTATCCCATATTATGTTATATATTTAACCCACTCGCTTTTTGGTTACTCTCAGATATTTACAATAGTTTAATTTGTAGGCACTTAAAAGTTCAGTCAAATCAAAACTTCCATCTCACATCCAGTTTAAAACTTCTCCTCCAGTCCCCAACCTCCAGTGCAGCTTGACTGGCAATCCCACAGATCTCTAGTGAGAAAAGTGACTTGGTCTGTTCTTTTATTCTTCTTGCTCTACCTCCTCCCCTACTTGTTCTACTGCTTCTGTCTCCTCCAGGGCTTAGGGGTGGGGTGGGTATGGAGAGGGGAATCTTAAAGGGACAGTGAGAAGCTGAATTGACTGGTGCTGGTGTAATCTGGCTATGAATATCCTCTGTGACATAGATGCCCAAATACTGCCTTTTCTTGTAGTGTTCCTTCTTGGTTTATTCAGGGACCTTCTAACTCCTCTTCCTGCTAGCAGGGATCTCTTCCCTACACTATTCCCTGATAGGAACAATGTACCATCTGACCCTCTTCCCCCTTGGCTGTTGCCCCCACAACTTTCTATTCATGGGATCCTCATTTTTATGCGGAGTTGCCAGCTATGCTCAAAAGAAACTACCTGGTCCACAGCAAACATGGTCCCTTGGAAGTCTAGATCTCTTTCTTTGCTCTGCCATTATGAGCAATTTAAACCAGGCTTCTGCCTTCAGATTTTAGGTAAAAGTCAAGTATAAGTTTCTATCTTTTCATAGCACTAGAGGACATATGCGAGGTTCTCTCATGAACTCATCCTGTTTCAGTAGCAACAAAGGCTAAAGTTTCTGTAGTGCAGCAAGCCTCCAGCCTGGGAGTGAGATGTCAGTCTCTCTTCAAAAGGTTTACTTAAGATCTTTTTTGTTTCGCTCGAGCAGGGGAACCATAGTGCTTTCTACTCCAATGAGTTCCCTTCAAAAAATCCTCTTTGTTGCTTCAATTAATCTCTAGAATTATCTTATAATAATTCTGGAGTTGAGTGGTGGGGATTAGTAATTGAAATACCAGTTTGGTTACCTCTTAGCAAGTCCTGTGGGAATCTGTCTAACATCCCTCTTTAGAATGTATGACTACCCCTAGTATGTATGTCTTTAACTTTGAAGCCTCAGTCAAAACTTTGGGAAACAACAGAAAAAGTCCCATTTGACATCCTTTTCCAAATATATGTAGCAATATACACATAACCCCATATACTTACAAATATATATCTTGTGTGTATATGTATTATATACACACACACATGAATATGATATATTTATTTATTTATTGCTGAGAGACAACACAGAGTACTAGTTAAGACTATGGAATCTGAAGCCACACTGTCTGGCTTCAAATACTGAGTTTACCATTTGACCTCTCTGTGACTTAGTTTCCTTATCTGTAAAATGGGTGTAATAATAGTATCTGCATCATAGGACTTTTGTGAGGACTAAATGTGTGTGTGTGTGTGTGTGCATGTGTGCATGTGTGTGCTTGTGTTTGTATATCTTAGATTAGTACCTTAGGATAGTAGTAAGTGCTATATGCATTTGCTATTAGTGCTGTTATTTTTCTCTGACTTAGAATATAAGTTGCATGTGTGCAAGACTTTACTGCTATACTTCTAACTCCTAAAAAACAGTGCATATAACAAGCACTAGTAAATGTTAGTGACCTCAGATTTTTCCTGAATAAATTAATATGACATTTAAGTCTTGCAGTGTTAAGATACTGGCAGAAAAAGTGGAGTCCAAAAATATTAGGAAAGACAGTCGGAGAGATAGGAGAACAAGGAGGTCATGATGTCCAGAAACCACAGGAGAGGAGATTGTAATAAGGCAGGCGTGGGCAATGGTGTCAAACATTGCTAGAGGATGAAAGGAAAATAAAACTAAAAAATTGTCATTGCATTGTCTAACAAGCAGCCCCAATTTTTGCTTTCATATCCTGGTAAATATTGGCTTTCTTTCCCTGAAAGATGCTTTTATTAAAATGAATTACCGACCAGAATAAATCTTTGAAAATAGGCCTTAAAAGTTTTCAGCCCTGCATTACCAACCTCCAAAGAACAAACCAGTCCTGCACGTACTTGGCCTTAACCATAAAGGACACATCCTCAATGCAACTTAGTACGTTTTCCCCTGACTTGGACTCTCCTCTTGAATCAAACCATAAAACCTGCTGTTTATGTCTGCATACAACTCCATGAGACTTCCCCTCCTAAGAATGTCCTTCTCCTTTCCTCCTACTCACCTCTCTTTTCAAAAGTATAAATGAGCTATATAAAGAACTCTTATAACACAGCAACAAAAAGACAACCTAATTAAAAATGGACAAGGGTTCTGAATAGACATTTCTTCAAAGAAGGTATGCTACTAATGGTTAACAAGTACATGAAAAGATGCTCAAAAGTATTAGTTATTAGGAAAATGCTAATCAAAACCACAATGGGATACCAATTTCCACCCACAGGGATGTCTGTAATCAAAAAGACTGATAATAACAAGTGCTGTTGAGAATGTGGAGACATTGGAACCCTCACGTATTGCTGATGGGAATGTAAAATGGTGCAGTCACTTTGGAAAGCAGTCTGGCGATCCCTCAAAAGGTTAAACATAGAGTTACTACGTGATCTGCAATTCCAATCCTAGGTAGATACACAAGCATTTTGAAAACATATGATTACAAAAACCTCTGCATGAATGTTTATGGTAGCATTATCTGTAGTAGCCAAAACATGGAAAAATCTCAATTGTCCGTCAACTTTTGAGTGGATAAACAAAATGTGGTATATCCACATAGTGGAATATTATTTAGTCACAAAAGGATGAAAAATTATTTGAGTGATGTCACCAAAATGATAGAGTAGGGAATCTCAGGGCTCCTCAAATGGCTGTAATTAGCTACTGGATAAAGTTCAAATTCTTTAACATGACTCCCAAGGCCTCTGTTGTTCTAGTACTTACCTACCTGTTATGGGTTGAATTGTGTACCCCCAAATTCATCTGTTGAACTTCTAATCCCCAGCACCTAATAACGTACGCTAATTTGGAAATAAGGTCATAGCATATGTAATTGGTTAAGATGAGGTCATTAGGATGGACCCTAATCCGACATGATTGGTATCCTCATAAGAAGGGGAAATTTGGACACAGAGACACATATACAAGAAAAGTGCCATGTGAAGATCAGGGCAGAGATTGGGATAATGCTTCTACAAGCCAAGAAATACCAGAGATTTCCAGCACAGCACCAGTAGCTGGGAGAGAGGCATGGAATAGATTTTCCTCACATCCCTTAGAAGGAACCAACCTTGCAGATAGCTTGATCTCAGATTTCTAGCCTCCAGAACTGTGAGAAAACAAGTTTCTGTTATTTAATCTACTCAGTTTTTGGTACTTTCTTATAAACTAATACATCATCCTTTTAGCCTCACCTATCATCACTTTTTCATTTAACCTTATGCTCCAGCAACTTCTTTGCACTCCCTTTGCACATATCCAGTGTTTCTAGCCTTTCTGTTTTTGCTTATGCTCTTCTTCTGCCTGGAATGCCTTTCCACCTTTTTGGTCTAGCTAATTCCTACTCATCCTTTAAGATTCAGAGAAGCAATTTCTTCTTCCAGGAACCCTTCACTGACCACTCCCCAATCAGGCTGATGTAAATGGCCTTCTGAGGCATTCTCCCATATCCTGAGCATCTCCCCAGCTTTGCACTTTCCATACTGTATTGTAAATTTATGTTTTTAGTTTGCCTGCCTTCCCCTACCCCATTCTGTGAACTCCCAGAGGAAACAGTCACCAAAACCCCAGTGCCTAAGTAGCACGATATATTTATATTTGAATGAATGGCCTTTTTTCCCCAGTGTTTGTTCATCTATTTTCTCATAGTACCTATTAAAGTGCTTCACATGTAGTGGGTACTCAGTACATCTTGACCAGTGGTTCTCAACTGGGGACATTGGTCAATATCTGGAGACATTGTTGGTTGTCACAAATTGGAAAGTGATCTAGTGGATAGAGGCATTTAGTGGATGGAGGTCAGATACATTGCTAAACATCTTGCAGTGCACAGGATAGCACCATCCCCCCACCCCAAGAAATATCCATTCCAAAATATCAATAGTGTAGAGATTGAGAAACCTCGATCTTGACAGAATGAGAGATTTGAATTTACTTTTTACACTTTATACTTACTGTAGACCACTGGTGTACTAACTTTGCTGTGTTAGGAAGCCTTTTTTTTTTAATTTTGATTTTTACAAAAGTAAACTCAACATGAGATGAAAAGGGAGTGTCCTGGCAGCCAGAATTAAAACTTTGGCAATTAAAAGCTACCTGATCAATGGCAAAACAGATATATAAATTGCAGTCTTGTTATGCCCTGGAATGCTCTATAGCAGTGAAAATAAATTTATCCCTATCAACAGGGATAAATCTCATAAGAATAATATTGAGTGAGGAAAGCAAATTGCAGAAGTTACATACAGAAAGATAATATTTCTGTAAAGTACTACATATTGTTTAGAGATAAACACATATTTAGTAAATGTGTATAGACATACAAGGAATTTCATGGTATCCTGTCACCAGGGGCTGAGGAAAATCTCCATCGTTTTAGGTTTGCACTGGTCAGAACTTGCTCAGTGTGGCAAAATCGGATTTCATGGAAATAATCAAGACCAAATCTGAGATTGTGAAAGCCTTAGGATGGAGGAGGACACAGAGAGTTTCGATTGTTTTGGTAATGCATTACTTCATAAGCTGGGTAGTGTGCATGTCCTTGTTGTTATATTATTCTCTATATGTTTACATATTTTTGAAATATTTAAAACTGTTTCAAAAGAGTAATTGCTCAATACTGAGGTATCCTGTCACCTGGGACTGAGGAAAATCTTCATCTTTTAAAGTTTGCACTGGTCCAAATTCTCTCAACGTGGCGAAATCGACTCATTGAAGTCAATCATTCACAATGGGTCAGGAGATCATATACTATTCATGGGGTGGTAATCCATACATTCCTGTTTACATTTTTGCCAGGATAGTGCCTAGGTTTGCTCTCATTAGACCTCTCTCAATGTTTAGTATAAGAATTTGAACTTGTGGCAGACGAGGAGGATAAAACAGAAATGGGCAGCAGTCTGCAAAGCACAGAATGTATGTAAACAGGCCACTGACTAACTTTGCTTGGGTTCATTATTTATGTTTGTCTCTCTGTGCATTTGAAGCTTGTCAGTAAGACTGTCTTAGAGAAGAGGGGTCAAATCCTCACATCCTCTTTAGTGAGGGGTACCTTGGACAGTGAGAAACTGCACACATATAAAGAAGTAAAGCTTAAAATTTTGCTGAGGAATAAGGGAGTTGGAAAAAATGTTTCCAAAGTTACTTCTGGCTGAAAGTGTTTCCAGCTCCTGCCAAGCACCACCTGCAAAGAAGGAGCAGAGAAGTGCCTGGTATGAGTTCCCACAGGCCAGATTTGGGGGGCGGAACACATTCAAAGTCCAAGGCTGACTAGAGGGCTCTGGAGGGAGAGCTGAATTAGCAAAGCTAGACAGAACAAAAGGATTTCCGTTTTTTTTGTTTGTTTGTTTGTTTGTTTAATTTTGCTTTAAGTTCTGGGATACATGTGCAGAACGTGCAGGTTTACATGTGCCATAGTGGTTTGCTGCACCTATCAATCTATCATCTAGGCTAAGGATTTCCTTTTCAAAGTGGCCTCACACTTCAGGGTGGGGCAGTGTATTGAAGGGCTAAAGCATAAAAAAAAAACAAACAAAAAAAACAACTCTGGGTAGAGCCTGGGAGACGGATTTTTACTGTTTTGTCTGCTAGAATTAAAATTTTTTTTTTTTTAGCTTTTGAAGATTTTTCAAGAATATTTAAAAAATATTATCAAAGCCATACATGCTCATTAAAAGAAAGTTGAAAAAGACAGAAAAGTAGGAGCAAAACTAAAAATTTGTTTAGTTCCATCATCTAGAGACACCCACTATCTATCCTTCTATCTATCTATATATCTATCTATCTATTTTTTTTTTCAGACAGAGTCTTGCTCTGTCGCCCAGGCTGGAGTGCAGTGGCGCAATCTCGGCTCACTGCAAACTCTGCCTCCCGGGTTCATGCCATCCTCCTGCCTCAGCCTCCCGAGTAGCTGGGACTACAGGCACATGCCGCCACGCCCGGCTAATTTTTTATATTTTTAGTAGAGACGGGGTTTCACCATGTTAGCCAGGATGGTCTCGATCTCCTGACCTCGTGATCCGCCTGCCTCAGCCTCCGAAAGTGCTGGGATTACAGGTGTGAGCCACCGCCCACTATCAATATTTTAATAAAAGTTCTTGCATACAGGTATACCTTGGAGATATTGTGGGTTTGGTTCTAGACCACCACAATAAAGCAAGTCGCATACATTTTTTAGTTTCCCAGTAATATAAAAGTTATGTTTACACTATACTGCAGTCTATTAAGTGTGAAATAGCATTATGTCTAAAAAACCAATGACCTTAATTGAAAAATACTTTAGGCCAGGCACGGTGGCTCATGCCTGTAATCCCAGCACTTTTGGGAGGCCAAGGCAGGAGGATCACTTAAGCTCAGGAGTTAGAGACCAGCCTGGGCAACATAGTGAGGCCTGTCTCTAATAAAATACTTTTAAAAATATATAGCTGGACATGGTGGTGTGTGCCTATAGTCCCAGCAACTCGGAGGCTGAGGTGGGAGTATGGCTCGAGCCCAGGAGATAGAGTCTACAGTGAGCTACAATTGTGCCACCGCCCTCCAGGGTGGTGACAGAGCGAAACCTTGTCTCAAAAAAAGAAAAACTTTATTGTTAAAAAATGCAAATGATCCTGTGAGCCTTCAGTGAGTTGTAATCTTTTTGCTGGTGGGAGGTCTCGCCTTGATGTTGATGGCTGCTGCCTGATCAGGGTGATGGTTCCTGAAGGCTGGGATGGCTGTAGCAATTTCTTAAAATAAGACAACAATGAAGATTGCTGTATTGATTGACTCTTCCTTTCACAAAAGATTTCTCTGTAGCATGCGATGCTGTTTGATTCCATTTTACACACAGTAGAACTTCTTCCAAAATTGGAGTCAATCCTCTCAAACCCTGCTGCTGCTTTATCAACTAAGTTTATGTCACATTCTAAATCCTTTTTTTTTTTTTTTTGCGACGGAGTCTCACTCTGTCACCCAGGCTGGAGTGCAGTGGCGGGATCTCGGCTCACTGCAAGTTCCGCCTCCCGGGTTCACGCTATATTCTCCTGCCTCAGCCTCCCGAGTAGCTGGGACTACAGGTGCTGGCCACCATGCCTGGTAATGTTTTGTATTTTTAGTAGAGACGGAGTTTCACCGTGTTAGCCAGGATGGTCTCAATCTCCTGACCTCGTGATCCGCCCTCCTCGGCCTCCCAAAGTGCTGGGATTACAGGCGTGAGCCACCGTGCCTGGCCTCTAAATCCTTTGCTGTTGTTTCAACAGAGTTCACATCATCTTCACCAGGAGTAGATTCCATCTCAAGAAATCACTTTCTTGGTTCACACAGGAAGCAACTCCTTGGTCAGTCAAGTTTTATCATGAGATTGCAGCAATTCAGTCACATCTCTGGGTTCCACTTTTTTTTTTTTTGAGATGGAGTCTCGCTCTGTCACCCAGGTTGGGGTGCAGTGGCAGGATCTCGGCTCACTGCAAGCTTCACCTCCTGGGTTCACGCCATTCTCCTGCCTCAGCCTCCCGAGTAGCTGGGACTACAGGCGGCCGCCACCACGCCTGGCTAACTTTTTGTATTTTTAGTAGAGACGGGGTTTCACCGTGTTAGCCAGGATGGTTTCGATCTTCTGACCTCGTGATCTGCCCGCCTCGGCCTCCCAAAGTGCTAGGATTACAGGCGTGAGCCACTGTGCCTGGCCTCTGGGTTCAACTTCTAATTCTAGTTCTCTTGCTATTTCTACCACATGTGTAGTGACTTCCTCCACTGAAGTCTTGAACCCTTCAAAGTCATCCATGAGGGTTGGAATCAACTTCTTCCAAACTCCTGTTAATGTTGATATTTTGCCCTTCTCCGTTGAATCATGAATGTTCTTAATGGCATCTAGAATGGTGAATCCATTGCCTTGAGTGGCATGTTGTCATTTACTGATATAAGAAATACTGGAGGAGGAACAAATTTAAGAGAAAAGATGGTAGGTTTAACTTTGGATGTGTTGAATTTGAGGTGTCTGCAGGACATTCAAGTGGAGATGTCAAGAACACAGAACTCAATAAAGCAGTCTGGGTAGAGTTATAGAATTAGAGTTGTGACCATATATATGGTAATTAAAGCCAAGTGAGTGAAAAAGATTATTTGGGGGAGGGAGTATATGTATCCTAGCCCTGAGAATGTCTGACTTTCAGAGGTCAGATAGCAGAAGAGTGGCCTACAAAGGTCACTGAGGAGAGGGCAAAGGAGTAGGAGGAAAAGCAAAAGAGTAAAATGTCATAGATGCCATAGAAAGTTTCAAGGACGAGGAAATGGTTAACGGTGTTAAATGTAGGGGAGAAGTCAAGCAAAATAAGGACCAAAAATACCTTACTTATTTATGGATTTATTGACACTGAGGGTCATTGTTTGTGTATCTCATTGAGAAGTTTCAGTGGGGGAAGGAAGCCAGACTGCTGAGAGCTAAGAAATGAATGAGAAGTAAGGGAATAAAAATTGCAATTTCACCTGTGAAGTACATTTTCAATACATTTGCCCATAAAGAGGACCTGAAGAGGGACCTCCTGTGTAGGGAGGTTCTTTTTTTAAGATGGTAGATACTTGAGCATGTTTAATTGCTGATGTGAAATGAGGGGGAGAGGGATGGGAGAGGCAGGGAGAGGAATCTGCAATTACTGGGTAGGTATAAACATTTTCAAGTCTATTGATACATATTGCTCACGTGCTTTCTAAAAGGGTTTTTAACCAACATATGCTGCTATCAGCAATTAAGACAGCTTGTTTGGTGGCTACTTTGTCATCATTAAGTGTTATTAAAAAATAAAAAATATCTTTGCCAAAGAATCTCATTATTGTTCTAATTTGCTTTTCTTTGATTACTAGTGAGTTGGATATTTTAACCAGTTGTGTCCTTGAGTGTGTATGTATGAATTTAGTCTACGCTTTTGCCCAAAACGTTTCTATTTTAGACAGACATTTATTTGCCATAAAAGGCCACAAGTCAAAGGATCAGAATGGTATTATATTTTATTTACTCAAATTAGATAGTTCATACTCTTTTATCTTCTTAGAAGTGTGAGACAATTTGACAACTTTTGACTCAGCTGAACGAAAGAGACAGGTGATTTCACCGTCTAAGAGAGTGACCAACAGATGGAAGTAAGTGGGTGAGGAGGCACGTCTAGTGTTAGACCCCTATCCTCAGTCCCCAGGCTCCCATTCCTAACCTGGAAGGACATTCCTCTTGTGTCTCAAGGCTTTGGGTCCCAGAGCTCCCTTTTGGGCTGAGTGGCCCCCTGCTAAGGAGCCCGGGGCGCTGTGCGGCCCCTTTAAGAGTCCAGCTCCTCCCCGCTCCAGGGAAAGTTGCAGCTTTTTCCGCCTCCCGGGAGGGTGAGAAGGGCCGGCTGCCGGAGCTGGGTTGCGATCTTCCCGGAGCCGGAGACCCTCCCTTGAAACCGGCACTGGGACTTCTCGATCTCTGGAGGCACCTGTTGCAAGTGACAGGTAGGTCAACAGCCAGCGGCCGGCCCCTCGCCCTCGGTCCGGTGCTCCTTCTGGACCCCCAGCTCCTTTTCGCTGCTGAAGCGCCCCCACCCCCATCTCGGGGTCGTGCGTCTTCCCTACCCGCTCTCTGGTCCCCCAATTTTTCCTTCTCCCTAGCTGACCGCGTCTCCCCTCTCCCCGTCCGCCTCTCCCGACCGCATCCCCAGGCTTGGACTCCCGTCTGCTTGGGCGGTCCCTCCCGGCCACTTTTCTTTCTCCAGGGCTTCTTCTGGCCCCTTCCCTGACCCACCCAGCACTAATGCGGTCTGTGCCCCTCTGGGAGCCGCCTCCCCTCTCCTCTTCGGCTCCCCTCGCGGGGAGTGCCCGGGCTTTTTCCCGCCAGCCCGAGCTGGTGCCCCTCCCGAGAGCTGGCCCTGGGGGCGGGGGCGGGGCCGAGCTCCTAGCGGGAACTGCGCCCTCCAAGGCGTCCAGTCACCTTTTCGTGGGTTCCTCTCACAGCGCTCGGCCGTCGAGCGGGGTCGCTAACCCGCACTCTCTTCGGACCTACGACATCGCGGCTTCTCTGGCGTTGGCCAGTCAGCCACAGGTAAAGGCTGGAGGCTGGTTGGCTGGAGTCCTGCCTCAGTGGGCTCCCTCTGCGCTTGGGGCTGGGGACCTGGCTGTGTGCTGTGGAGCTGCTTTATATTGCCGCTCTTCAAGCAGGCTGTGAGAGATCTGGTACTGGAGGAGGGTCCCCGAGATCTCAGAAGGGGCACAGAATGCTTCTGTCTCCTGTGTTGGTTTGTAATGGGGCAGAAAAAGGTGTTCCTCCAACCCTTAACATTGAATGAGGTGGGATTTGGGGTGGTGAAATCATTTGGTTAGAATTCTGGTGGCTTGAAAAGTGGTGACTTTCTAATCAAGCTTTTCTTCCCCCAGTACCCTGCTTCTTCAGGATTAGAGGACGTAAAATTCCAGAGTACTGTGCTTGGCAGGGTTGACCCTAGACCTTGTATATTTGTGGCAAAAATGAGTCTTCTGTACATCCTGGACCTCCTATATTTAACTGGCTTATTTTCTGCTCTTTAAGCTCCCCACCCCCACCTCTCATAAATCTATTAATATTGAGGTATTAATGACTTAAGACTTTTGTCGCTGTGGGAACAATGTTTAATGCAGAGACGTGGCCTTGATGAAGTTTTCTGCGTTTTTGGTTGTTTGGTTTTTAGCACCCTAGTAGAAAAGCACCACCAACTTGGCTTGTGAGGCCCTTTTTGGGCAGAGGATGAACATTTCTGGTAACACAATTTCAGGTGTCTCACTCTTGGTCAGAGCAGTGAAATGGAGCTGGAGGCCTGTTCTGGGGTAATTGATCTGTGAGTATATGTAGCATTCTGGCTCTCTGAGCTTGTTAGGCTCTGGTTGTTAGGCTCCATTGAGCTGGACACTGTGATAAGTTCTTTACATAAAAATGCAATCCTCACAATAACTCTATACAGTAGGTGCTACAGTTATAACCATATTATGATGAAAAAGAGACTGAGAAGTTAAGTGCCTTGCCCTCAAAATCTCGGAGGCAGAGCTTGTGTTCCTATCCTGTCACACCACCTCTGTTGTCTTAGATGTTGGGAACACTGAATAGCTCATGGATGAGGACTAAGTGATTAAAAAATTGTCTTCCAAGCCCAAGTATATGTTTTTCTCCTTGCTTCCACCTTAGATGCACTGCCGAGACTATGGACTACTTACCTTACTGATGTCTTACCCACTTCATTTCCAACATGGGCCAGTTGCCACGTTACCACTATAAGTACACATCCCTGAGTGTAATTAGATGAATGAAATCTCCCGGGTTTTCAGCTCTGTGGTAATTGTCCTGAAGTTAGGGGAGGGTAACCCTGGATTCTAGGGATGTGTGCCTGACTCAACTTCTTCCTCTCCTGCTGGCTAGGGGAGAAATGAGGGAGTGGTAAGTGATATGGATTTCCTGACAGCCATACCAGAGAGCCTGAGGGTGATCGTGTGCTAGTTTTGTCATGGGATGGATGGAGTACCATAGACAAGGATAGGAAGAAAATGTCCTCCCTATTCCCATCTCTGGGACTTTGCTCAAACTGTTCCTTTTTTTCTTCCTAAAAAGCTAACTTTCCTCCCTCATTCCCCCTCCCCTGACATTAATTCCTATCCATCCCTCAAGATTGAGTTCTAAAGTCACCTCCTTTGGAACGGCCTTACTGAACACATACTTCTTCCCCCAAGCAGAATTGCCAGTTATCCTGTGTCCTAAAGCACTTTGTTTACACCTCAGTAAAGCCCTTAACACTGCTTAGTTGTTTTTCCACCTGGAAGGCTGTAAGTTCTCTAAGGGCAAGGTCTGGATCTCGGAGCTCCCTTTGTCTTAAATATAAGATGTTGGCAAATATTTGTGCCAGTAACCGGACATACCATGCCATTCCTTCAAGGGGCTGAGGTGTAGTGATGGTGGGGTTGAGGTACAGAAGACACCTTCCTGAGGCACTTGAAATACCACAGCTAGGAATTTGCCCTGACCACCCTATTTAAACGTGTAATCCCTTCCCTGAACATTCCATATGCCCTTTCCCTACCTTATTACATTGTTCTTGCTTATTGTCTGCCCTCCCACTCCCTCACCCACCATAACATAAACACCCTGTGGGCAGGGATTGCTGTCTGTTGTATTCACCAGTAGACTCTTGGACCCAGAACAGTCCTTGGTACATCATAGGTGCATACTAATATTTGTTAATGAATTAATGGCATTGCCATTCTAGGAATTTGGCACTCTTGGAGTTAGGCACTCCTGGACCTGAAACTAAGCCTACCCAGTTTGTCGCCCTACAGGTGTAAGTTTGCCCCAGGCCCAAAACTCAGCTTTACTTCTGCTGATTTTTGCTTTGAGATTGCATTCCTGATGCCAACTTTGACCTAGTTGGAAGTACTTCCTCTCTCTTACTTTTTTTTTTTTTTGAGGCAGAGTTTCGCTGTGTCGCCCAGGCTAGAGTACAGTGGCGCGATCTTGGCTCACTGCAAGCTCTGCCTCCTGGGTTCATGCCATTCTCCTGCCTCAGCCTCCCGAGTAGCTGGAACTACAGGCGCCCGCCACCATGCCCGGCTAGCTTTTTGTGTTTTTAGTAGAGACGGGATTTCACCGTGTTAGCCAGGATGGTCTCGATCTTCTGACCTCGTGATCTGCCCTCCTCGGCCTCCCAAAGTGCTGGGATTACAGGCGTGAGCCACCGCTCCTGGCCTCTCTATTTTTTAAAAGTATGAGTCTCTGGGTGGAAATCTCTAAAGTTTAAAAGTGGAAATGTAAAAATGTTGTGCTTCTTGTTGGTAGGAAGGGGGACTGCACTGGGAGGAAGGGGTGTGGATTGTCAGATGTCTTGAGGCTTTTCAGGCTTCTCGCAAGATCAATAAGAGGCTGGAGAAAGTTACTGTGCAATGGGGAAGTGAACAGCTCAAAAGAATAACGGATGGCACAAATTAGGCTTCTGGTTTCAAGTTACCCATAGCCTTTTAGGTATGAGGTGGTTATTGGATTATGGAACTTTATGGAAAAGCCGTAGCTGAGTGCTATTTGTGTTGTACTTAACTAGTTTTCTACCAGGATGACTGTGCAGTCTGGAGAAACCACTGTGTAACATAAAAGAAAAAAGTGCTATTCTGTTTAAAAGTGTTTTGAAATGTTCAGAAAGGAAGAGGCCAGAATCTCTTAGAAGACAGACTTGGAAGGAGTTGGGCCCTTCAAAAGGTGGTAAATATGTGATTCTCATCATTTAATATATGTTAACTTATTTGAAACTCAAATTTGTACAAAAAGCTGACCAGCTTCTTTTTCTACTAAATTTGTCTCCCCAGCCTTTGAACATTGCAGTGACCTGGGGTTCAGTCCCTGGACTTTTCTCCATCTAAAATCTTCACAGAGGCTCTCATCCAGCTGCATGGCTTTGAAGAACATCTGTCTAGACTGTTGTCACTCCCAAATTTATGTTTGTTACCCAGGCCTTTCTTCTAAGCTGCAGCCTCATATATCCAATGACCTATTTGACATCTCTGCTTGCCTATCAGATAGACCTCTCAAATGTAACGTGGCCAAAACGGCACTCCCGATTGCCCTTGTATTCCCACCCTCTTCCCTCAGCACTCCCTGTCTCAGTAAAATGTCACCATCATCCATTCAGTTGCTCAAACCAAGAACCTAAGATCACCCTTGATTCTTCTTTTTCTATCACTGCTCTCCACCCAATTTAATTCATGAGGGAGTCCTGCTGACCTGATCTTCAGACTGTATCATGTGTTCTGCCACACGTCTCCATCTCCTCTGCCTGTCACCCTAGTCCAAGCCACCACACGTCTGCCACAAACATTCTTGCATAATGCTCAAGGATATATATATACACAAGTATTTTTGTGGGATAGCTTTCTAATAGGAGAATTGTTAGGTCAAAGGACATATACATTAAACAATTTAAATAGGCATCACCAGAGTGACATCTAAGAGGGTTTACCCTTTCACCATTGCGAGTGGTTTTCCTCCTGCCCTTGCTGAGGATGGATGACGCTTTTAATTTTTTCCAATCTGATAGGTGAAAAATAGTATCTAACTGATTTAACTTGGCATTTCTCTGATCACTAGTGTGGCTGAGCATCTTTTCATTTGTGCTAGCTATTTGTATTTTTCCAAGACTTGCTCCTTTATATCCTTTGCACATTTATCTTTTGGGTTATATATTTGATTTGTTTGTAAGAACACTATATTTATTAGTTATA
The DNA here is from genome assembly GCF_000001405.40 of Homo sapiens. NCBI lineage: Eukaryota > Metazoa > Chordata > Mammalia > Primates > Hominidae > Homo > Homo sapiens. The sequence continues at coordinate 100,727,233 of NC_000023.11, read as the reverse complement.
TTTACCCATTGCCTATTATATAGTGCAAGTTTTTTTCTCTCTAGTCTGTCATATGTCATAACTTTGTTCATGATGTGTACCCCTCTCGTAATCAGATAAAACCCACTATAAAACATTTAAAAAACACGTTCATTAGATTTGGCAATTAGGAGGCCAATGACAACATCAGTGCAGCAGGAGGAGAGAAGGCAGATCGTAGAGGGTTGGGCAGTGAGGACTGAGAAGGACTGATAAAAAATATGGTAGATACACATGGACATGGAGAGTGGGATGATAGACAATGGAGACTCAGAAGGGTGAGGGGTGGGAGAAGGGTAGATGATGAGAAATTTCTTAATGGGTACAATGTATGTTATTCAGGTTATAGATACCCTAAAGTCTCTGACTTAACCACTGCATATGTAACAAAATTGCATGTGTACCCCATAAATTTATATAATTAAAAACATGTAGTATATACATTGAAGAAGCTTGGCTATGATGGGAAGGAGAGAGTGTTCCTTATAGACAGTAAGGCACAGGGGATAAAAAGGCTGTTTTATTTAATTTTGTTTTACTTTAAATATAAGAGATAGATGAGCCCATTTATGTGCAGATGGCATACAGCTTGATGATGCAAGGTCCCCGAGAAAGTCAGAGGGTGGGAGTGCCAGAGTGAAAGAGGAGAAAAGACTAGCCTTAGAGAAAAAGTGGTGGCTCTTCCATTGAAACAAGAGGATTCACCAATCCTCTTGGTAAAAACTATGGAGAAGGAAGTACCTGTGGAGGGACAGGATTTTGAGAGAGCCCCTCCGCCCCCAACAAGAGAGTGAAAGGTTCACCAGAGAGTAAAGAAGGCAAGAATGGTGAAGGGTTGGAATAGCATTTGAGAGAGACGAAAAGAGGAGTTCTTTAGGGGCATATCATCCAGGTTATGTATGTGTATTTCAAAATATCATGCTGTACACCATAAATAGACACAATTTTTGTCAAGTATACCTCCATAAAACTGGAAAAAAGTTTTAAAATGGCTTGGGTAACTTGAATTTGTCTCTGCCTCAAGTCGCAGAACCCTGTATCCATTCTGTCTGGCAGCACTCATCAGACCAGGAACAGAGTGTGGACAATCTAGTATGGGGAATTTTTTCCGGGTGGCCGTGACAGAAATAGGGAGAGGGCTGGAGATTGGATGGCCCTGGCAGAAGAATAGTTGAAATGATGGACCACTGTGGCTTTCATATTCATATCTGTGACTATCTAAACCTAACTTGACCTTGAGTAATTTTTAAGAAGTAGAAAATTTCCATGGCATCTACACTGCTTCTTGTTTGTAGCTCTATCGATTCAGGCATCAGAATACCATTAGTATCAGTGTCTTTAAACTCATCAGAAAGCGTGATTTGATTTACTGAGGGCCTATGTTGTGCCATGCTCTGTGTTGATTTACTGAGGATTTACGTTGCACCAACTGAGAGCCTACAGTCAGGATCCTACAATGTAGATTTATCCATCTATCCATCCATCAACCCAGCTAGATGCTTGAGGTATGGCTGAGAAGAAGGTAGACAATGGCCATTTTTCTCCTGGAACTTATTTCGGCAGGGGAAGTGTATATTAAATATTGTATCACATAATTTTTTAATTACAATTGTGATAAGTTCTGTGAAGTTCAGTTTTCTTAGAAATCAGATTGTCACATTGCTTTTTAACAGGCCTTACTAATTTACATTTGCCAACAAAATATGAGAATATCTCTTAAATCCTTTTTAAAAACTGAAAATTGTCTTTCTGAAATTTTGCTGAATTAATAAGCAAACATAAAAAAATCTTTATTGCCAGTAAGAGTGAAACTTTTTCTTTTTGATGTGTATTGGCCATGTGATTTTTCCCCTTTAAGAATTATCTATTCACGCTCTCTGTCTATTGGATACTTACCTCTTCTTGTTTTTAATAGATCTCTCATTCCATGTTTGAAACCATTAGCTACACTTCTCTCCTTTCTCTCTTAGCCCTGGTGACCTTAAAATATTTTCCCCTAGTCTCTACGGCCATTCCCTTTTGATCTCCTGTGAAATTTTTTTCTTACCTAGAAGTGTTGCTGTGCTTAGGGATGGGACTACATTTTTATTACTTGACTCAATAAAAGGTAACATATAAATCTTCTGTTCCTGCTTATCCCACTCTCCAGAGGTAACAATGTTAAGATTGTATTTCTTTCTAGACATTTTTCCATTCATCCATGATCCAATCTGTCTAAAATGTAAACAAATAAAAATGGAATCATAATATATATGATTTGCAATTTTTTTAATTTAATATGCTTTCAGTGTCAGTATATATAGAACTACAGTACCTTCTTCTTTTTTTTTTTTTCTTTTTTCTTTTTATTGATCATTCTTGGGTGTTTCTCGCAGAGGGGGATTTGGCAGGGTCACAGGACAATAGTGGAGGGAAGGTCAGCAGATAAACAAGTGAACAGAGGCCTCTGGTTTTCCTAGGCCAGAGGACCCTGCGGCCTTCCGCAGTGTTTGTGTCCCTGGGTACTTGAGATTAGGGAGTGGTGATGACTCTTAACGAGCATGCTGCCTTCAAGCATCTGTTTAACAAAGCACCTCTTGCACCACCCTTAATCCATTCAACCCTGAGTGGACACAGCACATGTTTCAGAGAGCACAGGGTTGGGGGCAAGGTCACAGATCAACAGGATCCCAAGGAAGAAGAATTTTTCTTAGTACAGCACAAAATGAAAAGTCTCCCATGTCTACCTCTTTCTACACAGACATGGCAACCATCCGATTTCTCAATCTTTTCCCCACCTTTCCCCCCTTTCTATTCCACAAAACCGCCATTGTCATCATGGCCCGTTCTCAATGAGCTGTTGGGTACACCTCCCAGACGGGGTGGTGGCCGGGCAGAGGGGCTCCTCACTTCCCAGTAGGGGCGGCCGGGCAGAGGCGCCCCTCACCTCCCGGATGGGGCGGCTGGCCGGGCGGGGCGCTGACCCCCCCCACCTCCCTCCTGGACGGGGCGGCTGGCCGGGCGGGGGAGCTGATGACCCCCCCACCTCCCTCCCGGACGGGGCGGCTGGCCGTGTGGGGGGCTGACCCCCCCCACCTCCCTCCCGGACGGGGCGGCTGGCCGGGCAGAGGGGCTCCTCACTTCCCAGCAGGGGCGGCCGGGCAGAGGCGCCCCTCACCTCCCGGACGGGGCGGCTGGCTGGGCGGGGGGCTGACCCCCCCCACCTCCCTCCCGGACGGGGCGGCTGGCCGGGCGGGGGGCTGACCCCCCCACCTCCCTCCCTGACGGGGCGGCTGGCCTGGCGGGGGCTGACCCCCCACCTCCCTCCCGGACAGGGTGGCTGGCCTGGCGGGGGCTGACCCCCACCTCCCTCCCGGACGGGGTGGCTGCCAGGCGGAGACGCTCCTCACTTCCCAGACGGGGTGGCTGCCGGGCGGAGGGACTCCTCACTTCTCAGACGGTGCGGCTGCCGGGCGGAGGGGCTCCTCACTTCTCAGACGGGGCGGCCGGGCAGAGACGCTCCTCACATCCCAGACGGGGCGGCAGGGCAGAGGCGCTCCCCACATCTCAGACGATGGGCGGCCGGGCAGAGACGCTCCTCACTGCCTAGATGGGATGGCGGCCGGGATGAGGCGCTCCTCACTTCCTAGATGGGATGGCGGCCAGGCAGAGACACTCCTCACTTCCCAGATGGGGTGGCGGCCGGGCAGAGGCTGCAATCTCGGCACTTTGGGAGGCCAAGGGAGGCGGCTGGGAGGTGGAGGTTGTAGTGAGCCGAGATCACGCTACTGCACTCCAGCCTGGGCACTATTGAGCACTGAGTGAACGACACTCCGTCTGCAATCCCAGCACCTCGGGAAGCCAAGGCTGGCGGATCACTCGTGGTTAGGAGCTGGAGACCAGCCCGGCCAACACAGCGAAATCCCATCTCCACCAAAAAAATACGAAAACCAGTCAGGCGTGGCGGCGCGCGCCTGCGATCGCAGGCACTCGGCAGGCTGAGGCAGGAGAATCAGGCAGGGAGGTTGCAGTGAGCCGAGATGGCAGCAGTACAGTCCAGCTTCACCTCTGCATCAGAGGGAGACCGTACCTTCTTCTTTTTAACAAAGGCACAATATTCCCTAATATGTGTGTACAATAACTAGTCAGTTTCCTTTGATGGATGTTTATGTTCTTTAATTTTTTTTTTTTTGCTGTTTCAAATATTGAGCATCCTCAGAATATATATTTGTGAATTTACTTGAATATCAGCAGAATAAGTTTCTCAAAATGAAATGGCTATGTTAAAAATATGGTCAGTGGTACTAAAGATCCAGAGAAATCTAGGAAGACCAAGAACTGTCTATTGGATTTAGGAAGTTCTTGGTGACCTTAGAGCAATTTCAGAGAACTGTGAGGCAGAAAGCTAAACTATGGTGGGTTGAGAAATGATTGGAGAGATGAGGAAGTGAAGGCAGTGATTATGTACAATTCCTTAGAGAAATCTGTCTGGCTTTGAAGAGCAGAGAAAGGGTAGTAGCAAGGAAGGAGTTGAGATTGAGGACCTGTTATTTATTTATTTATTTATTTATTTAGGAAGGACTTGAGTTCCTTTAAAGGCTGGTGGGAAGGAGGGACTAATTAATAGAGCAAAATCCTTGGAAGGCAAAGTCCTTATGCCAGATGGGAGGGGATCCAGATTGAGGTAGAGGATTATCCTCAATAGGCATAGATGAAAGTAGGTTCATAGATTTGGCGGCAGGAACTTGTCTGATGGTATTTCTATTTCTCTATGATATAATAGTTAAGGCCAACCTCTTAGAGCAGGGGTTAAGATGGGACAAGGTTTGAGTTAGATATTTGTGGTATTTGAAGAAGGTTTGAAATAGTTATTGTGGAGAACAGGAGAGCAGCCTAGGGAAGCATAGTTGCAGTGCCAGGCAGGGTTAAGATGAGCTTGGTGACCAAGAATTCATATGGATAATAATCTACCAGAGTGTGATTTTTTTTTCTCCAGTAGATCTCAGGAGTCCTTGTGCATGCATAAAGTATAACAGTTGGGCTTAGAAGAGCTATGGTTTTTTAAATCAGATATTTGCAGTGAAATTATGCATTATTGAGGATATTGACAAGAGTGCAGTTGAAACAATAGAATTGGCTGGGTGCGGTGGCTCACACCAGTAATCCCAGCACTTTGGGAGGCTGAGGCGGGTGGATCACCTGAGGTTAGGAGCTCGAGACCAGTCTGGCCAACATGGTGAAACCCCATCTCTACTAAAAATACAAAAATTAGCCGGGCATGGTGGCGCACACCTGTAATCCCAGCTACTTGGGAGGCTGAGGCAGGAGAATCGCTTGAATCCAGGAGGCAGTGGTTGCAGTGAGCCAAGATCATGCCACTGCACTCCAGCCAGAGCAATAGAGAAAAAGTCTCAGAAAAAAAAAAGAGAAAGAAACAATAAAATTTAAATGTTATTGGGAAGGAAGTAAAGATGGGAAGGAGCTGAGGAGGTGAAAGCAGAAGGGTCTATGGAAGACTGCCCCCATCCAAGAAATCTGAGAACAGGAATGGGGCTAGTTGGGGGGCTCATTGGCTGAATAGGCTAGAAGCACAGCAGGTTGTGGTCAGAGAGGGGGTGTTGAATCAGTGATATCAAAGGTGGAGAAGTCCTAGATGATAAGCTCTTGGGTGTGGCTGAATATGATATATGGTATTCTTGATGCCAGCTCATTCATTCAACAAATATTTATTTTGTGCATATTATGATCCAGGCAGTGCTCTAGGCACCAAAGGTACAGAAATGAACAAAACAAAGTCCCTTCTGTCATACAGCTTACAATCTAGTGGGGGAGATTATTTTTATAAACTAAAAGAACATCCTTATTGATGTGCTGATTCCTGTATGTGTAGCTTTATTTGTAACTAATGATAATACCAGGATCAAATATTTACATATATGGGGGCTAAGAAGGTCCATCTAGGCATTTTGAGTATCTTGCTTTATCTCAAGTTATACTTACTGAATTATGAAAACTCATACCTCTTTTCCCCTTAGAACTTTTTAAGGTATTTTTACTTACTATGTCAGTATTGAAAATAAACAAATATATACAAATCTAATTTGAATATTTCATTGGTTTTAATTTTTTATACTGTATTTTTTAAAAATATTAGGATATTGCTTCAAGCTGTAGACCAGATGTTGATAATGCATGTACTAATCTTGCTCTAGGGATTTGATGTAATGTGTAAAGTAATTATGGTTAAGCAGTTTAGGAGGGAAAGAGGGCTTGTAATAAGTTAATATTTTATGTTTATTTTTATATTATTCTCCAATTTATTTTATTATTTATACCTACCTTTTAATGTACATATGGTCATGTATATATTTATTAATATTTTATTTGAAAGAAATAAGCATTTATTTGGCATCTTATAGGCCTCAAGTAACACTTTAAAATTACCTGCCACGTATGCAATTCAATTTAAATTCAACTACAGGTTATTTTTTATTGTTTTAAGGTTTCTGTGGCCATAGCCAGATCACAGCATCCCTAAAATTAAAAAGAAACCAAATGCATGAAATCACAGTTATGTGTGAGCATGGGCTGGATTAGTCATGAACCATGATGATTTCACATTTAAGGGGACTGTGTGGGTAATTTTTAGGTGACATGGTCTGCAAGAAATAATCAGATGCCAGTTAGAGTTCAGTTTAGAAATCCCCACCATCTGTGATCCCAGCAGGAGAAGAGGGTCTTCCCTGCGGGGGTGCTGCATTATCAAAGCTTGTTGACTAAGGAAAGATAATAGTGTTCTGCGTGGGAGGTGATGAGGCTTATTGAAAAATAACAATGTGTCAGCTCTCACTGGACTTAAAAATGTTTTGTACATATAAATGACCTAGATTTTAAAACAGTCCATTCTTTTAGTTGGGGATTTTAGATTTTTTAAAAATCTAAAAAATGGGGCTGTCAAGGAAGGGGCTTTTGGCAGAGAAGAGGGTAAACTGGCCATCCTGCACCCATCAGCCTATGAGGCTCTTGTGTCTGGCTCATGTTAGAGGAAGCTTCAAATGTAGATTTTGAAAGCTGGAAAGCTAAATGGGATTTGTTTTAATATATGTATTTTCCCTGTTGCCAAGTAGGGTGTTTGGACACATGGTCTTTATAATATTTTAGAGTTACTTCTATGTATCACATTTATGGAAATCTGCCTTCTAGGATTGGTGGTGGGTTTAAGGCACCTTCTAGAGTTGCTGAGGAGCAGGGGACAAACGTGTAGAATCATGAAGGACCACATTTCCACATATCCAAAACAACCATTCTGCAGGAGAAATGAATATATAGTATTAAGATATCTGACTTCCTTCTGGGACTTGTTTTAGAGTTGTATATATTATTTTAAGTGGGAATTTCTACAAACCATTTATGAACAGAATTTGTTGGTATTGAAAGGTAGCTATGTGGATTCCATCTGGAGGAAATTGTCCCCACATATGATTCTAAGAGCTAACAAAAGAGGCATTTTAGTTACTACCACTGCCTTCTTCCACCCTGCTGCCCACCCCCACCCCCTGCCCCACCATTATGCACCTGCCATCTTTTAGGATGGATGTCCTGGATGAGGGGAATGAGTTATTGTCTTGTGTATAATGTTGCTTTGAGCTAGAGTTGCTCTGGCGTGTTACACATATTGCAGGAGGAGGTCAGGGGTCTGGGAAAGTAAGCCAGACTGAGGGCCTCTCAAACATTGTGTTTGTTATTAGCTGAAGACTTTTAGAAACCCCACCTCAAGTTCCTGAGGTTGATGTTCCCTTTTCCAAAAATCACCATATAGAGCAATATTGCCAGAATATGAAGAGACAGTATAATGTAATGTAACGGTTAAGAGCTTGGACTCTGGAACCAGACGGCCTGGGTCCAAAAACCAGACTGTCACAGGGCATGTGACCTTGAGCAAGTTATTTGCTCAATCTGTGCCTCACTTTCCTCATTTGTAAAGTGGACATAATAATTTAGTACCTACCTCATAGTGTGATTGTGAGGACTAAATAAAGTGCTTAGAAGAGTGCATGGTACATAATAAACATTATAGAAGTGTTAACTATCATTGTCATCATCTTCATCAGTTGGTGGATATCTTAAAAGGAGTGAAAACCGGCCAGGTGAGATGGCTAATGCCTGTAATCCCAGCACGTTGGGAGGCCGAGATGGGCAGATCACGAGGTCAGGCATTTGAGACCAGCCTGGCCAACATGGTGAAACCCTGTCTCTACTAAAAATACAAAAATTAGCCGGGTGTGATGGCACACACCTGTAATCCCAGCTACTGGGAGGCTGAGGCAGGAGAATCCCTTGAACCCAGGAGGCGGAGGTTGAGGTGAGCTGAGATGGCGCTGCCTAACTCCAGCCTGGGCAACAGAGTGAGACTCCATCTCACACAAAAAAAAAAAAAGGAGTGAAAAGCACAAAATGCCTCAGCACATGCAAACTCTACTTTTGTAGAATCTATTTTGAAAAGGATCGTAGGGAGCCAAAACCTTACTGCAAAATCAGAATTTTGTAAAATTAAGAGCTAGTTGTAAATTTCTCATTGTTAGGGAAAAATACAGCTTTGCTCCCATACAACTTTTGAGAATGGATTTGTGAAGGCAGGCCCTAGGGGATTTTATGTGAGGCATAGATGTGCTCCATGGATGGACAGGTGAGGGTCTAGACCCCAGCTGACTCCTAGGAAGCCTCAGTTGCCCTTTGGTTTTGGAGCCTTGATACTGACTCTACCAGTTTGTCTCCACTCCTATTTTTCTTCTTTTTGATCCTATTTTTAAAATTTATGATATTTTTTGATGTTTTATGAATCTTTGTAAGTCACTTTAAATCCTGTCTGGAACAGTGTATAAATAAATATCCTTTAAACTGATCATATCTAATTACTAACATTTGCTTCATATTTATGCTTGTCAGCCTCCCTCCATGCAGAGAGGTACGGTGACCTTCCATCTAGGCAAGAATACTGATTAGATTTCTCAAATTTCATAGAAAGATGTCAAAACTGCCATATGCTCATATATTTTCCAAAGCATATGGTTAATAATAATTAAAACTAAACAGCTACCAATATTGGGTGCTTACTCTAGGCCAGGCACTATGCTATGCCTTTTACTCATGATGCATGCTTGAATCCTCAAAGCCATAGGCAGGAGCTCTTATTATTAATCCTCATTTTTACAAATGGGGAAACAGACTCAAGGAGGTTAAATAACTTGCCCAAAGTTAATTCAGGGAAAAAGCAAAGCTGTGATTTTAACCCAGGCAGCTCAGATCCAGTGCTTTTAAGCACAATTCTATGCTATACTGTCCTTAATTAGAAATCTAGCACATCAGAACTCCAAGTCCTAGTATAAGAGGCCGTACTTGTGTTACAGAACATTCACAGGTCCTGCAGATTTTCTCTCCGTGTAATGTCTTTAATATGCCCCTTTCCATCTCTAGTGCCACTGCCCTCTACTCTTGGCTCTTGTTATCTTTCCCCTGGATTTATGCCACAGCCTCCTCAAATCCATAGTCTGCAAAATTGTCAGTGTGCCCTAACAAGTCCTTGCTTTACATAAAACTCTTCAATGATTTCTGTTGTCAAAGGCTAATTAGCCGTGTTTTTGCGCGTAGCATATGGAGCACCCGCCAGCCACACATGATGTGATTCCCCACCTGCCTCTTCCGCATTCTCCCTTACAATTTAAACCAACCAGCATCATTGTATTACTTGCTCATACCACGTTGCTTTATGCCTCCATGCTTTTGTAAGTGCTACGCACTTTGCCTGGAAAGCCCTCGTTCTCCTGCTTATCCAGCTGAAAAACATTAATTTACAATCAGTTCATGTGCTACTGCTGGATATTCTCTTTCTAGTTCCCTTTCCCCAAGCTGAATTATGTGCCCTCCCTTGGTATTCTTATAATATCTCATGCATATATTTCTTTGGTTACCATGTTTTTTTTTTAGGATTATTTAAGTGTCTCTGTTACTAAACTGTGAACTCTGTGGGCATGGACTAGCTCTGTTCTTTTCTTCTTAGCCAGCTAGTGTACCGCTTAGCACATAGTTGGCCCTCCTAACTAGTGAGCATTCTGTAACAGTGCAGAATACAGAGCTCTAGGACAGGGAAAGAAGTAAGATTTGGAAGGCCTGAAACTGTGCACACATTCAAAGATAATTACCAGGACAGCAGAAGGAGCTCTTGCAGAAAAATCTTTGGGGCCAGGTAATTTACATTATTTAACCCAAGAGCCAGAAAGGATGTGGGGAGATGGGAGCTGGGGTCTGAATCCAAAGGGAACTTTGAAACTTCTAAGAAGCCAGACTTAGCAGCTTTATAAATTGAAACTTCCTTGAATTTGTCTGAGTAGCCTGGAATAGGTATCTAAGACAGTTACATTTTAATAAGAATATTTATAGTTTTCTAGGAGAGACATCACCCTAAAATTGAAAGGGGCAGTTGATACAATAACCAACACAATATCCCAAAGCAATTATTTTATTGACTGTAAGCAATGTTGTATGCTCATGCAAATGTTACCAGTAAGATGTTATCCATTGGTATTTTTGTGCATAGGTGGCTGGATCCAGACAAGGGGATTTTAGGAAGCCCTGCATCCCTGGAAGCTTTCTTTTCTACTTGAGTTTTTTTCTTTTTTTTTTTTTTTTTTTTAAGTTTTGCAGACCACCATATACTCTGGATTTGGTTTCATTTTTCCGTGCTCTAAAATCAACTTTTTTTTTTTTTTTTTTTTTTTTTTTTTTTTTTGAGATGGAGTTTTGCTCTTGTTGCCCAGGCTGGAGTGCAGTGGTGTGATCTCAGCTCACCGCAACCTCTGCCTCTCAGGTTCACGTGATTCTTCTGCCTCAGCCTTCCCGAGTAGCTGGGATTACAGGCATGCACCACCATGCCAGGGTAATTTTGTATTTTTAGTAGAGACGGAGTTTCTCCGTGTTGGTCAGGCTGGTCTTGAACTCCCAACCTCAGGTGATCCGCCCGCCTCGGCCTCCCAAAGTGCTGAGATTACAGACGTGAGCCACCGCTCCCGGCCAAATCAACTCTTTTACCTTTAGATTATCAAATAACTAGTCCCCCGCCCATCGGTACTAGATTTTGCTACCTTTTAGGGCTATGCTTCACCCATGTTCTGGAAACCCACACAAATAATACGTATTAGTTTTGACAGTACTTTAGCTTGATCTGCTTTAGATGCTGTCATTGCCTTTGTCACAATTAGTTAATAGAGTCCACTTTTTTTTTTTTTTTTTTTTTTGAGAGAGAGAGAAAAGGTCTTATTCTGTCACCCAGGCTGGAGTGCAGTGGCCCAATCTTGGCTCACTGTAGCCTTGACCTCCCGGGCTCAGGTGATCCTCCCACCTCAGCCTTCCAAGTAGCTGGGATTACAGGCACATACCACCACACCTGGCTAATTTGTGTGTGTGTCTGTGTCTGTGTGTGTGTAGAGAGATGGGGTTTCACCGTGTAGTCCAGGCTGGTCTCAAACTCCTGGGCTCAAGAGATCCTCCCACCTCGGCTTCACAAATTGCTAGGATGAGCCACCTCACCTAGCCTAGAGTCCACTTTTGAATGTGTCTTATGACAGCAAAAATTCTTATTCATTATGCTGTACTACTTGCATAAGAGCAACTGCATTACAATCATCAGAATGATTTATTCTTTCCTAATTAACATACATCATATCTCTATGCAAGCAGAATCATGAAAATATATGGCAATTTGTAGAATAGTTTCCCTTAACCAGCCTTTAAGTAAAGGACTTCCTAGCTTTTTTGATTACTCACCTTTATCACCCCAAATTTTTATCACTCCTAAAATAAGTATTTATAAACTACATTATTTACCACTGTATTGGTCATATATTATAAAGCATGCACAGGCCAGGTGTGGTGTCTCATGCCTGTAATCCCAGCCCTTTGGGAGGCCGAGGCAGGAGGATCACTTGAGTCTAAGAGTTCGAGACCAGCCTGGGCAACATGGTGAAACCCCATCTCTACAAAAAATAAAAACAAAGTAGCCAGGTGTGGTGGCTTGTGCCTGCAATCCCAGCTACTGGGGAGGCTGAGGTGGGAGAATTGCTTGAGTCCAGGAGGTCAAGGCTACACTGAGCTACGATTGTGCCGCTGCACTCCAGCTTGGGTGACAGAGTGAGACTCTGTCTCAAAGAAAAAGCACAAAAATGGAAATAAAGAAGGATGAGAGATTAAATGAACTTTTAAAAAATAATTCTAATATTTATTAATGGTACAATAACCTTTGCTCTCATTTTGATGAGGCCAGTGACATTAAATGTGCTTCATTTAAACAAAATTTTGGTTTATGATACAGCTACTTGAACATCTGATTCTAACTTCTGTTTATTTTTATACTTGATTTTAATGACTGATGCCTCACAAAGTATATACATTTTAAAATAAAAGAAGTATATTGTTTGGATGCACTTACTAAATAATCATACTCATATTACAGTTCCAGGCACCAGTTATGCAAACATTTTATTGCTGTTCCTGAACCTGCTGTCTTTTATGTTTTTGACAAATTGAAAAGTTAAAACGTGAAACATCTTTTAGATAACAAAACTGTGTAGTAAGGGAAATATTTCAAACCTACTCTGTATTGTTTATTCTCTATTAAAAAACCTTGGCCAGGCACGGTGGCTCACGCCTGTAATCCCCGCACTTTGGGAGGCTGAGGTGGGCAGATCACGAGGTCAGGAGATCGAGACCATCCTGGCTAACACGGTGAAACCCTGTCTCTACTAGAAATACAAAAAATTAGCCGGGTGTGGTGGCGGGTGCCTGTAGTCCCAGCTACTCGGGAGGCTGAGGCAGGAGAATGGCGTGAACCCAGGAGGCGGAGCTTGCAGTGAGCCAAGATCGTGCCACTGCACTCCAGCCTGGGCAACAGCAAGACTCCATCTCAAAAAAAAAAAAAAAATCTTGACATAAAATATTTTAGTGTTTCAATTAATTTAAAGGCTCCTAGTGTCTTGTAGGTATTCTGGGATTGGAAAACATGATTACAAGAAGAAAGTTTAGTTACATTTAATATTAAAATGTTTAAAAACATTTTATTGAACTACAATAGACAAATTATATATAAAGTATACAATTTGACAAATTTTGACATCTGTATATATCCATGAAACTATCACCAGAATTAAGATATTGAACATCTATCACCTCCAAAAGTTTCCTTGTGCCATGTTGTAATCCTTCCTTCTTGTCCCTGTGTGCTATTACCCTCCTTACCCCCGTCAACTCCTGAAACCACTGATTCTGTTTTCTGACACTATGTATTTTCTAGAATTTTATATAAATGAAATCATACAGTGTTTTTTTTTTGCCTGACTTATTTCAGTCAGCATAATTATTTTGAGATTCGTTCATGTTGCTATGTGTATCAGTAGTTCATTCTTCTCTATTGCTAAGTAGTATTCCATTGCATGGGTATACTACAATTTGTTTATCCATTTACCTCTTAGTAGGCATTTGGGCTGTTTCCAGATTTGGGCTATTACCAATAATGCTGTTAACATTTCCATGCAAATCTGTGTAGGCATATGCTTTTTTTTTTCCCCCTTTTGAGGCAAAGTCTCACTCTGTTGCCCAGGCTGGAGTGCAGTGGCGCAATCTTGGCTCACTGCAACCTCCACCTCCCAGGTTCAAGCGATTCTCCCACCTCAGCCTCCCAAGTAACTGGGATTACAGGCATGCACCACCACACCCAGCTAAGTTTTGTTTTTGTTTTCTTTTGAGACGGAGTTTCCCTCTTGTTGCCCAGGCTGGAGTATAGTGGCACGATCTCAGCTCACTGCAACCACCACCTCCCTGGTTCAAGCTATTCTCCTGCCTCAGCCTCCCAAGTAGCTGGGATTACAGGTGCCTGCCACCACACCTGGGTAATTTTTTGTATTTTTAGTAGAGACGGGGTTTCACCATGTTGATCGGCTGGCTTCAAATTCCTGACCTCAAGCGATCCGCCCACCTTGGCCTCCCAAAGTGCTGGGATTGTGGGTGTGAGCCACCACGTCCGGCCTACGTATGCTTTTGCTTTTCTTGGATAAATACCAAAAGTGGAAAGCCTGGGTCATATGGGAGATATATGTTTAACTTTTTAAGAAACTGCTAAGCTGTTTTCCAATATGGCTATACCATTTCACATTCCCACTGTAGTGTATGAGAGTTCCAGTTGCTTCAAATGCCGGCCAACATTTGGTGCATTTTAAATTTTGGTCATTCTAATAAGTATGTAGTGATATCTCATTGTGGTTTTAGTTTGCATTTCCCTAATGATTAATGATGTTGATCATGTTTTCATGTGTTTATTTGCTATTTGTATATCTTCTTTGGTGATATGTTTATTCATATCTTTTGTCTATTCATATCATTGTCTATTTTTTAAATTTGTGTTTTTAAAAATATTGTAGAGTTCTGAGAGTTCTTTATATATGCTGGATATAAGTCCTTATCAGATATACTAGTTGCAAATATTTTCTTCCAGTATACTGCTTATCTTTTTATTTTCTAATAAAGTTCTTACAAAGCAGAGGTTTTAAATTTTGATGAAGCCTAATTTATCAAGTTCTGGATCACGTTTTACGTGTCATGTCAGAAATGCTTGCTTTTTTTGTTTCATATGGATATCTAGTTTTTCCAGCACTACTTGTTGAAAAGACTGCCATTTCTCCACTAAACTTCCCTTAACCTTTATTTAAAAAATCAAGTGACTATAAACATGAGGGCTTATTTCCATACTCTCTATTCTGTTCGTTTATTTGTCTGTCTTCCTGCCCAGTACCACATTGACTTGATTACTGTGGATTTATAGTGTCTCTTAAAATCAGGTTAAGTTTCCGCTTTGTTCTACCATATGTTTTGAACCTCACAATATATCGTTATTTTTCCTTTAAACGGTCGATTATATTTTAAAAGAGATTTAAATAATAAGAAAAAAGTATTTTTACCTACATTGTTACCATTGCATGTGCTCTGTATCCCTTTTTGTAAACCTATATTTCTGTGCAGTACCATTTTCTTTCTGCTTCAAGGACTTCCTTTAACACTTTTTATAGTGCAGGTCTGCTGGTGATTAATTCTTTCAACTTTTGCATGTCTGAAAAAGTCTTTATTTCACCTCTGTTTTTGAATGATATCTTGCTGGGTGTAGAATTCTATCTAGGTTGATGGTTGTTTTTTTTCTTTCAGTATTTTAGAGAGGTTGTTCTGTCTTTACACTTGCATTGATTCCAATGATAAATTTGCTTTTATCATTATCTTTGTTCATCTGTATATATATAATGTGTCCTTCCCCAAGACCCCAACCCCACCCCACCCCACCACTCTAGCTTCTTTTAAGATTTTCCCATTGTTTCTGGTTTTAAGCAATTTATGGTGTGCCACATGGTATATTTTTCTTTATGTTTCTGGTGCTTTATGTTCATAGAGCTTCTTGGATCTGTGAGTTTATAGTGTTCACCAAATTTGGGCCATTATTTTTGGTGACATCAATGACATGTATAGAAGGTAGCTTGATGTTGTCCCATAGCTCATTAATTCCTTTTTCTTTTTTTCAGTTTTTTCTGTGTTCCATTTTGAATAATTTCTATTGCTATGTCTTCAAGTTCTTAACTCTTTTCTACTGTAATGTCCAATTTGCTGTTAATCCCAACGAGTGTGTTTTTCATCTCAGACATTGTACCTTTTATCCATAGGTTTGATTTGAGTCTTTTTACATCTCCCATGTCCCCTGCCTAGCTTTTTGAACATATAGAATGCAGTTATAATAACTGCTTTGATGACTTTGTTTACTAATTCTAACATTTGTGTCAGTTCTTGGTCTTTTTGATTGATTTTTCTCATTATTATGGATCATATTTTCTTGCTTTTTTGCATGCCTGTTAGTTTTTTACTGGGTACCAAATATTATGAATTTGACCTTGTTGAGTACTGCATATTTTTGTATTACTATAAGTATACTTGCTCTCTGTTCTGGGATGCCCTTAAATTACTTGGATACAGAGTGACCCTTTCAGGTTTTGCTGTTTAGATTTGTTAGGCAGGACCAGAGCAGTGCATAATCTGGGCTATTTCCCACTACTGAGGCAAGACCCTTCTGAGTCCTTCAGCTAGTGTCCCGTGAATCATGACGTTTTCCAATTTGGCTGGCGGAAACAGGCACTATTCTTAGCCCTGTGTGAGTGACAGGCATTGTTCTTTTGAATCCTTTCAGGTAGTTCTTTCCCTGGCCTAGAGTAATTTCCTCACAGGCATACCATGGGCTAATCAGTCCTTTGCTAAACACTTGAGTGAAACCTTCTGCAGGCCTCTGAAGATCTCTTTCTCTTTCTGTGGAGCTCTCTCAGGTCCTCTGTCCTATGAACTCCAGCTACCTGGTTTTTTTCCCAGACTCTCAGCTCTGTCTCCAGAACTCAGGGAGTTCACTAGGCTCTACCTGGGTTCTTCCTTTCTGTACCATTATCTGGAAATTCTCTTAAGACAGTAAGCTGGGAAAATCAAAGGGCTCACCTTATGTGTTTTCCATCTCAGAAATCATAATCCTTCATTGCCTGATGTTCAGTGATTTGAAAACCATTGTTTCATGTATTTGGTACATTTGTTGTTGTTGTTATTGTTTCAGGCAGGGTGGAAATTCATTCCACCTTGACATTTTATAATCTCCAATTATGACCAATTAAAATTTGTAGCCCAATTTAAATTCTCATCTTTCGAAAAAAGTGTAGACACCATCACATTTCTTGACGTAGCTAAATCAGTTCTGAATACCCATGTTCAAAAGTATACAGAATCTGGCATGCAGCAGTATAAATCTCACATCAGTATAAAACTCATTGATCAGTTTCGGTGTAAAACATAGTATCATTTTAAAAAGAGCAGTTTAATTCAGGCTTCTTGGTTAAATGAATATATTTTGAAAGACTCTGGTTCACTTTTTCATGTTCAGTGAGGTATTGTCCATTGTCCTTAGCCTAAACAGCAAAATACTTTTATTACATCACTTTGGCAGGATATGATAATCCATTAGAATGTATTTGCAAAACCATCATATAATTACTACTTATAACTTTAGAGAATAATTTAATATCAGTTCAGCCTTTTGGCCCTTGAGCATGGGTCAATTTTTAAGAAAATCTTCTGTCATCTATAAGGCTGTCAGCATGGTTCCTCACTTCAAAAACAGTGGCCTGTGATTAATGCATTAAAATTAATCACTATAAATTCATCCATGTACCCAAAAACTACTTGTACCCCAAAAGCTATTGAAATAAAAAAATTTAAAGAACAATAACAATAGCCTGAAACTTTAACTGACGTCTAGACAGTTTAACTCACAATTCATCTGCATTCTTTAAAAGAAAATAAATGTCATTTTCTAAGACCTAGTTAAGTCCGAAAGCACAAATGAACATATACAAACTGACAAAAATAGGTAACACTTAGCATTCTTTGTGTTCTCATTACTTTAAGCACTTTACGTATTTTAAAAACTCATTTAATCTTTATAAAAACAAGCCCCAAAGGATAGGTACAATTTTTATCTTCATTTTGCAAGTGAGGAAATTGAGGTACTGAGAGGATTAGTAACTTACCCAAGGTCACACAGCTAGTAAATGTGGAAGTTGGGATTCAAGTTCAGGCAGTCTGGCTCAATTCCAAGCTTTTTGTTTGTTTGTTTTATGGACACAGAGTCTCACTCTGTCGCCCAGGCTGGAGTGCAGTTGCACCATCTTGGCTCACTGCAACTTCCGCCTCCCAGGTTCGAGCCATTCTCTGCCTCAGCGTCCTGAGTATCTGGGACTACAGGCGCAAGCCACCATGCCTGGCTAATTTTTTTTTTTTTTTGTATTTTTTGTAGAGACAGGGTTTCACCATGTTGGCCAGGCTGGCCTCAAACTCCTGGCCTCAAGTGATCCACCCGCCTTAGCCTCCCAAAATGCTGGGATTGCAGGTGTGAGCCACCCACCTGGCCCAGAGTCCAAGCTTTTAACCACAGCTCACACACTGCCTCAGGAAAACAAAAACATTTTTCTCTCAGCTCTATTACAGCTCTTCAATTTCCATGGGTTTAAGTTTAAACATGTAAACACAGATAGATTTCTGGGTAAAGACATTCACTAGACTTTTGTTGAACTCATACTGTGTGTCACACACTGTGCCAAGCTCCTGGGGCTATGATATCCAGATATAGTACCTACCTTCAAAGAGGTTACGTCTGGTAGATGTTTCTAGTTTGAGCATAAGTACCATATATTACCATCTTCACTTTTATGTGTGGCCTGCATGCAACACAGCAAAATCTGTTGTATTTGCTGTCCAGGGCAGGGACATTACTTGTGTCTTCCTAATTCACATCAGTTTTCATTTTGGGAACACCAATGATTACTTTTAATCTGAGTACTATTCTTACAAGGAATTCTATATTTTAGTCATCTTTTTAATATTCTAGTCTCATGCCCAAGGTCATATAGCTAAAAATAGCAGAGCTAGGATTTGAACCCAAGTCTGTCTTTCACCACTATTTTCATTATTCTATGCTTCCTGTCAAGTTTTGCCTAGCTTTTCATTTTTAAAATTGGTCTTTAGAATTTGAAATAATTTGAGATAGCTCACCCATCCCCTTCTTGAAAACCAGTTGTGTTAGTGTTTATTTTCATTCATTGTTATTATTTCTCAATCATTAGGATTAGGATATAGACTGGATATATCTAGTTGGATATGGAATTCTACATATGTCCTTTAGATCAAGCTTATTGTGTTGTTCACCTTGTCTACATATTTACTAATTTTTCATCTGTTATACTATCAGTAATTGAGAGAGGTATGGTAACTTCCCATTTTTATGGTAGATTTAGTTTTTCCTTTGGTTTTGTAAGTATTTGCATTAACATATTATCCTCATTTTTTAGTAGTAAATATGTATAATTGCTAAGTAAGCCATCTTTTCTTTTTTTTAATTTTTTTTATTATACTTTAAGTTCTGGGATACCAGAATGTGCAGGTTTGTTACATAGGTATACACGTGCCATGGTGGTTTCCTGCACCCATCAACCCGTCATCTACATTAGGTATTTCTCCTAATGCTATCCCTCCCCTAGCCCCCCACCCCCGACAGGCCCCGGTGTATGATGTTCCCCTCCCTGTGTCCATGTGTTCTCGTTGTTCAACTCCCGCTTATGAGAGAACATGCGGTGTTTGGTTTTCTGTTCTTGTGATAGTTTGCTGAGAATGATACAAACCACCTTTTCTAAAATATATTTTTATGGGCATGGGTCCCACAAGGATGCTATATTAAGATACTTCATCTGAGTCTTGACACCTCAGGACTAACACAGAACAAGTTGTCCATCTGAGCTCAGATTCTGACACTCATGTTACCTGAGCCGTGGTCTTCTCAATAGATAATCTTGCCTTTTTGACTGTACACCTGGGACTGAATGTAATGAAGGGTCTTAAGTTTTCTTGGGCTTTGGTTTCTCTATTAAACCCTAGTAGCCATAAATTGGGAGTATCCGATTAGTCATAGCTTTTCTAACTTCACATCTATCTGGTTTTCTTATTATAACTGTATTTGTGCCTCCATTATTTTCCTGAGTTCTAGTTTTCAAAATATGATGTACTATTTACCATAAAAATATATCACTTGGTTTATTGCATATGAAAGCTGTATTTTTCTTTCATATTTTCCTTTTTGAATTTCTAGAGAACATTCTATGCCATAGTATGGGGAGTAGTGATGGTAGTGAGGTAGGAGGCAGGTATTTTCCTCTAAGATGTTAAGGATAGATTTAGTACCATTATGATCTCTTCTTTGACATGTGGGTTATTTAGAAGTGTCTTTATAAATTTTAAAAAAAAGTATTGTGATAAGAAATTACCTTATTTTAAATTGATTTCTTATTTAATTTAATTTCCTCGAAGTCAGAGACTGGTCTGTATGGGAAGGATTTTTTAAAAAAATTATGCAGACTTGCATTACAGCCTAGTACATGGTCAGTTTTGGGAGTAAATATTCTATATGTGCTTGAAAATAATGTAATTCTCCAGTTGGATATAGACTTTTTTTGTATTCCTATTAAATCAAGCTCATTTTGTTGTTCAACTTGTCTATATATTTACTAGTTTGTATCTGCTTGTACCATTCATAATTGCAACAACAAAGAAGTATATGTTAACCTCTCATTTTGATGGTTGATTTTTCAATTTCTCTCTTTTGTTCCTTTGTATATTTAGTGATGTTTTATTAGTGGGTGCATATTTATTATCTCTATGTAGTGATCTTATCTAACCTTTATAAAGCTTTTATTGTCTTTTTTACTTTTAGATATTAATATAGCTACCTCAGCTTTCTTTTGGCTAGCATTTACCTGGTATATCTTTTCCTATCTTTTTACTTTCAATTTTCCCTTCAATTTATGTTTTAGATGTGTCTCTCATAAATGGCACATAACTGGATTTTTTCCTTTTATCCAGTCTGTTAATTCCTGTATTTCAAAGGGTGAATTTTGCTCATATATGAGTTTCATATTCATTGATATACTTGAACTTGTTTTTACCATTTTACCTTTTGTTTTCTCTTTGTCTCAGTTTTTTCTGCACTTACCTTTGTCTTCTTGCCTTTTAATTTTTGTTCTTAATTTGTTTTCTGCTCCTCATTACTGATTCTGCAAGATCCCATTGCAAACAAGCTGGCTGTTAACAGGGTTAGTGTTGGAAACAACAGCAACCTATGGTGGAAGGTGGGGCTTGGGGTGGGATATGGCTTTTCTGAAAGGAGTCAGATTGGCAAGTGATGGGGAAGAGGAGGCAGGGAGCTGATAGAGTCCATGTCTGATGGTCTTACAAAAACCTTTTTACAAGTATGAGACAAGCATGTCTGATGGGACTGGAGGGAAGGGAAGTGGGAGTGTGAGATGAATGAAGGCTTGAATAGAACCCAAAGGGACTAGGTAAAGGAATTGAACAAGCATAAGTAACAGAATTTATGGGTGACAATGAGGGTTCAGCTGAGGTTGTAGACCAGGAATTATGTAGAACCTGGGTATAGGAGCAGACAAGGCAGGCTAGAGCATTAGCACAGGTTTGGGATTTTCATGGGCAGTTGTGGCAGAGGGATGAAGGTATATGGATATGGAAGGTACTGGTGAGAGTGGTTCAAATGTTGAGCCATCTGGAGTCCAGGATGGGTATGGGGGGAAGATAGATCAGCAGAAGGCAAGTGGACCAAGAGACAATGTGGGGCTCAAGAGACTGTGGTCTTGATAAAGTTGAAGAACAGATAGAGCAGGAGTGAGCTGTGGTTGGAAAGTGGGAATTCTTGAATTTAAGATTTCAGAGGGGGCAGTTCTGGTTGGTCAGGTCCATAAATGAAAAAGAAAGGGCAGATGTACAATATTGGTAGTTCCATTTTCTTAAGATACTATCTTTATTTCCTCAAGGATCTTCTTACTTCCCTGGATTTTGATATTACTTGGTCTCATTATTATGCCAACGTGCCTTTCTCATCACAATATTCTGCTGCCTCTCCACAAGCACCAGTTTTTAAATCTGATATGGTTCTCATTTCTAGTGTGCCTGTGCTATCCTTGCTTTTTAGCTGACAGGTAACTGATAATACCTCTTTTATCCAGGAGCCACTGATTTTTTTGCGCAGTGTTTCAGCCGTAATCACACATATGGGAATTCATTTCCACAATGCTTTTGATTTGTCTGTTTAGTACTTTATAGTTGCTTTGGTTATAATTCTGCCTAGACTGAGCCTGTAGAGCACCAACTCTGGTATCAGATTGCCTGGGCTTGAATCCCTGCAATTTCACTTACTTGCTCTTTATTCTTGGGCAAGTTAGCCTAACCTCTCCTGAATCCTAATCTATACAATGGGGGTAATAATAGTCACTCATTCTTGGTATTGTGGCAAGGATTAAATTAGTTAATATATGTTAGGTACTTGTTTGGCGTATAGTCAATTCTCAATAAAAGATACTGTTGGGGTGACAATGACAGTGATTGCAATATTGGCAGCATATGCAAAATTGCGTACCAGATATTGCATTAAGTGCTAGGGCAGATACAGAGGAGAAGATTGAAAAAGTCCTTGTTTTCATGGAGGGTATATATTCTCCTTGGGGATAAGAACTAAGAACACTTCCTCAAGACTGTCTAAGAAAGGGTGTGTGCAAGAGGCTTAACATCTTATAGTTCAATAAAGACCAGGAAATATACAAGTTGAGGAAATATTGAGGTTTCAGGAACCTGTATAGCTTTGCCGTGTTGTTTATGTTCTCCACTGTTTTGTAGGGAACTAGTAAAAAAAGAAAAAGAAAAAATAAAGTGAAAGAGGCGTGTTGTCTAGTTTCAAAGGAGAGGAGAGAAGGTAAGTGTGATTCTCATTTCCTTTTTCACTCTCTGTCTACCTTGGGCTCTTTGACTCCCATGACTACCAAGTGTATATTATCAGATACATTTTTTCTTCCTGAGGTCCAGCCCTGTGTCTCCAACTATTTCCTGGGCCCAGTTACCTGGATATCAAGTATGCAACACTAACTTAATAGGGTTAAAACAAAACTTTTTGCCTTACTTCCAAACCTGTTTCTTTCCTTACATCTTCTATTGCTATGAGGGCTGTCACTAGCCAGTCAGTTGTTTAATCTTGACTGTGAACTAGGCATCTTTGACTTCACCTTCTTCATCCTCTCTGCTCAGTCAGTCTCCCTATTCTGTCAATTCTACTTCTCAAACCTATTCTGTTTTTTCTTGCTGCCTGGCTCAGGCCTTTATCATTTTAGAAGATTCAGCAAGTATTTGTACTCCAAACATTGTGATTGGCCCTTTAACACACATTATTTAATTTTTTAAACAACGTTTGAGGTGGGTCGTTTTGTAGATGAGAAACCAAAGAGTCAGAAATAAAATGACTTCTGCTGGGCACGGTGGCTCTGTCTATAGTTCCAGCTACTTGGGAGGCTGAGGCAGGAAGATCACTTGAGCCCAGGAATTTGAGTCCAGGCTGGGCAACATAGTGAAACTCTGTCTCTAAAAATGAAAAATAAAATGAAATGAAAAATAAAATGACTGGTCTAATTGTTTAGAGGCACAGTTAGTAAATCTAGATTGTCTTTTGCTGCAGTATTGTAATAATATCTCTGCCTCATTTGTATTGTTTTCTTTTTTGAGATATAAATGGAAGATATATGTAAAAACAAATTAGAACTATGTGAAGTAAAAAGTGAAAGTTGCCCCTTCCCAATTCTACTCCCCAAGGGAAACCAATGATAGTGGCTTTTGTTCTAGACCTTTCTCTTTGCATATACAAATATTTAGATAAATTCTTTATAAAAGATCATTTTTTATTGTCCTACAACTACTTTTTCACTCATGGCCATATTTTTATGTCAGTACGTGTGTATCTACCACATTTTTAATGGCGACATAATGTTCCATTATGGGGACATATTATTTTGTTTAATGATTCCTATGTTAAATAACTGTTTCTGTTCTTACAAATAATGTTGCAGTAATAGTCTTGTGCATATACTCTTGCTTGTGCATTTGTATGAATATTTCTATTAGGTAAATTCTTAGAAGTCATATTGCTTGGTTAAGTATATGCCTATTTTAAATGTATGTACTACCAAATTGTCCTCTGATTTGTCCTCTAAATCAGTCTTTCATATTATAACTAGAGCGATATAGCTATAATATGTCTTTGTAAAGTGAATTTCATCATGTGATTTCCCAGCATCAAAAAGCAACATCAGAGATGTTTGGTGGATTTCTATTGTCTATGCAGTAAATTTTAAAATTAAAAAAAATTTTTTCCAGACAGGATCTTGCTTTGTTGCCCAGGCTAGAGTGGGCCACATGTGATGGCGTGATCTCAGCTCACTGTAGCCTCAACCTCACAGGCTCAAACAATCCTCCCACTTCAGCCTCCCGAGTAGCTGGGAATGCAGCCGTGTACCATCATGGCTAGCTAAGTTTTGATTTTTCTTTTTGTAGAGACTGAGTCGCCCTGTGTTGCCCAGGCTGGTCTTGAACTCCTAGGCTCAAGAGATCCTCCTGCCTCAGCCTCCCAAAGTGCTGGGATTACAGGTGAGAGCCTCCATGCTGAGCCAAAATTCTTAAAATTTTAAAAAAGTTTTTAAGAGTTATGTAATCTGGTCCCAAACTATCTTTCCTACCATTCTTCCCTACCAGGAAATTTGTCCTCTGATAAGGCAAAATCCACCTCTTCTGTGAAATTTCCCATGTATACTGCTCTCTTTCCTCTCTCTATGCAAGATAGAATGAGTTGCTTTCTTCCCTAAGTTCTCATAGCACTTAATTTATAGTCCCTTATAATCCCTCTGATAGCACTTAATGCGTTGTACTGTATTTATGTGTGTCTGTCTCCCCTGCTACTCTGTGATTTTCATAAGGGTAGGAACTGTGCCTTACTCATCTTTGTATCCCCAGCACTTTACACAATGCCTGTCAGCGTAGTGCTCAACAAGTGTTCATGAATTTGGGAAAGATATCCTGGAGGTAGTGCTAGAGTGCTAGTATGATAAGAACTTTGAGAGATAGAGTAGGGGGTGGAAGTTTTGAAGTATAGCAGAAAGCTGACTGACTCCTGGGAGAATGGAAGCTGGTTAGGAATAGACAACTGGGCTTAAACTGGCAGGAGCCTTCATGTGCTTTTCTCCTTCACTGCAGAGACCAGCTGCCTGGTTATTTGGGTTAATAGGCTTGAGATTTGAGAACATTTAAAGTATTAAAAATTGGATGATTGAGGACTCACTTGGTGGAGGGGGAGATTGACTCAGCTGTTCTATGTTCTTTCCAGACTAAGATGCATATACTGAATAACCAATCCTTTTCCCAGAGTCACGAATAACTTTTTCTTTCTGAAAAATCAAGGACTCTTCATTTTCAGGGCATGTTTCGGATGGGAGTAGGAAGACTAAATAGGTCAGATACTTCTACTTTGTCTCTTTAGCTTGGCTCAAGGGGAAAGGAACCTATTGAAAGGGTTTAGGGCTGTGGGCCTATTCTTGAGTAAATCATCTGTGTGAAATTAGTTCTTTTGTCATTTCAGGCAACTCTGGTAGCTCTCCTTGTCTGGTTGTTTTGAAGAAAGAAGAGTAGAAGAAAAAGTTGAGTAAATCATGTCGGAGTTACTGGACCTTTCTTTTCTGTCTGAGGAGGAAAAGGATTTGATTCTCAGTGTTCTACAGCGAGATGAAGAGGTCCGGAAAGCAGATGAGAAAAGGATTAGGTAAGAGTTCCCCAAAACGCATGGGGTCCCAGGCCTTTGACCAATGATGTCTGGGCTTTTCCTTATGTCTCCCACCTGACTTTCATAGGAATTTGTATATGTGATGTTTACCACTACTTATTGGGTCACGCTGGGCTCTGAGTTTGTTGCTTCCACAGAACCAAATAGTCTTACTGTCTTTACCTCTCAACCCCTCTCCATCCAATCTATGCATATCCTGAATCCACTTACGCTTCTGTTTTGGGTCTTGGCAGGCGACTAAAGAATGAGTTACTGGAGATAAAAAGGAAAGGGGCCAAGAGGGGCAGCCAACACTACAGTGATCGGACCTGTGCCCGGTGCCAGGAGAGCCTGGGCCGTTTGAGTCCCAAAACCAATACTTGTCGGGGTTGTAATCACCTGGTGTGTCGGGACTGCCGCATACAGGAAAGCAATGGTACCTGGAGGTGCAAGGTGTGCGCCAAGGAAATGTGAGTGTCACCTATGGCTGAGTAGAGAGGGGGCGAGGCCTTGGCCGTGGTGAGAATTTCTTTCCTCAGCCTTTATTAGACAAGAACCATTCTTTATCCATCTGTCATTTTCTTTTATTTCTTCCCAGAGAGTTGAAGAAAGCAACTGGGGACTGGTTTTATGACCAGAAAGTGAATCGCTTTGCTTACCGCACAGGTAGTGAGATAATCAGGATGTCCCTGCGCCACAAACCTGCAGGTACTGGACCTGTCTAGAGATGGTTCTTGGTATGGAATCCTAGTGTATTCTGACTGGTAGCATCTTAACTCCATGGGCTCAGCCAGTTAGTGGAGAATAGAAGATTGTATTGTCATCCCTTCTGCAAGCATGGTGTATTTCAGGGGATTTGCTATGAGGGTTGTTTCCTTTTTCCCCTACTCATAACCACCACCCTGGCATACTTTTCTTTGTCTTGAAGTGAGTAAAAGAGAGACAGTGGGACAGTCCCTCCTTCATCAGACACAGATGGGTGACATCTGGCCAGGAAGAAAGATCATTCAGGAGCGGCAGAAGGAGCCCAGGTAAGAATCAAGTAATTGTTTAAAGAAATGCTTACAATATCCCTTTAATTCTTTTACTATTCTTTTTACTTCTTCTGTTTATAAAATAATAGATGTTCATTATAGGAAAACTTGAAAAGTACAGAAAATAGTAAAGGAGGGAAAAAATCATTCCTAATCCCACTACTCATATGTAGACATTAACATTTTGGTATATTTACTTAGTTCTTTATTTTTTATAGTTTGCATTCGCTTTCTCAGGTTGAATAGTTTGTTCTTTATACGAACAATTTGAAGACAAATAAAAATAACACATGCTCATTATTAAGCAACAAATCACCCACATTCCTACTACCCCAGTTTTCACATTATGTGAAAATTATTTCGTATATCTTCTATGTATATACATAACGGGTTGACTGGATGGATAAACTGAAAAATCTTTTTAATATTAGATCATAGTATAATAAATTAAAATCATCCTATTTAATTTTACTTGAATTTAACAGAATAAAACACTGAAATAAAATGAAAGAATAGCTAATCTTCAGACAAATGTTTTTTTAAAGTAAAAGATATTAGTTGTTAACATTCCTCTAAGCTTAAGAAAAAATATTATGAAAGCCATTGAGCAGTTGGTCACTTTTTTAGTGGAGTTTTTTTGGTAACAGCCTTATTGAGATATATATAATTCACATACTATACAATTTGTCCATTTTTGGTGTACAATGCAATAGTTTTTAGTATATTCACTGAGTTTTGCAACCATCCCTTGAATCAATTTTAGAAAATTTTCATCACCTCAAAAAGAAACCCTTTACCCTTTTAGCTGTCACCCTCCCTGATCCCTAAACAATCACTCATCTACTTTCTGTCTCTCTGTATTTGCCTATCCTGGGTATTTCATGTAAATTGAATCATACAATATGTGGTCCTTTTTGACTTGCCTCTTTCACTTAACATTAACGTTTTCAAGGTTCATCCATGTTATAGCATGTATCAGAACTTCATTCCTTTTTATAGCCAAATAATACCCCATGATATGTATTTATCACATTTTATCTGTTCATCTGTTGAAGAACATTTGGGTTGTTTCTACTTTTTGGTTATTAAGAGTAATGCTGGGCCAGGCGCAGTGGCTCACGCCTGTAATCCCAGCACTTTGGGAGGCTGAGGCGGGTGGATCATGAAGTCAGGAGATCGAGACCATCCTAGCCAACATGGTGAAACCCCATCTCTACCAAAAAAAAAAAAAAAAAAAATTAGCCAGGTGTGGTGGCACGCACCTGTAGTCCCAGCTACTCGGGAGGCTGAGGCAGGGGAATCACTTGAACCTGGGAGGCAGAGGTTGTAGAGAGCCGAGATCGCGCCATTGCACTCCAGCCTGGCAACAGAGTGAGACTCCGTCTCAAAAAAAAAAAAAAAAAAAAAAAAAGAGTAATGCTGCTATGAACATTCATTAAGAGTTTTGTGTGGATGTATGTTTTCTTTTCTTTTTTTTTCTTTTCTTTTCTTTTTTCTTTTCTTTTCTTTTTCTTTTCTTTTCTTTTGAGACGGAGTTTCGCTCTTGTTGCCCAGGCTGGAGTGCAGTGGCGCCATCTCGGCTCACTGCAACCTTCACCTCCCAGGTTCAAGCGATTTTCCTGCCTCAGCTTCTTGAGTAGCTGGGATTACAGGCACGCGTCACTAAGCCCAGCTAATTTTCATGTTTTTAGTAGAGACGGGGTTTCACCATGTTGGCCAGACTGGTCTTGAACTCCTGACTTCAAGTGATCCACCTGCCTTGGTCTCCCAAAATGTTGGGATTACAGGTGTGAGTCACCATGCCTGGCCTGTTTTCATTTTTCTAAGGTGGATACTTTGGAGTTAGCCGTCATTTTAAAAATCTGCCTGTTTCAATATTTAACATTATCAGTGGGCGCTTTGCTGTGAAAGAGGAAGCAGTTAGCTTTCTTACACTTCCCCCCGGTTATTTTCTTCTATCCCCACTATTTGTTACTCAAATTATTTTTCCTTTGTCAGGGTTTATAATATTTACATTCTCTTATATAACCATAAACCATCTGTTTGTTTTATCTGTTTGTTTCCTTTTAGTTTTATACTTAAAAGGATTGTATGCTTACAACCAGGCCTTATACCACAACTTCTCTATTTCTGATTTATTTCTTGGTTTTCTGGATTTCATCATTGAGGAGGTCCTTCAAGAAGAGCTTGCAGGTGCTATATTTATTGTATTCTTACATGTTAAGAATGTCTGCCAGCTGCCTTTATACTTGAATGGTATCTTGGCTGGATATTATATTCTTGGGCCACATTTTCTTTCCCTCAGAATGTTGTAGACATTGTTCCATTGTCTTCTTCCATTGAATGTAACTGTGAAGAAGTCTGAGGACATCTTGGCCCTTGTCTTTCTTTCTTATGGATGAGAGAGAGAGAGAAAGAGAAAGAGAAAGGGAGAGAGATTGGACTTGCCTGAAAATTTTCTTTTCTTTTTCTTGAAGTTTAGTAATTTAAGGGCTGGGCACAGTGGCTCACTCCTGTAATCCCAGCACTTTGGGAGGCCGAGGCGGGCGGATCACAAGGTCAGGAGATCGAGACCATCCTGGCTAACACGGTGAAACCCCGTCTCTAATAAAAATACAAAAAAATTAGCCGGGCGTGGTGGCAGGCGCCTGTAGTCCCAGCTGCTGGGGAGACTGAGGCAGGAGAATGGCGTGAACCCGGGAGGCGGAGCTTGCACTGAGCCAAGATTGCTCCACTGCACTCCAGCCTGGGCAACAGAGCAAGACTCCATCTCAAAAAATAAAAAATAAAAAAAAAGTTTAGTAATTTAACAAGGTTGTAACTCAATGGTGATCATTCTGTATCATTTTTCCCTATATGTGATATATCCTTGATGAGTTCTTTCTTCATTGCTGGAAAATTTTTCTGTATCATGTCTCAGAACTCTTTTTCTTTCTGTTTTATTATTTAAGTTCTCCACCTCAGAGATACTGGATTTTCTTATCCTCTATTTTTGTCATTTTCTTTTACTAGCGAATGGAATAGGAAAAATGGTGAAAGCAATTAACTGTGATTAGCCCAACCCATTCCTCCATGCTATTAATTTGGTTTTCAGTTTATTTCCCTCCCCTACCCCTTTTCCCCTCCCTTCCTTACTTTTTGCTGCTTCTAATTTAATTATTTGAGTAAATTATCTTATTTAGGTTTTGATTTGTTCTTTGCTCTAATCTTCTTTCTCTCATTTTGTTTTATCATCTTGTATTTGAATTCTTGCACTTTATTGAATTTATATTATTAGTTCCCCTGTAGTGTAAAGCACTCACATGAAACCTACTTGTTTTCCTAGGGTTAAATTCTTCTCCAGACTCGGTTCTTCATCCATCTTGCAAATTGTTTTCATTTCTCTCCACTTCATGGCTATTTATATATCTGCCAGACTATTATTTCATTTTACTGAACTTTAATATGGGAAGTTTTGTCTGTATCTTTTGTTTCCTCTGATATAGCATATGTGAGTTCTTCTCACCTTAACTTGAAACAATTTATCTTTTCCCCATTCCCAGCTGTACTTTAGTTTAAGGACTGAATATTGCTTTTTATATTTCTTTCCTTGTAACCTGAAGGGGTAGGTGCAGAAGGCAACTTGGAGTCCTGAGTTTTGGTCTCATGAAATTCTCTTAAATGTCCTGGTTCAGGGCTTACCTGTCCCAGATCTGGGTTAATCCCCTAGCTCATACCAGTGCCCTGGGAGATGACATTTTGCATCAGTCTTGTCTGTCTCTGTTGAGGTTCTACAGTGGTACCTGGGGCTATAAATCTTGAGGACTTCTGTTTTTCTTGACTACTCACTCACTTAATCTGCAAATTGCTACATTGGAAAGGATTAGTTAAGGAGCTTTGCTGAATTAAATCTTCTGTTTTCTTAGGTGCGATTTTTGAAATCTGTGACTTGAGGCTTTATTTTTGACTCATTTGGTTGTGGCGGTGAATTTTTAGCTTTTGTATGGTGTGTGTGTGGTTTTTTTTTCCCCTAACTTTCACTCACCCAAAGGGAAATGACTTTATCATGTTTCATATGATTGTTGAAAAACAGCATAGAAATGTATAAAGTAAGTCCTCCAGTAACCTCACTGCTTCTTCCCCAGATAATTATCGTTAATAGTTGTGAATAGTTTTGGCATATGGACTACCAAGCTGTCTAAATATACATATATGGGTTGGGTTCCTAAGTTTTTAATTTCTTTTTCTTTAAAGGATGATACTATAAACATGTTAAGTGAAAAAAAGTGAAAGAAAAAGAACTTTAAAAACTCAATAATACAGACAATCCCATAGAAAATGCACAAAAAATTTGAACAGACATTTCACCAAAGACAATATAGAGATGTCAGATAAGCACATGAAAAGGTGCTCAACATCTTTAGTCATTAAATAAATTTGACCTAAAAATCACAATAAGATACTACTACATACCCATTAGAATGACTAAAATTAAAAAGACTGACCATGCCAATTGTTGGTGAGGATGTAAAACAACTGGATTTAAAAAAAATTTTCTTTTCTACATTTCCTCCTTGCTATTATAAACAACTAGCATTCTTATACACTGCTGGTGGGAATGTACAATGGCATAGCTACTTTGAAAAGCAGTTTAGCAGTATTTTAAAAAGTTCATTGTGCACCTACCTTGTGATTAAGTCATTTCATTCCTGGGTACTTACTCAAGAGAAGGGAAAACGTATGTTTGTACAAAGACTTCTACGTGAATGTTCATAGCAGCTTTATTTGTAATAGCCCAACCCTGGAAATAACCCAAATGCTCATCAGCAGGTGAATGGATAAACTGATTTGTTTATACGGTGGAATACTACTCAGCAATGGAAAGAAATGAACTATTGATACACGCAATAACATGAATGAATCTCAAAATAATCATGCTGAGTGAAAGAAGCCAAGCAGTAAAGAGTACATACTGTATGGTTCTGTTTGTATAAAAACTAGAAAATACAAACTAGAAAGCAGTGACAGAAAGCAGATCAACACTTACAGGAAGGGCAGGAGGGATTAGAATGGGGCAGGAGGAAACCTTTGGGAGTGAAAGATATGTTCATTAACTTAATTGTGGTGATAGTTTCGCAGATGTCTACATTTGTCAAAATGTCACGTTGCACACTTGAACATGTGCAGCTTATTTATGTCAGTTATTACTCAAAGCGTAAAAGAAAAAAATTGTAGAAGGATATAACATGAACATCTTTCTGTGTCAGCACCAAGGATCTGTTTCATTCTTTTGACATCTGTATGATGTTTCATTGTATATATGGACTGTGATTTTTATCTACACAGCCTTGGGTGGGTGACTCATCCGTTCCAGGTGATGAGGCCCCCTTTTTTCTTTGTGGATTAAGGATAAGAATGGCTTTTATTTGCTGAACCTGATTAACACATCTGACATCATCAGTCAGAATGTAATTTCTGAAACCTATTGCTTCTGGTTGTCTGTGATCTCTTGTCTCATTGGACCCAGAAGACTCTTATTTATCCTAAACATGAAAACAGATTAAGTGACCATAAATGATCTTTCCCATGAAATTATGGAGCCTCAGAGATAATTTAATTCAACCACCCTATTTTTGCAGAAAAGAAAGCAGGATAAGTGATTTACCTGAGATCATACAGATAGTTAGAGCCCAGGGCTCCCATCTCTTAGTCTATTTTTTACTGCACAGATGTCAAATAATTGCTTTTCTGCCCTTGGGTTGTTTGTATTAGCTGTGGATTGGTATGTATTAATCTTTAGGAAAAAAAGGAAAAACCACTCTCCATGGACCATTGTTAAAACTACCTCTCTGGAGGAATGGTTCTGCTTGGGTTTTTTTGGCGGGGGTGGGGGTGGGGACAAAAGGGGAAAAAGGACAATTCTAAAGTAAAAAATGAAATCAAGCCCCCCTGCTATGTCTTGTGCTATACAAGTAATACATCTTTCAAGGAATGACTGACATTTCACCTCTTGTAAGTACTAGGATTTCAGCCCTGCTGTCTGTTTTCACAGAACTGTCAAACATCATGTGACAACTTGGAGAGTTTATTCTTTACTGGCTAAGACATTATAGATTTTGGTTACCTCATTCTTTGTGCATCTATTAGTTTGTTTGTTTGACAAATATCTATGAATGCCTACTATGTGCCAGGCATTGTTTTAGACCCTGAGATACACTGGTGAATACAAGGCCTCTTGTTTGTGGGGCTTAGATTTCCGGGGTGGGAGATAAAAAGATAGTCAAGTAAATGTATGGTATATCAGATGTTGACAGGTGCTGTGGAGAAAATGAAGTAGACCAAAGGTATAGGGAGTGCCAGGAATGAATGTGTGTACATATACTGTTTAGGATAGCCAGGGCAAGTCTTAACAACAGGGTAACGTTTGAGCAAAGATATGAAAAAAATGAGGGAGCAAACCCTTAGGGTATCTGGGGGAAGAGCATGTAGATAGAGAAAGAAGGAGGTATAAAGACCCTAGGGTGAGATTTTGTTTGGCACTTTTGAGTAATCTGAAACTGAGTGAGCAAGGGAGGCTGAGGAAGGAGTTGAGGACAGAGATGGGATGAGAAGCAGATCATGTTAAGACTTTGGTGGCACTTGTAAGCATTCTGTCTTTTACTCCAAGTAAGAAGGATGGCTCTGAGGGGCACAGCCTTATTTTGTCTTCTTTTTAAAAATGGAGGTAAAGTTGACATAACATAAAATCATTTTAATCAATTTTAAAGTATAAAGTTCTGTGATTGTTAGTACTTTCAGAATGTTGTGAAATTAGATCACCACTATCTAATTTCAGAACATTTTCACCATCCCAAATAGAAACCCGATAGCCATTAAGTAGCCACCTCCATTTACCCCAGCCCCTAATATGCTTTCTGTCTTGATGGATTTGCCTAATCTAGACATTTCATATAAATGCAGTCATGCAATATGTGGCCTTTTGTGTTTGGCTTATTTCAATTAGCATAATGATTTCAAAGTTCATCCATGTTGCAGCATGTATCAGAATTTCATTGTCTTTTATTGATGAATAATCCATTATATGAATATACCACATTTCATTTGTCTAATCATGCATTGATGGACATTTAGGATGTTTTCATCTTTTGGCTATTAGGAATAATGCTGCTATGAACATTCATGTAACATTTTTGTGTGGACATATATTGTTTAGTTCTGTTGGGTAGGTACCCAGGAATGGAATTGCTGGGTCATATGATAGTTCTATCCCTGATTTACATTTTAAAAGCTCATTTTGGCTGTTGAGGGAAAGTCAAAGCCAAGGGAAGAAGCAGGATTAGTTAGGAGGCTACTGCAACCATCCAAGAGCTACATGATGGTGGTTTGGACCAGAGTAATGGCAGTGGAGGCAGTGAGAACGTATCAGAGTCTAGGTATACATTGAAGAGGATTTGCTGACAGATTTGATTTGTATTGTGAGAAAAAGAGGAGTAACCGATGATTCTTAGCGTTTTTGACTTGAGAAATGAAAGGGAATTGCCATTTGATGAGACAGAGCGAAGAGCAGTTTTGGGGGAAGATTAGGGCTTTGGTTTTGGGCTTGCTGTGTTTGAGACATCCACGTGGAGACATTGAGGAGGCCATTGGAAAAACAAGTCTGGAGTTTGAGTAAGAGATAAATTTGAGGCCGGGCATGATGGCTCACGCCTGTAATCCCAACACTTTGGGAGGCTGAGGCGGATGGATCACCTGAGGTCAGGAGCTCAAGACCAGCCTGGCCAACATGGTGAAAACCTGTCTCTACTAAAAATAAAAAAATTAGCCAGCCATGGTGGCACAAACCTGTAATCCCAGCTACTCAAGAGGCTGAGGCAGGAGATCGCTTGAACCCAGGAGGTGGAGGTTGTAGTGAGCCGAGATTGTGCCACTGCACTCCAGCCTGGGTGACAGAGACTCCATCTCAAAAAACATAAAAAATAAAAATAAATATATTTGAGTTATTAGTTTATTGAGGATATTTAAAGCCATGAGACTAGATGAGATCATTTAGGGATAATTCTAGATAGAGAGGAGGAGCAGCCCAAGGAAGAAGTTTGGACATAATCTAAATATTAGAGGTCTACGGGAGGAGGAAGGACTAGCAAAGGAGACTGAGAAGCAGCAGCCAGTGAGGTTGGAGGAGGAAACCAGGAGAGTGTGGTGTCCGGGGAGCCAAGGGAAGTTATTTGAGATATTTGAGGAAGAATCGATGTTTTTTCCCCCTTTTCCTGCTGCTCTCACTAATTCTTTGAGGTAAGGGGCCGAGGAACCGTATCCTTCCCTTGAAAGATGAGAACTGGTATTTTGAATGCCCAGAGTCATCCTTCATTAAGGCGATTAAGCTAAAAAAAAGAATTCTGGTCACCTGAATACTGTCTTCTAGACATACTGCTTATTTATGGATATATCTCAGTCCCACTGAGGGCATTTATTCAATAATTCAGTCAATAAAAATACTTGAGTGCATACTCTATGCTAGTCTCTCTTCAAGGCACTGAGAACACATCAGTAAATAAGATACGTGGTCACTGATCTTATGGAACTTTGTCGAATGGAGGAGAAAGACATTAAATAATTTGTTTAAATTATTGAACCAAATAAATAATTTGTTTAAAATACATAAATAGTTACATATGTGGTGACTGTTACTAGGAAATCAGGATGCTATGGGAGCACAGAGGAAGGTTACTAATCGAGACTTAGGGTGGGGGCATGGCCAGAGAGATCTGGAGGAATTGACATATAAGGAGAGACCTGAAGCAGGAGTAGATTGAGGCAGGTGAAGAAAAGTGGCCATTGTGAAAAGAATATCTTAGGCAGATAAAAGAGGGAAGATGGAGAGCTTCAGGATATTCAGAGAAACAAAATAACTTTGTCTTTCTAAAATATAAAGCTTGAAGGAGGAGTAGGGGGTGAAAAATGAGACTGGAGAGGGTGAGCAGGGGCCAAATCATGAGGATTTCTTGCCATGCTAAGGAGTTTCAGCTAAATCCCAACAGCAATGGGGAACCACTGAAGAGTTTTAAAAGTATACTGAGGGCCGGGTGTGGTGGCTTACGCCTGTAATCCCAGCACTTTGGGAGGCCGAGGCAGGCGGATCACGAGGTCAGGAGATCGAGACCATCCTGGCTAACACATTGAAACCCCATCTCTACTAAAAATACAAAGAAATTAGCCGGGCATGGTGGCACGCACCTGTAGTCCCAGCTACTCGGGAGGCTGAGGCAGGAGAATGGCGTGAACCCAGGAGGCGGAGCTTGCAGTGAGCCAAGATCGCGCCACTGCACTCCAACCTGGGAGACAGAGTGAGACTCCGTCTCAAAAAAAAAAAGTATACTCAGCTGGGCACCATGGTACATGCCTGTACTCAGCTGGTACACCATGGTACAGTTACTCAGAAGGCTGAGGCAGCAGGGTTGCTTGAGCCTAGGAGTTAGAGACTGTTGTGCACTATGATGGCACCTGTGAATAGCCACAGTACTCCAGCCTGGGCAACATTGCGAGACCTTATTTCTTAATTAATTAATTTATTATATGTTTAAAGTATACTCATATTTATTTTAGAAAGATCACTCAGGCTACGATTGTGAATGGATTGGAAAGAGGCCTGACTAGAGGCAGGAGAACCTGCTTCCTTTCAATATTGGCTCTTGGTTTTTATTCTAGTGTGCTATTTGAAGTGCCAAAGCTGAAAAGTGGAAAGAGTGCATTGGAAGCTGAGAGTGAGAGTCTGGATAGCTTCACAGCTGACTCGGATAGCACCTCCAGGTGGGGTTCCCCCCATTTCCCTCATCTCCTCTCAACCCAAGTTGTGATTTTGTTCTGCAGCATCAGTGTTCCTGACTTCTGTCCTCAGGAAGTTGAACGAAGTATTTTCTCTGTCCTCAACAGAAGTCTTTTCAGTAGCACGTCTACTGATTTGGCTCTGAGCACAGCTTCCTGGAACACATTGACATCTCTAGTCAATTCCCCCAGTATCTTGGAGTATTCTTCTTAGCCCAGTAGCAACTGATGCTGCTGTCCCTTAAGAATGAGGGTGTGAGTGTTTGTGTTTGTGCAAAGTTGCCTATCTGATCTTCTGCATTCCTTCCAGGTAAATCACATGCGAAGTGTACCTTCTGAATTTGGTTATTACGATGACCCAAGCCATTGGCTCTCCTTCCATAGAGCTTTGATCCCTGGGTAGAAGGGGAAGGGTAGGAGGTGACTTAGTTATAATTTCTGAATCTACCTCCAGGAGAGACTCTCTGGATAAATCTGGCCTCTTTCCAGAATGGAAGAAGATGTCTGCTCCCAAATCTCAAGTAGAAAAGGTAAGCTTCAGGTTATTGAGCCACCTTCCTCCCCTCCCTTCCTTCCCTTTCTCCTTTACCTCCTGTCTCCCTCCGTCTTTCCCTCCCTCCCTCCCCCTCACTCTTCTCTTCCTCTTTCTTCCCTCCCTCCCTCCATTCTCTTAGGCAGAATTTAAATCAGGAATTTCAACTAAACAAATTTCAGTTCAAATTCACTTGGGAGCATTTTCTGAAGTTTTGTTTGAAATGTGTGAGAAAATAGGTTTTGTACTATTTCTAGGCATTTAATCTTTCCTTTAAGTTTGTCATAGTTTAGCGAAAATCTGAGCCTTATTCTTCTTAAGACTGTCCTTCCTTACTCACTCCTTCTACCTATCCATCTGTTCTTTTCCATTTTCTTGCCCTTGTTCCTTCCTAGGAAACTCAGCCTGGAGGTCAAAATGTGGTATTTGTGGATGAGGGTGAGATGATATTTAAGAAGAACACCAGAAAAATCCTCAGGCCTTCAGGTAACTGGTTTCCCTTACTGGTCTTTCAGGACTGAAGTTCTGAGTACCCTTGATGGGCTCTTGGTATGGAGAAGAATAGGTCTCTTTGATTTGGCTTTTTTGGTCTTCCCCTCAGAGTACACTAAATCTGTGATAGATCTTCGCCCAGAAGATGTGGTACATGAAAGTGGCTCCTTGGGAGACAGAAGCAAATCCGTCCCAGGCCTCAATGTGGATATGGTAGGTGCCCTTATATTTTACTTGGTCACTATATGAAATTTTACTTATCTGGAGTTGGCTTTAGTACCTGATATTCTCAGTCAACCTATTTAATTCTTTAAGAAAAGGCAACATGAAACTTGATACCCCCAAGTTTCTAAAGTAAATCTGGTTCCTGATTTGCTTAAAGGAAAGGACTGTCTTTGCTATCTCTTTTTTTTTTTTTTTTTTTTTTTTGAGACGGAGTTTCGCTCTTGTTTCTCAGGCTGGAGTGCAATGGCACGATCTCGGCTCACTGCAACCTCCGCCTCCTGGGTTCAAGCAGTTCTCCTGCCTCAGCCTCCTGAGTAGCTGGGATTACAGGTGTGCGCCACCATGCCTGGGTAATTTTTTATATTTTTAGTAGATATGGGGTTTCACCATGTTGGCCAGGCTGGTCGCAAACTCCTGACCTCAGGTGATCCACCTGCCTCGGCCTCCCAATTTTTTTTTTTTTTTTTAAGAGACAGCATCTCACTCTGTTTCCCAGACTGGAGTGTAGTGGTACAATTATAGCTCAGTGCCACCTTGAACTCCTGAGCTCAAGCTGTCCTCCCACCTCAGCCTCCTGAGTAGCTGGGACTATAGGCATGAACCATCATACCCAGCTAATTTTTTTTTTTTTTTTGAGAGATGGGAGTCTCACTGTATTTCCCAGCCTGGTCTTGAACTCCTAGGCTCAAGTGATCCGCCCGCCTCTGCCTCCCAAAGTGCTGGAATTACAGGCATGAGCCATCACGCCTGACCATCTCTTTTATTTTCTAATAAATTGCTGGATATATGGCTGGGGCTCAAATAAATACTTCTTTTGATTAAAATGTAAACAGGGTTGGGGAAAGTCAAATGGAAAAGAGTTATAGCTTCTATGAAAAACATTAAATATTCTTATCTTATTCTTTTGAGATATGAGAAGGATGGTTGGAATAGAGCTGGGAACCCTGAAATGGGAAGACATGTAAAAAGAAGGATATGAGGCCAGGCATGGTGGCTCATGCCTGTAATCTCAGCACTTTGGGAGGCCGAGGCAGGCGGATCACCTGAGATCAGGAGTTTGAGACCAGCCTGGCCATCATGGAGAAACCCTGTCTCTACTAAAAATACAAAAATTAGCCAGGTGTGGTGGCGGGTGCCTGTAATCCCAGCTACTCTGGAGGCTGAAGCAGGAGAATTGCTTGAACCCAGGAGGCGGAGGTTGCGGTGAGCTGAGATTGCGCCATTGCCCTCCAGCCTGGGCAACAAGAGTGAGACTCCGTCTCAAAAAAAAAAAAAAAAAAGAAGTATGTGTGCGTACACATACACATGGCAACTTGGAGCTTTAAAGGAAAGATATTAGTCTTTGAAGCTAAAGAAAAGTCTTTCTTTTATTAACTCTGAATTTATATTTATTGTTCCAGGAAGAGGAAGAAGAAGAAGAAGACATTGACCACCTAGTGAAGTTACATCGCCAGAAGCTAGCCAGAAGCAGCATGCAAAGTGGCTCCTCCATGGTAAGTTCTATTAGATCTGTGGTTACAGGCATGTTGGGGTACTAGGAAGAAAAGAAGCACCTCCCTAGAGCAGATTCGGGACCTGGGGAAACCATCCTAGTCACTCTTTTCAGGTAAGTAAGATCATTTGTTTGTTCCTATCCTCAATTTAGACTATAGGTGCTTAGTGTACATCTAGGTGACTTCCTGAGCCCCCACCTGGAGATTATTACATTACAGCTTGGGACATTTTTCATCACAGCTTTGTGAACAATAACCTTAACTTATCCTCTAAAGGGGTACCCAGGCTATGAAGTGAGCAAGATCAGATTTCTTCATCATAGCCCATTCCAAATTCTCAACATTAAAAGAAAGTGAGTGTCATGAGAGGGGCTCTGGCAGGGTTGATCGACATCAGGGTATGGTTAACAAGCAATAATACCAGTCAGGATAATGAATTTAAAGGGAACATTTAAGAATCAGGGCCTGGTTCTGTCATAAGCATGAAGATTGATATTTAGGGAAACAGGAACAAGGGTGAACAGAATTTGTTCACACTCACACACAGGAAGAGAATGTCAGCTCGCATGACCGATTACTACCAGAAAGGAAGGTGCCTTTTCACTTCTGGTGGGGTTTCCTCCCTCCCACTCACTCCCAGTTCTGGCCAAATCTCTTTTCTCTGTAGGCCCTGATAAGACATAAGGTGGATAAGAGAAACCCACAGATAATTAAGGCACCTTGTTTTAGTTAGTAACTAACCCCCTTCTAGCTGGTGTTTTAGTGTATATAACACATTCCCCAGATGGACTTAACTGCACCTTGCCTCTGCTCCCTGCCCACCTCCTGGGGCAGGTGAAAATGAACACTAAAATTTGTAAAAAGAGTTGAGGAAGAGAAGCTAAGAGGCTAGGTGAGCCATGAGCTGATTCATTCACCTGAACAATTTTGAGTGCTGGTAGTTCTCTCTTACCCTCTGGGTCAAGGAATGTCAGCAGCACTGGCTTATTGCAGGGGCTTCTGAAACTTCTGTTCAGTGACTGTGGTTTTATCATGAGGGAAGATGTGAGCAATGCGGGCGGGGGAGTGTGCCTTCCCCAGATGTTCGTGGGTGCTTTATCTTCAGAGTACGATCGGCAGCATGATGAGCATCTACAGTGAAGCTGGTGATTTCGGGAACATCTTTGTGACTGGCAGGATTGCCTTTTCCCTGAAGTATGAGCAGCAAACCCAGAGTCTGGTTGTCCATGTGAAGGAGTGCCATCAGCTGGCCTATGCTGATGAAGCCAAGAAGCGCTCTAACCCGTGAGTGCTTCTGGAACCTGACTGATGCTCTGAGACCAGAGACCAGACCCCGGCATCTGTCCGGGCACTCTTGAACAGAGCTTATCTGTTTCTGGGGGAGCAGGGAGGTGTAATGTAGGAAAAGAACCAGGATTGGGAAAAAGCAAGAATGGCATGTCTAAGAGGGCTTGAGGTGACATTTTTGACATCACATGTCACCATGGCATATCTATATGGAGAGGAGGAAAGTGAAAAGCAGGCTTGAGAAAGGCCAGCAAATTACTCAGTGCTGTCTTTGGTTTCTAGATATGTGAAGACTTACCTTCTGCCTGACAAGTCCCGCCAAGGAAAAAGAAAAACCAGCATCAAGCGGGACACTATTAATCCACTATATGATGAGACGCTGAGGGTAAGTATCTAGACCTCAAGGGTAGGAGAACTTGTTCTGTCTTGTGCCCTAAGCTGTAGCTATTCCTCTGCAACATGACCAGGTGACACGGGCTTCAGTGGGCCATGTCTGTGTCTGAGGATACATTGGGTATCTGTTCACATCCTGATCTCCCAGTGAAGAGAACAAAGGTGATCTGCCTTTCCTGGATTGATGTGAAGTTTGAGATTCACATGGCCACAAATCTCATGTAAAAAAGACATTTGAGATAAGGAGTCTCCTTGGCAGTTCTTTTTGGACAATCCAGTGTTATCTCATCCACTTAAGAAAAAATGAATTTTCCAGGTCCTCCTATGGAATATGGTAGGTTTTTATAAAATGAGTTAAGTTGAGGCTTTGAGTGAGGAAACTCAAAGTGCTCAGGGAACATAAAGTAATTTGGTATTCAGGACTAGTGACTTCAGGAATGGTTGCTCAGGTTTTGGAATAATCTTGTCTGAAGAATTACCCTTAACTAATCATCTTGGGCTTTTACTTTCCCTTCACAGTATGAGATCCCAGAATCTCTCCTGGCCCAGAGGACCCTGCAGTTCTCAGTTTGGCATCATGGTCGTTTTGGCAGAAACACTTTCCTTGGAGAGGCAGAGATCCAGATGGATTCCTGGAAGCTTGATAAGAAACTGGATCATTGCCTCCCTTTACATGGAAAGGTAGTCTGCTTTAACAACTCCTGCAGTTTGGATCTGAGGTAGAATTGTCTGCAGTAGCCTCTGCTGGTCTATGTTGGTAGCGTCTTTGAATGTAGTCTTCTCTGGAGTTCTAGTGCCCCCTGCTGGTGTTTCTGAGTTTGACAGCAATTTCAGAGGCATTTGTCTATCAAGTGTGAGTTCTGTGTAAACCAGGCAAAGTGTGAAGCCATGGTTTTGCTTTGAAAAAATTTTCATATGTGTACCAAACTTTGTCTCCTAACCTTCCAGAATCTGGGTGTATCCTAACATCCTAACTCGCACCTCTTCTCCGAGCTAACCTTCTGTGTATATCCTAATCTGTACCCTTTTGCCAAGCCACTGCTTTACTTCCAAGTGGGAAGTAAAGCAATTCATGGAGCTCCAATTGCTATGCTCTTGGTTACAGAGGCCAGGGAAATATTACTTTGGAGATGGCACCTCGGGCCACAGTGTAGCAGTATGGCATAATCATGCCTGGGATCTGAGTGCAGACCTGTGTTGGAATCCTGGTTCTGTCACTTGCCAACTAGATGAGTCACTTAACTACAAAATAATGTAGGGAAATCATCTGGCTAAGAAGAAATAGCTAAAACAGAGGACTTATTCAGCAACTTCTTGATTATCAGAACTACACAATGACATGACAAAGTTCATCTTATTTTTTTTTACACTAGCGTTTTAAATGTGGGATGGTTTTACATGGTCCATAGACTTTGGGAAGTTAGATGAGAAACTAGTCATGGTGGCTGCCTCTAGGAATGGAGACTGAGGTAGAAGGAATATTTAGTTTTCTCTATATCCCCTTTTTAAGCATTTGAACTTTTTACCATATTAAGAAAATTAAGCAAAAATGGACTTATGTACACATGATTCAAAATTAAAACAACATAAAGTATATTAAAAGGAAAGTAGGTTCCATTCCTTAGAAATAACCAGTGTTAACACTACTTGTGTATCCTTCTAGAAATTTTTTATGGCTAGGTATGGTGGCTCACGCCTGTAATCCCAGCACATTGGGAGGCGGAGGCAGGCAGATCACCTGAGGTCAGGAGTTCGAGACCACCCTGACCAACATGGTGAAACCCCGTCTCTACTAAATACAAAAAAATTAGCTGGGCATGGTGGCGCAAGCCTGTAATCCCAGCTACTTGGGAGGCTGAGGCAGGAGAATCGCTTGAACCCATGAGGCGGAGGTTGCAGTGAGCCGAGATTGCGCCTTTGCACTCCAGCCTGGGCAAAAGAGTGAAACTCTGTCTCAAAAAAAAAAAAAAAAAAAAGAAAGAAAGAAATTTTGTATTAAGCAGCACAGATATGCATCCATGTATTTATATGTATTTTTTTCTTTTTTTACACAAATGGGTTCACATGGACCTCATTGTACACATTTTTTTTTTTCATTTATCATGGGCATCCTTTTGTGCCATCACTTACAGATCTATCTCATTTTAATTGCTGCTGCATAGTATTTTTTCATGTGCCTGTATTATAATTTATTTACCATTCCCCCACTAATAGGCCTTTAAGTTGTTTGAATTCTTTTTTGCTCTTAAAACTATGCTGTAATATATCTTGGTCTTCTTTTGTGAATGTAACTGTCAGAGAAGTTCCTGTTGGTGGAATTGCTGAGTGAAAGGAAATATAAATCCAATATTTTGATAGCTGTTGCCCTTGCAAAAAAAAATAGTGACAACATTAAATTTGTCCCTTTAAATACTAATAAAAACAGGAATTTGTTCAACAGCACAGTAGGATGACTATAGTCAACAAAAATATTTGTATTTCAAAATAGCTAGAAGATTTGAAATGTTTCCAGTGCAAAAAAATGATAAATGTTCAAAATGATGGATGTAACAAAATATCACATGTACCCCATAAATATATACAAATATTATATGTCAATAAAAAGACAGGAAAGAAATTATTACCAAAGTATAACATATTATTACAAATTTAGAATTTTTTAACCATTTGGCACCCAAGTCATTCTCTACGGTCAATATAATTATATTGGAAATGTCACTGTAAACCATCATGAACTACTGCCAATAAAACTTTTATATAAAGAGAAGAAACCACATTAACATGGAGGTCTTTGCTCTTTGTAAATATTTGGAGCCAGAATAAGAATGTGCTACTAAAACAAATATGCCAGTTTCTAGCTAATGCTAAACTCCAATTTTTAAGAGTCCACTGAAGTTCACAGAACTTTTCTAAAAAATAATTTTCTAGAAATTAATAAATTGTGTAGACATTTTATAAACAACAGAAAGACCATTCCCATATTATATATCGATTTTAACTTCTACATTTGTTGTTTCTGGTTTTGTTTTTGTTTTTTGTTTTTTCCCTAGCAATCCATTTGCTCCTATTCAGTTTTCCCTTGCCTGCATCTACCTCCCGATTCTTTTGTCTCTCTCACATATATTAAACTGTGTGTTCTGGGTATGTGGTATGTTGATCCAAACTTATGGGGATTATGCCTTCCTAGCATTGGTAAGGACCTAAGTTAGAGGAACCCCAATTAACACAGGCAAGGCCAAGTGCAGTGGCTCCTGCTTGTAATCCCAGCACTTTGGGAGGCTGAGGTGGGTGGATCGCTTCAGCTCAGGAGTTCTGGACCAGCCTGGGCAACATGGCAAAACCCCACCTCTACAAAAATTAGCTGGGTGTGGTGGTGTGCGCCTGTAGTCCCAGCTACTCGGGAGGCTGACGCTGGAGAATCACTTGAGCTTGGGAGGCAGAGGTTGCTGTGAGCCGAGATTGCGCCATTGCATTCTAGCCTGCCTGGGCTCTGGGAATGAAACCCTGTCTCAAAAAAAAAAAAAAAAAAAAAAAAAATACAGGCAGGTGAAAGGGCACCTCTAGTCTGCACCAGCTCATGCTCTGGATACTAAAGCACAAGGAACAAAGTCATGCCGAGAGAGCCAATCGAGTGAAGCAGTTCTGCCAATCAAAGCCAAAGACAATAGGCCACCTGCTGCTCATCTCAGACATTCATTCGTTCACTCTTACCTTCATTCAGTAAATATTTGTGGAGCACCTACTATGTGCCAGATACTTTGCTAAGTGTTGGGCATACTAGGATGAACAAAAATAGGCTTGATTTCTGTCTCTTGGCACTTCGGCTGCAGTGTTAGAGACAGACATTGATCAAAGATAACTTAAATGCAAAATTTATAATTGTGGCAAATCCAAATTCGTGTAACAGAGTTTCACCTAGCCCTCAAATCTTTGCAAGCCCTCCTTTTTTCTTTTTTTGGGGGGAGGGACAGGGTCTGGCTCTGTCGCCCAGGCTGGAGTGCGGTGGTGCGATCTTGGCTCACTGCAACCTCC
The DNA here is from genome assembly GCF_000001405.40 of Homo sapiens. Lineage (NCBI taxonomy): Eukaryota > Metazoa > Chordata > Mammalia > Primates > Hominidae > Homo > Homo sapiens. The sequence continues at coordinate 100,682,638 of NC_000023.11, read as the reverse complement.
GCCTCCTGGGTTCAAGTGATTCTCATGCCTCAGCCTCCCAAGTAGCTGGGATTATAGGCCCACACCACCCCGTCGGCTGATTTCTGTGTTTTTTGTTGAGACAAGGTTTTGCTGTGTTGTCCAGACTGGTCTCGAACTCCTGGACTCAAGCATTTGCCCACCTCAGCCTCCCAAAATGCTGGGATTACAAATGTGAGCCACTGCACCTGACTGAAAGCCCTCTTTTTTTTTTTCCCCTGCAAGCCTTCTTTTTAAAAATACCTTGTAAAAATACTTTGTATTTTTAAAAACCATACAAATGATATATACTATTCTCATTAAAAGGACACTAAAAGTTAATATGGAGTAAAAAAGGGAAAGTTGTCTTTCATTTCCCTATTCTGTTGCCCTCCCTAGAGGAAACGAGGATAAGTTTGTTCGTATCCTGGGTTTTTCTATGCAGTGTAGTATAATGTTTAAAAGCACGGACTCTGGAACCAGTCTGTCTGAATTTGAATCCTAGCTCTGCCAATTACTAACTGTGTGACCTTGGGCAAGTTACTTAGCTTCTCTGTTCCTCTCTTCCATCAGTTGTAAAATGGAGTTAATAGTACCTGTCTCATAGAGACAGTCATCAAACAAAATGATACACCTAAAGTACTTATAACAGTGCCTAGTACATAGTAAGGGCTAACATAAGTGATAATGGCAATCGTTATTTACATACATTTATATTCACATGTACAACTATGAATATATTTTAATATAAGTGGAACATTTTTCTGCATCTTGCTTTGTTGACTTAACCCTATGTCTTGGATATCTTTCCATGTCAGCATGTACAGATTCACTGAATTCTTTTTTGATGACTGCATGCCATATGCCATACCAGGACACTACAATTATTCATTTAACTCTTTCTATAGTGATTGACATTTAGGTCGTTTCCACTTTTTGGCTATTACTAACAATGCTGGTAGCAAGATTCTCTGTCATGCTGTCAGTCCTTCGTGAGTTTGTATGGCAACCTTGCTTGAAGATCTTTGAGAGTATTTGGAATCTAGTAACTATGCCCCCAAAGTGGCATAATAGTGGGTATTGCAGAAGACTCTTTGTTGGTTCTGCCCTATTTCCTTCTAAAGAAACTGCCATAGAAACCTGTGGCTGCCATGGCCTAGGGACGGTGGATTATATTCATATGAAGAAGGATCCTCTTTTGCCCTGATGCTGTTCTTGGGGGGTAATTTTAGAATTTTTTTCAGAGAGAAGTCCCAACAATTCTTGAGAAGCCCAGCTTGACCTGTTGGGTTTCCCTGTGTTTCAGATCAGTGCTGAGTCCCCGACTGGCTTGCCATCACACAAAGGCGAGTTGGTGGTTTCATTGAAATACATCCCAGCCTCCAAAACCCCTGTTGGAGGTGACCGGAAAAAGAGTGAGTTTTCTTTGGGGTCCTGGATGTAGCTTAGTCTTCTGCATAGGATCTGTGCAAGGCCGGTGCTGGCTACTGGTTAGCACTGTTGGAGAGACCAAATTGGGATGCTCCCTGGATCTGCTAGGGAGATTCCTTTACTAAGGAAGCCTCTCTGCGTTTTTTCAAACAGAAGGGAATGCCTTAGGGTTGGCATTCTTTTCTTTTTTTAGGCTATTAAATGGACTTGGTCTTGGTCCAGCTGTGGCAAGCTACTAAGAGGGCAGAAGAGAACAGAAACTTTGGGGCTGAGAAGGGTGGCTGGGAGAGGTGGTAAAGTATGAAGGACAGGAAGTTGAAAGCTGGGGAAGAGTAATTCAACATGCCAGCTGCTGTGTTAGTGACTACGGTTGTGTAGATGAGTAAAACATATTTGCTTTCCCTTGAGGAGCTTAAGTTTTTGCAAGAAAGACAGTCATGTGCTAAAAGGACACAGATATAGGAGTGGTGAATTATGTCTGGTTACATTTGGGAGAGCTTTGAAGAAGTAACATTAAAACTGGATCTTAAAACTTTACCAGACAGAAAAGGAGCAGGATGAGGAGAGAAGAGCATTTTCAGAAGAGGGGATAACATGCGCAAAGGTTTTAAAAAGGCATGGTAATGTGGGGTTGTATGTGAGTGTGTCCCTTATTTTAGTGGGACTGGAGTTCTGGTACACTAGATGTAGGTGTGGGGCTGGAGTTGGACATGAGGTGGGAGCCTGACTGAAGAGGGCCTTGAACTTAATGATAAAGAGTTTCACTTGATCCCTTGGCAATGTGTGGCCTACGTTCTTTGAAAAAATATACCTTTGGCAGAGTCACATCTAGAAGGTTTGGGGGAATCAATGAAATCCCCAATGAGGGTATGTAGCATGACTAGAGAAGAGAGGCAAGTATAGAACCAGAGAGATCAGCAACATTTTAAAGGATGAAGAGAGAAAGAAACACCAGTGAAGTAAAAGGTTATCAGGAGAGAGCTTCAAGAAGAAGGGGCGGAGGTTATCAACAGTATTGAAATACTACAGGGAGGTCAGACCAGATGAGGTCTGAGAAGACATGGCCAATTGGCATTAGATTGCATTTTCAGTGGATCAGTGAAAGCAGAAACCAGATTTCACTAGAAACTAGGCTGAGTGAATGGGCAAAGAAGTAGAGGTGGTAAGTGTGGACTTTTTTTCCTCAGGATAATTGATGGTGAAAGAAAGTAGAGACATGGAGAATAGCTTGAAGAAGAGATAAGGTTAAAGGGAGCTTTTCTTTTAGAAGTACTTTTTCAAAGAGATGAGATTAGTATATATTTAGACTGAGGGGAAGGGACAAGTGGAGAAAGAGATATTTAAATTGGGAGGTGAGGATTGAAATTGATGATGTCTGAAGAGTCCTGTGAAGTAGGGGTGGAATCGAGAACTCAGATGGAGGAGTTCCCTCTTTTTTAAATCATTGAACAAATATCAGGCAACTTTATGTCTCTAAGCCTCAATTTTCTCATGTACAAAATGAGGACAAAAATAGTGTGACTCTCCTAGGGTTGTTTTGAGAATTAAATGCTTAACATGGTATCTGGCACATAGCCAGTTTTCAATAGGCATTTATTAATATTGTGGTTGTTATTAATACAGCACCTATTGCTTACTGGCAGGCACTGTGCTAGGCACTGAGGAGACAGGACAGGCACGGTTCTGTTATGGAGCTCGCTGCCTTTAGGAGCAAGCAAAGAAAGTGCTGCATAAACAAAGCTCAAGATAAATCTAGAGGTGGAAGGGGCTCACTTGCTATGGCTGACATCCCTTACAGGTAAAGGTGGGGAAGGGGGAGAGCTCCAGGTGTGGATCAAAGAAGCCAAGAACTTGACGGCTGCCAAAGCAGGAGGGACTTCAGACAGCTTTGTCAAGGGGTGAGTCCCTAGACCAGCCCCAAATTAACCAGTTTCAGAACAAGAGAGCTAAGAGAAGAATTTAACTTTCTCTGTGGATATTATCCAGTGTGTCTTACCACTCCCGGCAACCAAATTTGTTCCTGAAATTAGGTAATGACAAAACCTTCACCACCTTTGCACTGGTCTGGGCTGTAGACTTGATAATCCAAAGAGGAGGGCTGCAGACAGGTTCTGACTTTTGTCTGACTCATGTTCTTAATTAATTCTGGGTGAAAATCTGTGTCTTCTGACTGTCTAGATTTGGGAACTCAGGGCTTTGTTTCCCACAGTTTTTAAGCTTTCCGAAAATTACAGATTACCTACTGACTTAATTTATCTAGAAATCATGTTTGGCTAAGTTTATAGATATTACTATTGGTTTTATTTAAAGAGATAAATTGTCTAGTAGAAACAAAGCCAAATATTTAAAACCCATTTTCAGTGGAGCACAGAATAGCCTCACTAATACTATTATATTCATTTTCTCTCTAGGTTAAAGGAATTGAATCAGGTGAATGATCTAGTAGAGGTAGTGGGAACTCTGCTTCAGCAGATTCAAGGAGGGGCGTGTGTAGTAGGATCTGGATGTGGGTTCATCTTCTTGGGCTAGGCCTGTGGTAGGGGAAAGGGGAATTTAGAGAGATAACTGTCCGCTTTGAGTAGGCTGTTGATTACTCCCCGCCCTCTGCCAGATACCTCCTTCCCATGAGGAACAAGGCCAGTAAACGTAAAACTCCTGTGATGAAGAAGACCCTGAATCCTCACTACAACCATACATTTGTCTACAATGGTGTGAGGCTGGAAGATCTACAGCATATGTGCCTGGAACTGACTGTGTGGGACCGGGAGCCCCTGGCCAGCAATGACTTCCTGGGAGGGGTCAGGCTGGGTGTTGGCACTGGTGAGATCCCCTCCCCCATCCTCACTTGTTTGAAGGCTTCTTGTCTATTTTACTCCTATTACCATTCCCGCCCCCCAACACAAAGCTCCTCTGTGATGACAGTTGTCTTCTTTCCTTTCAGTTAACATTCAGCCAATACTTATTGAGTGCCTACTATGTGCCAGGACTAGGGGAAGGCTGAGCTCATGCACTGATATGTGCACAGATAAATGTGACCCTGATTGCCAGGAACTTCATAATCTTCCCACCAAAAAAATCTACAAACCTACCTATATGTATGTACCTATACATTCCATCTTCCATGCTGTTAATAATGAAAGAAGGGTCATTGCTAGCAAAAGCCAAGCTCTCTCCAAGTGCTCTGGGCCACCTCCCCCTACCCTTCTCGATGACCTCACTTCTATAATCGTCATCTCTCAGTTTCATCCTCCCTACCTACCAGGGGTGAATACAGATATGCTCTGGTATTTCCAATCTTATGAAACAAAAACAAACCTTTCCTTGACTACACGTTCCCCTTCTAGTTTCTTAGAAAGAATTGTCTCCACTTCTCACCTCTCCTTCAGCTCTCCTTCACTGTGATCTGGCTTTTGTCCCACCACTCTGCTGAGCAGTTGCTCTTGCCAAAGTGTTGTTCTCATCTCACTAGAATTTTCAGCACTATTTAACATGCTAGATCACTCCTTTTCGCTTGAAACGCTGAACTTCTATTGACACTGCATTCTGATTCCCTTTTAAGTCACTGCTCACCCCTTCTCAGTTTTCTTTGTAGGTGCTGCATTCTATACCCAAACTCTAAATGTTGGTGCTTGGCAGAGCTTAGTCTCGGATCCTCTTCTTTGCCCTCTCCCTAGTCTCTGCACTTGTCTATTAATATACTTATATATTAATAATCACACAGAATATTTAACATGAAGCATATAGACTGATGTTTTTACACATGTAAGCCAATTCATGTCAGTCCCCTGTTAAAACCCCTCAGTGGCTTTCTGTTGTGCTTAGAAAACAATCCAAAGTTCTTAACATGCCTACAGGCCCCTGTGTAACCTGGGTCCTCTGTTCCTTTCTGATCCGTCTTGTATCACTCTTCCCCTTGCTCACTATGCTTCAACCAAAATGACTTTCTGCTCTCCAAATATACCAAGCTCATTCCCACTTCAGAACCTTTGCAATTATTGTTTTCTCTGAATGGAAAGTCTGGTTCTTTCTTATCCTTCAGGTCTTGGCTCAAATGTCACCTTCTCAGAGAGTCCTCAGACCACTCCATCTGCACAGTAGTTCCTGAGTCAGTCACTATACATCACCCTGTTTATTTACATCATAATGTTAACCTCACTGTCTGAAATACTCTTATTGGTTTGCTTGTATATTTTCTGTCTTCCCTATTCAAATGAAAGTTGCCTGAGGACAGAGACTTTTTCTGCTTTGTTTACTAGTGTCTCTAGAGCCTAGAAGAGTACCTGGCACACAGTAGGCACTCAATAAATGTTTGCTGAATTAATGGATGAATATATAAGAGAATATGAATGGGGCCACATACGATCCTCACTTCTGACCTGGAGTCTGCAGCTAGAGGAGAGGTGTTTAGCTTTAAAAGAAAAAAGTTGGCCGGGCACGGTGGCTCACACCTGTAATCCCAGCACTTTGGGAGGCTGAGGCAGGCAGATCACGAGGTCAAGAGATCGAGACCATCCTAGCCAACATGGTGAAACCCCGTCTCTACTAAAAATACAAAAAAATTAGCTGGGCGTGGTGGCGCAGGCCTGTAGTCCCAGGTACTCTGGAGGCTGAGGCGGGAGAATCGCTTGAACCCAGGAAGCAGAAGTTGCAGTGAGCCAAGATTGTGCCACTGCACTCCAGCCTGGCGACAGAGCGAGGCTCCGTCTCAAATTAATAATAATAATAAAAGAAAAATGTTTAAGTACAGTTGGCAATAGCTCTGGCATGAGTTGTCAGGCACTAGAACTCTGTAACAGCCTCAGAATAAGAAGTCTCTAGTGACTGTGTGCCATTTGGAGTCTGATTTCATCAACCCAGAGTCTCTTGACAGAGTCTCAGGAATACAGGTGAGGGAGCACTTCCCAGACTGCTGTGGCCATTAGCCCATCTTCGTAGGAAACTGTTATGGGGTGGCTAATCTTGCTGTACAACCCATCTTCCCTGGTGGGCTGAGAGTGGGGCCCCTCTTTAGCCTCTTCTGGTGTTTCTCCTCAGGGATCAGTAATGGGGAAGTGGTGGACTGGATGGACTCGACTGGGGAAGAAGTGAGCCTGTGGCAGAAGATGCGACAGTACCCAGGGTCTTGGGCAGAAGGGACTCTGCAGCTCCGTTCCTCAATGGCCAAGCAGAAGCTGGGTTTATGAGTCCCTGTCCTCTTCTGCAGGTCCAGCCCTGGCGAGGGCAGGTCAGAGGAAGTGAAGAAATCAAGAGCAAAGATTTATAATTTAATGTGTATGTGTGTATGTGTGTATGTGTGTGTGTGTGTGTGTGTGTGTATGTGTACAAACATGTATTTTCTGCAAATCTCATTATGCTGGCTAGAGTGATGCAGACTTGTTCTTCTTTTTAAAGCAGTCTCAAGAATAAGCATTTCTTTAAAATGTTTCTGTGTATAATCTAGTTTATTTTCAGAGTCCATTTTTTCTTATGTCTTTATAAGGTTCACTTAACTTAAAAACAGCTTTTAAAACAACTTTTTATCTTCTGTCTTGCTATCATTGTTCCTACTTCCCTAGGAAGCCCTGGCTACCTTTCGCATTAGGACCAGTCTGGGTTTTAAGGCTCTGGGAAGCAGGGTTGGTTAGTAAAGACAGGAATGTTGGGGAGAGGTGAGTAGTTCCTTCCTCTTTCTCCTCTCCAATTTATGCTTTTAACTTATTTTCTACCTGGATAAACTTCTGGAACTTGGCTTTTAAATTTAACTTTTCTAGTTTTTAAGCAGTTTCCACCTTGCTTTGGTCTAATGCTTTTCTTTGAAATGCTAACAGAATTCCCAAGCTTTTTCCAGTTCTAGATATCTTTACTAGACCTTTGGGGGACTCTTATAATGGAGCTGCTTTTGAAAAGCACTTTAATTAGATAATGTATTTTGACTAAATCACGAGGATGCCCAGTGAGAGCTTCTAGCTGATCTCAGAGGACCAGAGTGACTGAGGGTAAAGTGTCTCACAGCCCATGCTGAATTTTCTGCATTTTAAACTGATACTGCAGTCATTGGAGAGAGAGCTCCTCATTTCTCGAATGAAAGATGAGATATATTCATCCTCATGTACCACATCTGTCTTAGTGTTTGCGTCTGGGGTGTGTTATCAAACAGAGCATGGTCTACATCCCACTGTGTCAACCAGAAGAGCCAAGTGTTATCTCAATTGGCCCAGTGTTTCTCCAGGCTGGGGACTGTTAAGGGCTCTAAGGGAATGTAGACAGAGTCTCCCTGTTATTCTGACTTCCTGCTTGATGAGCTTTCAGTTCCTGTTTTTGCTATTGTTTCCTAAATTTGACCTACATATTACATGGGTGTAGTGTGTTGAGGCTTTTCAAAGAAGGGTCTAGTGAGCTAAGTTTCATCTTCTGGTACTCATTGATCAAACTGACCTTTCTATTCTCATAAGCGTTTCTACCCAAAGTTGTGTGTGGAAGGAGTGTATAGCAGAGAGGAAATCCCTTTCAACAGAGTCAGCTGCTAACTGATTTCCTATAAGCACACTGGATTAAGGGCAGCCACAGTGGTTTCTACTGTATGTATGAACCGAATGGAGGAATGTTTTCAAAGATTGATTTGGTGTGGATTGCAATTGTAATGGAAGGCATAACTTGGGATCCCGGGCTGTAACTTGCTCTTTTGTTTCCCACCCCCCTGACATGTATGTGTGCTTTAATAAAGCTTTCTCACTTGTCAAACGTTTGTGTTTGTTAGTTCTATAAATGCTTTTGTCTCTGATGTCCTCACTGTTGCTTTTCCCCTGGCTTGAAGGATAAGAACCAAAGTGATAAATGCTCTTCCCTAACCATCCTATGCTGATTGAAGAAAATTCACCTTTCCCCGCATTGCTGCCTGATACCTTAAATGCCTGATACTTTCGCTGAGCTTGATCCCTCGTCCTTTGTATTTGGTATCTAAGGAGAACACTGAGAAATCATCTTTAAAGTGGCACCACTTTTCTATCTTGTAACAAAGGAACTCTTCCTTTAGCTTTGCAGACCCTCCTATACTGGAGGAAGGAGAGAGATGTTCATACAGGAGGTGAGGGGAGACATTCCCTGCTATAAGCACTTCTTTCTGGATCCTTCAATTTCTCTGGGAGGCGGGGACTTTTTCTTTTACTCCTCCTACCATTATGTAGTTTTGAGAGAGAAATAACACAGGTGCCAAGTAACCCAGCTCAGAAATAAGGCTCTTGATTTCTAGGTAGAACCCAAGCAATTCTTGACCTCTTGTGCAAAAGGGCATTAATATATATCAAATGCTTTTTATGTGCAAGGCTTCATATACTATTTCTTTAATTTCTCCAACCACTTTATGAAGTAGGAAATCTTCCCTTTTTACAGATGAGGAAACTCAAGCCTACTGTCACGTGACAGAGTTGGGCTTTGAATCAAAGTCTGACTCTACTGCACCATGTGGCCTCCTGTGAGAATGGTATGTGTGTTATGGGTGAAGGGTCAAAGGAAGACGTGACTCATCTCTTCTAAAATATCTTAAATAAGTTCAATTTACAAAAAGTAGGACAATCAGAATGCTTTGGATATTACCTAGCCAACTTAGTGACTGTACTGCTTGTGAGTGAGTGTGTGTGTATGTGAGAGAGAGAGAGACAGAGAAATAGGGGAGAGGAATAGGCAGGATAAGAGAGAATGGGGCAGTGGGGAGAAGTGGGGGAGAGGTGGGCAGAGAGAGAGGTACAATATATACAGGGGTCGGGCTAGCCCCTTTGGGTCTGGCTGTGGGTCATATTCTGCTGCTGTCTCTCCCCTACTTTAGGAGTTGGGATTTCTCAAATCCTCATCTTCAAAGGACTACAAAGGAGGTTACTGTAAAACTTTACCTAAAGAAAGCAAGACTGACTTGACTATTCAAAATGAAATGAAACAAAAGCTCCTCAGTTGCATATAAATGTTCCTTGAGTCAGGTCCAGGTGGAGCTCTGTTCAGGAGGTAGTAGGCCTCCGCTGTTTGGGCCTTTGACCTGCTAGTATGTCCTGGCTTGCCCCATTTGAAGTGTTAGTGATAAAGACAACGAAGGGCATTCATCTCGCCCAAGGTGCAGTCTTTGCCTTTGGAACCACAGAGCTAGTCTGACCAGAAATTTCCCACATGAACTCATTGTATCTGCCTCTGCCCATAACTTGCCTGCTGCCTCTCACAGTTCCCATATTTCCCTGGAGGGAAGAGGGAGAAGGGACCTTTTTGCTCCAACTTTGAACATTTCCTCCATGTTCCATTCTACCCAGCAACTCCCTAATTTTTTATATTGCATTTTAAAAATGAGATTTCCACTAAAATCCCAGTGGAAGGAGATTCTCTCTGACTCACTGCTCCCCCAATTTGTTCTGGGCTCATGATTTATGTCCCATCACTCCGCTTTCAAGACTGAATTTTCTCAGGTTGAGACCCTTTCATTTCCATTTCCCTCTTTCCTCCTGAGCCCACTCTGAGCCTTGTGTCTGGGTAGGATTATAGAACATGGAAAGTTTCTCCTTGCTTACAGCTTTCAGTTGTCTTTAAATGGAAAGTAGGAAAAGAAGTAGCGTCAGGATGGCATAATGTCTAAGAAGAACATTGCCTCTAGAGCCAGGCTGCTGGTGTTGAAATCCTGACTCTGCCACTTACTAGCTGTCTGATCTTAGGCAAATTACCTAATCTCACTCAGCTTCAATTTCCTCATCTGTAAAATGGGGTTAATAACAGTACCTACCTCATAGGGTTCTTGTGAAGGCTTCGGAGTCAATCAGTAGAGTGTTTAGAACAGCACCTGGCACATAGTGCTTGAGCATTATGAGCTCTGCCTCCCCACCCAGCCTGCTTCCTTCTCCCCTCAAGTCATCCACTGATGACCCCCTGAGTAAAGCTGAAGGAGAGAGGCTGCTGAGTCTTAGCTATGACTCTGGGTTCCATGACTGTATGAAAGAAGGCTCTCAGCAGCAAGGGAGAGAACACTTGTCTTTCAGACACTGGCACACCATTGAGAGGGACTGCAGTCAGAGCAGGGATCTGTGTGTGGCTCCACCTCGAATTTTAGGCCTGGTAAGGCTTGATTTTGTGCTGCTATAGCTCCCACCTGCTCTGTGCTCATCTCTCAAAAGGGGACAAGTATCTGAAGAAGTTAATACATGAGGCTGAGTCTGTTTTTCTTTTCTTTCCCTACGACCTGCAGTGGTGGTTTTGAAGTTTCCTAAGTAACAAGCTGGGGACTCCTCTGAGGAAGGGAGAGAATCGTTTGCCTTCTGCTACAGAAACGGGAGGCCTCAGGAAGAAGGGGTTCTTGCCCGTGAGCCAGCTGGAGGGCCCCAGAGAACATTCTGCTCTGATTGGATACATCTTACCAAGCTCTCTCCCACTGCAGGGTTTTTCTAACAGTGAAGCAATGGTTCAGATAACATTTGCTGCCCAGTGCCCTAGAAGGGGAAATGACAAACAAGTTCAAGAATGTTTTGGGCTGGGCGTGGTGGCTCACGCCTGTAATCCCAGCACTTTGGGAGGCCGAGGCGGGTGGATCGCGAGGTCAGGAGATAGAGACCATCCTGGCTAACATGGTCAAAACCCGTCTCTACTAAAAATACAAAACGTTAGCCGGGTGTGGTGGTGGGCGCCTGTAGTCCCAGCTTCTCGGGAGGCTGAGGCAGGAGAATGGCATGAACCCAGGAGACGGAGCTTGCGGTGAGCCAAGATCGCGCCACTGCACTCCAGCCTGGGCGCAAGGCAAGACTCCGTCTCAAAAAAAAAAAAAAAAGGATGTTTTGTACCCTGCTACCCACCCCTCATCCTGTAAGGAAAATCCAGCTACACTTGCTTAAAGTGTAAGCTGGTTTCTGTTGTGCTCGTGCTGCCCTCTGCTGTCACCTCAGGGTAGAGGAACCAGTTAAAACAGCCAGTTCATCACTGAATTTAGGATTTACTTTTCTGAAAGACTTTGGAGAGCTGGGCAGGGGCCCGGGTTAGGAAAGGAAGAACTTCTACCCCCAACCCACTGCCCAAGGCCTGTCCTCAGTCCCTACCTAGCTTCTAGGGAAACTATTACACAGTCCTAAAAGGATGCCTGGAAACACCGCAGGATTTGTCAAACTCACCCACCTCAGAGTCCTGTCCCTAGAACTGTGGGAAAACATTTCCTCCTTTTATTAGGTCCCAGTTTCAGCTAACTAGAGGAGCTTTTCCCTTGACTTTAACCATGCCCTGGCTCAAGTTCACTCGCATATGTCCCTTTGCTCCCGACGCTGGGTCAACTCCTGATTGCTCAGTAGGTAGTCATCAATGAATGTGAAGATTTCCTCGGGGGTGACAGGTTCCATGTAGCGGTCTCGGTCAATACCCTGCTTGTCAATCAACACCATGTTGAAGTAGGAGCGAGTGAGGCGCTGAAATTGCCTAGAGAGAACAGCCCAGGGAGGTATGAGACCTTGTCTGGGCACCCATCCCCACAGGCTCTACTACCCTCTGACTTTTTGCAGCTCCACTCATGGACTAATTCCTTCCCCACCTCATCCCTGGTCCCCATTCCCTCTACTTCCTGTCTCAAGTCGCTTTGTTTTTCTGTGTTCAGATTCTACTCTTGCTGCCTCTATGCATCTAGTTCTGCTAAGCTGTCCCTTCCTCACCTCAGCTGCAACAACTTTGTTATTAACAGGCGGTGCTTTCATTGTAGGCCCCTTTAAGCAGGGCTATCACATATTGCTGTGCAGGCTGCACAGGGTGACTCCAGGGGCCACCCGCTGCAGAGACTGTGCTGTGTATGCACATCATACATGGCAGCCCTTAGGTTGATAAATACCTTCTGGTTAACTCTTCCATCTGTAGCTGCAAGTCTGCAGTCTCCCTCTGAGGGTTTTCTAGTCTCTTCTCTAACTAGGACTGAATCTTTCTGTCCCCACTGAGACTGTGCCCTAGAGGCAGGTATAGTTTCTCTATCATTTAGAGGCACTGCTCTAAAACAGAGCAGTGATGGCTTTATTGGCCCTGAATATATGTGAAGGCATTAGAAGGGTGATACTGGATAGATAATGAGAAAGACCCACTTCTTCCATCACCTGTCACCTCTAATGTTCTCTTCCCCAGGATTTGATAGATCTTACTCAGATTTCAGTGCTTAAAGATGCCTTTTGCGGCCAGGCATGGTGGCTCATGCCTGTAATCCCAGCAGGTTGGGAGGCGGAGGTGGGCAGATCACCTGAGGTCAGGAGTTTGAGACCAGCCTGGCCAATATGGCGAAACCTGTCTCTACTAAAAATACAAAAATTAGCTGGGTGTGGTGGTGCACACCTGTAATCCCAGCTACTCGGGAGGCTGAGGCAGGAGAATCACTTGAATCTGGGAGGTGGAGGTTTCAGTGAGCTGAAATCGTGCCATTGCACTCCAGCCTGGGCGACAAGAGCAAAACTGTGTCTCAAAAAAAAAAAAAAAAAAAAGATGGCTTTTGCTCCTTTGGAGACTGAAGGCAAAGAGATGAGGCCAGAAAACAAGAGCAGGGGCTTATCTGAGTCAAGTTTGGGTTTACTGTCTCAGCCCTGGCTGTGCTTCAGAGTCCCCTCAGGTGCCTTTGTAAAAGCACATTCCTAAGGTGGTTTAGGATGGGGCCTGGTCATCTGTATTTTAAGCCCTCATTTGATTCTGATGTTCTACCAAAGTAAAGAAACTACTCTCTGGTCTTACCTAATGCATCCATAAGAGTTCAAACGCAAGAAGTGCCGCAAGAGAGTAGTGTCTGATGGTTTCCCCATAGTCCGCTTTTGCCAGTGTCCTGCCTAGGGTTTCTCCCCCCGCCCCAGCCCCCCCTCCCCCCAAGTTTGGCAGCCTCCCAGCCTGGACCTGAGCTCCTCGATGATGTTGGCTGACAGCTGTTGCTCCCGGATGCGCCCCACCTCCTGAGGTGGCTGTCCCACCAGTTCAATGATGGTCACATGCCGCAAATCCAGTCCACAGGTGGATTGCTGGGAGGGAGACAGAACATTTTATGCAACAGAGCTGTGCGTTCAAACCTAAGGCTACTTGGCTGATTCCTCCTGGGACCATATGAAGCAGTGTGGGAAAGGAGCTCCTTCTCCCCCAATGATCACGCAATCACACTGTGGGGTCTACAACAACCTGTTCCCTCTGTCATTCCTGAAGTACTTGCCCCAACAGTGTTTCCTTCATTCTACTGAAACCAGTTACACAAAGTGGGGTAGAGAAGAGAAATGCAATGAGTAAATTGCAGGAACATAATCATTTAGCTTTGCATAGGTTTTAAATTACATAAGTTCTTGATGGATAGCCAATGTGATATGATAATGGCTGTTGTTTATTGAATACACAAACCTAATGCTTTGTAGACATAATCTAATCTTCACAACACCCCTCACAAGCCAGGTGGTGACAATAACATGCTGAGCCAAGATTCAAACTGAGGACTGATGCCCCCTGCCCAAGCGTGTGCTCTTTACCAATAGGCTACCTGGCCAGGGCCTTCGCTCGGTCTCCAGGATTTCTCCAAAATTGTGCCCAGTGCTCTTTTCATTACCCCTTGTTACCTTCCTTGCACTGGGCAGTGCAGCTTGCAGTCCTACCCCAGATCTCTGTCCTGCCTTGTCTTGCAGGATCACCTGCTAGCCATTTACCAGGGTGAGGTTTAAAGAGGCCTTGAATACTCCCCGGCACCCCACCTCTGTTTCATCTTTGGGCTTCCCCTCTAGTCCTTACCCTCAGAGTCACTATGCTTGCTGACAGGTTCCTTTTCTTGTTCTTACTCCCTTGCTTCCAAAGGAACTGTTGCCTTTGTCAGTCTTTTTGGATCTCTAGATGAATAAGGCCCTCTTTTTGGTCTAGACCCTCCAGGGTCCTTTTTTTTTTTTTTTTCTTTTTTTTTTTTTTTGTAAAACTGCTTCCATCCTGGGCCTCTGAATATTCACTAGGCAACTTCTAAGATTCAATCTTTAGAAGCCTCCTAAGTAGCTTTTTCTCCCACGTGGGTATCCAGCCCCTTGTAGCTCCCCAGAGCTGCTTCTCTTAGTCTTGTCAGCACATCCTGAATTATCTTCAGTAACCTAGCCTGTTCTTTTATAAGTCCCCATAATCATATTTATTCTGTCCTATCGACCTCTCCCTACCAGTGGCTTTGGCTAGGTATCTCTTATGTTAAAAACTGCCATGCAACTCTCTCATTTTACTTTGAGATATCATAACGCTTTTCCTTCTTTTTTGCTACTGGTAGTGGCTAAGAGGACAGATTCTGCAGCCAGACTCCCTGTGTTCAATCCCAGCTCCACCACTTACTAGCTAGTGACCTTGGGCAAGTGACTTAATCTCTATGCATCAGTTTCCTCACCTATTCAATGGGGATAACGATAGTATCCACCTCCAAAGGGTTGTTGTGAGAATTGGATGAATATGTGTAAAACCCATAGATCAGTACTGGATAGCTACATAGCACTTACTGCATAAGTGTTTGTTAGCGCTGTTATTCCTTGAAAACATAAATGTACTTAATTCCCAACATTTACATTTGATCATAGCTGTCTTGCAAGTCTCTTCAGAGTGCTTTGCCACACTCCCTTCCCATCTTTCACCCAGCTCCCTGCAAGTCACAGCCACCACTCCAGTGACTTTATTGCCTTTTCAGTAAAAACAGTTTTTTAAATGTGCTAAATATGTCTATGGTAAAACTGATCAAATGCTATCCACAAAAAGTTTCAGGAAGTAGGTAAGGTTTGTGCTGCAGAGAACAACTCTGATTTGGAAAAGGTAAGGGATAATTTACAGGAGCTAAGCCCTCTTTAGGGGAGTGGGCCTTACCTGTAGCATAGAGATCTGCATTTTATAATATCGGTTGGAAGGATCAGGAGCTGAGATGATGAGGAGTCGCTGTTTCTCATAGAATTGATCCAAGAGACCAGCAGCTGAGTTGACGTTGACGTTAATCTTCATAGCTAGGGCAGAAGCAGGTGACCAGTCAGAGTACGGCTTTCTCCTCCATCCCAGCTTAGGTAACCTAACATCTTGAGGTGTTCCAGTCTTTCAGGTTACCTCTCTCTGGCTGTTTCTCCCATCCCTTGGGGGAAATCCTAAAAGAACACTTAGAGATTTTAAACCCTTCTTCTTGGGGTAGGAGTAGTCTACGGGGGAATGTTGGCCTTTAAATTAGACACATCCCAGAACCCCCCTTTCCCACATCATATACATTGTTATTGGACCCCTGTCCATGAGGAAGATCCTCCAAAGTTCCCCTGATCACCACATCCACTTGCCCCATTCCCCGGTTTCACTCACGAGCACAGATTGGTGGTGAACCTGACCACTGGCGGCTGGACTGACAGACCCGGGAGGGTGTCCCCTGGCGATCATAACCGCCATCACAGTGGTATTCACAGGTGGCACCATAGTTGTCCCCCGCTGAGGTGCAGGTGAGGTAGCCGTGCTGCGGAGGTTTCAGAGTTGGGCAGCGTCTCACTGTCAGGGAGGAGCTCAAGTTAGAAGTTATGGTGTTTCTTATAAGAAGGAAAGGCTAAGAGGGTGCCCATGCTGGGCTTTCTAGATCAGAAGACTTAGGATGATCAGAAAAATGGCTTTTCTGTATTTCCACTGGCTGGGGATAGAGCTGGAATTTTCCTTTCTTAAGGAATTAAATCTGAAATGCAGACAAAGGTTTGTAAAGTCTGGAAACACAGGTGAATATACATGTTGTTATCAAAAGACTGACAATCTTTAAAAGAAAATATTACCATCTGTTTCCAGACTTTATGGACATGCTGTGTAAAGATGACTACCTTGCAGAATTCCTCTTAATAACAGAAATAAGTTGGAGGAATCTTAAATGTTCATTGGTGGGAGAAGGGTTAAGCAAATTACGATATATTTTTAGAGTAGAATATTATGCTGTCATTAAAAATATTTCTGAAGAATTTTTAAATAACATGGGAAAATTACTTTGTTAATGAAAAGTGAAAAGGATGATTTATGGATGTACAGTACAATCTCAACTATATATTTTTTAAAGTATGTATAGAAAAAAGACTGGAAGGAAAATACCAAAAAGTTAATAGCAGTTGCCTCTGGATGATGGGGTAATAGATTTTCCCCCTTTATATATTTCTTTATTTATCAAATGTTCAACAATAAGCATGAATTATTTTTATAATGAGAAAAGCAAAACAAAACAATACAACACAAAGCAAAGAGGAAGAATCAGGCAGCCAACACCACCAGTTTTATCAGAGGTGAACGACAGAATGATGGCTGATTACATGTGATCATTTTGAAGTCTAAGAAAAGAAATGGATAAAGAATATCCTTGTGGATTTTATCTGGATTTAGGATAATGAGAGTCTTGTTGATGAGAGTCTTGTTGGAGAGTCAAGGTTTCAGAAACATATGTATGCACATGTAACGCTGGCTTCCTAAATAAGCCTGTTTGGTGAACTTGTTTTTCTCCTCTCCCAGTATAAATGAGGTGTGTCTCTTCCAGGCATAGAGAGGAGAGACATGGGGTGGGTCAGGGTAGAGCAGGATTAATGAACAATATGGAAACTAAATAATTCTTTCTGACCTTGTACTTTCACAATGAACTTGCAGCTGGCCCGGTTGTAGGCTCGGTCATAGGCAGTGTAACGAATCACATGCTCTCCTTCGGGAAAGTGAGAGCCAGGCTCAGGGCCCCGAAGTGTCACCCTGCATGGGACAGGGTGAAATAAACACTGAGGAAAGAGACCCTTAGAATTGAAGTCTGAGGCACATCCCCACTGTCACCTTAGCCTGTGCAGTTTCAATGTGACCAGCCTGAATGACTGAGAGAAGCCGAGGGAAGGCATAAGGGGCATCCATTATTCAGGCTCACCTGGTGATGGTACCATCAGCAGAATCTTTCACCAACGGTGGGTCCCAGTATACTCGAGCAGTCAATTTCTCTGGCTCTGCCATCTTCTCACGTGAGTGGGGACAGCGGATCTTGGGGGGATCTATGTCTGCCAAGATGAAAAATCAAGTGCTGACTCGTGGGCCCCTTGCTTTCCCTGGAGGGAATCCACTGAAGCAATGCCACACACCACTGGGTAGATAAAAAGTTCAAGGTGCTCAAGGAAACTGGGGAAGGAAGCGCAACTTCAGGGGAGAAGATCATTTTGTTTAGCAAATACCCAGGGTGCCACCCTCATAGCTAAGAGGAATGCCTTCTGTGGTGAGAATTCCACATCTTTTGTCGATATAATGCTGGGGTGGCTCTTTGCACCAGGACAACTGGGAGCAACCAGCATTTACCTACACATACAGGCTCGCCTCCACTCCATCTCCCATCTTCCATGCAGATTCGGCTGCGATCACCTTCCAGGTGGTAGCCACTGGAACAGCTGTAGTCACAGCGAGAGTCAAGAAGCACTCCATTTGTGCAGGTGTAAGTGCCACTAGTGATGAATGGTAGTGCGTGGCATCTCATCTCTAAGAGAAAACCAAGTGGCAAGCTCAGTGGCTTGTGCGACTATCTGGAGGTGATGCCTGGGCATCTAGCACAGGGAGAAACATCAGAAAGAGCAGAAAATACAGAAACCCTACCTGAACTGCCCTTACATTTTTGTGCCTAACTGCCTTTTTCCCTAATTGTCTTTGTATTTTCATAAAGTATAGCAGCACCCTTGGGCAGGGGGGTGTCAAAAAAGTAAATTACTTGTCCAAGCATATAGACTTCAAAATCAGACCTAACACTGTACATTGTCAAAATCCATAGAATATACAACAAGAGTGGGCCTTAATATAATCTATGGAATTCAGGTGACAATGATGTATTAATTTATGTTCGTCAACTGTAAAAAATGTACCACTCTGGTGGGGGATGTTGACAACAGGGGAGGCTGTACATGTGTGGGTGCTGGGGATAAATGGGAAATATCTGTATCTTTCATTCAATTTTGCTGTGAACTTAAAACTTCTCTAAACAAATAGAATCTATTTTAGAGGGGGAAGGAAAACAACTTATCAAGAGTAAAAAAAAAAAAAAAATCAGACCTGACTTTGCATCCCAGTTCTACCTCTTACTAGCTCTGTAACTTTAAGAAGTTGCCTCATCTCTTTGAGTCTCAGTGTTTTCTTCAGTGAAATGTGGATACCTCATAGGATTGTTGTATAAATTAAAAAAGACAATGCATATATCCTCTGGGCTCATTTAGGGCCTTAGCAACTGTTAATTTTTGTCTCTTATTCCTCAAATGCTAGATGCCCTTGAGCACGTTCAAAGCTTCTTTTCTCCTCCAGGCATACTCAATATAATTTTGGGGCTCCCATAGGTACTGCTCAGCTGAGGCTCACTTACATGCCAACTTGGGCTGACTCTCTGTCTGGGCAAGAATACAAGTCAGACCAGTGCCTGGAGGGCCAGGTGTGGTATTTGGTAAAAGAGGAATCCATGTGCCTTGGACACCACGTGTGGCAGAGGTGGAGCCTGTCACCATGGATTAATTGTGAGCCTATGCTTGCCAAAGTATTGTTGGAGATACCTGATACTTGAGAGAAGGAGGCCATATATTCCTTTAGGTTGTCTAACTTCTAGTCCTGCCTAAGTTCAATTGTTGGAGCTTTGAATAAAGATCTGTATAAGCTATGTTCATTTTGTTGCTTGGCAAACCAGACTTAAAGATTATTGCATTTTCTGTTTTCCAGTGTCCCTTTGTAAAGACCTATGCAAAAATGACCTTTTTGAAATCAGGGCAAAAGATTTGTCTCTTCAGATGAATGTGTTTGCTTAGTATCATATGACAGGAAAAATGATAGATCCAAAGCATTTGCCCTTTTGTCTCTTATGAGGAAAGTCAAAGCTAGATTCAGTGCTCAAATGTAGTAATTGACTCATTGTAGGCACCTGGAAATATGTATGTCACCATTATTTTAATTGGTTTTGTGTTCACTTGTACTTTACAGACCTATATTTTTCAATTGTGTCAGACCGATTCAAATTCCTGTTGAAAATGTTGGGGTCTAAGTCCTGAAACAATTTAATTCCAGTCACCGAGAGGGGTGTGGTGACTGCCTGCTTTCTGGCTATCAAGCTTCTTTTCTCGTCTACAGCGTCTTCTCTGACCAGCCCCATTTCTATATGAATGCTCAGCACTTCTGCATCCAGTTACACCACACTGATGTGCACACATTTGTGTTTCTATCCCATTCATCTATAAGCAGCCTGGGAGTACTTGAAGAATTGAGTAACACAGGAAGTGACCAATACAGGGCTGCGCATACATGGGTGTCCTACAAGTGGTGTTCTGCCATGGACATATGGACAGGAAAAGTTCAGCTGCTAAAAGGCTATGGAACTTGAGTAAGAGGTAGAGATTTGGAAGCTGAAGGGGGACGTGATTTGGAATGTGTGTATATCAGCACTTTCACATTCTAGACTTAGGGATTTTTCTTCTGACTTCCAGAAGAAAATTAAGAATAGCACATGTTTCACAGCTCCACTGCCAAGGTCTTCTAAGGCTACAGGCCAGGAATTACAGCAGTTGACCACAAGTGGAAAAGAGTCTAAGACCACACATCCTTAGGAGCTCCAGAAGAAGATCTAGGTCCACAACAGACCTCAGGCCCAAGCCTTAGCTCTGGCTGTGCACTCCTGGGCTCCCCGAGACAGAAGAGCTTGTTGCTAGTTAAATGCTCATATTGCCTGGGCAGTAACCCAGAGAAATGGAACTCGAATGTTAGAATGGGGAAAGGCCCTGCTGGGGGGCTTATGGAATATTCTCAATTTGTACTTGAGAGAAGGGCATATTAGTAACACCTCCGGGCATATACCCTCAGCAGCTGGCTGGCTGGCTTCTCTCGCATACATACATCAGCATATGCACACACACAACTTACGCCTGCAGTAGGCAGTTCCAGACCAACGACGGCTTGGCAGGCATTGCACCGACCTCCTTCCAATCAATCGAAAGCCCCGGTCACAGGAGAGCTCACAACGCGTGCCCAGGCTGCTGTGATAATTTCCTCCCTTCGGTGAGTAGCATGTGGCTTCTCCATCCTGGATATTTAATGTATAACACCATCGGGGGACTGTAGCAATAGAAGAAAGGCAAGCTAGAAGTATAGTAATCAAGACAGTGTGGTGTTGGTGAAAAGACAAATAGGTCAATGGAAAAAAATAGAGAGCCCAGAAGTAAACCCACACAGGTGTGTTGAAATGATTTTTGACAAAAGTGCAAAAACAATTAAGTGGAAGAAAGATAGCCTTCAAACAAACGGTGCTGGAGCACTTGTACTTCCATATGCAAAAAAAAAAAAAAAAAAAAAAAAAACCCCACCTCGACCTAAGTCTCACACCTTATACAAAAATTAACTCAAATGGGATCATGGACTTGAAAAAACAGGAGAAGGTCACTGGGATTTAGGGCTAAGCAAAGTGGTCTGAGGTATGACACCAACAGCAGAATTAATAAAAGAAAAATTAAAATTTGTTTTTTTGAGACGGAGTCTCACTCTCGCCCAGGCTGGAGTGCAGTGGCGTAATCTCAGCTCACTGCAAGCTCCGCCTCCCACGTTCACGCCATTCTCCTGCCTCAGCCTCCTGAGTAGCTGGGACTACAGGCGCCTGCCATCATGCCTGGCTAAGTTTTTGTATTTTAGTAGAGACGAGATTTCACTGTGTTAGCCAGGATGGTCTCGATCTCCTGACCTTGTGATCCTCCTGCCTCGGCCTTCCAAAGTGCTGCGATTACAGGCGTGAGCCACTGCGCCCGGCCAGAAGAATTAAATTTTAATAAATAAATTAATGAATTAACAAATTGGACCTTGTCAAAATTAAAAATTGCTCTGTGAAAAGACAAAGCCATAAAAGGGACTAGTATTTAAAATATAGAAAGAACTCTCAAAACATTGAAAAAGCAAACAATCCAGTTAGAACATGGACAAAAGATATAAGCACACATGGCACTGAATAGGCTACACCGATGGCAAATAAGCACATGAAAAGATGTTCAGCATCATTAATCATTTGGGAAATGCAAGTTAAAATCATAATGAGATACTACTTATATATCCATCAGGGAGGGTATCCTTAAAAAAAACTGGTAATACCAAGTGTTTGTGAAGATGGAGAGAAACTGGAATTCTCATATATGGCTGGTGGAAATGCAAAAATACAGCCACTTTGGAAAATATTTTGGCTATTTCTTATAAAGGTAACACCTACCTTCTTATAAAGAAAGGTACACTTACCATACGACTCTGCAATCCCACTTAAAGGTATTTATGCCAGTGAAATAAAAACCTGTGTCCACACAAAATCCTGTACACGAGAGTTAAAAGTAGCTTTATTCATAATTGCCAAAAGCTGGAAACAACTCAAATCTCAAATGTCTTTCTTTCTTCTCTTTTCTTTTTTTTTTTTTGAGACGGAGTCTCCCTCTGTCACCAGGCTGGAGTGCAGTGGTGCAATCTCGGCTCACGGCAACCTCCACCTCCTGGGTTCAAGCTTGATTCTCCTGCCTCAGCCTCCCGAGTAGCTGGGACTACAGGCGCCTGCCACCACGCCCAGCTAATTTTTGTATTTAATTTTTGTATTTTTAGTAGAGACGGGGTTTCACCTTGTTGGCTAGAATGGTCTCGATCTCTTGACTTCTTAATCTGCTCGCCTTGGCCTCCTAAAGTGCTGGGATCACAGGCATGAGCCACCGCGCCCAGCCTCAAATGTCTTTCTATGGGTGAATGGCTAAACTAACTGTGGTGTATTCATACAAAAGAATGAAGTGCTGATACATGCAACAACATCAATCAATCTCAAATTTATTTTGGGACGTGAAAGAAGCCACACTTGAAAAACTACATACTGTAGAGTTCCATTTATATAACAAAAATATAGGGACATAGGCAAAAATACAGTGACAGAGTACAGATCAGTGTTTGCCAGAGATTAGGGGTAGAGGTAGGGAATAACATCAAAGGGGAAGCACTGGGCAAGATTTTGAAGTGATGGAACTGTCTCATACTGTGGTGGGAGTTATGTGACCCTATGCAGTTGTCAAAACTCACAGAACTGTACACCAAAAAGAGTGAGTTTTTCTGTATGTATGTTTAAAATAAAAATTTAAAGGATAATACAAAAATGTAAACTAGAGAGAGGAAGGGAATGTGACATCAAAGAAGGAAGAAGGCTTCTTAGGAATTAAAGTCCAATCCCAGTTCAGTACTGAGCACAAAAGGTTATAAGGCTGTTAAATCATAAAGGCATCATAAAGATGCCTCACAGGCTATACAAAATAAATGACTCTTTAGTGGGTTCAGAGTTTAAAGGGGCACATATAAACAAGCAGAGGGCCGCCTGCCCAAGGATGCACACACACAGCATGGCACGGGTCTGTTGGCCTAGGGTTGGGAAGGCTAAAGCCCCATGTGAGTTGACTCAGTTCCCACATCCTAAGGGGGAAAAAAAAAAAGCTTTGAAAAAAAAAAAAAAGAAGTAGATGAGACACCAAAGGAACAAAGAAAGGCTAGAGCCTCTTTCTGAGTGCAACTGGAGAATGAAGACAGATGACAGTGAGAAATCTTTTCTTCAGTAAACACTACTCTTGGGGCTTCCAGCATTACTTTTGAGCCTGTGGCAGTGACACATGGCTGCCATCTGGAGACACCATCTCCAAATTACAGAAAGTCTTTTAAGCACTACAGTTGCAGAGCTGTTGATTATAAGGCCACAACACATATCACAAAGACCTTATTTGGCAGGCTGGGACCTCAACAATCACTCCCATTCTATATCGCTCCCATAGTCTGTCAAGGAAAATACACATCAGATTGGAATCGGTAGAATAAGTAAGAATGGTAAAGGGAAATATAAAGGTCGGTCTAAATGCTGAGACAGTAGGAGAGGCCCCAGCTATTGTAAATAAGTTCAAATTTTCCGACCCAGAAAAAATCCTGGCATAAAGACAAAAACGTTGAAAGGCTGGAGAAGAGCAAACACAATCTGTTTTCAAATAAGGAAGAAGTCTCTGGGAACTATAGCCTAGTGACACTGACAGCACTGATAGCATAGTGTTCTAGAATATTTAAACATAAGGCGTATGGCAGTTACCCAGAGAAATAGTGATCTCCAGGAACCCTCTGGAACAAGTAATTCCAGACTGACCTAATTTCCTGTTTGGGTAGGGTCACCAGACTGGTAGAGCAGGGGAAATGGTGGATACACTATGTGGAAGTAAGTGAGGCATGTGACAATGCTTTTCATGTCATTGATGTGGATGAGATGTAATACAGGAGAGGTGACAATATGGTTAAAAATTCATAAGTGGCTGAGCAACTGTACCCAAAGAATGCCCATGGGAAACTGAAACGAGGATGTGGTTAAAAGAAATCAAGAAGGCAATTCCATTTACAATAGCTACAAAGAAATCTAGAAATAAACTTAACCAAAGAAGTGAAAACCTTTACACTGAAAACTATAAAACATCGATGAAAGAAATTAAAGAGGACACAAAAATAGATATCCCGTGTTCATGGATCAGAAGAATTAATATTGTTAAAATGACCATATTGCTCAAAGCAATCTACAGATTCAATGCACTTTCTATCAAAATACCAACATCATTTTTCACAGAAATATAAAAAGCAATCCTAAAATTAATGTGGAACTAAAAAAGAGCCAGAATAGCCAAAGCAATCTCAAGCAAAAAGAACAAAGCTAGAGGCATCACATTACCTGACTTCAAAATATATTGTAAGGCTATAGTAACCAAAACAACACAGTATTGGTATAAAAATAGATATATAGATCAATGGAACAGAATAGCAAACCCAGAAATAAATTCACATATTTATAGCCAACTGATCTTTGACAAGGCCATCAAGAACATACACTGGGGAAAGGACACTCTCTTCAATAAATGGTGCTGAGAAAACTAGATAACCTTATACAGAATAATGAAATTGGACACCCATCTCTCATATCCAAAAATTTACTCAAGGTGGAGTAAAAACTTAAATGTAAGACCCAGAAGTATAAAATTACTAGAAGAAAACATAGGGAAAACTCCTCAGGATATTGGTCTAGGCAACAATTTTATGGTTAAGACCTCAAAAGCCAGGAAACAAAAACAACAATAGACCAGGAAGACTATATTAAACTAAAAAGCTCCTGCACAGCAAAACAACAACAAACAACTGAGTGAAGAGACAGCCTCTTGAATGGGAGAAAATATTTGCAAACTACTTATCCATCAGGGGACTAATAATGTCCAGTATATACAAGGAACTCGAACAACTCAACAGTAGAAAAACAAATAATTCCATTAAAATATTGGGCAAAGGGGCTGGGCGCAGTGGCTCACGCCTGTAATCCCAGCACTTTGGGAGGCCAAGGTGGGCGGATTACGAGGTCAGGAGACTCCGTCTCCAAAACAAAAACAAAAAACAAAAACAAAATATTGGGCAAAGGACATGAACAGATATTTCTCAAAAGAGGACACACAAATGGCCAACAGATATGTGAAAATATGCTCAACATCACTAATCATCAGGGAAATGCAAATCAAAACCACACAATGAGATATCATCTCACCCCAGTTAAAATGGCTATTATTAAAAAGGCCAGGCACAGTGGCTCATGCCTGTAATCCCAGGACTTTGGGAGGCCTCCGCAGGCGGATCATTTGAGGTCAGGAGTTTGAGACCAGCCTGGCGAACATGATGAAATCCCGTCTCTACTAAAAATCCAAAAATTAGCTGGGCATGGTGGTGGGCACCTGTAATCCCAGCAACTTGGGAAGCTGAGGCAGAAGGATTGCTTGAACCCAGGAGGTAGAGGTTGCAGTGAGCCGAGATCATGCCATTGCACTCCATCCTGGGGGACAGAGTGAGACTCTGTCTCAAAAAAAAAAAAAAAAAAAGACATAAATAACAGATGCCGGCCAGGATGCAGAGAAAAGGGAACCATACATTGTTGATGAGAATGTAAATTAATATAACCACTATGGAAAACAGTATGGAAATTTCTTAAAAAATGAAAACTAGCCAGGCGTGGTGGCTCACACCTGTAATCCCAGCACTTTGGAAGGTCAAGACAGGTGAATCACCTGAGGTCAGGAGTTCGAGACCAGCCTGGCCAACATGGTGAAACCCCGTCTCTACTAAAAATACAAAAATTAGCTGGGCGTGGTGGCGGGTGCCTGTAATCCCAGCTACTGGGGAGGCTGAGGCAGGAGAATCGCTTGAACCCAGGAGGCAGAGGTTGCAGTGAGCCGAGATGGCGCCACTGCACTCCAGCCTGTGCAACAAGAATGAGGCTCCATCTCGAAGGAAGGAAGGAAGGAAGAAAGGAAGGAGAAGGAAGGAGAAGGAAGGAAAGGAAGGAAGGAAGGGAGGGAGGGAACTAGCACTACCGTATGATTCAGCAGTCCCACTACTGGGTACCTATTTAAAGGAAAAGAAATCAAGATATCAAAGGGATCTGCATTCGTGTGTTTATCACAGCACTATTCACAATAGCAAAGATATGGAATCAACCTAAGTATCCATCAGTGGACTAATGGATAAATAAAATGTGGTACATATACATAATAGAATAGTATTTGGCCATAATAAAGAATGAAATCCTGTCATTTGCAGCAACATGGATGGAACTGGAAGACATTATGTTAAGCAAAATAAGCCAGGCACAAAAAGACAAATACTGCATGTTCTCATTTAATTGTGGGTGCTAAAAAGTTAATCTCATGGACATAGAGAATAGAATGATAGATACGAGAGACTGGGAGGGGTAAGTGGGTGGCAGAGGGGATGAAGAGAGTTTTGTTATGGATACAAATCTATAGTTAGAGGAAATAAATTCTAATGTTTGATAGCAGAATAGGGTGACTATACTTAGCAACAATGTTTTGTATATTTCAAAGTAAGTAGAAGAGAGGACTTGATACCAACACATAAAAATAATAAATACTGAAGGTGATGGATACCGCAAATACCCTGACTTGATTAGTCCACAGTCTATGCGTGTGACACTCAACATGTGCCCCATAAATATGTAAAGTATTATGTACCAATAAAAGAAAAAAGAATGTGGTTAAATACTGTATGGCTGGCTGGGCGTGGTGGCTCACCCCTGTAATCCCAGCACTTTGGGAGGCCGAGGCAGGCGGATCACCTGAGGTCAGGAGTTTGAGACCACCCTGTCCAACATGGTAAAACCGGGTCTACTAAAAATACAAAATTAGCCGGGTGCCGTAGTGTGCGCCTGTAATCCCAGCTACTTGGGAGGCGGAGGCAGGAGAATTGCTTGAACCTGGGAGGCAGAGGTTGAAGTGAGCCAAGATTGTGCCGTTGCACTCCAGCCTGGGCAACAAGAGCGAAACTTTGTCTTAAAAAAAAAAAAAAAAAAAAAAAAACTCCCCCACCCCACCTAAAAAAACCCCAAAAATACTGTATAGCAAAATTGTCTGGTAGGAAGTGTGTAAGTCTTTATTGTGTATCTCCTGTGTTCTAGGCACCATGCTACATGTTTTCCTTTTCACATATATCATCTTATACAGTTCTCCCAACAGCCCTGTAAGGTATGCAGGTGTTTATCCCTCTTTTGCAGATGAGGAAGTAAATTGCCCAGGATCCCTAAGCAAGTAAGGGGTAGAGCTGAAATTTGAACCCAGGCTTTGTCTGCTCCAAACTCCATGTCCTATGTAATTGCAGTGTCTGCCACTGCAGATATAAAATAGGCTACTATTTTGAAGTAAACACTGACCTTGTTGAATAGATAATATATCCGCATGACTCAAAACCTCAAAAGTATAAAAAGTTACAAAGTAAAATGTCTTCCCCCAACCCCTGCTCCCATGCCCACCCCGACTTAGTCCCCTCCCAAATAACTACTTTTAATAGTTTCTTTGTGCCTATAAAGCAAATGTTGGTATAGCTTCTTATTTTTCCTTCCTTTTTAATACATAGAGTAGCATATTATGCCCACTCTTCCCTCCATTGCTTGTTTGGTAAACTTAACAGTGTATTTAGAGATCTTTCCATATCACTACATAGCAAGTGTGCAATTTATTTAAATGAAATAACATTTATAAAATACATAGCACAGTGACTGGCACATAATAGGTGTTTGTCCAGAGTCCAAGAGCTGGAAGGGGGAGAAGCGGAGGTTTGAACTCAGGCCCATTGTCTCCGCTTTCTGTAGCTATTCATCTGTCTATCTCTTTTTAAGGTGTATGCAGAAAATAAAGTGCTGACGAGAGTTTTGAAAGGGCCTTCTCTGTTGTCTTCTATTATCTTCAGATAACCCAGGCAGTGTGACTAGCTTGCTCAGGGATGAGGCAAGCTGCAAGGAAAGCAGCAGCCCCAGCTGACTCCAAGCTAGGAGTTGGGATAAGGGAATGATAGAAAGTGCAAGATGAGTGAAAATGATAGCAAATGACATGCCAATTTGCTCTAAAATAATGATTTGGTTGTTCTTTTTTTTCTGGTCTTCTTTTTTAGAACAATGAGTTAATTTTTGATGAAAGAGATGAATTAAGCATGGCTTTAGAGTCAGACAGATCTGAGTTTAAATTCTCTGTGACTCTCTGAATCTAAAACTTCCCTGAGCTTAGTTTCCTGGTTGGTAAAATGGGGGATAATAAACCGTTCCATAGGGCTGTTGTGAGAACCAAATGAAATTTCATGTGTAAAATATTCAACCCTGTGAATGATTTTCCCTAAGTCAGTGTCTGGGTCTGAGCCAGTGTCCCATCTTTCCTAAAGCAGCAACATGCTGTGGTTCCCAGCATTCGTTTTGAGCATGTGACTGAGACACACTACTGCCATCTGGAGACACCATCTTCAAATTACGGGAAGTCATTTAGCACTACAGTTGCAGACCTATTGATTATAAGGTCACAAAGACTTTACCTGGGAGGCTGGGGCCTCAGGTTGTACTTTTCCTGGCCACTCCCTCCCCCTCATCATTGCTAACTTCACTCAATTCATTTTATGCCCTGAGACTAAGTCCTAAAAAGAGCTATGAGACACTACACCTCCAAACCAAAGGCCCTTATGCAGCTTGTATTTCTCTAAAGGGCTTTCTGCTCATTTAAGAAGAACCAGTGAAGAAGGTTAATGTTAATAATAGGGCTGCAGACTCCATGAAAGTACCTTCTGCATCTGTTGCTTTTTACTAGCCACCTCTCCAAACTATAGTCTCCCATAATCTGGCTTCTGCTCCCAGGATGCTAGTGGTCAGCATCTACTTTTTACCATGGCTCTGTGAGAGTAACACACATGATTCCTTAAATACAGTTAAATACACAAATACAGTTAAAAACAGTTAAATACAGGAATACAGTTAAAACAGTTAAATACAGTTAAAAACAGTTAAATACACAAATACAGTTAAATACAGTCAAATACAGAAATATAGCTAAATACAGTTAAATACAGAACTATTTTCTTGAGGGTAATAAAAAGTTAACCAAAGAGGCAGTGCATAATGAAGGCCAAATGAGTGTGTCTAGACAGTAAACATTTATTTCAGAAGAGGTACCTAATAAGTATTCAATAAATATTCGATGAAAGAATAAATGGGCGAGAGAAAGCTCAGTGTGGGCTAAAGCAGTTGGGAACACAGTACTGAACACAGCCTGACCAAAGCACAGATTTCATGTGGGGAGAACAGGTAGGAAGTTGTCAGTCTGGGAAGCTAGACCAAGGCCAGATTCTGATTTAAAATGGTCATTGTGGGCCAGTAGGTTTGGGGGAGGGGGAAACATGAGTCAGATAATCCAGTTAGAGGCAACTGTATTATCCATGTGTGAGGTCAAAGTTTTAATCCCATGGATTAATAAAGAAATGACAGGTCTTGGTGACTGACTGGCAGGAAGTGATGAGGAAAAGGGGGCTGTTAAAGGTGACAGGACCTATTAGAGGTGACATTGAGGTATTTTGAAGTCCGAGTAACTAAGAGAATGATGGTAGTGTTATCAGAAGTAGGAAGGTCAGTAGGTAGAACATTTTTCAGGAGAGAGGAAATACTTTTGTTTTAGATATCTCCAAATGGAAGTGTGTAGCAGCAGTTGGAGATGTAGTCCACCAGCTCAGGAGACAGGTCAGGGTTGACCCAAGTTCAGATCCCAGTCTCATTCTCTCTATTGTCACCACCAGAGAGTCCACCTCCTTTCCCAGTTTCAGCTCTGACCAGAATTGTGAAATGCCATGGAGACCAAGGAAGGGGGATTAAGAAGAAAGGAAGGTGCTCACTGCTGCTGGAGAGACTGAGAGACAAGCTCAAGAAAGGGTCATGGGAATTGGTTCTCTCATGGGAGAGAACTTTTTTCTTCAAGAGATGTCATTTCAGGTTGTAGATTTGTGAGTGGGCGAGAAACAGACTGTAGAGAGTTTAGGAGTTAGTGGGTGCTGAGGAGAGAGGCAGTGGGTATGCACCATTTGGCAGGGAGAAGAACGTGCGTAGAAGGTAGCTACAAAGATGCTCAGAGGAGCTCAAAGCTCTGAGAATTTCTCAGTTGAAACTATTTTTCTTAAAGGTCACCATTTACCTCCTTCTTGCCAGATAACATCTTTCCTTTACCCTCAATTTGATTTCTTTGCAATATTTGACACAATTTATCTCTTACCCCTTCCTTTCCTTAAAACTCTCTTCTCCTGTGGCTTCTGTAATATGACAGGTACTGCCCAGATATCTTCCTACATGACTGACCACTAATTCTCTTTTTTTCCCCTTGCTGGTTCCTCTTCTCCTACTCATGTCTACAGATGTCTTCTAAAGCTCTGACCCTGGCCTTCTGCTCCCTCAGACAACCCATCTATCTAAGCTGATGACTCACACAACTTCATCCTTCCGCCGCCTGTAGGGCATCTTTACCAAACCAGTTTTCTTTTTTGACATTGTCTTTCTGAGAGGGGTCTTATTTCTTCCAGGTGTACAGACTGAGTGCTTTCAGACATCAGTTTGTTTCTTAGCCTCTTGGTACATCAAGTCTGTACTAAGTCTTGTCATCTCTTTCTTTGAAACATTTATGGGGTTCATCTGTACCCTCCATTTCTTTGCCACCACCATCAGTCATCTCTAGCCAACATTACTGTAGCTGGTTCCTGGAGAGTCTCCCTGACTCAGACTTAACCACTGAACCCCTATTTCTGCATAGAATAATCAGGTTAATGTTCTAAAATGACAATTTACTGTGTCATGCCTCTGTGCAAAAACATGTGATGGGCTCCCTATAGATCCTAGTACAACAGCTAAACTCTTCCACATGGCTTGCAAAGCAAAGAAACAAAGAATCAGAAATAGAAGGGATATTAGATACCACCTGGCCTAACTTCCCTTTTAATGCAGGAATTACTCACTATGCAGCATTCATCACAGATAATTTTCATGCTTCTCATTAGTATTGTCCCTAGATCATGGAGTCTTTCCTAATTTGGTCTCACTCTTTATATTTAACTTTTTTTTTTTTTTTTTTTTGAGACAGAGCCTTGCTTTGTCACCCAGGCTGGAGAGCAGTGGTGCCATCTCAGCTCTCGGCTCACTGCAACCTCCACCTCCCAGGTTCAAGTGATTCTCCTGCTTCAGCCACCTGAGTAGCTGGGATTATAGGCACATGCCACCATGCCTGGCTAATTTTTTGTAGTTTTGTTGGAGATGAGGTTTCACCATATTCGCCAGGCTGGTCTCGAACTCCTGACCTCAAGTGATCCACCTATCTCGGCCTCCCAAAATGCTGGGTTTACAAGCATGAGCCACTGCACTTGGCCTATATTTAACCTTCTTTGATACTACTCCCTCCATATTCCATTTCCTCCAATCAGGCTGGTTTCTTCTTAGCTCCCTCCTCTACCAGGTTTGTTCTTACTTCCGTATTTTTAGCCATCTGCTTTGCTGAATGCTCTCCCCTCCCCTTTCTGGTTCTCAAAATCCCACCTATCATTCTAAGCTTAGCCTAAATGTCATCTTTCATGACCCTTTTCCTGACTTCTTTTTCTTAAACCCTATTGCATTTACTGCTATGACATAGCTTCACACTTACTTGCCCTACATGTGCTAACTTTATACCCCCCCATCACCCCCAACAGAATATAAGCTACATGATGGGGACAAAACCCTATCTGAGACCTTGTATTACCCACAGGCTTACCTTGCACAGGATTAGGCATTGAGTAACTAGTCAATACTTAATGATTAATAATACATGGAGAACCTTCAGGCTGGAGAGGTGAGGTCACACAGTAAGTCAGTAACCAAGTTCATGATGAGAAATCACAGCCCCTGATTCCCTGTGCTACAGTTTTGACACATGTGAGCCAAGCCTGATGGGGATGCTTCAGGGAAGGGCCTAGGTCTGAGGCCAGAAAAGAGATTTTCTGGGCTTGAGAAGCAGGGTAGATTACCTCGGTAGTCCAGGGCAGGAGCCTGTGGGACCTCCTCTGCATATACTTCATTGTAGCTTTCATCCGGATAGTAGCCAGAACCTAGAATAAGGAAGACAATATCAAAATGGTGTCTTGATTTCTCACTCAATTCCTTCCCAACCTTCCCCCTCTCATCCAACTTTGTCACTTCCTTAGGACATGGCATTCCATGGGTGGGGAGCCAGGTGGATATTTAGTGGGGGAAATCCTGCATTGTAAGGCAGCAGAACTACTGTGGGTGAATCTCAGCACCTCAGTTGCATAGAGGGCAGGCTCATAGTTGTGGTGGCCAGTTACTGCGAGCACTGGAAGACTCCATCTAAAAGAAAAAAATTGAACCTGACCATACATCAATCCTGTCAATCTGGACTATAAATGACCCATTTCCTTGAAGCAACACATGAGTCTTGGTAAGACACTGGGGACTAATCTCTGAGAATGGACTGTGGTCCCTGATAGGAGGCAAAAACAGAACCTGTGTCTTCCCCCTAGTGACAGCCCTGCTTATGGTCCTCAAAAAAAAACAATTACTCAGGCTTCCACTAGCCCACAGGGCACAGGCCTTTTTGTCATCGGATTACCGGATTACCATTGCTGGGGGTGGCATGCCAAGGCCGAGAGGGATGACTTAAAAGGCAAGAGGAAATGAAAGCAGTTTTGTGAGCACTTTGCCCTGGTTTGGAGAACAGAGAAGGCAGAGTCCTTCGGATAAATTTCCTGTTTCTCTAATCAGAAGGAACTTTAACAGGGAGCTGCTGAGCTAGAGAACATTCCTAATCTATCTCCATCCAGTTAAGTGGCCCAGTCCCTAGTGGAGGCAGGTCTGCGGCTGTCTGGGAGACTAAACAGTATGTTCCACCAGACGGCAGGAAATCGGTCATGAATACGAACTAATTGGAAAACAACTTGGTCCTTTCCGGAGTGAAGTTTCCGGAAGCCCTCCTTCCAGCCTCCCTGAGCCCTAATGCATGCACAGGAATAGGGTAGCCAGCTGTTTTGGAGTCAAGAGACAATTCCCTATTTCCAGGAGAGGGTGTGCTTCCAGGACAGGGCTGGGTTTTAGTGCTGGAGCCCTTTGGCCTGTGTAAATACTCAGGCCACAAGCTCGCCTCCTCCTCTTGGGAAGAGGCACAGGGCCCCCTGCACTGAAGGGCGGAGCAGAGGGCCAGATGATGAAGCTCCTCCATTCCCCACAGGCCCAGACTAGGGGTGGGGGAGGTGAGGTATTGGGAAACCAGTCCAACTTGGTGAACAAGGGAATGAATCAATTGAAAGTTTGCCTTATGAAATCATGTCCTCGTTGGTTTGCCCTCATTCCAGAGGAAAGAGTTCATTTTTTCTTTTTCCCCTTTTTCTTTTTTTCTGTTTTCCCATTTCAGTTCTTCTTCTGGCTTCCGTTGATTTCTTCTCAGACCTCATCTCCCCTGCTCTCTTTTTTCCCATAATGGGAGGTTTCTTTGGTGGGTGCGGGGGAGTCGGGGGGCGGGTCATGGAATTTTTGTCAGCTGTTTCAGTTCAGTATTAGCCTCAAAGCTTTATAGGTCCTGTAAACAGGAGGCCAGATGTGGGTGATTCCCTAAAGTATTAGGTCTTCCTGCTCCGGTTACAGAGCCAGCTTTTGAAGACATGCTCAGCAGGGAGCAAAGGACTGTTTAACAGAAGAGAAAACAGGAGTGTCAGGAGTGTCAGAGCCCTGTGGCTTGGTAACAGTAACAACAACAAGAACAACTACGACAATGACTGCTAACATCTCTCAGCTCATATTCTGTGTTAAGCACATTACATATGTTAGTTCATTATGTCACCATAACATGTCAGCAGGGTAGGTACTACTAATGTGCTCCAATATAAAGCCGAAGAAACAGGCTTGAGGAACCAAGAGAACCAAGGTCTCCCAGCTAGTAAGCAGCAGAGTGGGCATTCCAGCCCAGGTCTGCTTGACCCCCTAGATACCAAACTCAGACACTCCACTGAAGATGGTGATTAGGGAAGAGCTTTTGATAATGTCCAACTGGGGTAAAAGTCCAAAATCTCTTTTGCAATCCAGCTTTTTTACTGTGTGTGTGGGATCGAAGGCCACCAAGCATTTTACATCATTCCAGAATTACAAGGGATGTAGGAAAACTGTGGGGAAGACTCAATAAGATAATTACAGTCTCCATCAGGGTGCGGAAGTAGCTGGACCAGTGCCAACTATGCTTTGTGTGGAGAAAGGGTTCAGACCATCTTGCCACTTTAAACCTTTCCATTTTCCCATTTCCCCTCTTTGCCTATCTTTGAGTTTTTTTTCTTTTTTGCAAATGGTGGAATACTAAGATGGGTATAAGAATGAAATTAAAGGGGAACATTTCCTACATTATTCTGTCTGCTTGTCCCTCTTCAGCCCTGGGGGAAGGACTTGGGGAGCATTCCTCAGTTCCTTTAGATCAATCAGTGCTTGGTTACTGTGTGGTCTGTTACTGGGTTCCTCCAACCTCCATAGTACAGTCAGGCCCTCTAAGCACTGCCCTTCACAAAAGTATAGTTAGACATGTAATTGATAGTTAAAAGACTATCTTAAGATTCATATTAATCCTTGGCTTATGATGACAAATACAGTCTGACTTTCTGGGCTGCACAGATATGCCAGAACACACTTTTAACCCATTCTTTGCTTTATTTATATTCTTAACTTTTCCCAGCCACTGCTGATTATTCCTGGACCCTTTTTCTGATTAGCCCTGGATCCACATTTGGCTGCTATTCTGTGCCATGCCCATTTGAAGACAAGGCTGTACAAGTAAACAAAACTGTCCTGGATGCATAAAGAGTCCTCAATAAATATTTGTTGAAGGAATGAATGAACAAAGGCATGAAGGCAAGCCCAACAGCTGAGCTAGCAGTGTAGGGGAAATGTCTCTCATCATGTGGCCTCCTAAGGATAGAAGAGGGAAGAATGAGTGGAATTGCAGGGCTGGCAGAGGCCTCACCAATCTGAGCTTCTCAGGAGTGGTGACTTGTGATTCACGTGGAAGTGGGGTGTTCCACCTTTGCAAATAGCCCTTTGAGAACCTCAACTGAATCTAACTTTTAAAAAACTGCTCTGTGCTCACGCCTCCAACAGCTCAGGCTTCTGTTTTGGGAAAGGTAAAGACCTTTGCATGCCATGAGGTTTCATACAGGTGTTCAGAATTGGGCTTCGAGCCATCTAATCTCCACTCCTTTAGTCCTGTGGTCTTTGGCTGGATTTTGGTCTCTGTAAATGAACTGAAGCAAGGGGAGGTTGGGGAGGACAGTTGCATATTTATCTCCTGGAGACTTGAGGCACCTTTAACCCCAAACAGGATATGCTCTGCCAAGGGCTTGACTTGAATTTTTTCATCTCAATGTCAGTCCTTGTGCTTCACCCCCTACAAAGCCAGGTTAAGCCAAAAAGGGGAAGAAGTTTGCATATTTGTTTGAAAGCTTGATGCAGCTGTTCCAGACAAACAGAGCTACTGCCAAAGGCCTCCACCAGGAGCTAAGGGCATGTGGAAAATTTTAGCTGCAGGGACTGTGGCTGTGATGGGAGCAGTTTGTTATTTACTCATCTCTGGATATTTTCCTAACCCCATTGGTTGGGTCTGTCTCCTTCCCCCACTACTCCCCACGGGCCCCTGTGAGGGCAGACACTGCAGGCCACAGAATATTCTTAGCACTTGGAATGCCAGCTGGGCCCCATATAAAACCTCTGTATGCCACTTCATTATCCTGCCCTCATCCCTTCCCCCTCCCCTTTCCCTCTTCTCACTGAGTTTGTTCTCTGGCTCTCTGGGTGAAGAGTGAAATATTCAGGAATCCAGAAATCTCCATCCCTTCTGAAGTAAAGAACAAATGAGAAGAAACTGGGAAATTCCTGATTAAAAGGATGTGATCTGTATTGCCACTAACAGCTTTGGCATAAAAGGGCTATAAAAAATCTCATTTTATAAATAAGATCAGAGAGGGTGGGAAGAAGTCTGATGGATTCTCATTTCACTTGAATAGATTGCCTGCCCCCCTTATTTTTTCCAAATGAGGTATGTGGTCTAAGTCCATTTTTGTGGTCTTGACAAGAGTATTTGACTCATAAAAGAATTAATATTAATAAAGATTTGACTCATAAAGGATTTCATGTTAGAAAATGGTTTTCAGGAAGCTAAGTGCACAAGCAGGTGAGACAATGGCCTCAAAGGTGATGTCCAACCTTCTCATGTTTGTACTAGTGTGGCCTATTTCACCTATTTCAAATAGCTCTTGTTAGGCTGCCTTAAAAGCCTCCCTTGGTAGTCTGTTGCCATGTTTAACCATCTTTATTGTCCTTTAATACTTCTCTGTATAGAAAATAAGTGTCTCTTTTTGTAGTCTAACTCTTCCTTCTCCAAGTCTTGGTCTAGGACCTATCCTTCCTGGAAATAATAGGCAACAGCTCCTAGAACTTACCTGCATACCATGTTGGTGTCACTGCCGGAGTTAGGAAGAACAGCAGAAAGAGAGCTCCTCTTTGAGTTAGCTGACTGGCCATCCTTGAAAGGGAGGATTATGGAGACAAGAAAAGATGTATATGGCCTGAAGTACCAGGGCAAAGGAAAGTGACTTTCAGAAGTCAGCCATCAATTAACTTCTAAAAGTGAGGGGAAGCAGAAATATGGGATCTGTGAGGAAGAAGAGAGATTTTATAATTAATGAATGCCTTTTATATTATCTCCCTCATAAGGATCTTTCATGTTATAGAATAACAAGACTCTGTTTGTTATTTATGGTCCCTTTTCCTCCCAGGAGGAGGAGGATGTAAAACAACCAATCTTCATCTGACTCTGGTGGGATCAGATGCAAATGCTTCATGGTCCAAGTTATAGAGAGGGACATTGAAGTACTGAGACCAGGAAAAGGCCAACATGAAGTTACACAGAACCAGGAGGGAACCTGGTGACCTAAAGGCTGCCATTAGGTTTCATTCATTCAACTAACATTTCCTAGCCACTAATCTGGGAAAGCGTTAGCATATGTGGTCTAAGAATTTGAACACTGAAGTTACACAGGTCTGGATGTGAATCCAATTCTGTCACCTATTAGCTATAGGGTCTTGGACAAATTTTTTAACTTCTCTAAGCCTCGGTTTCCTCATCTATAAAATGGGAATAATAATACTGTCTACCTCATGAATTGATTATTGTCTGTCATATAGGGAAGTAATTTATATATTAGACAATATTATTACCAACTTTGTATTGGACAGGACTGAATGTTTCCCTTCTCTAGTGTCCCAGGCAGTAACTGGACTCTGGCTCTGTTCTTAGCTTTGGGTTTTAAGGCTTGGTGGTTTGGTAGTGGCTTCTGGCTTTCAAGTCCAGCCTAACCCTCTAGTTTTACCTTGCTGAGCCAGCAGGAAGTCAGCGAGGTAGAGGAGGACCTGCTGAGGTACATGAGGAGAGGGTGAACAAGCTCCAATTGCCCTCTCACTTCCTCCCCTGTCCTCACCCTAATGGGACGAGAGTTTTGTGGTTCCCAGCGGGCAAATACTTTGTAAATGACAGTATTAAAACTTGCTGCCCATTGGTATAAATTGGCCACTGGGCATTTCAGCAAGCACCCATTCACTCACGGGCTTTCAATGAAATGCCATGCTCAGGGGAGGAGTCAGTCCTAGAAATAGAGAAACAAAAATGTGGTAGATTCTGGCCAGAGTCCCTAAGGGACATGCAAAGCCCAAGAAAGGGAAAAGTGTATTTTTTAGTTCATTGCTACTTGGCTTCAGATTTTGTCTAGAAAGTGACAGGGAAGCAGGACGGAGAAAAAGTGAGAGTAAACGAAGGAGGCAAGGGAAGTAGAAAGATGTGGGAAGGAAGGAAAGAAAATCTGACAGAGCTGAAGGAAAGAGATAGATAAACGCAGAAAGAGGCAACAAAAGGAGCAGAAAGAGGAGATTAAAGAGAGGTCCAGGAAGTGAACATTAGATAACTAATCACTGACCCCTCTCCCACATCTAGCCTCCATCCAGTTCCTTCGTTCTGGAGCAGAGGCATTCCTTTTTCAGATCCCTGAACCTGTGACCTCGTACCTGCCCAGCTTCTCCCCAATCTCAGGCTTAATACTTGACTCACCAGAGTCAACCATCCCATCCCTCTGCTGTGGGCTGAGAAGTTGCTGGGAACATGTGTTTGCAGTCAGGTCACGGCACAAATGAAAAGCAGCATATGATCCAGCTTCATAAAAGAACTTCCCCCCGACCTCCACCCCCAGCCATGTTGCCCAAGTTCTGGGTCTCCTTATCCCCTTCACAATTGTGAATTGGGGTAGTGGAGTGTGGAGGGGTTAGTTGCAGATCTTACCTGTTTTATGGTATTTTGTGCCCTTTTTCTCTCTCCTCCTCTTTCTCCTTCCTCTCTGCTCCTCTCATCAATTGGAAAAAACCTTCTACTTTAACATTCCTAGAACGAGTGGCTCCTGGTCTGTCCCGGCCTCCGGGATTCTGTTAACACTGCCCAGATGTTACGACGTCCACATCTGCCAAAAGTTTCCTTAAAGCTATATTATCCCTGAAGCTATAGTTATTCCTCTCTCAGAGAAGGGTTTTAGAAAGATGGGGGAGAAGGAACACAGGGATTAGAGGAACTCAGTCCGTCTGCTGCAGAAGAGGGGGAAGTGTGAATGGCACTGGCTCCAAGCCTGTGAATATAGTGATGACTAACACAGAGGCTGGCTTAAGCGGCCTCCAGAGATGTGTTGCACTGAAGAACACTTCTTTTTATGACTCAGCATGACATAAGAATTGAATGAAAAGGAATTTCATAAACACTCACAAACACCAAAGAGAGGGGAAGACTGTAGCTGACTTTGACATTCCCTAAGATTTCTCCTGTAATTCCTTAGACTCCCAACTCTGAACTGTCTTGCAATCTATATGGTATCACGTCAGATACGCTTTGAAACCCTCATGCCAGTGACCTAACTTCTCTGGACTTCAGTTTCTGTTAAGATTATATTGTTTACAAAAAAAACACAAAAAACAAAAAACAAAAAACATGTACTTCTTGCCCGAAGGATCAAGACTGATTTCCCACACTAAGAATGGAGGGAAAGCATGCCTGGAGAGGCTTTACTGGGAGGCTGTTTGAGCAAATCTAGCTGCTTCCCAGTGGTCTCTGATGGAGGGCTACATTTCACTCAGCAAGATTTTTTCATTTTAGTATCTGATAATGAGACTATTCTGCCATAGCACAGAGCAGCTACTTACAATCTCCCTCCCCTCACGGTTGACATTTCCATCTCTTGGAAAATCAGTGGTTATAGAAGGAAGAATTTTAAGCTGTTGTAGAAAGGGTGTTTCTCCTGTGTATGCAAGCAAATTGGTAACCCCTTCTCAGTCATAAGGGGAAGAATTGTACTTATGAGAATACAAAGTTCAAAAGCAAGCCTGAGCCTGCTTCATTTCCAATTCACCTGTGACAAATATGTATTGAGTGTCTACCATTTGCTTAACAGTGTAATAGCTACGTAAAGAAGATGTGGCTGGGCGCGGCGACTCACGCCTATAATCCCAGTACTTTGGGAGGCCGAGGTGGGCAGATCACGAGGTCAGGAGTTCGAGATCGGCCTGGCCAACATGGTGAAACCCCGTTTCTACTAAATACAAAAAAAAATTAGCCGGGCGTGGTGGTGCACGCCTGTAATCCTAGCTACCCAGGAGGTTGAGGCAGGAGAATTGCTTGAACCCAGGAGGCAGAGGTTGCAGTGAGCTGAGATCACGCCACTGCACTCCAGCCTGGGCGAGGGAGTGAGACTCCGTCTCAGAAGAAAAAAAAGAAGAAGAAGAAGACGTGATCGTCATGGCCTTATTCATTCCATAAATTTATCAAGTATCTACCATGTCAAGAGTGGTGGATGTAGTGGTGAACAAGACAGACAAAATCCCAGGCATTGTAATCCATAATTAATTCAACAAATACTTGTTGAGCATCCATTATGTGCCACATATGGTTCTAGGTATTTGAGAAACATCAGTGAACAAAATGGACAAAAATCCCTGCCCTCATGGAACAGAGGAGACAGACATCAAACAAGCATGTTCTTAATTACAATTGTGTGTGTTTAGGGAATCTTTACTGGTCATCTACTATAAGCTAAGCACTGCAGATACAGTGGTGAGCAAGTAATGTGTGATTCTTGATCTTATGGAGCTTACTCTCCAGCTCCCAGAGTTTATGTTTAGTAGGGGAGAGAAGAGGGACACAATCAATTAGAAAACAATACAACTCCCTACCGTAATAGACTGCCAAAAGCTGTGTTACAGACTTTAAGGACGCTAGGAGGAAGTCAGAGGAGGGGGTCACCTGAGAAGAGGTGGGCCTTGGTCTAGCCTCAGGCAAAGGAAATGCCATCAACAAGAGTTCACCTTTAGGTCAGAGGAGGGAGAGGCTAACTGCTAAGAGGTTTCAGGGAAAGATAGAAAACAAAGCTGAATAAATAGGGTAGGGCCAGAAAATCAGATATAGGAGTTTATTTTAAACTCGTGTGTGAGAAAATAGTGAATATATTAAATGTGTGTGTCTGTGTGTTTGAGTATGTGAGAGTGTGTGTGTGTGTGTGTGTGTGTGAGAGAGAGAGAGAGAGAGAGAGAGAGAGAGGAATATGAGAGAGAGAGGGAACAAGCAAAGTAATACATTCTACCAGAGTTTTTTCTTTCTTAGACCCCCCTCACTGGCTCCCTCTTGGCATAGTGTACGGTCTGAGTTCCTTAGCATTGCATACCATGTTCTTCACAAGCAAACCCCACCTATGTCCTTAGCCTAGTTTTAAGCATTCACCCCATGCCTCCTCATTCTGGACACCCTCTGCCTCATGCTCTTCCTTGAGCTTCTTGTTCTTCCTTTCACACCCTGGAGCCTCTGCACAGACGTGTTCACTCTGCTCCATGGTCCCTTCCCTCCTTTCTTGGCTTGTTGGAACTCTACCCACCCTTGCTGCTAGGAACCTTCCCCCAGCCCATCCCAGCCCAAGATGGTTAACTTTGCCTTCCTTTTCTCTCACAGCACTTTGTACATATCTCAATTTTAGGACTTTTCACACTTATTGGCATTGTTCTTTACTTATCTCTGACTCCTACTAGACTATGAGTGCTTATAAGGGCAAGAACCTTATCCTAGTCTTCTTCATATCCCCAGCCATCCAACACAAAGCCTAGCACATGCCAGGGTGAAGATGCTGCGTAAGGCCTCAATCCCACTGAAAGCTGGAAGCAGTGGGACAGAAGGGTTCCAGAGAGAGGTTAAAGAAGAAAGTGAAGGGGGAGAATATGGAAATCATAGGGAGATCAAAGTAAGGGGATATGTCAGAAGAGAGAGACAGCATTCTTGCAAAGCATTGGGATTAATAATATAAAGAGCTCACCCAAAACAAGTGAGGTTAATTATAATAACCCCAATGTTT
Source organism: Homo sapiens (assembly GCF_000001405.40). Classification (NCBI taxonomy): domain Eukaryota; kingdom Metazoa; phylum Chordata; class Mammalia; order Primates; family Hominidae; genus Homo; species Homo sapiens. The sequence continues at coordinate 100,641,418 of NC_000023.11, read as the reverse complement.
CTGCAGCACATACTCAGTGTGTAAAACACAACGTTAGATACTGTGAGGCTACAAAGTAAAATAAAACACCTCTCTTTATGGTTTGGTTGGGAGGATAAGACAAAGGTGGATAAGGAGACTGACAGCATCCAGGCATACTCAATTTCTTAAGTTTCTTAAAGTTCAGTACCATTTTCAACTTTAAGACTTTTAATATGAAGCCCCTCAGCAGTAAATAAGGTATTGTTTTACGAAATATTAGATATGGAAACTGACTTCCCTAGTTGAGATCTCAGGAAAGCTCAACAAGGCTAGACTAGAAACAACTTTCTTAGAAAATGGACATAGAATTGTCAATTTTAATACCATTTAAAAGTATTTATGGCTGGGCGCGGAGGCTCACGCCTGTAATCCCAGCACTTTGGGAGGCCGAGGCAGGCGAATCACAAGGTCAGGAGATCGAGACCATCCTGTCTAACACGGTGAAACCCCGTCTCTACTAAAAATACAAAAAATTAGCCGGGCGTGGTATCGGGCACCTGTAGTCCCAGCTACTCGGGAAGCTGAGACCAGAGAATGGCATGAACCCGGGAGGTGGAGCTTGCAGTGAGCCGAGATGGCACCACTGCACTCCAGCCTGGGCGACAGAGCGAGACTCCGTCTCAAAAAAAAAAAAAGTATTTATCATGTCTATGTGTCCCAAACTGTATATTATGAGCTTTTTTGAAGAAGGCAAGATCAGGGATGGAAAGGGAGGAAAGGTTTCACAGAGCATCTGAAAGGAGTGGATGGAAAACAAGGGCATAAAAATAGACAAAGAATAGAATTTCAGAGAAGGAGAATGGGAATGCACAAGAGACAATAGAAATAAAGAGATATTCCATTAACGAAATGGATTTTTAAAACTGTACATATGAATTAACTGTTTAAATAATGAGGTATCTGATGGCTGTAACATAAAATATGAGATATTAAGAAAATAAGTAGGATGCGCCTTTAAATTCTATGATAGGCACTTAGCCAAAGGTAATTGAAGGGATGCTAGAAAAGGGATTAGAAAATGAAAATGGTAAAGTTATTATGTGAATAAGAGATAAGATGTACACTCAGCGATACAGTTTATTATTATTATTATTGTTGTTGTTATTATTTTAGTGGTTCCTGAGAGAGAGAGGAATGTCCCAAGACATTATCTAGGTACTCAATTTAATTTTTTCTGTTTTATTATAGTGTGATACTGGGATGGCTTAGACATTTAATTTTTTATTTAATTTCAACAATCAATCCTGAGTAATTACTATGTGGTTGCTCCCAGAGACCAGTTATGACCTCAATGAGCAATCAGCTCAACAGGGATTGGCCGAGCAGAAAATGAACTCATCAATTGGGCATTATGTCCTAGGGTACTGAGGAGAGTATAAAAGGGGGCATAGGGGCCCTGCCACACTAGCTCTTCAGTAGTTTCTGAACATCTAGACGGTAGGATGTAGAATAGGTAAGTAGAAATGCAAAGCAGATATTGCAGTAATTGACTAAAGGGCTGGGTTAATGGGAGTGAGTGTGTAGTTAAGACAGTTATGGTGTTAGAGAAAGAGGTGAGGAAGGAGGGACTTTTTACTGAGTTGGGATTGAACTGGATATTCAGTAGAAGCAGAAAGTATGAGTGAAGTTGAGGGTGGGCAGGGACTAGGGAATAGGACTTGTTTAATTGGGGGGTTGATCATACTGACCTGGTACAGAGCAGAAAATTCACATTGGAAAAGCAGTAGGAAATCAGTTGAGATTGTATTGGGATGAGGGGCTTGGTAGGGATGGAGGGAGGCTGGAGGTGGCACAAGGGAGGTCTGACTTAACAGTGAGCCCTTGTTTATGTCATTTCCCTTGCCTGATGTCTAGCAATGAAAAACATTTACACCTAATCTTGAAGGTTACAGGAAATTAATTGGGAAGGGGGGCTACTAAATGTTCCATGTAAAACAAGCAGTAACAATACTTAAAGTATTTTCCTTTTTTCCTACATTGTTGGCATCAAATTGTGTTTCTGTGCTCAGAAAGAGGGAGAAATTAAGAGGTTGAACAAGAAAAAGTACTGAACTCTCTGCCTTACCACTCTGGGGCAGGTAGGGTTACTTCCTAGGTGGCTGGGCTATTGGAGTGAAGGCAAAAGCCAAACTCAACCAAAAAACCCCAAGTGCAAGGCAGAATTGGGGCAATCATTGAGGTTCTTAAGCTTCAGAGGCTCCGAGGAGTCCTTGTTTTAGGTTAAATGTCTGTGCAACAGCAGTCTTTACTCAGGTTACTCTGCGCAGAGGCAGCTGTACGTACAACAGCAGCTATGTTTCATCACAAAGTGGGCCCCATTTCTGATGAAAGACACAGAAGTTGCCCAGGTTTAGTCCTAGGCAGCTTACTTGGTCTCTTTCAACCTGTTTCTTCATCTGTAAAATGAAGGTGCTAGGTGTGTCAACCTCATAATAGGGTTCTTGTGATGTGTGCATACGAGGTAATGTGTATCAAGCTCTTAGCAATAGTGGTTGGTATACAGTCAATACTTATTATCACAGTCATTATTAATACTTTAAAGAATACATTTATCTAGTGGCCTAGGGAAATACTTCTTAAATTGCCTTAAACGGGATTAGATGCCCCTTTGGTCTGGGTTTGTACCCAAACCCAGGCCTAGGTTTGAACTAAATTGAATTTCTCGGTTTGGTGGCATTGTGGGGGTGGGGAGATGGAAGTGGGTGTAGCAGAGTAGGAGGCAATGGTGCAAGGTGTTGTAGCCATAGGAATATGAATTTCCATGTCAGCATTTGGTTTAATTTGGCACCGAGTGTTATTCAAACAAAGCAGCGTTGTGAGTGGTAGAGGAAGGGAGAGGAGGAAAGTCAACACATTCTTGGAAATAAGATGTGGCTTTTGCTTTGCTATTTTGTTTTTTCTTCAGCTACAGACATATTTCTTTGCTCTTGGGCTCACACTGTAAATCCCTTTCAGTACATATCTAAGTTTCAGAGAAACTTCTCTTTAAGATGACAAGAAGTTATCAAGACTTCCCTTGATCCTTGTTTTTAGTATAAGAACCCTTCAGTTGGGGTCATTTAGCCTAGGGAGAAATCTTTGCATATACTTAGACACCCCCCTCCACCATGTTGAATATTTGGTATTTCCTAACGACTTTACCTCAAAGTGTTTGAAGGTGTATGTAGATGTATCGTTTATCCATTCTCTCCATGTATTTGTGTATTAGGCCTTTCAAATTTTAGTAAAAATTTTAGTATAAAGCCTGGCAATGCAATAATTAATTTTCCAACAGTTGCTGCCTTGCACCTCAGACGTCTGGCAAGATGTTATAGGAACTGGTCCTAGGTCAATATTCGAAGCACAGGGAAGCTCTGTGTGACCAAGTCAATGGAACTTTCCTGTGTTCTGGTCCTGAGGTGTATGTTTAAAGCAACGTTTCAAGCAGAAAAGTTTGAGTATTCATCTCTCCTCCACAAATGCAGGTCTTTTTGCAATGGCAATAGAGTAAATAGCCACTTGTGATATTAAGCTTGTGTCAATGATGAAGGGTTGGATTGCATAGGGAACTGATACAGCCTTCTAACCCCGTTCCTCTAGAGATAACACAAACTCACTTAACACTCAGTCTCTGCCTTCAAAGAGCTGACGCTTTAGTTGAGAAATCAGACCTTAACGCACCTCCTGTGTTGTAACAACATAGACCAATATATTCACAATATATAACATTAGGTTTTAATCTCTCTGTAATCAGCTGGGTTTTGATGGGAAAAACCAGGTGGCTGGAATGTACAGTGCCTTTCTGTTTTAACATTTAAGAGGAGGTCACACTCACCAGGGATTTTTCCATTGCACTCTCTCTTTTTAAAAGTTTACAGCGAATAGCTGAACTTACATTTCACTATTATGTAAAAATACTTTCCCTCAACTTTCCAATTACTTAGGGGATAAAAAAGGAGAGGAATACTGGGGTTTTGCAAAGTCCTGCAGGTAAATTCTAAAGTCATTATTATCTTTAATACCTAGCTTAGAAATTCTTTCAACAAGTGGTGATTATTTTCCTCCATTCACATCTCCCCTTCCTAACCCATAAAACAATGTTCACAAATTGAAAAGCACACAAGTGAGAAAAAAATCAGCCTAATTCCACCAGAGGTAAATTTCACTGTTCCTTTCAGTTTTTGTCTAAGCACACGTGACTGTATGTATTGCTTTGCAATCCGCTTTCTTTTTGCAAATATATTTCTTGTGGGTATTTTCCCATGTATTTTCTTAGGTCGCTTTTAACCTCTTCATTCTTTTCCTTCTCTCTAGGGCACCAGGGGCCAGGGAGGCCCAATCTCAGAGCGCTGCGGGCTCTGCTGGTGATAGAAACAATATGGTGAAGTTATAAGGAGAGGGGAGGGGTGGGGGGCGGGAAAGATTCCTTAGGATAGAAAAAAAACAATGAAGAAAGCTCCACTTGAAGACCTATGAAATTTCCGACACTAGAACCTTTGTATATAGTTTTCGGTAACCTTCGGCAGGGGGCGCTCTGAAATTGTTGCCACTTTCCGGACAGCCTCCCATACTTTACCCTCTACAAAATTGTACAGTGTTTCCGGCCCTTCTCAGTTGTGGACGCTCGTAAGTTTTCGGCAGTTTCCGGGGAGACTCGGGGACTCCGCGTCTCGCTCTCTGTGTTCCAATCGCCCGGTGCGGTGGTGCAGGGTCTCGGGCTAGTCATGGCGTCCCCGTCTCGGAGACTGCAGACTAAACCAGTCATTACTTGTTTCAAGAGCGTTCTGCTAATCTACACTTTTATTTTCTGGGTGAGAGACGAAGGCGCCTGGGGCCGGCAGGGGATCCCGGGCTTTTAGTTGTGGGGGGTGTGACCCTGAGCGGCGGGAGCTCAGGTCGGGAACGGTGTGGGGTTTGGGCGGCCATCGCGCCTGGGACCCCGACGCCGGCGACCAGTGACTGGGCCCCGAACAAAGAGCTCAGGCATCTCGCCGGCGCTGGGGTCGGAGTGCGGGACGAAGGCAGCCGAGAGGCTGAGCTGGGACCCAGACGTACCAGCGTTCGAGTTCGATACGGGAGGCGAGGTGGGGCCTTAAGCCCCCAGAGCACGCAGACGGTGACCCTGGACCTTTGCAAAGGCAAGCAAGGCTTGCCCGGCCCCTTTGAGGGCTCACTTGCATAATAGTGTCTTTCTTTTCACTGCTTCGTAAGAGAGGAGTGTTTCGCAGGTAAGTATGGTATGCCTCCACTCCCGCCAGTCTATCCTTGGGCTTGCTTTTGTGTACCAGTCCTTTGTACCCTGTGCCCATCCCTACCTGGAGAGGACGGGGGAAGTTTCTGGAACTCATAAAATCACGTTTTTTTTTTCCCCTTCAAGGTTTTCTTCCTAAGGTTGGAGTAAGATAGTTAAGGAAGTTTTGATCCCTAGGGCAAATATGCCATGGGCTTGTGTTTACACACAAAAAGATGAATTTTAAGAATTTTGATAAGATACCTGGTCCACAGCCTGCTCTTGTGTGCAGATCCCCCCCTAACCCCTTCTACTCTTCCCCCTTGTCTGCCGTATCCCAGCATATTACACCTATTGTGCCTTAAATACCTCATGCGTTGTGATTTGAAGATGCTGCTGTACACAGTGCGTAACTGTTTGTATTCTCTGAATTCCCACATAGATCACTGGCGTTATCCTTCTTGCAGTTGGCATTTGGGGCAAGGTGAGCCTGGAGAATTACTTTTCTCTTTTAAATGAGAAGGCCACCAATGTCCCCTTCGTGCTCATTGCTACTGGTACCGTCATTATTCTTTTGGGCACCTTTGGTTGTTTTGCTACCTGCCGAGCTTCTGCATGGATGCTAAAACTGGTGAGTCCTTGTTTTCATTAGAATTGATTCTTGGTTTTAGAAAAGTTTTGTATGTTATAGAATTCCTTTGTTGGAACTGGCCATGGCCCTTTACAATTTTTCCTGTTCCTTATGGAAACTTATCAAGTAACAGTTCAGCTGCCAGTTTCCACTTTCAAAATAGACATGTTGTTATTTTCCCTGCCCTTTTCAATGAAAACATGATGAACTAATTGAGAAGACGACCATTATTTTTTCTTTGACTCCCTTTGCAGTTGTGCTATATCTTATTTATGCTGACTTGGACTTTCTTTCTTATCCTGCAGTATGCAATGTTTCTGACTCTCGTTTTTTTGGTCGAACTGGTCGCTGCCATCGTAGGATTTGTTTTCAGACATGAGGTAAGCCTGAATTAGGGAAGCTTAGCATGTTACATTTATCCTCTGAGAGATAAAAATGGATTTATTAAAGTAGAAGAGTCAGACCTCTGTATTTAAACCTGTAGCTGACAATAATGGCCTTCTTGTAAAAATTCTGGTCCACTTCTAATTTAAAAGAAAATTTAGAAAATTGTAAAGACTGATAGTCACCAGAAGAAAATTACTTACTTATATTCCCTGTCGTTTTTCTGTGTATAAATACCTATTAAAACGGAGATAGTACAATTTATAACTTTGCTGATAGGAAAATATTCAAAGCACAAAATTGATAACCTTCTTATGCCTTGCATTTTGAAAAGATTGGATATACTTAATGCAAATCATCAGAAGTTTAATATTGGGCCGGGCGCGTTGGCTCACGCCTGTAATCCCAGCACTTTGGGAGGCCGAGGCAGGTGGATCACGAGGTCAGGGGATCGAGACCACCCTGGCTAACACGGTGAAACTGTCTCTACTAAAAATACAAAAAAAAACAAAAAATTAGCCGGGCGTGGTGGTAGGTGCCTGTAGTCCCAGCTGCTCGGGAGGCTGAGGCAGGAGAATGGCATGAACCCGGGAGATGGAGCTTGCAGTGAGCCGAGATCGCGCCACTGCACTGCAGCCTGGGCAGCAGAGCGAGACTCCATCTCAAAAAAAAAAAGCTTAATACTGAATTAGAAAACAGGTAAACTTGGGGTTGTTCAAATAACATTCGGTGAGTAGCAAAGGCTCATTAATGAGAGTTCTCATAAAGTGGTAGCACAGCCTCCCAAAGTAAGGTTTTGTAGCTTACAAATTCCATAGGCATCGAATTTGAACTCAGTTTAAAGTGGAGAAAAATTAGCAGGGTGCAGAATACAGCAATACTGCATTGCCACTCAGATAAATACATATTCCCACAGCACTTTGAACTTGTAGTGGTTCTCATCATATATTTTAATGTTTTGCTTAGTAGTCCCCTCAGCTAACCTATACCCCTTAGAGGACAGGACTGTACCATGGAAGTTAATTACTATACATGTTGCTGCTGTCAAAGATATGACCATTGGTCAGATTCGAGAACTTATTTGACCTGAAACCAAAAACTTTCTAGAGGATTTTCTTACTGACATTGTGTTTCTTTGCTATAGATTAAGAACAGCTTTAAGAATAATTATGAGAAGGCTTTGAAGCAGTATAACTCTACAGGAGATTATAGAAGCCATGCAGTAGACAAGATCCAAAATACGGTAAGTGGTAACCACCACCTAGAGGGGAACACATTCCCTGTTGCCTCAGAGAAAAGAGCAGAGTCTGGCTACTAGATGTTATCCACCTGTAGGGGAAAGAAGTGTGACGTGTTTCATTTTCCTCACATGTGCACCTGTTCTCTTCCTTCCCCACTTACATCATAGTCCAGGTACAGTTAGTACCAACTATAGCAGGAAAGTAAGGCCAATACAAAACTGTCATGCATGGTGCTAATCAGGGACCCAGTGCTCATCTCTTGAATCAATTGAGGAGAGAGATCATTGAGATTAGTAAATGTTTTGAGCACAAATTGCAATAGAGGATATTAGGTTAAATGTTTGACTACAAAGTTGTAATATAAACTGTAAATGCTTTTGTTGGGTTTTTCAGTTGCATTGTTGTGGTGTCACCGATTATAGAGATTGGACAGATACTAATTATTACTCAGAAAAAGGATTTCCTAAGAGTTGCTGTAAACTTGAAGATTGTACTCCACAGAGAGATGCAGACAAAGTAAACAATGAAGTAAGGTGCCTTTTAAAATTTTCTATTTGGCAATATTTGAAGACTTAACTGAATGCAAAATTGACCCAGTTTTTAATTTTTTTTTTGAGATAGAGTCTTGCTCTGTCGCCCAGGCTGGAGTGCAGTGGCGCGTTCTCGGCTCACTGCAAGCTCCGCCTTCCAGGTTCACGCCATTCTCCTGCCTCAGCCTCTCGAGTAGCTGGAACTACAGGTGCCCACCACCACGCCTGGCTAATTTTTTGTATTTTTTAGTAGAGACGGGGTTTCACTGTGTTAGCCAGGATGGTCTCAATCTCCTGACCTTGTGATCCACCTGACTTGGCCTCCCAAAGTGCTGGGATTACAGGCGTGAGCCACTGCACCTGGCCAGTTTTTAATTTTTAAATATAAGCTGAAATAGATAGGGCGGGTAAGAATTGAGTTCAGACGGCCAGCAAGTAACACTTTTTTGTTTATTTATTATTTAGTATTTTTTTTTAAAGACAGTGTCTCTCTCTGTCACCCAGTCTGAAGTACAGTGTTGTGATCATAGCTCACTGGAGCCTTGAACTCCTGGGTTCAAGTGAAGTAACACTTTTAAATATATAATCCAGAAGGTGGAAATAATTGGGAATAATTATTTGTTCTGTTGAGAACATATGGAAGAGAATAGATTTCAATAAAATGACAATCAAAGGCTATGATACATACATCTTTCTGCAGAGGTATATGATCAAAGTATTTATTACCATAAATATATCTTTCTGCAGAGTTATATGATCGAAGTATTTATTACCATAAAGAAAAGCACAGGCTGCTTGTGCTGTATTTAATCTTTGTTTTTTTCCTCCCATTAGGGTTGTTTTATAAAGGTGATGACCATTATAGAGTCAGAAATGGGAGTCGTTGCAGGAATTTCCTTTGGAGTTGCTTGCTTCCAAGTAAGTTTTTGTAGTTACTTAGGAAATATTTCATCCCTCTTGTAGGTGTAAGCTAGAAGATTTTCACTTTTTTTTTTTTGAGATGGAGTCTTGCTCGGTTGCCAGGCTGGAATGCAGTGGCGTCATCTCAGCTCCCTGCAACCTCCACTTCCTGGGTTCAAGCGATTCTCCCACCTCAGCCTCCTGAGTAGCTAGAATTACAGGTGTGCGCCACCATGCCTGGCTAATTTTTTTGTATTTTTAGTAGAGTTGGGGTTTCACCATGTTGGCCAGGCTGATCTTGAACACCTGACCTCAAGTGATCCGCCCTCCTCGGCCTCCCAAAGTGCTGGGATTACAGGCGTGAGCCACTGCATGCAGCGAGATTTTCACTTTTAAGGCTTATAAGTTTTTGCTTCAGGGGACTGGATAGTGAGGACATTTTTAGGGAAGTCGCATTTTCACAAAACTCTCAGTTACTGGTCACAGTATAAAAATACTTTATTTAGGAGAAATACCTAATGTAGATGATGGGTTGATGGGTGCAGCAAACCACCATGGCACGTGTATACCTATGTAACCTGCACGTTCTGCACATGTATCCCAGAACTTAAAGTATAATTAAAAAAAAGAAGAAAAAAAGTAAGATTTAGAATTAACTTGTAGCAGTGCATATCTTTTGAAAGCAGTTAACTGTGGAAAGACTCAGTGCCCTCTTAGTTATGGCAACTTTCCAGTATCATAGCTCATGAAACAAAACATTAGATAGGAACCTTGGTTCTCTCTGCGGTCAGTCAAGATTCTAAAATGTTATTAGGATCTTTTCTGGGCTGCAACTGCCTGATGAGTTGTATACAAGTTCCAACCTATTAAAATTTAGATGATGCCACCCCCACATTCCTTATGCACCAGTTGTTTGGGGTTGATTCCACGTTGTAGATCAAATTGTGTTTCCCAAGTTGTGTTTCCCACTGTAGCATGAAGTTTGTTTTGTGGCTCTGAACGTTTTTTTTTATATTAAACACTAGAAATAAGACTAATTCAAGTTTCGTCTTAATATATTTTTAAAGTAGTAAGCAAAGCTATATCTAAATCTATGCTAATGCAGTAGCCACTAGCCACCTTTGAATTGTTATAAATTATTAAATAAAATTAAAACCTCAGTTTGCTGGAGATTTGAAATACTTAGTAGCCATGTGGCTGCTGCCTACTATATCGGACAGTACAGGGATTCTAGAACATTTTCATTATTGTAGCATTGCTGTGGATCTTTCCAGGGAAATCTCTGCCCTCGTTGATGGAGATTTCACTTGTTAAGATACTTATTGAAAACCATGTATTTGTTTTTTCTGGGAAATGAGAGTAAGAAAAGTTTCTTCAAAACTCGTGACTGAATTTTCCTTGAGTGAGTTTGCTGGATTTTCCTTTGGTGAGAGTTGTGAAATTCTGGGTCACAGTGGCAATAAAACTTCACTTAGATTCTTTGAATGTGATCTAGATGCTGCAGAGTATTAAACATAACTCTAGAAAAACTCAAGGACGAAAATTATAAGCGAATTACAAGTGAGAGGAGAATATAGTCTGAGGTGTTCAAGTTCTTTTGTGTATGTATTTAATTTTGTTCCTATTTTATTTCTAGCTGATTGGAATCTTTCTCGCCTACTGCCTCTCTCGTGCCATAACAAATAACCAGTATGAGATAGTGTAACCCAATGTATCTGTGGGCCTATTCCTCTCTACCTTTAAGGTGCGTTCATTTTGGTCCTCAGCTCTGTTAGTGTTGATATTTATTCTAGCCTGTGTATGTGATGCATGGACTAAGTTTGCCAAGAACGTCTTGTCTAGTAATATATTTAAATCTAGCTGGTGCTATGTAAACCCTGTGTAGGCAGGTTAGGTCTCTATACACAGGGCATGGTCAGAAAGTAATGACTTAGCTACAGCTTATCTATGCATGCTCTCTACAGTTATGCAACAGAAGACTCCCCGTGTGGGTTTATATATTTACATACACATGTCAGCCTAAAGATCATAAGTGGTCCCTTTTTTAACATGTTTTGGCCTGGAGAGAGGAGAAACAAAGAATCCCAAGAATGACCTTATTCGTGAGGTTCCCTGGCAGGTGCACTCTGCTCCTCACCAATATTGACATTTTCCTTAGTCCTTTTCGTAGTTTTCATTTACCACAATCTTAATCAGTTGTTGAGAGTGTGGCTTTCTTGGTAAAAAGATGTTTTTGGTGGGCTTTTGTTAAAACCGTAAACTCATCTGGTCTAATAAGGAACCAGATTTTGGGAAGACATGTGTTTCAATGGCGTTAGTATTTGACTGGTAAAATACTGTGAGAACTGTTGTTGGCTGAATTGATCCCTAGGGCACACTTTGCATTTTACTTGAGCCACTGACTAGGAACACATAGGAAGGTCTTCATTAGCAGGAATAGATTAGAATGTATGTAAGCAAATACAGATGTTGAAATTTGGGTAACAAGTACATTAACTTTTTTTCTTTAATTTTAGGACATTTAGGGTCCCCCCTGTGAATTAGAAAGTTGCTTGGCTGGAGAACTGACAACACTACTTACTGATAGACCAAAAAACTACACCAGTAGGTTGATTCAATCAAGATGTATGTAGACCTAAAACTACACCAATAGGCTGATTCAATCAAGATCCGTGCTCGCAGTGGGCTGATTCAATCAAGATGTATGTTTGCTATGTTCTAAGTCCACCTTCTATCCCATTCATGTTAGATCGTTGAAACCCTGTATCCCTCTGAAACACTGGAAGAGCTAGTAAATTGTAAATGAAGTAATACTGTGTTCCTCTTGACTGTTATTTTTCTTAGTAGGGGGCCTTTGGAAGGCACTGTGAATTTGCTATTTTGATGTAGTGTTACAAGATGGAAAATTGATTCCTCTGACTTTGCTATTGATGTAGTGTGATAGAAAATTCACCCCTCTGAACTGGCTCCTTCCCAGTCAAGGTTATCTGGTTTGATTGTATAATTTGCACCAAGAAGTTAAAATGTTTTATGACTCTCTGTTCTGCTGACAGGCAGAGAGTCACATTGTGTAATTTAATTTCAGTCAGTCAATAGATGGCATCCCTCATCAGGGTTGCCAGATGGTGATAACAGTGTAAGGCCTTGGGTCTAAGGCATCCACGACTGGAAGGGACTACTGATGTTCTGTGATACATCAGGTTTCAGCACACAACTTACATTTCTTTGCCTCCAAATTGAGGCATTTATTATGATGTTCATACTTTCCCTCTTGTTTGAAAGTTTCTAATTATTAAATGGTGTCGGAATTGTTGTATTTTCCTTAGGAATTCAGTGGAACTTATCTTCATTAAATTTAGCTGGTACCAGGTTGATATGACTTGTCAATATTATGGTCAACTTTAAGTCTTAGTTTTCGTTTGTGCCTTTGATTAATAAGTATAACTCTTATACAATAAATACTGCTTTCCTCTAAAAAGATCGTGTTTAAATTAACTTGTAGAAAATCTGCTGGAATGGTTGTTGTTTTCCACTGAGAAAGCTAAGCCCTACATTTCTATTCAGAGTACTGTTTTTAGATGTGAAATATAAGCCTGCGGCCTTAACTCTGTATTAAAAAAAATGTTTTTGTTTAAAAAAAACTGTTCCCATAGGTGCAGCAAACCACCATGGCACATGTATACCTATGTAACAAACCTGCACATTCTGCACATGTATCCCAGAACTTAATGTAAACAAAAAAATCTTAAAGTGCAAATATTAAAAAAAACTGTTCTCTGTGAAAAAAATTATATTCCATGTTATAAAGTAGCATATGACTAGTGTTCTCCTAGAGATCAGACTTTTTTGATTGTATAGTTTGCATTAAAAAGTTGTACAGGGAGGGATGTAACCTGTATCTTCAGGATAATAGGGAAATTAATAAGGAAAATAATAATTACTAAAATTTGAGTTGAAGTCAGGGAATTATTTCTTTGGTTTTGAGTCTCTTTATACATCCATTAGTAGAACCTGTCTAGTCTGATTGCCACAGTCCTTGAATTGATGGTAAGGGGGAGTCAGTTACAGTTAGAAAAAAACCTGGGCAAAAACTACTAGTTAAATGATCATGAATTTTGAGTATGTGTTTTAAAATGCTTGGAGTTATTGCAGAAAAATGATATTCTCCATTAGAACATTTGATGTGTGACTTTTGACATAGGATAAGGTGATAAGAAAATTAAGTTGAAAAATAGTGACTCAAGTACAGCAAATCAGATTTTTGGCTACTGAGATTAAAGAAGCAAATATTTAAAGGATTATCAGCAATTTTCAAATACATATTTTTCACTGCAGTGGTTTTGAAGAATGTTTTAAGGTTATATTTAGAGTTTTTAAAAAAGTTTTCCCTCAGCCAGCCATGGTGGCTCACATCTGTAATCCCAGCACTTTGAGAGGCTGAGGCGGGCGGATCACCTGAGGTCAGGAGTTCTAGACCAGCCTGGCCAACATGGTAAAACACCGTCTCTAATAAAAATGCAAAAATTAGCTGGGTGTGGTGGCAAGCACCTGTAATCCCAGCTACTTGGGAGACTGAGGCAGGAGAATCACTTGAATCCAGGAGTCAGAGGTTGCAGTGAGCCGAGATCACACCACTGCACTCCAGCCTGGGCGATAAGAGTGAACCTGCATCTCAGAAAAAAAAAAAAAGTTTTCCCTCATTATTAAAAAGGAAAAATTATAGAAAATTAAAATATAGAATGTAGAAAGAGGAAAAACACCACACATCACTCGTCAGGTGGATTGGTTTGTTTATTTTTAAGATGGGTTTATTTTGGATAGCCAGTTAGAAAACGCCCTTATAGCTGATGTGTGCTTGTGCATACTGAATTGTATACTTAATTCTGAAAGTAATGAGGAAACATTTCACCTAATGATAACTGGTACAAAGGAAAGTTCACGTGTCTTTAATAGTTTGCTAATTAGACTAGCTGGTTAGAAAGAGGGATCACTAGATTGGAGAGAGAGATCCAGTTTCCACTGGAGGCAGTAGGTCTGCTCATTTCCATGGTGACAATCCTAATGGCAGAGGGAGTGAGTTTCCCTTAGTGGCACAGGCTGGGGGTTTTGAGCTTTTAAGTTTTGTTTTATAGAAATCTGGAGAATTTTACATTTTACTTCACTATATATCTATGTTTAAAATAATTCATTTTTGATGTCCCAAAATTGATGTGGGTTGCCTTATTTCCAGGCACCAGGTTGCTCACTGCAAGGTGACATTTTGAGAAGCAGAAATCTCTAGGTATATCTTAAGTGTGAAAAGCTTGTTAGATTTCCATGGCCTATTCCAGGTGGGTTGTTGGGTTTATGTTGTAAGCATCAAACTTTTGTGGAAATAAATACCTAATACAAGGTATAAATACCATTTCTGGTTTTCCTCAGAGCTCACAAAAGAATCTTTGAGACTTGATGTTTTCAACCTCCTGTCAGAATCCAAGTTGGTGATGCACCCAAACAAACCTGTTAAAATATGAGACACAGAGCCGGGCGCGGTGGCTCACACCTGTAATCCCAGCACTTTGGGAGGCTGAGGCAGGTGGATCACGAGGTCAGGAGATCGAGACCATCCTGGCTAATACGGTGAAACCCCGTCTCTACTAAAAATACAAAAAAATTAGCCAGGTATGGTGGCGGGCGCCTGTAGTCCCAGCTACTCAGGAGGCTGAGGCAGGAGAATGGCGTGAACCCGGGAGGCGGAGTTTGCAGTGAGCCGAGATCGCGCCACTGCACTCCCGCCTGGGTGACAGAGCAAGACTCCGTCTCAAAAAAATAAAATAAAATAAAATAAAAAAGAGACACAAAGCAATATATGCATTTTCTCATGAAACAGTAAACTTTGGTTCCTTTGGACTATTCTGTGAGGGTTTTTGTTTGTGTTTGCAGGGAAAAAAATTAACCTAAGATATTAATGCCATTTCTACTTTTCCTCACAGCATATATAAGATAATTTGAGATTTGATTTTTTTTTAAGTTTGCTACTTTTCTAGGTTGAAACTTTGTGATGCGGCAAACCAAACCTTACTAATTTAAAAAGGAAAACAAAAGGCTAATGTGTCAGAAATGAATATATAAACTGAAACAGCTATAGGGAAATAAGACTTTCATTTTTAAGTCATCGCTTTAAAACTTCACCCGGATTGCTTGTGAGAGAGAAGCCATTATGATTTAATTATGGTTTTTCTATTAGGTACCCTGACCCCATGGAGCTTAGTAGCATCAGGCACTTGTAAGAACACAGTAAATGCTAATGGAATAAATGAATGAATGAGTGAGTCTAATTATAATGGTCCTTTAATGTTCTGTGTGAAATAAGATGATCTCAACATCTCATTCTATGTAAGCCACCATTTATATAATAGAAACCACCTGCCCAGTCAGAAACCACTTAACCTCGGAAACCACAGCTAACTTCCTCCTGGTCAAATCGCTTTTTGCTGCTTCTCTTTCTTGAAGTCTTTGTTGCATTTGGTACCACTAAAAATATTTTTCTTTTTTTGTTTTGACTGTGTAACATCCTGATTTTCTTCCCTTTTACTGCTCTTTCTAGTTTACTTTGTTGTTTGAATTTCCTCCTCCTTTTCAAGTGTGGCTGACCCCAAGGGCTTGTATTTGGTTTTTTGCTCTTAGATTATGCCGACCTTACCTTGAGGAATTAAAGTACATGATCATCAGGCCTAACCTTTTATTCTTGGGACATGCACTTTAGTTGTGTGTTGGTCATAGCAGCTTGCTTATATTCCTACCCCTCTCCAATACCTAAAAGTTTAGTAGCATTCTGAACACTTAAAAATTTTTAAATATTCCTCCTATAACATCTAGCAAATGGAAGAGTAAGTACTTATTTGACATTGACCTACCTGGCTCTTTAATCAGGGATGACATGGCTTATGGAAACTGGGGAAAATGGGTCAGCTGTTCTAACCACAAGCATTTATCAAGTGCACATCAGTTCTTTGGGATTGTCATGCTTCATCTGATGGTGTTCTCATTACCATATCCTCAAAATTTTCATTAAAAAAAATGAAGTGGTGAGTTGGTAAGGCTCTTGTTTCTTCCAGCCAGTTTCTCACCACTTTTTTTCTGGGAAAACACAAACCTATTAGCAATGTCCACAAAGCAAATCAAACTGACGTGGCACTTGCCTGGATATAGACAATTCACCAATGGCTATATACAGCATATATAGCAGGGTAGACAATTACTCAGAATCATAACTAGAAAGGTAAAGTAGCTACATTATGTACACAGGGCAACCTAGGGTACAGCGTAAGAGATTCTGGACACATTTTCCTGTCCAGAAAGGCCATGTACTTCCTCAGCAGGAAAGTGGCAGATAAGGGCAGGTGCGGTGGCTCACGCCTGTAATCCCAGCACTTTGAGAGGCCAAGGCAGGCAGATCATCTGAGGTCGGGAGTTCGAGAGTAGCCTGACCAACATGGAGAAACCCCGTCTCTACTAAAAATACAAAATAAGCGGAGCGTGGTGGTGCGTGCCTGTAATCCCAGCTACTTGGGAGGCTGAGGCAGGAGAATTGCTTGAACCCGGGAGTCAGAGGTTGTGGTGAGCCGAGATCACGCCATTGCACCTCTAGGCTGGGCAACAAGAGCAAAACACCGTCTGAAAAAAAAAAAGTGGCATATAAGAGAAGATAGGCCATTTGAAAAGACTATTTCCCCCCTTCAGTTTCTTTTTTTTTCTTTGTGTGTGTGTGTGTGTGTGTGTGCGCGCATGTGTGTGTGACAGAGTCTCTCTCTGTCGCCCAGGCTGGAGTGCAGTAGTGCGATGTTGGCTCACTGCAACCTCCGCCTCCCGGGTTCAAGCAATTCTGCCTGCCTCAGCCTCCTGAGTAGCTGGGATTACAGGCGCATGCCACCACGCCCAGCTAATTTATTGTATTTTTAGTAGCGACGGGGGTTTCACCATGTTGGTCAGGCTGGTCTCTTACTCCTGACCACCTCAGCCTCCCAAAGTGCTGGGATTACAGGTGTGAACCACTGCGCCCGACCTGTCCAAATATCTTTTAATCAGTCCTTATTGAATATGAAATCTTCAAAGAGAAAACCTTCATGAAATAATATCCTATTCTCAGGAACGCTTTTACACTGTTGGTGGGACTGTAAACTAGTTCAACCATTGTGGAAGACAGTATGGCGATTCCTCAAGGATCTAGAACTGGAAATACCGTTTGACCCAGCCATCCCATTACTGGGTGTATACCCAAAGGATTATAAATCATGCTGCTATAAAGACACATGCACATGTATGTTTATTGCGGCACTATAAACAATAGCAAAGACTTGGAACCAACTCAAATGTCCAACAATGATGGACTGGATTCAGAAAATGTGGCACAAATACACCATGGAATAATATGCAGCCATAAAAAAGGATGCGTTCATGTCCTTTTAGGGACATGGATGAAGCTGGAAACCATCATTCCCAGCAAACTATCACAAGGACAGAAAACCAAACCCTCATGTTCTCACTCATAGGTGGGAATTGAACAATGAGAACACTTGGACACAGGGTGGGGAACATCACACACCGGGGCCTGTTGTGGGGTGTGGGGAAGGGGGAGGGAGAGCATTAGGAGATATACCTAATGTAAACGACGAGTTAACGGGTGCAGCACACCAACATGGCACATGTATACATATGTAACAAACCTGCACATTGTGCACATGTACCCTAGAACTTAAAGTATAATAATAAAAAAAGAATATCCTATTCTCTCACAATATGCCCTTTGTAGGGTGTTAGTATACAGTAAGTACATATTAAAAACAAACCAACCAACCTTGTTATTATTCCTCAGCTCCACAACATCATCGAACCAAGGGAATGATTACAAAGAGAGTTAATCGCAGTCTAAACATCAACTCTTTCCATTTTCTTTTAAGCATCTCAACAGTCTAATGCTTCCTAAAGTTTACAAACTATTATTTCCTATGTTAGTAAAGACACTCCACAACACTTAGTTGCTTTCATAACATAGTCCCATTTGAGTATCTTTAAATATTAAGTGAAACAAACAAGAACAAAAACACCCATGCTACACACTCACACATCAGGGCAGAATCACTCCTACTCTTCAGGCACAAGTCCAAACTCCTGCTTTCATTAAATGGGTTTGTTCGCACATGTGCACATGCATGCAGATAATCTATTCCCCTACAGAATAGAAGCAATTTCTGAAGCAGCCAGCCCCCCTTAGAGTGCCCCAGGGGATCCAGGGAGTTCAGAGCTGCACACTGCAGCTCAGGACAGCCTTGAATCCAGCCCAATCACAGTCTTGCCCAAGCAGAGCGAGCAATACAGGCCCTTCTTTCATGAAGTTTTCCGTAGCCTCCTACCCAACCCTTCTTGGCCTCAGCCCCATCTTGGGACTCTGACACTGGCAAGACAAAATGTAGCAGAAAACATGTCATGGTAATTATTTGAGAACTTGGCCCGAAGACACACATATCCCAAAGAACATGGAAAATGTAAAAATGTTCAGGGAAATTAAAGGTGTATAATGTAACAAATCAAAGATAACCAATGTTTTGATTTAAAAGTAGAAGTTTCTTATCTACAAAATGAATACATGAGTTATTAGAAAATGTATAAAAAATTCAGAATTCAAAGAAGTATAAAGTAATAAGTGAAAGTCTTGCTTTGCTGCCCACCCTCACTCCCACTGCCCAGAGAGGATCACTGATTAAAGTGCCTTATGATTCCTTCCACACATTGCCATATACATGTGTATCTGTACAAATTTTTCTTCCCACAAATGGAAGCCATGGTTAAGATCACAGACTCTAGAGCCAGACTGGCTAGGTTGGAGTTCCTTCTTTACCAATTACTGGTTGTGAGCTCTTTGGCAAGTCACCTAATCTATCTGTGCCTCAGTTTCCTCATTTATGAAAAGATAAATAATATTACTTGCTTCATAGGGCTGTTATAAGGATTAAATGAGTTGCTTATATGCCAGACACTTAAAACAGCGTTATGTGTCAGTCTAATATTTAAAGGGTCTTTATTGAGATATATTTTACATATCATAAAATTCAGCTCTTTTTTTTTTTTTTTTTTTTTTTTTTTGAGACAGAGTCGTACTCTATCACCCAGGCTGGAGTGCAGTGGTGCGATCACGGCTCACTGCAGCCTCGACCTCCAAGGCTCAGGTGATCCTCCCACCTCACCCCTCCAGTAGCTGGGACTACAGGCACGTGACACCATGCCCGGCTAATATTTTGTATTTTTTGTAGACACGGGGTTTCGCCATGTTGCCCAGGCTGGTCTCGAACTCATGGGCTCAAGGGATCTGCCCACCTTGGCCTCTCAAAGTGCAGGGATTACAGGTATGAGCCACTGTGTCCAGCCGAATTCACACCCCCCCTTTTTTTTTTTTTGTGATGGAGTCTCGCTCTGTCGCCCAGGCTGGGAGTGCAGTGGCGCGATCTCGGCACACTGCAGGCTCCGCCCCCGGGGTTCACGCCATTCTCCTGCCTCAGCCTCCCGAGTAGCCGGGACTACAGGCGCCCGCCACCTCGCCCGGCTAATTTTTTGTATTTTTAGTAGAGACGGGGTTTCACCGTGTTAGCCAGGAAGGTCTCGAGAACTCACCCCTTTTAAGTGTGCAATTCAGTGATTTTAGTGAGTGGTACAATCATCACCATAAATGAGTTTTACAACATTTTCACTCTCCTAATAAACATCCCTCTTGCTCATTTACAGTTTATCTCTGTTCACACCCCCAACCCTAGGCAAGCATTAGTTTACTTTCCATTTCCAAATATTTGTCTTTTATAGAAATTTCATGTAAATGGAATCATACAATACGTGGTTTCTTTTGCCTGGCTTCTTTCACTTTACAAAATGTTTGTGAGGTTCATCCATGACATAGCATGTGTTAGTAGTCTGTGATTTTTATTGCTGAGTACTATTCTGTTATATCGCACTTTGTCCATTTGTCAGTTGATAGACATTCAGATTGTTTCCAATATATGGCTACTACGAATAATGCTCCTGTGAACATTTCCATGCAAGTCTTTGTGTAGTCATATGTTTTAATTTTTCTTGGATAGATATCTAGGAATGAAATTGCTGGGTTGTATGGAAGTTATATGTTTAACATTTTGAGGAACTGCCAAACTGCTTTCAAAGTGGCTGTACCATTTTACAGTCCTATCAGCATTTCATGAGGGTTTCCATTCTTGCACCTTCTCACTAACATTTGTTGTTGTTTGTTTTACTTTTCATTCTCGTTCTATCGGGTACAAAATGGTATTAATTGTGGTTTTAATTTGCATTTTCCTAATGACCGATGTTGAGCATGTTGTCATGTGCTTATTAACCATTCGTAGATCTTCTTTGATGAAAAGTATGCTCGTAGCTTTTGTCCATTTTAAAATTGGGTTGTCTGCTTATTAAATTGCAAGAGTTCTTTCTGTATTCTAAATAGAAATCCTTTATTGCATATGTGTTTTGCAAATATTTTCTTCCAGTCTGTTGCTTGTCTTTTTGTTCTCTTAATAGCGTCATTTCGAAGTGTGGAAGTTTTGAATTTTCCTAAGGCTGAATTTATCAATTTTTTTCTTTGATGGATTGTGCTTTTGGTGTCATATCTAAGAAACCTTTACCTAACCTAAGGTCTTATAGATTTTATCCTATGTTTTCTTCTAAAAATCTTATTGTTTTTAGCTCTTACATTTAAGTCTACGAAAAATTCAGAATAAATTTTCCTGTATGGTGTGAGATGAAGCTCTAATATAATGTTTTTCATGCACTGATCATATATCCTGTGGCCTTGGTGCACTTCTAATAGTTTTTGTTTTGTTTTGTGGATTCCTTAGGATTTTCAATATACAAGATTATGTCATATACAAATAGAGTTATTGTACTTCTACCTTTTCAATCTGGATGATTTATATGTCTTTTTCTGGCTTAATTCTCCTGATAGAACCTCCAGTACAATGTTCAATAAAAATGGTGAGCACAGATATTCTTGTCTTGTTCTTGATTTTAGGGGTAAGTTTTCAGTTTTTTACATTTAAGTCTGATTTTAGCTGTGGGTTTTTTTGTAAATACTTTTTTTTTTTTTTTTTTTTTTTTTTTTTTTTGAGACGGAGTCTCGCTCTGTCGCCCAGGCTGGAGTGCAGTGGCGCGATCTCGGCTCACTGCAAGCTCCGCCTCCCGGGTTCACGCCATTCTTCTGCCTTAGCCTCCCGAGTAGCTGGGACTACAGGCGCCCGCCACCACGCCCGGCTAATTTTTTATATTTTTAGTAGAGACGGGGTTTCACCGTGTTAGCCAGGATGGTCTGTATCTCCTGACCTTGTGATCAGCCCGCCTCGGCCTCCCAAAGTGCTGGGATTACAGGCGTGAGCCACCGTGTAAATACATTTTATCAGGTTTAGGAAGTTCCCTTTTATTCCTAGTTTGTTGAACATTTTTATCATAAAAAGATATTGTACATTGTCAAAAGCTTTTTCTGTGTCTACTGAAATGATGATGTGGTTTTTGTCTTTTAAAATATTTTAATTGATCATTTTAGGTTTATGTTGACTGATTTTCATATGTTGACCCAACCTTGCATTCCCAGAATAAATCCCAACTGGTTATGATGTATAAATTTTTCTTTATGTTGCTGGGTTTGGCTTGCTGATATTTTGTTGAGGGTTTTTGTGCATATGTTTATAAGGGATATTGGTCTGTAGCTTTCTCATTATGTCTTTGTTTTAATTTGGCTTCAGGGTAATATTTGCCTCATAGAATGAGTTGTGAAGTGTTTTCTCACATTCCAGTTTCCGAAGAGTTTATGAAGGATTTGTATTAATTCCTGTTTAAACTTTTGATAGCATTAACCAGTGAAGCCATCTGAGCCTGTGTTTTTCTTTGTGGAAAGTTTATTGATTCCCAATTCAATCACTTGTCATAAAGCTATACAGATTTTGTATTTCTTTTTGAATTACTTTTGGTAGTTTGTGAGTTATTCTAGTAATTTGTTCATTTCATGTAGATTATCTAATTCGATTCCATGCAATTGTCGATAGTATTCCTTTATAATGTTTTTATTTCTCTAAAGTTGGTAGTGATGCCTGCTCTTTCATTTATAGTTTTAGCAATTTGAATCTTTGTTTCTTGGTCAGTCTAGCTAAAGGTTTATTACTTTTGTTGATCCTTTCAGAAAGTCAACTTGGATTTTGTTGATTTTTATTGTTTTTCTGTTTTCTAAGGTAATTAGTCTCACACTATTTTTAAAATCAGTATATTTATTAAAAGTGGTACTTATTCATTTTCCTCATATACCCTTTTTACATTATACATGTTACATGTTCTGTTTGACATTCATCTGAAAAATATAATTTATATTTGATATATTTGACGATTTCATAATTGACAATAAGAATGCTTTCTTTTTTTCCCCTCGATTTTATTTTAAGTTCCGAGGTACCTGTGCAGGATGTACAGGTTTGTTACATAGGTAAACGGGTGCCATGGTGATTTGCTGCACAGATTATCCCATCACCTAGGTATTAAGCCCAGCATGCATTAACTGTTCTTCCTGATGTTCTCCCTCCCTCCCCCAACCCCCCGACAAGCCCCAGTGTGTTGTTTCCCCCAATGTGTCAATGTGTTCTCATTGTTTAGCTCTCACTTATAAGTGAGAACATGCAGTGTTTGTTTTTCTGTTCCCACGTTAGTTTGTTGAGGATAATGGCTTCCAGCTCCATCCATGTCCCTGCAGAGGACATGATCTCATTATTATTATTATTATTATTATTATTATTGTTATTATTATTATCATCATCATTATTTTGAGACAAAGTCTCACTCTGTTGCCAGACTGGAGTGCAGTGGTGCGATCTCGGCTTACTGCAACTTCTGCCTCCGAGGTTCAAACGATTCTCTTGCCTCAGCCTCCCGAGTGTCCGGGACTACAGGTGCACACCACCACACCGGACTAATTTTTGTATTTTTAGTAGAGACGGGGTTTCACCATGTTGGCCAGGATGGTCTCCATCTCCTGACCTCGTGATCTGTCCACCTCAGCCTCCCAAAGTGCTGGGATTACAGGCATGAGCCACTGCGCCTGGCTGATCTTGTTATTTTTTTATGGCTGCATAGTATTCCATGGTGTATATGTACCACATTTTCTTTATCTAGTCTATCATTGATGGTCATTTAGGTTGATTCCATATCTTTGCTATTGTGAATAGTGCTGCAATGAACATATGCATGCATGTATCTTTATAATAGAATGATTTATATTCCTTTGGGTATATACCCAGTGATGACATTGCTGGGTCAAATTGTATTTCTTTCTGTATGTCTTTGAGGAATCACCACACTGTCTTCCACAATGGTTGAACTAATTCATACTCCCACCAACAGCATAAAAACATTCCTTTTTCTCTGCAGCTTCACCAGCCTCTGTTGTTTTTTTACTTTGTAATAATCGCCATTCTGACGAGTGTGAGATGGTATCTCATTGTGGTTTTGATTGGTTTTGATTCGCATTTCTCTAATGATTGGTGATGTTGAGCTTTTTTTTTTATGTGTTTGTTGACCTCATGTATGTCTTCTTTTGAGAAGTGTCTGTTCATGTCCTTTGCCCACTTTTTAATGGGTTTGTTTGTTTTTCTCTTGTAAATTTGTTTAAATTCCTTGTAGATACTGGATATTAGATGTTTGTCAGATGAATAGATTGCAAAAATGTTCTCCCATTCTGTAGGTTGTCAGTTTACTCTGATGATAGTTTCCTTTGCTGTGCAGAAGCTCTTTAGTTTAATTAGATCCCGTGTTTCAATTTTTGCTTTGGTTGTAATTGCTTTTTGCATTTTCATCAATAAATCTTTGCCTGTGCCTATGTCCTCAATGGTATTGCCTAGATTTTCTCCTAGGGCTTTTATAATTATGGGTTTTACATTTAAGTCTTTAATTCATCTTGGTTTTATTTCTGAGATCTCTATTCTGTTCCATTGGTCTGTGTGTCTGTTTTTATACCAGCACTATGCTGTTTTGGTTACTGTAGCCTAGTAGTATAGCTTGAAGTCAGGTAGTGTGATGCCTCCAGATTTGTTCATTTTGCTTAGGATTGTCTTGGCTATACGGGCTCTTTTCTGGTTCCATATGAAATTTAAAGTAGTTTTTTCATAGACAGTATATAGTTGAATTGTGTTTGTTTTATCCACTATGTCAATTTCTACATTTTATTGGAGAGTTTACTCCATTTAAATGTAATGTAATTACTGATTTTAAAGAAAGGACTGGCATCTGCCATTTTTCTATTTGTTTTCTGTATGTCATATCATTTTTGTACCTCTGTTTTTCCATTACTTCCTTACTTTGTGACATGTAGGCCTATTCTAATGCCCTATTTTAATTAATTTGTCATTTCTGTTACCATATATCCCTTGTGTTATTTTCTTAGTGGTTGCTCTGGGGATTACAATTATTATCTTAAAACAATCTAGGCTGGGCGGTGGCTCACGCCTGTAATCCCAGCACTTTGGGAGGTCGAGGTGGGCAGATCACCTGAGGTCAGGAGTTCAAGACCAGCCGGGCCAACATGGCAAAACCCCGTCTCTGCTGAAAATACAAAAATTAGCTGGGCTTGGTGGCGGGCGCCTGTAATCCCAGCTACTTGGGAAGCTGAGGCAGGGAGAATCGCTTGAACCCGGGAGGTGGAGGTTGCAGTGAGCCGAGATCGCGCCACTGCACTCCAGCCTGGCGACAGAGCAAGACTCCGTCTCAACAACAACAATAACAACAACAACAACAACAGCAAACCAATCTAGTTCAGATTAATAGAAATGTAATTTTAATAGTATATGGAATCATTTTCCAATATAGCTCCATTCCATCTGTTTTTTGGGGCTGTTATTGTCATAGAAATTATATATTTTATATTATTAGTCTATCAACACAATTTTACAACTATTTCTTTATGCAATTATATTTTAAATAAGGTAGGAGGAGACAAAAGTTATCAAACTACATTTATACTGTCTTTTATGTTTACCTACGTATATGCCTTTACCGGTACTATTTATTTCTTTGTGTGGATTTGAATTACTGTGTAGTTCTTTCATTTTAGACTGAAGGACTTATTTTAGTATTTCTTGTAGGTCAGATCTGCTAGTGAAAAATTCTTTCAGTTTTTGTTCATCTGGAAATGTGTTAATTCTCTTTCAGTTTTGAAGGATAGTTTTGCCAAATACAGAATTTTTAGTTGACAATTTTTTCCTTTCAGCACTTTGAGGATGCCATCCCAATGCATTCCGTCTTCCATGAAGGCAAGAAGGCATTCTGTCCTTTTTGATGAGAAGTCCACTATTAATCTCACTGAGAGACGAATTGCTTTTCTCTTGCTGCTTTAAAGAGTCTTTGTCTTTCAACAGTTTGACTATGATGTGACTGGATGTAGATATCCTTGTGTTGACCCTACTTGAAGTTTGTTGCACTTTTAGCTATGAGGAGCAAAGTTTTTCATAAAATTTGGGAAATTTCTGGCTGTTATTTCTTCAAGTATTCTTTCTATTTGTTTACGTCTCCCTCTTCTCCTTCTGGGACTTACATTGTATGTCTATTGGTATGCTTGATGGTATACTACAGGTCTCCAAAGCACCGTTCTTTTTGCTTTCTATTACTCAGACTGAATTACCTAAATTAACCTATGTTTGGGTTCTCTGATTCTTTTTCTCTGCCAGCTCAAATCTGCTATTGAACAATTTTAGTGAATCTTTCATTGCAATTACTGTATTTTGCAACTCCATAATTTCTGTAATTTCTGTTTGCATCTTTTAAACCCTTTTTTTTGTGTGTGTGAGACAGAATTTTGCTCTGTCACCCAGACTGGAGTGCAGTGGCATGATCTTGGCTCACTGCAACCTCCGCCTCCCAGGTTCAAGCGATTCTCCTGCCTCAGCCTCCCGAGTAGCTGAGATTATGGGTGTGCACCACCACACCTGGCCAATTTTTGTATTTTTAGTAGAGACAGGGTTTTACCATGTTGGCCAGGCTGGTCTCAAGTTCTTTAAAGCCCACTACAAACATTGCATTCCTTAGATCTTTCTTTTAAGTTTTTGGACAGGCCCTGGCTTGCCCAAACGTGTATAATCACCTCAGGCAGTTGTGATGTTAAACAATTGCAGCTGATTATTTTTGATAAATGCACTAAAGATAGGGCTTTTCTTGTCGAGCAAGCTCAGAGTCAGGTCACATATGAAAGCACTGTATAAATGGGGCTTTCCCAGAGAGGTATGCGACAAGTCAAACAGTAACAATGCTGTGGGATAGAAGTTTTTTGAGGAGCTCCAAACCCAGTCTGCCCCCTCTAGTGGCTGTAAAGCTGCTGTCTTTTTTTGTTTTTGATTTTTTTGTTTGTTTTGTTTTTACAGCTCCTCTGGCTGTGAGTTGGCTGGTTTTCAAGGGAACTGTGGAGCTGGGGAGAGAAACATGGGAGTAGGCCAAGTTAAAAATGTAGTTTTCTTACATAGGTGCTGTGGTTTTTCTTGAATAAATGCTCCTCAGATTGCTTTAGACCTTGGGTTAATTTCCAGATTTGTAAAAAAAAAAAAAATAAAAAAAAAAATAAAGTTGATTTTTATAATTTTCCCAGCATTTTCATTGATTTTATGGAGGAGTGGATTTACGGAGATCCTCACTGCGCCATTCCAGAAGTCTCACCTGGTTAGCTATTATTTTATTATACAAGCCGTTCCTTACCTTGGTTTTTCCTCATTTAAAAATGCCTCTTACATTTTTTTTAATACCAGGTCATGCAGATCTAATGTAGTGTTCCAGAGTAGGGACACAACATAATTTATTTAACCATGCCCTATTATTAGACTGAGATTTTTTTTCTTTCATAATCAATGCAATTTAGGTTTTTTCCAATTTTTTTCATATCACAATCAATGCAACGAATACCCTTTGAATTATATTTTTTATATATTAAAAGTATATATATTTAGATTAGATTCCCAATTGAAGAACAGCTGGTCAAAGAGTATATGCAGTTCTAATTTTGACTGATACTGCCAAATTGCCCTCAAGATAGCTACACTAATTACACTCCTCTTACTACTATATCAAAGTGTCTTTCTTCACATACATTTACCAACACTGAAAATCTTCTTAATTTTTGCTAATTCAATAGTTCATAAAATAGTGCCTTATTCCATTAATTCACTTATTTACCTTAAGATAAGGGTATCTATTTACCTTACACATGATTTGAAAACTGCTTTGAATTGAGGCTTTGCTACAGCAAGAGGAGAGAAAAAAACGGTTTTAGATGTGGGGATCATCACAGAGCATACCCTGTTACCAACATGGTTTTTCCAGTGGTTTGTAAAAACCAGTCTGGGGATAAAGGTATCAATCAATCCCTTTTATTACCATTGTTTCATGAATTTGGGTAACTTCATACTCTCAAGACTCATGGCAATTGATGGAAGGATGAAGTTCTACACCTTGGGATTTAGCATGATGACTCAGGATATAAATGCAGCCCCCTCTTGCAAATTGCTCTGGGGCATTGGTAAACCCTGGCTGGAACTTACAGTTGCTCACAAACATTTTAGCTAGCTACTGCTAACCTTTTTCTTTCATAGTTGCAACTAGAAATAACTGCACATGCTTTGGGCTCATGAATTGTTTGTAGAGGGCAGGAGAAGGATATTGTTGTGTCCAAGTTGCTTTAACAGTATTTTATGAGGGGGATATAGAGAAGAAAATAGTGATATTTAATGTGAGGTTTAAAAAGACAGGGAAGAAATTAAAGGTCTGCACTTGAAGGCCTAATATACCTAAATGCCAAGTAAAGTTGAGAGAGAGATTTATTATGACAACCGTAAAAAGAACACCTCTTTTGTCTAGGCTGACGTCTTCAATTATGTTGTTTGTCTTTTGGGCACTAGCATGGTTTCCAAAAGCCACGACAAGTTTGTGTAATACACAGCTTGTTCTTTTATATCTTTCATATATGGCCATTCCTAGGCTATGGATATTATGCTACTTAAACCAAGCCAGTATGTAAAGGGATTGAGTGGTGAGCATGCAGGGATTGGGTGGGGAGGGCCAACATGGAGGATGAGTAGAGGTCTTACTACACAGCTGTAGGGTTGAAGAGGGAAAGCCATCTGAAGGGCCACAGAAAATGAACAGACAAAAGACAGATTAATGGGAGAAAAGGTCATATAGAATTTCTTTAACATGCATGAGAGGGTGGGGAAATCACCGAAATGTGATTACCCAATAACCTATGAGGCCCGGAGGTGTATATACCCTTCTTTATAAGGGAGGAGGAGATGGGGAACATAGGCAATTCTTTTGAGGGGTAGTAAATAATTATTAGGGAGAATGAATGAGCCTGGGAGACAAAAGTTAACTTGTAAATGATTCTTTGGAATTTGAATGAGCCTGAGAAACAGATATTTTGTGAAAAAGTCTGTCCAGGTGTGGCTGTATTCCTCAGTCTTCTTTTCTGGGATAGATAATGAAATTTCAGGGAAGAACTGGAAGGCAATTATGTTCTTTTTTGCCGGTCCTGTCTTAATTCGGATGAAGGAATAAAGCCTCTTCTAGCATCTACTGACCTTCAAGGGCCTTTAATTTAAAATAATCAACACACCAGGGTGACATATTTCAAAGTGAAATTCCCTGGGTTCTTTCATTGCTGCCATCAACTCCTTAGTGACTTCAGAAAAGTTGCTTAATGTGTCAGTTTCCAAATCTAAGTGAGGCAATGAATTTGCAGGGAACACAGAAAGCATTATAAAAGCATTGTAGCTGTTACCAGAAAGGGGTCCTGATCCAGACCCCAAGAGAGGGTTTTCGGAGCTTTCACAAGAAAGAATTTGGGGCGAGTCCACAGAGTAAAGTGAAAGCAAGTTTATTAGAGAAGTAAAGAAACAAAAGAATGGCTACTCCATAAACAGAGCAGCAGCATGAACTGCTTGACTGACTATACCTACTGTTATTTCTTGATTATATGCTAAACAAGGGGTGGATTATACATGAGTTTTCCAGGGAAAGGGCAAGCAATTTCCTGAACCGAGTCCTGCCCTTTTTAGACTATATAAGGTAACTTCTGGACGTTGCCATGGCATTTGTAAACGGTCATGGTGCTGCTGGAAATGTCTCTTAGCATGCTAATGCATTATAATTAATTTATAATGAGCAATGAGGACGACGAGAGGTCACTTTTGTTGCCATCTTGGTTTTGGTGGGTTTTGGCCGGCTTCTTCACTGCATCCTGTTTTATCAGCAGGATACCAGTCCTGCCGACCTCCTATCTCATCTTGTGACAAAGACTACCTAACCTCCTGAGAATGCAGCCCTGTAGGTCTCAGTCATATTTTACCCATCCCCTATTCAAGATGGAGTTATTCTGGTTTGAATGCCTCTGAAATAGTGGATATTGCTGTGATCACACACTATTCAGGGAAACGGAACTTGATCAAGTAAGCCACTGATAAAGGACTACATTTTAAAACCTTTTTTCTACTCAATAATTTTGTACCTCAGTGGGTAAAGTCAAAATATAATCACAAAGAAAAGAAGGCTCGTATTTTCCCATTGAAATGTATATAGTTAGTATAGAGAATGGTTAGGTACATGAGCTCTGGAGCAGACCTGCTTGCCTTCTATATCTTGGCTCTGCTACTTAACAGGGTGTGTAATCTTGGGCAATGTCTCCGTTTCTTTATCTGTAAAATAGGAATAATAATAATTCTACCTCATTCATAGGATTGCTATAAGGATTACATTAATATAAGAAAAGCACTTAGTACTGGGCAAATAGTAAGCATTCAGTAAGTGTTAGCTTTTATTATTACTATTAATTAAAAATACTTTCCTTCACTCAAACACCAAACAGGAGTCAGTAAGACAGGTGGAGGCAGAGAGCTGGCACCTATGAGAGCAAGGAAACCAAAGGCTTTCCTCCAGTCCCGCCAGAGAGATCATAGTTCTGAAGATGGTGTTGCTGACATACTAGTTTGTAATTATTCTGACCACACTATTAGGGTGTTACTGGAAAGGGGTCCTGATCTAGACCCCAAGAGAGTTCTTGGATCTCGCACAATAAATAATTTGAGACGAGTCTGTCAGAGGAGTGTGAACCAGAGCAACTCCATCTTGAATAGGAGCTGGGTAAAATGAGGCTGAAACCTACTGGGCTGCATTCCCAGACAGTTAAAGCATTCTAAGTCACAGGATGAGATAGGAGGTCAACACAAAATACAGGTCATAAAGACTTTGTTGATAAAACAGGTTGCAGTAAAGGAGCCGACCAAAACCCACCAAAACCAAAATGGCGACGCGAGTGACCTCTGGTCGTCCTTACTGCTACGCTACCACCAGCACCACGACAGTTTACAAATGCCATGGCAATGTCAGGATCTATCCTATATGGTCTAATAAGGGGAGGCATGAATAATCCACCCCTTGTTTAACATATCATCAAGAAATAACCATAAAAATGGGCAACCAGCCACCCTTGGGGCTCCTCTGTCCATGGAGTAGCCATTCTTTTATTCCTTTACTTTCTCAATAAACTTGCTTTCACTTTGCACTGCAGACTCGCCTGGATTCTTTCTTGCACAAGATCCAATAATCTTCCCTTGGGATCTGGATTAGGACCCCTTTCCTGTAACGAATCCATAGAGAAAAGTGAAAGCAAGTTTAATAAAGTAAAGGAATAAAGAATGGCTACTCCATAGGCAGAGCAGCCTCAAGGGCTACTGGTTGCCCATTTTTATGGTTATTTCATGATTATGTGCTAAACAAGAGGTGGATTATTCATGTCTCCCCTTTTAGGCCATATAGGGTAACTTCCTGATGTTGCCATGGCATTTGTAAACTGTCATGGCACTGGTGAGAGTGTAGCAGTGAGGAAGACCAGAGTTCACGCTCGTCGCCATCTTGGTGTTGGTGGGTTTTGGCTGGCTTCTTTACTGCAAACTGTTTTATCAGCAAGGTCTTCATGACCTGTATCTTGTGCCGACCACCTGTCTCATCCTGTGGCTAAGAATGCCTTAACTTATTGGGAATGCCCCCCAGCAGGTCTTAGCCTTATTTTACACAGTCCCTATTCAAGATGGAGTTCCTGTGGTTCAGGCACATCTGACAAGGGTGTTTTGCAAAATCTATGTTTTGCAAAATCTATCAATGTTATTCAAAATGTATTCCTTGGGCCACTTGCACCAGAATCACCAGGGGAGGGAGGAATTGATAAACTGCAAATTCCAGAGCTTCATCCCAAAGCTGCAGAATCAGAATTTCCGTACCTCAGATCTAAGTCTGTGTATTTTTCACAGGCAACCCAGGAGCTTCTGATAACAGACTAAAATTTGAGAACCACTGGACCATTGTGTTTGGTCAGAACACATTAAGCAACTAGTAACACATTGACAATGATATCAAATGGTACTAGTATATGAATCTGTATTCACCTTGATCCTGGGGCTGCTCTGACTACACTTGCCTCTGCTCTCAGGCTAAAGAATAATCTTTTCTTGTAATTTTTGAACTCAGTTGGCAAGAAATCCTATTTCTGGGCACAGTAAACAATTTTTGAATTCCTATTTCCATAAGGTTTTCATAAAGTAAAATTTTGATGCTAGTTGTAGCTCTTGATTTTACCAGTAGAGAGCACAGTCAGTCTATTGATGTTAAGCTTTGTATAACAAAGAAGTCTGTGATGGTCTTTTTTCTCTTTGATATGGAAATCTTATCCTTCTGGTTGGATAATTAGAGACAAGGGCTACTTCTGCGTGGGGTAGGAATGTGACCCTTGGGGTGGGATTACTCATTTTTCAAAGATGACATAGAATGAAACCCATCTAAAACTTCTATAACTGAAAAATATGGTCTCCTAGACATGTCACTCCATGAAATGAAATAGAGCACTTCTTTCATGAGTAACCTGCACTCCAATTGAACACGTTGGAACAGGGTGTGAAATGTACAGAAATGTGTAAGAAAAATTGTGAGATGTTGAATTACTCTGTTTTTGAAAACAACGTGCTTTGGAATGTGGAATTAGACACCTGGAGGGAAATACTTGCATGCCTGATAAAAGATAGATTTCAATTTTCTGCAGTTTGAGGTGTTTTTTTCTCAGCTCCAGCAGACTGCTTAATTATCATCTAAAAGGAAACTGGATGGGCAATAGTTTGGAGGCTTTGGGGAAAAGCTGAAACATGGATTAGCTTTCCCTTACCTTCCCTCAAGTCCCCAAAGTCAAAATATCTGCGACCATGATAATAATACCCTCAAATGAAAGAAAACTTTTCTCAGTGTTTTCTGTACAACTTCTCATAAGCTTAAAGTGAAGGACCAGTTGATTAATAAAATGTAGACACTGGGTAAAGAAGGTTTAGCATAAAAATAATTTGATCGAATATCAAGACAAATAAAATTTCTGTGAAGCAATCTCTCAGTACTTAAAGTGGGCTTCATTCTTAAGATGCCTAAATGTAATATTGGGTCAAAACACTGGGGAATGTTGGTTAATATTTATTGAGTGCTCAGAATGAATGTGTTGTAGGGAATCAGTCTGTGTTCATTGGCCTGAAAACTGTGAACAAGTTTCAAACTAATATTTTTTTTCTTTATTTTTTCTCTGGTGGCCTAAATTGTCATTGTAGTTTCTCTGAATATAAAAGTTTACGCTCTTGGGATTGGTCTATAAATTGGTTACAGCCTTTTATTATCTCCAAAGCCATATTCATTGCCATGACTGATGGGATCCACTGATAGTGCAAAAAATCAAGATTTAGAAAAATAAGTGTGGATTATTGTCTACTCAAAAGAAAAGGGAAATTTCCCTGGGTGACAGTAAAATAGAACTTGTTTTTACTGGCCTAAGATTCTCACATCTGCTTAGTGTATGATGTGTCATGAAACTTACTCTGTTCTGCTAGAGACATTTTGATTCCCCATAATGTAGAACTTGAACTTTCTCTAGTCAATTTAAGTCTGTCAAATCAAAATCCCTTTGATGAATAATATTCATTTTACAAAGGTCTTACTCCAAAAACTAACGAGGATTTTTGAAAAGAAAAACCTGTCATACTTTTTTTCAAAATGGTGCTCTATTTTGATTCGAGAGCAAGAGCTATAGTTATTAGAAAGATTTTTTTCTTTCCTTTTTCCAACCAGCCCTACATCTCCTAGTACCACTTTTCCCTCTTGGTTGGTAAAAATGAAAAACAAAAATCTTGCAAAAGATAATAAATGGAATTGTTTGCCTTGTGATATAATATCTTTGGGTATTATCTGCAGACTGTAGCAACTCCGTACCATTATATCAACCCAGAAGTGTGGGGTCTGTCTGCAGCAAAATTGTGATGTAAGCAAAATTGGTTTTGGCTCCCTCCCCACCCTTAGCCTTTTGACCTGTAGTGTCTTGATTTTACAGAGTCCTCTAGATGCTTTCCTTTAACCTATCCTTTATTTATTTTTCAAGTAGGGTTTTTAGTTCTCTTTATTTATGCTCTCATTCTTCAGAGAAAATGTTCATCTCATCGATTGGTTTGTGATCGTATGAGAATGGGCCTTAATTTGTTAATGTTTTATCACTTTCCGAGTAATATATTTACATTTAACGAGAATTTGAGGGACAGCAACTTAATACAAAAGGCATTAACTTTTTAATAGTAGGGATCCTAGATCCTGTGACAAGTTACTAGATGTTGCCAAGATTGCCAATTACCTCCTCCAGCATGTCTTCTCGCCTTCTTCCTCAGTGACAGAATCTTGATTTCATTTGAAGTGATAATGCACCCAGAACAAAGAATGCTACCAGTCTCCTTTGAAGCTATGTTTGGCCATATGACTAAGTTCAGGCTTATGACGTGTAAGTGGAAGTCTCCCTAAAAGTTAGGGGGTGTGCTTTTGTGGTGTCCAGCTTCTTTCTGAAGCCAATCTAGAATGTAGACACGATGGCTAGAACTAGAGTTATCCTTGACCATGAGGTGACCTTGAGGATGAAAACTACATACTGAGGATAGAAGAACAGAAAGATAGGTACATGGGTCAGTTGACTGGACAACCTAGATTATCTACTTCTACTTTGTTTAAGTTACATCATTTTAGGATTTCCTTTCATATGCAGCTGAACTTGATTTTAACAGTAAGACTAATATCTTTGGGAAATCAGGGCTTTGCAGATTTTTGAGTTGATATAACTGATAGGCTGATTCTGAGAAAACCATCACTGTTGGTTTTTGAGGGACAGAAGTTCTTGGTCTCTGAGAGCATATGAAGAATTCTTGTTCTCCTGAATCCTGAAAAGAATTCTGTCTTACACTTTCTTAATTGTTTACAAAGCACAGTTTTTATCATGCCAAGTATTTTGTAAATGCCTAGACAACAAAGAGGATAACCTATTTTCCATCTGTCATGCCATAGTTTCTAGCAGGTTTCTGGGTTCTTCATATCTTGTTGATCATGTTAGTTTAACAGTTACCCTAGATTGACATGCCCTGGTAAGAAGAAACTCTCAAAAAGAGAAGTAGTTTGGAGGAACAGGAAATATGAAAAGGTCAACCACAAACCATTCTGATTTCAGCATGATATGATTTAGCATAACCCAAACATTGAAAGCTATTATTGGGAACATGGAAGATTTACATTACGGTGGCTCACCAGATACACAAGGCTGGAACAATATTGCTGTGTAGAGATAACCCCCATCCTTAAGAACAAATTTCAGTGGACACAGTGAATTTGTGAGTTGATAGGCAACATGGATCCTTTGCAAAATAAACAAGCTCAAATCCTTGTGTTTTATTTCTAAATAGTCGCACTGCTGCTTTTTTACTCTCTACTTCAGCAGCTCAACTATGGCTGGGGCCTGTACCCTAAATCCCTTGCCCTTGGCAGGTGTCTTGCTTTTGGCTCACTGGTGACTGATATGAGTGTGAGCCTGAATTGTGTTTTAGAAAGCAACATCTCCATAAGACCAGTAGAATTACTGCTGTCAGTGGAACATTCAGAATGGCAAATGATAGCATCAGCAGAGAAGGATAAATATAAACAATATATTAATATCACTGTCAGGCAGAGGTCATCTCAGGACTATGGAGATGCTGGGTTTTTTTGTTGTTGTTAGTTTGTTTTGGTTGAGGAATTTATTGTGGCTTGCTCTATTTCCTTTGGTTCATTCTGCCTCTCTCTTTCTGAACCCCCTTTAGCAAGGACGATAGGCCTGAGTGTGAAGTTAAGAGAATGGAAGAGAAGATAGACAATGGAATGCCAATCTCAAAACAGTAAGTAGACAAGTGACTATCCAGTCATTGGGTTACAAATGCCAGAACTGAATATTGATCTAAATAAATGATCGATGTAGTCATTGGGTAAGGAGCTTTCATGCAAATTGATTAAAGATAGTAGAGGAGACTTAGGAGCAGGACTTTGGAATGCCAGGGACAGTATTTTTTGTGTATACATTTATACCTGTTTTTTAATATGGAAATACTTTTCTTTCTTGTTAGGGAACAGCATTCTGTCAGCAAAATTAAGCCCCAGAATTAAACTTCTTCAAAGAAGGAAAGCCAAAATGAAATCATTTTTAAGGGTATAAATAAAATAGATCCACGCATTTCCTGACAGCCTGAATGAGAAGGTCCATATTTATCTCAGTAAGCTTTCAGCGTTAGACTCTAGGAGCCAAAGTGACAGTTTTGGACTCAGCCAGACAGTGAGCCTTATATATAAAGACTCAAAATAGATTTCCCTTGCCCCTATTCCTGCCAAAGAGCCATTTTAGGTGTGCAGGAAGGTGCTGAGCACACTAATGCATAGTATCCTTATGCTGAGTGGGAGCAATGGATGGCTTTGCCTTACCTGACTTTTCTTGATTGGAATTTAGATCCCCAAAGAATCTGAAAGGTAATATGGTATTTCTTGTGATTTCATGGCAGATGTGCTTTTTGGCATTTTTTCTTTTTTATGCATAGAATCATTGAAAATTGAGATGAAAATGCCAAATGTCTGCATTCATATAATGGAAATAATCGAGCTGTGGACAATCATCTATGCTTTTGATCATTCTGGGATTAGAGGAATTCCTTACACTTATGGAATTCAACTGTGTCAAAAGATGAGGAATAAAAAAATGAATTTAAGTAAAATGAGAACTTGTATCCTAAATTTGAACAGAACTCAAGGCCAACTTTTTGTAATAATATTCTGACTGGGCTTTGTAACTGTGCTCTTTTACAGCCTCTTCTTTTTCTTCTGTCTTCTTCCCCGTCTTCTTTCTCATTGGCCTCAGTTAAAACACACACACACACACAACATCTAAAGGCCACATATATGCTTTAGATACGGTGCCAGGTTCTAGACAGAGCAAAATGGGAGAGGATATGGGCCATTTTCTTTTAGAACTTAACACGTTAAAATCATGTGTAATGAGTGTGTGCATTGAGTGATATACAGTCAGCTCTCCATATCCGTGGATAAAAAGCATATGGAAAAACCACTGCAAAAAATAATACAACAATAAGAAATAATACAAATAAAAAAATACAATATAACAACTATTTGCATAGCATTTACATTGTGTTAGGTATTATAAATAGTAATCTAGAGATGACTTAAAGTATAAATAAGGATGTGTGTAGGTTATATACAAATACTACTTCATATTATATCAGGGACTTGAGCATTCGAGGACTTTGGTATCCATGGAGGTCTTGGAGCCAATCCCCCACAAATACCAAGGAACGACAGTATTAATTTATACAGGCATAGAATGAAGTAGAGAGAATTTAGATTCCATGTTTGGGCAAGAGGAAAATGGGATTTGAAAAATGTCTTCAAATCAGTGAGAGACAAGTCTGTAAAGGAGATGGGATGACTGGACAAACAGAGCATGAAACTAAAATGCCTGAGAAAAGCAAGAGTGGTAGGTAGGGTAGTGGGAGGAGAAAAGAGATACAAGGTGGTAGTTTAAGGTGGTTTGAATCAGGATGTTTTGAATGCGACTTAGGCCTGATCCTTAATGTAGTAAGTAAGTAGCTATTGTAGACTCTCAGGAAAGGAAATGGCATTAATGAAATCTGTGAGTGAAAAACAAACTTTGTCTATAAGCATTTTATGTTAGTTTCCATCTCCAACCTGGGAACTTCAGCAGGGAGGAAGTTGTAACAAATGATCTAAGAAATAATCCGGTGGGGAAGGTTTAGAAGAGAAAAGATTTGGCAACAAAAGAGCTGGAGTGGGTGACAGGGATACATTATAATTACTGCAAGGTCTCTGGCTTGGGACGTCAGAGTTACTTTGATGTTGCTCTTTGAGGAGGCTGGGCTTAGGGAAGGGTGTAGGGAAGAGTGGCAGCTCTAGCCTCAGTGGGGTCGATGTGAGGGAAGTGTAAGGCACGAAATAAGGAATCTCTACACAGGATTCACATGAGGGGTAAAAATTTGTGATGAGAGAGGTATTATACTTTTTCCTTTTCAACCTAGCCTGGGCCTAAATTGAAGTGACAGACGAGTGTGTTTGGATTTGTTTATTTGCTGTGCTGTTCCCTTCTCCCCGCACCCCCTCTTCTAAGCATGTGATAATTTGAATCCTTCCTCCTCCTCCTCTTGTTCTTCTTCTTCTTTCTTTCTTTTTCTTTTTTTTTTTTTGCTCTGTTACCTGGGCTGGAATGCAGTGGCGCCATCTCGGCTCACTGCAACCTCCGCCTCCCGGGTTAAAGCGACTCTCCTGCCTCAGCCTCCTGAGTAGCTGGGATTACAGGCATGTGCCACCACGCCCGGCTAATTCTTTTTGTATTTTCAGTAGAGACAGGGTTTCACCATATTGGCCAGGCTGGTCTCAAACTCCTGACCTTGTGATCCGCCTGCCTTGGCCCCCCAAAGTGCTGGGATTACAGGCGTGAGCCACCGTGCCCAGCCTTGAATATTTCTTTAAGCATGCCCTTGTATTTTTTTTTTTTTTTAACTCATTCTGGCTCATTAAGAGGATCACAATTTCCCACTGTGAAATTATTTGGAGGTTGAGGTATCTCATTTGAGCAAGAAATGCTTCCTGAATTAAAAGAATGTGAGTAGGAACTCTGAGTCCTAAAATGTGATACGAAATTGTCTATACCTCTTAGAGTGTGTGTCTGTGTGTGTGTGAGCGCACGCACACATGCACACAGCATATACAACTGTAGTGAGTTGTGTATAAGTTCCTATGTTAGGGCTTATGTATTTTGGGTGTCTCATCTTTCTTTGGAAATAGGGAGTATATTTTCTACTTCATTTATATCCCTCATAGAGCATGGTATATATAGTATACTATAGACTGCATAAATTTGAGTGTCTCAGGAATTTAAAATTATTGGCTGATCTACAGGGAAATGCAAATCAAAACCACAATGCGATACTACCTTACTCCTGCAAGTATGGCAGTAATCAAAACATCAAAAAACAGTAGATGTTGGCATGGATGTGGTGATCAGGGAACACTTCTACACTGCTGGTGGGAAAGTAAACTAGTACAGCTACTATGGAAAAGAGTGTGGAGATTCCTTAAAGAACTAAAAGTGGAACTACTATTTGATCCAGCAATCCCACTACTGGGTATCTACCCAGAGGAAAAGAAGTCATTATACGAAAGAGATACTTGCACACGCATATTTATAGCAGCACACTTCACAATTGCAAAATCATGGAACCAACCCAAATGCCCATTAATCAACCAGTGGATAAAGAAACTGTTTTTTATATATATATATATATATATATATATATACACACACACACACACACATACACACACACACATATATATATGCACATATATAGACACACATACGTATACACACATATATACACGGATATATATACACACATACATATATAATATATACATACATATACACATATACATATATACACATATATACATATATACGCATATATATACACACACATATGTATGATGGAATACTACTCAGTCATAAAAAGGAACGAATTAATGGCATTTGCAGTAACATGGATGAGATTGGAGACTATTATTCTTTCTTTTTTTTTTTTGAGACAGAGTCTTGCTCTGTCGCCCAGGCTGGAGTGCAGTGGTGCGATCTCGGCTCAGTGCAAGCTCCGCCTCCCGGGTTCATGCCATTCTCCTGCCTCAGCCTCCTGAGTGGCTGGGTCTACAGGCGCCTGCCACCACACCTGGCTAATTTTTTTGTATTTTTAGTAGAGACGGGGTTTCACCGTGTTAGCCAGGATGGTCTTGATCTCCTGACCTCGTGATCCGCCCACCTTGGCCTCCCAAAAGTGCTGTCATTACAGGCTTAGCCACCGTGCCCGGCTGGAGACTATTATTCTAAGTGAAGTAACTCAAGAATGGAAAACCAAACATTGCATGTTCTCACAGATACGTGGAAGCTAAGCTATGAGGACGCAAAGGCATAAGAATGATACAATGGGCCAGGCGCGGTGGCTCACTCCTGTAATCCCAGCACTTTGAGAGGCCGAGGCGGGTGGATCACCTGAGGTCAGGAGATCGAGACGATCCTGACTAAGACGGTGAAACCCTGTCTCTACTAAAAATACAAAAAAAAAAAAAAAAAATTAGCCGGGCGTGGTGGCAGGCACCTGTAGTCGCAGCTACTCGGGAGGCTGAGGCAGGAGAATGGCGTGAACTCGGGAGGCGGAGCTTGCAGTGAGCAGAGATCGCACCACTGCACTCCAGCCTGGGCGACAAAGGAAGACTCCGTCTCAAAAAAAAAAAAAAATACAGAATGGACTTTGGTGACTTGGGAGAAATGGTGGGGTGGGGGGCCGAGGGATAAAAGACCACAAATAGGGTTCAGTGTATACTGCTTGGGTGATGGGTGCACCAAAATCTCACAAATCATCACTAAATAACTTACTCATGTAACCAAATACCTCCTGTACCCCAATAACCTATGGAAAAATAAATAAAAAATAGAAAAAATTAAATATAATAAAATTATTGGCTGATCTAAAAAAGCAATGTTAAAAATGAGTAGTCTTATTAAAAAACAATGATAGAAACATCATAAAGTTCATATAACCTCAAAGTAATTTCCTATCTTTGACGTTTTTCTATTTCAACTATAAATTAATGCTTGTTATGATAATCGAAGTACTCTAAAACAATCAGATGTCTTCTAAATCATCAATTAAAAATATTTTCAGTAATGTGCATTGTTAGATATATTTTATTGTGCTCTCTTTCTGTGAAAATTGGTAATCTAAGTATGGCATATATGCTAATTACCAATTAATGACTGGCTAATCACAACTCAACCTTGGGCAAAGCCATTTTCTATGGATTTCCTCAACTCTTAAATGGGAGAAAATGACTGCTGGCCCACAGGCATCTTGGTGAAGAATTTATTTGAAAATATTTTTCTGATAGAAAGTTCCAGACAGACATTTTCATGACACAATAACTTTGAAGTTGAGCAATGAAGTATATGCTACCTTCAAATGAAACTAGAAGGGGTGACAGATTGGTAGAGCATGAATTTTGAAACTGAAACTGTCTGGGACATCAAGGTTAACGTTACCCTTTAACCACTTCTTTCTCTTTCCCCTTTGCCCTCTTTTCCTTTCCCAAGCAAAGTATGGAGTGATTGGGAAGTATGCCCTTACCTTTTCTTTCAGAAACTGGTATACTGCTAGCTCCCTGTGATTTGGGAGGGAAAATCCCATTTGATTCCTCATCTCAATAATTTCCTATGATGCCTGTTTCTGTGAATGGTATTTATGGGTTCTTGTTTTTTAGACAATTGCCTTGGAAAGGTATCTAATCAAACACTGATATAAAGAGGAGCCAGATGTGAAGGCTATGGAATGTTGAATTTGTCCTAAGTTGAGTTCCTGTTTATAGGAGGAGAGCCTGAGACCCTTTTTGCTAGTTTAGCTTTCTCCTTTGCTGAGTCTGCACATTTGGAATATTTTAGTGTTGGCCTGCTATGACTCACTGCCTGTCCAGCAGCTTAATTGATACTTAAGGAAGTTCACAATATATCTTTCATATAATTAAACACTGGGGCTATGCACAAAAGGATATGTTTTTAATGCATCAGTTATGGAGACATTTTATCATCAGCTCCTTATTTCCACTGTCTTAATACAGCAGAGTAAAATATGATATTTAGGTATCATTATGCTTTGCCCTTTTCTACTTCCAAACCTGTTGTGTTGGATCCTCTCTGGAAAGGGAGTCTTATGACCTACAGTCAAACAAGGTAGGTCAGATAATTTCCTTATGGCCAGCTTTTACACAGAAAAGCAGAGGAAAAATCAGAGTGATATTTTTAGGTTTAAGGCTGGCTTTGGAAAAAAGGGGTTTTGATTTATATGACACGCCTTGAGGAAGAGGGATTCTAGCTTTTATGGCTAGCCTCGGGGGAGAATGGGACTGAGAGACTGGCAGGTAGGAGAAGGTCAGAGAAAAACTTTTGCTTCTGAGGCTTTCATTTTGGGGCATTGTTTTCTGAGCCTCAGCATAGTCATCTATGTTTGACGGGTCTGCTCCATTTCAGTTGCTGTGAATATTCTCAGCAAACACTTACCCAGTGTGTTCAGCAGCAATCAGGCTGTTGGTGATAATGTAGAAGTTTATTAGAACATGAAGAGAGGAATTACCTACAAGTAATTCTGGAGAGCTGGCTACCAGGGGCCAGATGCCTCATAGGCAGAAATTCATTGAATAGCATGCATTTATTATATGTTGCCAGCAGTTTAAGCATTTGAGCTCAAACCTCCTATTAGACCCTCCCCAGCATGCGGGCCACCCACCAGTTACAAGGCATGATGACACGACAGATGACTCGTCCTCCTTGGTAGCAGTATGGATATGGGTAGTAGCCTAGTAAAGGTTCACAGACGCGGCGGCAATAGCGGTTGCCTCGACGGCAGTAAATACAACAATAACCTCTCTCATCCAGCATGGGATCAAATTCTATTCCATTTTCAGTCTGAAAGAAGAAGAAGCCAGTGTTGGGGGTGGGAGAGGAAGGTTCACTAGCAAGAGTTCTCACCAAGCAGGGGAGAACTAGAAGACTGTATGAGTTGGGGGCTTGTGAGAAATTAAGCTCCTTAGCCTGATCATGGAGATATATCTACAGAGATCGAGATTGATTTTGAATGAGCCTCCTGGAGATTCCAAGTTTCTTAAACATTTTTTTTTTTTTGTTAAAGCCATGATCGTTCTCCTTCCAATGATTGTGATCTGAGGGGTAGTAAGTTTTGTGAGGGCTCTTTTTTCCTCCTCTATCAAGAGTTTACATAAACATAACTCACATAGTCATTTATTGGAAGTTCTTCCTCACTTGCTTGTCTGGCGTGACGGGTCTTCTCTACTTTCACTTGAGGGACCACCCACTGTTCATTTTGTTCAATCCCTTTTTTTTCGTTGGCAGGAAAGTGAAGATCTTCTCCCTCCTCCTCAAAGTCTTGTAACTCAGAAACTAAGATAATAAATGCAAAGTTGTGATGCAACTGCTTTGCAAATGTTCCTGAAAGAAGTGCTTGGGAGAATAGCAGCTGGGGATAGAGATTTTCATTGTGTCTTCTAACTGGCATCATTTAGGCATGGACCACTTTTCCAAGCTCCTTCAGCTGATATTTTAGAGTAGTTTCCAAAACAAGCCTGATCATTTCTACATACACAAACTTCTTTGCTTC
This sequence comes from Homo sapiens, assembly GCF_000001405.40. Classification (NCBI taxonomy): domain Eukaryota; kingdom Metazoa; phylum Chordata; class Mammalia; order Primates; family Hominidae; genus Homo; species Homo sapiens. The sequence continues at coordinate 100,598,798 of NC_000023.11, read as the reverse complement.
TTTGGCATCAAACATTTACTGCTTTGACTTAATAGCACACTAAATTAAAAACTGAGGACAAGGGACTTCTGTATCTCCTACAATGATGATTTTACCCATGTAGATGCTCAATAAATATTTCTTGGTTGCCTGAATTGATTTGACATCCTCTGTCCTCCCACTTCCCTTATGTTTCTTGTCTTAAATTTTTTTTAAACTTTCTGTTTAGAAATAATCTTAGATTTATGGAAGAGTTGCAGAAATAGTACAGAGTTCACATATTCTTCACCCGGTTTCCCCTAATGTTACCTCACATAACCATGGTACAATGATCAAAAATCAGAAGTTAGAATTGGTACAATGTTATTAACTAAACTACAGACTTTATTCAGATTTCATTAGTATTTCTACTAATGTTTTTTTCTGTTCCAGCATCCAGTCCAGGATACCACACTGCATTTAGTCACCTTTTTAATATCTCTAAAGAGTACCCACAGATGCTTACATTGGTGAGAATAACCTCTCTTGGGTAATAGAGTAATCTATGCTGTGCAGAATGAGGGAGGCCAAATTCCATGTTAGCTAAACAGACTAAGACATCCAGGGGCCTTTACCTTCTCTATGGGCTGACTGGAAGTTGAGGGCTGGACTCTTCTACTCTGGACATCAAGCCCTCAACTATTTTTATAGTAATTCCTAAAACAGCAACAAAGAAATTTGTATTGCAGTGATTGTCCTATCTTCTAAGGAAAATGCCACCATTTGACATAGGGAATCCTTCTTGATAGCAGAGCATTGTTTTTGCCCTTCTCTCCTCTATTCTTGGGTTGGACCCACAGTGGTTTGAGCAATAGTCTGGCATACCGACTGCAATGAATATAGATGTGCAAAGAGAGACAGATTAGTTTTTTGCTATCACTAGTCACATTAGGGTGGTGTTACCTTTGCTGGGATATTTAAAAGCCTGTCAACATTAATTTATCTGATTTATAACTTGGCTGTGAAAAATTCCCTCCTCACTGGCAGTCAGCATATATAGACTCATCCAAGAAGATATAAACCGATCATTTGTTTTCCTAGAAATGTAGCCTCTAAATGCTGGGAACATTAACCTGTTACTGTCTTAGAAAATAGGAGGAGGATGAGGATAAGAATGTCATACCTGATATTAGAGTGGGATTGATCCAATACATGGTCACGTTATCACAAATCTCCAGAATTTTGGAATTTTTAAGAAAATCTCGGTTTTCAATAGGCTTTTCTGCTGGGACCCAAATCACTGACTGTTCAAAGAAAGTTGTGGTAATTTCTTCATTCTGAAAGAAGAAAGTAGCTTAGGGTAGGGATTGGCAGAGAAATTAGTAGAACAAGTGAGACATTATGGGATGCTGGAAAGCAATATATTTTGAGTGTAACAATTTTAATCCTAGGGCTGCTGGTGAACTAGCTCTGTGCCTTGCATTCAGTGGGTGCCCTTGGGGGAGTTAACAACTGATCCTTCCTCCTTCCTGGGTCTAACAGCAAGACTGCTTACTAAAGTAGGAGCCTTCTCTGTTACCATTTCACTCAAAGTCAGAAAGGGGCTTCGTTATTTTCAGGGTGCCCTGGGTCTGTGTATGTTTTAACTTGAGCTTCTGGAACCCTAAGTGATTTACATTTGTTTTCTTTTTTATAAATACATTTTATTAGCCTGCCTTATTTTAGGTTTGCATCTTGGGTGGCAAGCAGGATTTGACCCGAAGCTGACAAAACTCCTATAATCCAAACTGGTGAGATCAATTCAATAACAATGTAATCTAATATTTTGGTTTTACAAGATTTGCCTGTTGATGGTAGCTAGTTATAGTACAAAAGATTTCCTTTTATGTTTTAAAGGCAAGTCTCCAGTTTATGACTTCACTGGCCTTCCTACTATTGCATTCCTTTCATTGTAAATGCTTAGAGTTTATCTCACAGAGTGTTTTTCCTTTAAGCAGCTTTTTTTATATTGTGAAGGATGCCACTTTCTCTTCAGTTTCTAGTATTGAGGTAATTGTGTTGTATACCTAGTTCTTACTAATTTCTCCCGGAATCATTTACAATTCTAAAGTCTTAGCACCTTTGTCCTTGAGTCTGTAACGACCTTGAGATGCATTGAAAGGAATTGTATAAAATGAGGTTGGTATGCTGACTAGCTTTGTTAGCAAAATCAGGGCTATTTATATACCTGCTCTGCATGTTTAAAATACACATGCCATGGATACAGTGTGGAGGGAATTACAGAAGAAGGTTTTTGTCATTCAGGACCACAAATTTGTCTCATTAAAAAAAAATCTGTGGCGTGAATATAAAAAACAAGATTTACTTGAAGGTACAGTGTTCTTACTATCATGAAATGAATTTGCGTTATTTAAAATATTTGGTGAAATTAACTGAAGACTAAATTAGGGCCAAAATGAGACATTATGAGCCTTTGCCTTTATTTTTTGTTTATTTATTTATTTTTTGACACTGAGTCCCGCTCTGTCACCCAGGCTGGAGTGCAGTGGCGCAAACTCGGCTTACTGAAACCTCCACCTCCCGGGTTCAAGTGATCCTCCCACCTCATCCTCTTCAGTAGCTGGGATTACAGGCACACGCCACCATGCCCGGCTAATTTTGTTTTGTTTTGTTTTGTTTTAGTAGAGATGGGTTTTCACCATGTTGGCCAGAGTGGTCTCGAACTCCTGACCTCCAGTGATCCCCCTCTTCGGCCTCCCAAAGGGCTGGGATTATAGGCGTGAGCCACCGTGCCCCGCCTCCTTTGCCTTAATCTTTCAAAAAAATAAATCCTATTATATCACTTCAGGTTCTCATTGCTGAGTGGCCTACTCAAATGCTTACATTATTTTCTGTATGTAATCAGCATATGTTATTGTGTATAGTAGCTTTTTAATCCTATTGATTTTCCTTTTATCTTACCTTTGCCTTCTATAGTCATTCCTAATATCCTGAACGTCGATCTATTCCTCAGATGCATCTAACTTATGCTTACTTTAAAAAAAGTCTCCAAACTTTGTCACTACCGTAGACCTTGGGAGCAGAGCATCATCTTTGGGAGAACGTTCTTTTTTTTCTTGCAAATTCTAGTAACAAGGGTCTGTAACTCCTCTGGCCCCGAGGAGACCAGTAGCATGAAAGAGTAAAGTGGGAGCCAATGACAGCTCTAAGACTTGGGTAAGGGAAAGAAAAATAGTCCTCCCCACCCACCGCCCCCAAATAAAGAAAAAGGTAAAGAAAAAGGTAAAGGAAAAGATAAATGGGTTGGTGAGAATCAAGATGGAGGGAGCTGGGTGGGAGAAAAGTGAAAAAGAACAGGGAGAGAGAGAAGAAAGAAAGAAAGAAAGAAAGAGGTTTTTATAGTTTATAGAAAGATCACTCTGCCATGGCTGGGCGCGGTGGCTGATGCCTGTAATCCCAGCACTTTGAGAGGCCTAGGCGGGCGGATCATGAGGTCAGGAGATTGAGACCATCCTGGCTATGGTGAAACCCCGTCTCTACTAAAAATACAAAGAAGAAGAAGAAGAAGAAGAAAGATCATTCTGCCATTGCCATAATTCCACTTTAGATTTGGCAACTAAGCACTAAACCAAACCAAACCAATGTTTGTTTTTTCTTGCTATAGTGGGGATATGCTGTCACAATATGACCTTAACTGAGGTCCCCCTTCTCCTCCCACTAATAAAACCATACTGTAATTATAGACAAAATATCAGGGAACAATAAAGAGCCTCAAGGGCCTTACAGATCGTTGTATTTTAGGCAATAACATCCATCTCCCATTAGGTTTTAAAGGGCCATTCAGTGATTTCACCAGCACCCTAGGTTGCCTTACTTTGGTCTAGCAGGGTGTTTTCAGAGAATTTGTATCCCATTGCAGTGTTCACCTTCTTTGCTTTTGCCTTTCCTACTGAGGTTAAATGTGAATTATTCCATTAGCAGCCCAGCATAAAATGGTAAGGTGAATGAACCACAATCTTTAAAATAGGTGAATACTGAAGTGTGACAAAAGTGGCAAGAACCCCAGGTGGCTTTGGAACTTTCTTTTTTAAAAACGCTTTATCTGAGGCAAGATTGATTTTGTTTCTCTGGCTCATCCCTCTTACTAGAAATCTTTGGTTTCAGAGAAAATCAACATAATGTTAATGGGTGCCCGGGTATAAGAGTATAGCATTGCACCTAAAATTATGCACTTGAGTTTTCTGAAAGGCCTAAGTTCAAGACCCCAATCTGCTACTCACTAGCTGTGTGGCCTTGAGCAAGTCACTTTTTGGCTCTGAGTTCTAGTTTCCTGATCTGAAAATGATGATAACAATAGTATCTATTTATAAGGTTGTTGGAGAATCAAAGAAAAGTAAAGCATTTAGTACAATGTTTGGCACATAGCTAGCATCCAATAAATGATGTCTTTTGCCACCACAATTATTCTTCTTACATACCTCATCTATTTCCTCTTCTGGTTCAGAAAATTCAGGAATCACTTTAATCTGAGTTTTGATAAAACATTTTTGAAGACCCACGAAGTAGATGCCAGTGTATCCCTATAAAACAGACAAAACAACAATAAAGCTTCCCAAAAGAGCCACTATTAGTAAGTTCCATGATCTGTTGGGGTCCCAGACTAGCAAAATTTGAATTCAAATGGAAAGCTAGAGGAGGCTAGCTTTCCATTTGAATTCAAATTTTAGATGGAGGCTATTTTTAACTTGACTCAACTGCTCTAATATTTTAAGTGGAAAGCCTTAGGAGGAAAACATCCAACTTACGTTTTTAAAGTCGTGCACTTCCAATGTTTCATCAGTGCCATTTCCGCTTCTGAATATTTCAGTTCTGGTCACAGGATCAATTTCCATGTAAATCTTCTTCTTCTCTCCATTGCTGTAGAAAGTGTGCTCCATGTCATAGGCCTGGGAGAACAGAGGAAAACAATCTCTAAGATACTCAGTGTGTCCCTAAAGTGAGGTGCTTTTTGGCGCTGGAGCTGATATGGGGATCCCTTCAGAGCTGGTATTTTGAATTCAAGCCAAGCTGCTGAGCTAATTACTAAGAATTCCAACAGTTTTCTTGGCAGCCTTGACTAAACAGCAAATGATAGTTTGCAAACCAGCCTATAAAGTATTTTCCCCTTGTGTTAAGCTGAGGGATCACCTAAAACCTATGCTGCTTCTTTAAGCTACCACTTCCCTTTCCAAGTGCTAAGTAATCACGACCCCCCCCTTACTGCCCCGCCCCTCACCCGTGAAATTCATTAGGGCTTAGAAAGAGATTTGAATACACTTAAAATGGTTAAGTGTTTTTTGTCTCCTTATTTATCCAGGGCTTTAATATTGCCACAACAGCCTTGAGTCTATTCCTTTTAGAATCTGAAGACTTTCTCCTTGCCAATATTAGAGCCCTACCCTGCTCTGTTTGCTTCCTTTTGCCCCTTAAACTCCAGGAAACATTTATTGCCTTCCCTTAGCCTTCTCTTTATACGGCAACCAACCCCACCCAGTTTATTCCTGGGTTCTGTTTCCCAAGCCATATTCAGTTGTTTTCAAGTTCTACGGATTCTTTTGTGTATATGGAATTAAGCCAACTGAGCCAAGTGTCCTGCATTAAGTAACATGGAGCCTCCCAAGAAGAAAGACTGCTCATCAGGTCTTTCTTGAGTGGCTAAAACAAAACCCCAGATTTTCTCCTGCACTCTAAAAGAGGCAATTGTATTTCTAAAGACCAAGAGGACCAGTCCCATATGGCACTGCAGTTTAGGAGTAAGCCCATAACTTATAGTTTTAGGACATATTTATAGGTAGAAGCAAATAAGCATAAAGGAATTTGTTATCTGTCACAAACCAGGCCAGACCTGATGATGCCTTTTGGAAGTCTATCTTATCTCTGTCATTAGGAGACCTTTGTTTATCGAGTTTCTCCATGTTCATTTTTCCTTATGAAAAAAATCTGGGAAACTAAAAGCCTGAAAAAGCAAGTCTTCTTCAGAGCCCACATTGCTTTCTAATGATACGGTTCCCAGTGGCAGCCTTATAGAGAACTTACACCAGGTTGGGTCATTTTTTAGTCTCTGCTGATGCCATTGACTGAATGTTAGTTTAACCTGGTGAAATATTCACCAACTCAACTAGAGAAAAACAAATTGGAACCATTTGTAGAAGCAAGTGTTACTTCAAGGGTGACAAGTCTAATGTAGCTGCTGAAGAGAAAAACAAGAGACAATGTCATTTACCTCTTGGTAGCCCTACAGTGCTTTGGACATGGTTGGAACCTAAGTATTTGTTGAATAAGTTGTCCCCACCAATGGCACATCCTTATCTTCCTAAAGAGACATTTTTGAGTATTGGCAAGGTCTTTTAAAAAAACCATTTTAAAAGTGAAAGAAAAACAATACTTAGAACTCTCTGGCAACTGCAGAGTTAACTCAGGAAGTCTGGCCTGGTTTGTGATAGGTAGCAAATTCCTTTAGGTTTGTTATTTGCTTCTAGCAATAAATATGTCCTCAGTTCCAGCTCTGCAGCCAGCTTGAGAAGAGAAACTTCTACCTGTGGCAACAAATTGAGCTCTCAGTCTGTCTGACCTAAGTAGAAAAGAGAGGCATCCACTTCAGATCCAGTCCTGTCAGCTCTCCCAACGGGGGAATTTTGTTAGAAATACTATCCATTTTTGAGACAAATGTTGATGCCACTAGCCATTGGGGGCTGCGGTGGGGTGTTTATTTCATCAGTAGCACCACTGATGGATTATTGTATGGAAAAATGAGGTTAGAGACTAGGGGATGCTGGAACACTGCCTACCTGGGCGAAAGAGAAAATACAGGCTGTATTTTCAATCACTGGTAGAAGACTATGGAACCTACTGGTGACATTTAGAATTTCAGTGTGCTTCTGTGGAATGAGTTTTCCTGCACTGTTGGCAATGCACTTTACTTGGACACCTTGCTAGATGAAAACTATTGGAAACTGCCAAGCTCAGCAGATCTTGATTATTTTCAACATTCCTGCAAAGAGTTTTTTTGGTAGGGGAGAAGGGGTCCATTCTGATTGTGTTCATTAACCAACTTGTTGGCTTTATGTTAGTAATGATAAGTTACTAGAGTGGGAACAGAATGACTTCGTTTATGTGTGAATCCTTGGTAGGGGGTAGGAGTGGGGAGCTATATATTCACCCAGACAGAATTCCACTATCAAAGGTGTCCTTTTGGAACAGACTGTTCTTCGTCTAGGAAGATGATGCTGGTGGCCCACTTTGGACTGTTTGGAGATGGGTATGAGCAAATCCAGACACACTGTCTCGCCTGGGTCCCTGTGGAGCACATTGCTTGGGTAATGGCTATGCAAGCTTCACTGGCCCGTATGAAGACTGAGCTCATGCCTTTGGCATCACAAGTACTTTGCTCTCTACTAAGCTTCCTGGCTCAGGGGTTGAAGGTCTTTCTGGAGATGAAAGAATAAATGGCTTTGTCCTCTCCAGGAGCAAGCTAAAGCAGAGACAGGATGACTGGCCTGAAGAGAGGTGTGAGTGGGCTACAAGTAGCTCATCTCAGCTGCCTCCAACTCAGCTTTATTCCAGGGAGGATAGAGCAAGGACAGAATATGATGAGGAGTACACCCCTGCCCAATTGGAAAATAGAGAGAGTTAATTTTTGGTGCTTCTAGCTTTCCTTTTCTGCTCTATTTTCATATTCTGTTCATTCTATACCCTCATAGCCCTTCCCCTTTCTCTTCCCATTTCTGTCCCTTTGTCTCCTGTCTAGACATCTAGGAATCTCGTGGTGCTTCAGGTACCTTATGACAAAGAAGAAATCAATCTGACCCATGATTTCACACTTAGATATTAGTGATGAATATTTGTCTGTTTAAAAATTTGAGTGCAATACTTCACTCAGAGGAATGAAGTACTAATAGTGGATTTTATTACTTTATTACTTTGCCATTACTTTCAATGGCTAAAACCACAGTTACTTTTGCACCAATCTAATAGGCACAGTGGCACGAGGAATGGGAGATATTTGGGGGCAAGGGCATCTTTCCAGCACCACTCAAATGGGCTCTTACTCCACCCACACATAAGGCTGGCCTTAACTATAAGAACCAGAACACTGGAATGGAACAAGGAAGCCAATGGAGTGGAATAGGAATCAGAAGTGAAATGAGACAGATATGTGGTTAAGTCCAGGCAGTGAGAAGTGTAAGAAGACCACACTGACAAAATATGTAGAGGACACAACCCATTTTTCTTCCCTGCCCAGGAATTCTGTCTTCAGTCCAGTTAAATCCTCCATTCAGGCAGCAAATGAGCCCTAACATCCCTCTTTCACAGTTTTCCTTGTTTTCTTGCCTCTGTGGCAGTCCCTGAGATCAGAAAAGAAAGCTATTTAGAAAAGGTAAAGCTATCTCAGACCTCAGTGTGATGGATCTGTTTTAGGGGCAAGAAGCTTTAGCCTGTCCTGACAGGGATTTGAGGACATTTGGCTTAGGTTTGTTTTTTGAAGCCTGTGATTAATCTAGCTGCTCTTCACTCCATCTTCATCCCTTACTGTCTGTTATGAGGTACACTCTCCAAAGGTGAAATACATGCTCAGAATAGCTGGCTAGCAGGTGTTAGGCTGGAAGGAAGGGAAGAGAATGCACTGTACCATATTATTATTAACCTAACTTGGGGGAATTAAAGGGCCTCTGGGTATTTCTTTACCAACACAGAGCAGACAGATTGTTCCTTATGCAAAGTTAGAGTTCTGCATCTTCAATCACCATTTGGCAATATGCAAAATATTGGCATAAGCAGCACAGACATTCTTTTTCAACAAGAAAAAGCTACTTCTTTTATCTACAGACTTGAGCTGACCAGTAAGTTTTTCTCCTACCCATTATCCCCATCCCTGATTCTTAAATGCAGCTGAAGAATAGTGGAAAGAATCTTCAGACTAGCCTCTAGTTCTAACCTTAACCCCACCACTTACAAGCTGTGTGATTTTGGGCAAATCACTGAGTGTCTCTAGGGACTCAGTTCCTATTTTAATCCTTTACCCCTTTTCATCTGTAATGTTAGATAGTTAGCAAAGTCTGCTGAGATTTGCTCAGATCAACCTGTCAGGTTGATCACTGGACTACGCCTACTGCCACTATCTGTTGATCATCCAGGCTACTTCCTCCACAGCCCCAATTCCACTCTCAACCACTCCAGAACAGCTGTCTTTGAAGGCCCAGGCTCTTCATCCTGGTGTCATATAAGTTGTTCAGCAAATGCTGCCTTAGGAGAATGAAGAGACTGACTAAGAAGAACATGCCCATCACAGCCACAGCCTGGCTCCACATAATTGCTGGGAGCTGCCCTTGAGTAGCCCAGAATAAGAGCTGGCCCAGTGAGAGTTGTACAAGGGTGGACCTGGGTCTCACAATGCTTTAAGAGGAAAATGAAGAGAGGTCTTTTTTTTTTTTTTTTTTTTGAAAATGCCAACATGGCACCATCTGGTAAAGCTCAGTCTCCCTGCCAAAAATATTCCGGCTACTCCTTCAACTTTTTCCTTGAGGGTATATTAATGTTTCTCTAGACCCACATTTCACCCACCGGACTGTGGTGTAGGAAAGCCCAGGGGACCTGGAGAAAAAAGTTGTCTTCCTTGTGTGCCTAGAGAGGAGCGAAAAAAGTTAATATTGGGCTAATGCCCAATTGTGCGTGCCAAGAAATAGGCACGCACAAAATGTTGCAATCAGACTCGTCAAGAAAGTGCTTCTTCTGAGCAAAGGATTTTCAACCTAGAATGATAGTGGACTCACAACGCTGGGGGAGACTGTTTTAGTGATCACCTGCAACTGAGGTGTGGCAGGAGGGCAGAAAAGTGCCCGCTTATCCCTACCACTCCTCATTGCTCTGGTAATATATAGAAGTTGAAGGAACATCCTCACGAATCTATTGATTACTGTGGTCCTGATGGCTTTCAAACAACCCTAAAGTCACCAGGCAGCTCCTATGTAAGGCAGTAAGGACACTCTTTCATTTATTAAATGTATGATTCTTCTGCCTCGCTCCACAAAGGATTGGCAGGGATGGGCTACAAGGTCTGTGCTAAGTTTCTAAACTGTTGGTTTAAGGGCTAGGATTTTTCTGATTTGTTTGCTTCATGTTGGATTAATTAGCTGAGGAGTTGGCTTCTGACTGTTTCCAGTAAAATGTGTAATACAGGGGGCTTTAAGCAAGAATGTTTCTTTGGTGATTCTGCTTCAATGATCCCAGGGCAGTCACTGCCTAGAAGGGGAGCCTCATTACGATGCTTTCTCAAAATTGCTGGGACTGAATAGGTCTCTTCTGCTTGTTTAAGAAAGCTGAATTCAGAGCTGGATGGACCTGGCTTTCATTTAGCTCAGGTGGCTCCTGTATGTGGCTGTGGGTCAGGGGCCTGGGACCTGTAAGAAAATGCAGCAGCTCACCCAGAGTTAGTCGTCCTTGTTTCACTTTATTTTGATTTCATTCTCTCTCTGGTCTGTGTGTGTGTGTGTGTGTGTCTGTGTGTGTGTGAGTCTGTGCGTGTGCACACCTGTGTGCACGCAGACCTGAGGTATGTGAGGGGAGGAGGTCAAGCATGGCTTGTTCTCAATTTGGATACAGGAATCTGGATCTTTTGTACACACCAAAGCGGGAGTGAGGAGAAGGACTTATTGGCATGGAAATGTCAACACCAGATGTGGGATGTTAAATAAATACTGTTTATTATACACAGATGTTGAAAGACAAAATAAAAAGGAGGCGTGGTGGAGGCTAGGAGAGCAAACACTAAGAGCTTGGAGGAAATCCCAGGACTGCAAACAAATCACTGCCACCAATAAGCACAGTTGCATGCACAGCTCTCTCTACCAAGGGCCACAGAGTCCCAACAAGTCTCATAGATTTGTTAAGGAAAGCCCAAAGAGCCTGGATTTTAATCTGCTGTTGTTTCTTGCTAGGCCATACCATTAAGGGGAGAGTCTTTAATTTATGTAAGATGCCTGTGTCCCTTTCCTATGCAACTCTTCCAAGACTAATCTGACTGCTAGTCTCTTCCCAGAATTCTTAAGTCTGCTCTAAGGCAGGCTTGTTGATAGGCGTACCCATTGGAAACATAGATGGTCTCTTGAGATCTTTGTCTGGGACCTGAAGGTAGTAGTGGACTAAGTAAAGCATCCTCATTTCCAGCTGATTTCTTAGTTTTCAATGAACCAAACCTGGTCTTATGAAGGCCATGACTTAAATATCAAAGACAATGAATCATAACTCCCCACTGGAATGGAA